>NC_000001.11:216934587-217559587 GCF_000001405.40 Homo sapiens
AAAGGCCATCAGATCTTGTGAGACTTACAAAGCCACAAGATCTCATGAGACATATTAACCATCACAAGAATAGTATGAGGGAAACCACCTCCATGATTCAGTTATCTCCCACATGGTCCCTCCCACAACACATGGGAATTATGGGAGCTACAATTCAAGATGAGATTTGGATGGGATCACAGCCAAACCATATCCATTGTTTTTTAAAAAGTGGTTATCCACTGAGAGAAAGGGTTGGGAGAGTGCGTATTGGTGACTCTTTTGATAGTTCACCTCCAATGTCCACTTCACTTAGGTTAGAGAACCACTATTTTATACATTATAAATCTTAGCACAATGAATGGCCGGTATGTAGTAAGCACTCAGTAATTACTTGTAAACTGAAAATTTAAGATATTTTAATAGAAAAACTAAAACTCTAATAACTAGTAGTTAGCTGAAAATGTAGATTCCTGGTCAATGTAGGTGTAATAACATAGGAAAAATTAAACTGCTTTTCCTACTCTCACATTCAACACAGACACTTCTGTGTTCAGACGTGTGGGCTTGCTTTTGCTTTCCCACATGTCAGTTCTCCAGTGGTCACCAACTGGGTGTCCTACGATTTAACTCAATTCTGACACTCCCTACCTGGAAACAGCATCAGATCCCACAGGTTAGGGGCTCAGTCCCACAAGACTTCCCTCCACTTCAGACATCAACTGAAAGTTGTAGGCTACCTACAACTGCTGTTTGATTTAGCTATAAATTCGAGGTTTCCTTAACCCCCTTCTCTGGTTTGATTGATTTGCTAGAGCAGCTCATAAAACTCAGAGAAACACTTGCTTGTACTGGTTTATTATATTTATAAGGGATATTATAAAGAATACAGATGAACAGCCAGCCAGATAAAGAGGTGCATAGGGCAAGGTATATGGGAAGGGGCACGGGGTTTCCAAGCCCTTTCCAGGTATGTCACCTTCCCAGAAGCTCCCCATGTTCAGCAATCCAGAAGCTCTCTGAAATTGCAAATTGAAATCCCACAGTTTAGGAATTTTTTTTTTTTTGGAGATGGAGTCTTATTCTGTCATCCAGCCTGGAGTACAGTGGAGTGATCTTGGGTCACTGCAACCTCTGCCTCCCAAGTTCAAGCAGTTCTCCTGCCTCAGCCTCCCGAGTAGCTGGGATTACAGGCACCTGCCACCATGCCTGGCTAATTTTTATATTTTTAGTAGAGATGGGGTTTCACCATGTTGGCCAGGCTGGTCTTGAACTCCTGACCTCGTGACCTGCCTGCCTCGGCCTCCCAAAGTGCTGGGATTACAGGTGTGAGCCATCGTGTCTGGCCCAGATTAGGGATTTTTATAGCAGCTTCATCCTGTAGGCATGGTCGATTATTAACTCAATCTTCAGCTTCTCTCCCCTTCCTGGAGGATGAGGGGTATGGTTGAAAGTTCCAAGCTTGTAATCATGGCTTGTTTTTTCTGGTGACCAGAACCCATTTGGGAGCCCTCCAAAAGTCACCTCAATAGAATGAAAGACACTCCTGTCAAACAGGAAATTCCAAGGGATAAAGAGCTCTGTAGTCAGGAATGT
The DNA here is from genome assembly GCF_000001405.40 of Homo sapiens. NCBI lineage: Eukaryota > Metazoa > Chordata > Mammalia > Primates > Hominidae > Homo > Homo sapiens. Next base: position 216,936,163 of record NC_000001.11, read on the forward strand.
GAAGGTTGGGGGTGTTGTGGGGGCAACAAAGAACAAATATATATTTCTTTTTATAAATCACAACCTCATAGTAGATGTTTGGCTTCTTGTACCATGTGTCCAAGAAACAACAATATGGTTGTCGTACTTGTACTGAGGTATAATCATGAGAAAACAAGTTAGCATGTCAGTATCATTCTTATAAAAGAAATGAAATGTCTTTTATGAAGGATCTAATTCACAAGCATATTACCATTAACAGAATACAGTGGTTGATGACTATTAATGTGAAAATGACCACCATTTGGATGTTCCTGCTGTCACCTTCTTAGAGACTTTGGGGATGGGTAAACGCACACACACACAAACACACACACACACACGAGTATAAATATAAATATATATAGCCAGACCATATACTTACTTTATGTAAAACAATTTTAAACTCCAAGCATGATAGCTATGAACAAACTTCATTAAAAATAGTATTTAGAGATCAAATTGTTTTACTTCTACTTACTTTGAAATAACATCATAATTAACTTTTCTCTCACGGACCTTGAGGAAAAAAAAAAAGAAGAAGGAGAAGAAGACAAACAGCAAGAGACAGCTAATGGCCTTCATATCCCCATGTAAATTTTGGCTTATATTAAAACACTCAAGGACAAGCATCAGCAGTAAATCATATAACCTACATTTCAGAATCAAAATTGCCACCTTGCACCCTTTCTGAAATCAAAGGAGAAATTTCAGATTGTTATTTGCTCAAATCTATTTGCATTCCCTGGGCACATACCCAGGGGCAGAACTTAACCGAGAGGCATTCTCAAGCCATCCTGAAACATCCCCCCTGCAGACTGGCCACACTTGCAAACTCAAGAACTGTAGGAGTGGGTTTTTCCCTTGTAATTGGTACTTATCTTTGCCCCCAAGAAAGAAAGATATTTTTCAAGTACTCTGTATAGTAACAAAAAAAGAAAAAAAAAACTCAAATTTTTTGTTCCACTTAGCCAGCCATAAGCTTTCTGCTAATTCTCAGTCATAAATAAATAGAATTGACAAAGACATTAAAGATGGAAACAATAAAAATAGTCAGGAAGAGCAGAAAAAAAAAAGATTGCCGTGATATTCTGTCTCGTTTTGCCAAAAAGGTATTAAAGTACCAATGATATAAAAATAGGCTTGAACAATTTTTTCTAAAGGAAGGGGGTAGCTACTCCCAGACTACATAAGATGGGTGTCCTAAAGGTTTCATTGATTAGTTGATAAGTTTGCAGGTGGGTCATTAGTCAATTAGTCAGAAAGGTTTGAATTAGTTACTAGAGCTCTGCCTCCTGTGAATAAATGCGGGGAGTATTCTCTCTCCCACCCTCTGTGACAGATGATATCTGTTTTCTCCTGTGAGTTTGAATTTAAGAACCACTGAAGCTCAGCAACAGTATATTCTGGCTCAAATGAGCTGAAAATTGCATTCAATTTGAATTTCAAAAATGGAGGGGAGGAAGGGGGGAAGAAAACCTCAGCACCCATCAAGTCTCTACACTCTTCAACTACTTCCTGCTGCTTAGCTGCATTCTGCCAGGCTGGGGACCTGAAACCCAGGATGTTGCAGGGGAAAGAGCATCGCTGGATTCCTGCCCAGTCTGAGTTTAAAAATAAACTTTTTATAGTCAGGATCAAAGCAAACCTCACTTTTACACACATGCATAATGCAGAATGTGACCCACCAAAGAAATAGATTTACCTTTTCCAAACTGAAATTGGCCTGCTTTATTATTTTTTTTTTTCTTTACGTACTCTGGAGGTGATAAAGGTGAAGGTGTTTTTCTTGGGAAACTCTGGAAAAGCAAATTCTTTTCTAAATTAAAATTAATTCCTCTTCAGCTCACTTAAGACCCTCATTCCTTGTGGCTCGGTGCCCCTGCCTTCACCTGCCTCACATTACAAAGCAGACGTGTTCTTGAAAAGTTGAGCATGTAGCTATTGATTTTTCAAATCAAATCATATTTTAAATGCTCTGAGAGAGTTGGTTATTTAAAGGAATCTTGTGATAAATTATTTTTTAAAGTCAATCTATTTCTAGTGTACAAATCATTGCCCCTTCCTGCAATGGCATAGTAAGCATGAATTTGAAGCATATCCAAGTTTTCTGAAAGCAGGGCACACCTGTAGTCCGTGAGAAGTAGATGTAGGTATCACTAATATTTAAAACTAAACCGATGCTACGCAAAACAACAGATGATATCCCAGAATCATGTAACTGAATGATTTGGGGCCAGAACTCCATTTTATGATAGTTCAAGCTGAAGGAGAAGAGAGAACGCCAAATTCATTCCAATGGACTTCAAACATGAAAACATATTCTCCCGCTGACTACATTACTCTCAATTTGCAAATTAAGCAACCTGGGTGCCATGAAAAAGGTAATTCAACTTCTAAAGTGCCATTTTCCACACTGAAGCAGGAGTCTGCTGAATGCTGTTCAAAAATATGCCTTACTCCAAAGGGTTCACTAGCAAGTACCATTGAAAGGCATCATTGGCAGTGAGTGCACAGGGATTCCTGTGCACCTACTCTGCACTGGCCTCTGCAGCAGGAACTCAGAGTAACTAATACATCAGAGATCCTGCATTAGAGGAGGCAGTGGCTCTTCATCCTTCCTGAGTTACAAACCCATGTGAGGGTATGATGAATGCACAGACACTCTCCAACAAAAGAATCTTTACATGCTATGATCCTCGTATGATAGTCATTACAACTACAACAGAATTCATGGATGCAAGTGAAGGACCTGGGTCTAGGATATTAATTGACTAATGGATGGTATCCTGGGAATGTTAGTATTACATAATTTCCCTTCAAAAATGGAGTGAAGTAGACAGATATCTCTAGAAAGAAATGGGTATTCAATTGGAATCTAATGGATACCATGAACTTTTAGCAAGCTCACAGAAGGTAGAATTAGAAAGAGAAGGATCCCTATCTTAAACGCAGGACAAGACGTAAAGAAGAGTAATATTTTACTTCTTAGGCACCATCGAAAGACAAGAATTAAGAAATAGTCTGACTTTCACAACCTCAGCTTACTGGTCAGTATAGTGAATCAATAGAAACAAGGGCAAAACCTTTCCAAAGCACCTACATGATCACTACAACACATACTTGGTAAAGTCCAATCTTCCAGAATATCCTACACATAGACAAAAAAAAAAAAAAAAAAAAAAAAAAACACTTTAAAGGCATTTAAAATGATGTTTTTACATTTTAAAAGGCAGAATGCGGAAAACATTATACCTTACTATGAAATACTAGCCAACACCACAATAGTAGTCAAAGATGTCAAGAGGACACTTAACCCTCTAATGTGTATCACGTGGCATTATGTTATGTAGATTTTAAAAGAATGTTAATATCTCCTAATCTTGTAGGGAGCAGCTTACCTTTCAAACTGCGACAGTGTTAGCGTAGGATTTTTTCCTTACATCTTCATAATTTAATATTGTTTCATTGATGAACCAGTAAATTGTCAGCTCTATTCATTTATGTGACGTGAGCAAGGATCCAACCCAAAAAAGGAAAAAAAAAAAAAAAAGTAAGGTCAATTTTCTCGGCCGCTGCATTTAATAAAATCTCCCAGGCAATAGAGTTAAGCACACATTAATAGCTATGACTTAGTATGCTCTGCCTTTAGCAAGTCTTTGATTTTCCTACACATACACTCAGGGCTGTATTAACACTCCAACGAAGGTACAGTCCTCATTTCTTATTTTAAGATTTCTTCCTTCTCAGCTTTATCAGATTTATTAATCTTCTGCTCCTCTCTTATTTATAGCAAATGCTCTGGTTAGGGTTTCAAAGCATTTTCCATTATAATACCCATATATAACTTTCAGAAAAAAAAAAAATTCTTCCAAGACCAAGGGACTTTTTACTTACTTCACATTAGTCTCAAAATGTATGCATTTCTCCAAACGTGAAGGCTTTGTGTCCTATTTCTCTGATCTTCAGAAAAAAACACAAGAGAGCGAGTAGAGAGGCTCAAGCTTTCTAAGTGGAAAAACTTGAAGCTTCTATTTTAAATAAACTCCAAGTGGGTTTTCACTAAACATACACTAATGATGTTTTAGGGAGATGTCTGTCAAAGGAAGCTACTGGGTTGAACCTCATGAAGTTGCTGTTATTCTATCAATTTCAACCTACAAAAATGGCAATTCCATATGATTTAACTTAATGCTTCTCATATCTTTACTAAAATATAAAAAGACTGTTCAGAGCAACAAAGCAATCCCTTGGATATCCGGGGAAATTCTGTGCCGAACTTGCAGCTCAGGGGGTGAGAAGGGAGAAGAGAAGGTTGTGACCAACAGGAGGCTGGAATGCCCCTGACAGTTTGTTTGGTGCATGCCCTGGTGCAATTTATTAAGTAAAAGATGTGGAGAAAATAATTACTCGGGTGGCACCAGGCCACTTTGCATCACATCCCTTGAGGCATGAATGTGGTAACTGTAGACTTTGGGGAGTGAACACCTCAAAGAGATGCCTGTATTGCATTAGAAGACCCTCAGAGGGACCTCTAAATCTATTCACTAAAGACACCCTTCAGACTGATAGCTTTCCCGCTTTCTTTCAAGAATGAGGTTAAAAGTAAAATGCTTGACAAATAAACTAGATTGAGGTTTCAATCCCAAATTCCCCCTACACCCAGCAATTGGAATCATATCTTGGTAATTTACTGTAATGCTAAACAGAAGCTATTTGAATACTAGAAAACAAAGGGATCATTTTAAAATAATTTCTTGCATAAAGTGAGCTGAAGATCAACTAAGACAAGAGAACGAGGAGGTTTCTAGTGTAGGCTGGAATTTGACAGGGTCTAGAATCAAGAAAGGACTGTGCTTTACACATAAAACTAGGATGGTGTTTCAAACACACTCATGAGAGAGACAGGAGGTAAGATGACTCAAATGTGAGAATCCAACCCTATTTATTTTCTAGGATTGTGAAGATAAGAGCCTGTTAAAAAGCTGTAATTTATATAAGTATAAAGAAACACTAGGAGAGGACCCACTTAACTGACACTAGAGGGTCAGAAGCCCAAGAAGACCTAATTTAGGTTGTTGCTTTTTTAAAAAGAAAGCACAGGACTCAGGAGGTACAAAAACAGGATTTGAATCAAGAAAAATCCTTCAGGTGCTGATTTCAACAGTTATATGGCTGCTTTCTGTGTAATATTGCTAATGCTCATAGCCAGTGTGGCCGTAGATTTCAAGTTAACATTTAAACTCTACAACTTGTCATACTCCCATTTCTGAAATGGCTGAAAATTTGAAATAACGTTAATGTTAAAACAATGGTTTTGGGAACCAGTTCTCCTTTTGATCCCACACCAACAACTATCTCAAAGCAGAGGCATTCACCTCAGGAGATTCGGTTTGTGGGCGAGGGGAGACGGTGGGGCATTGGAAGGGTGTGTGGAATCAGTTCCTGTTACCCCTATGATTTCCTCTTATTACAAAATGCAGTATACATTTCCCCAGATAAATCTCGTTTTAAGTGGTGACAACTAATCCAGATGAAAGATTTCTTATTCAATACTATAGGTAATTTACTAAGAATGGGGGGAAAAAGATTGTAAACAGCCTTTAGAAGTTCAGTAACAATATGATTGAGAAGAATTTTGTGGGTAACCCAGGAAATGCACTACTATTTATCTCATTTTTTCCCTTGTCTGCAAATATTCTAAATTCCAAACAACCAGTTTTATTTTGTTTTATTTTATTTTCAATTTTAGATTCAGGGGGTGCATGTGTAGGTTTGCTACAAGAGTATATTCTGCGATGCTGAGATTTGGGCTTCTACTGATCCTGTCACCCAAACAGTGAACATAGTACCGGACAGAAAGTTTTTCAACCCTTGATCCCCTCCCTCCCTCCCCTCTTTTGGAGTCCCCAGTGTCTATTGTTCTCATCTTTGTCTGTTTCTATCCAATGTTTAGCTCTCAATTGTAAGTAAGAACATGTAATATTTGGTTTTCTGTTTCTGTGTTAATTCACTTAGGATAGTGGCCTCCAGCTGCATCCACGTTGCTGCAAAGGACATGATTTCATTCTTTTTTATGGCTGCATGGTATTCCATATTCTATAGGTACCACATTTCCTTATCCAGTCTTCAACTTATGGACACCTGGGTTGATTCCATGTCTTTGCTATTGTGAATAGTGCTGTGGTATACATATGAGGGCAGGTGTCTTTTTGGCAGAATAATTTCTTTTCCTTTGAGTATATATCCAGTAATGGGATTGCTAGGTTGAATGGTAGTTCTGTTTTTAGTTATTTGAGAAACCTCCAAACTGCTTTCCACAGAGGCTGAACTAATTTACAGTCCCACAAATAGTTATAAATGTTTCCTTTTCTCCACAACCCCACAAACATCTGTTATTTTTTCATTTTTAATAATAGCCACTCTTACTGGTGTAGGATGGTATCTCACTGAGGTTTTGACTTGTATTTCCCTGATAATTAGTGATGTTGAGCATTTTTTCATATGTTTGTTGGTCACTTGTGTGTCTTCTTTTGAGATATGTCTGTTTATGTTCTTAGCCCAATTTTTAATGGGGCCATTTGTTTTTTTCTTGTTCAGTTGTTCAAGTTCCTTGTAGTTTCTGGACATTAGTCCTTTGTAGTATGCATAGTTTACAAATATTTTCTCCCATTCTGTAGGTTGTCTCTCTTTTGATAGTTCTTTTGCTGTGGAGAAGCTCTTTAGTTTAATTAGGTCTCAGTTATCAATTTTTGTTTTTGAATAACCAGTTTTAAAATGTAGACTGACACACAACTCACAACTGTTTTGTAAGCTGATGATTGCCTATCCTATGCCCAACTAATTATTAAGATTGGGCATATAAACTTATTACAAAAAAAAATACAGGATTAAGAACCATCAAGTGCAGTTGCCTGGATTTTGCATTGCAAGATTCCCAGGGTGTACTTTTCACATGCATTACAACGTGAATGATCTGCCCTACCATGGTTGTGTAGTATGAGAGAGGAAGAGAAAGCCTCTGGATTCTCTTTCCTATCCCAGAGAATATTTTTAAAACAAATATAGATAACTAAATTACCAGTATCCCTTCACTCACAAAGTCAGTGACCCCAAGGCAAGAGGACTTACACCATCCCTACCATCACCCTCTACCATCACCAGCAGCTGCCTCTGCATTGTTGCAGGAACCTTCTTAGAAGGGGAATTGCCTCTCTAAATACAGAGCAAGAAAGATCTGTTCTTCAGGTCTCAAACAGGTTCTAAGAATAGATATTCCAATAAAAGGAGAAGCCACTTGGCACATAATATTCCTGAAACATGGTAGCATGACAGTGGAACTCAACCATTCACCCAGCTGTCCTTGGGGAAAAACACATTTTGAATTCCAAAACCTTAGGAGTATATCTTACTGTGAGGGTTTACCTGTAATCTACTTACTACACACACATACAAAAGCCTGAACAGCATATACTCTCAAAAAGTGAATGGATAGCAGAAGTAAAGATTTTTAAAAGGGGAAACACACATATTTCCTTTAGTCATTCTGAAGATAACCCTAGCGTACAGCCAGGAAAAGATAAACAGAAGAAATTCCTCAGCTTTCTAGATCCCCTACCATACGTTATTCATGGGGGTTTGATTATTTGAAGATTTTTTTTCAGGATTTCAATAAAGGCAATCAGGCAGGATTATCTTGGGCAGGCACAGGATATACAAGCAAGCTACTGGATGCTGGGGAGATGTAGGGCAAAGACAACTTCAGCTCCCCCCTGCCAGGAAACTTGCTCTATTAAGAGATAAAATGTCATGATATAATCTATGTGATGCATCTTTTGAAAAGAAAAGTGCCTCAAAGATTATGAAATAGTTTTGAGAGTGGAAAATAATCCATCAATTTAGATACAGCTTTTTCAGTGATGGGTACAATGTAAGGCTCCCTCCAGTTAAACTGAGGTCAAGCATATAATTCCAGATTTAGATCTCCCGATATTTGCCACTCTATATTTAGTCTTCACAAATTCAATAATATTGGCTACTTTCTGATGCAAACTCTGACGGAGGAAGCTTTTCTGTGAGGACAAAATATTTTTAAAATAAGAGATTTCTTCATTAAGTTGGCCAAGATCCTTGAGTCTAGCACTTTGCCAATCATTTTCCTTCCACTTTAACGCTGGAAACATGGAAAGTTAGAAAGGAAAAGGAAGGGAAATAAATAAGAGAAGAAGACATAAATGAAAAATTAAGAGAAAAGAAATATGATGGAAAGAAACAGGAAGGTTAATAAAGAAGGAGCACATGATCTCCATTCATTCAAAGTCAGAATACTATTAATGCACCCAAAATCAAATGCAGTGCAAGTTCTTCTTGGTTTATCATCCCTTTCCCTGGAGAATGAAAGAAGGCTATGTTGATGAAGATCTTGGTGGTAATGCACTCCAAAGCCTTCATTTTACCAGTAAGGAAAGGGAAGTCCTGTAAGGCAAAGTGACTTACAAAGTCATGACTAGAAGCCAGAATCACAATAGACCAGTCTAATGTTCTACCAACCATATCTGCCTGAAAGTGGTAATGGCTTTTCCAAGTCTTAGACAATTGCTAATGACACCAAGAGTGAGGTAAAATGGAGATGCTTTTCTCTCTCTGGGGGAATAACAGAGATCAACTCACAGTATTAGAACCTACAGGAACGGCTGGGCAAGGCTGCAGCTGACCCAGCTTCCAGGGTAATTTGACAGTTGGAGAATAACACACTGCAAATTTAGAGGGACAAGCTCTAAGCCCAGGTTTTTCATAATTCCAACAAACCGTCTCCAGTGGTTATTATGACATAACACTTCTGATGATTAATTAAAAGCTCTTCATTAGATCAGTCAGCTTATAATTAATAGCTCCCCCTATCTTTAATAAATAGAATGATGTGAAATAAATGAGAGCGATACCAAGGATTAGCTAAAGCCTAAACCCAAATGAAAGCACCCTCTGCTCTCAACCAAGGAGGCAAAGAAACAAAAGGGGAGGGAAAAGTGGGTTTTGTTAAACAAAGATGAGAAGAGAGAGTGCTGAGGAGGGGAATGTGGGAAGGAAGGAGGCATTTGCTCAATCAGTACCTATTTTCAGAATTTCCTTCAAGCTGGCTTGAACTGAGAGCCATCAATTATTTAAAAGATGTAACATGATGCTTCCTTTGTTGAGGCAAATCTGCAAGCAGACCCCGAGAGAAAATAAAAAATGAATTAGGCAGAATTTATTAGTGTGCTTGAAGAAAACAAAGATTTAGCTATTGGAACTGACTCTTTTAGAAATGGTTCAATTTTGTCTCCTAAAATCCACAAATCTTTCTTCCCCTCTCTATACCTATTTATTTATTATTTTCTACAGTAGATCACACAAAAAGAGGAATGAATCATTTTGCAAACTTCTCCTTTCTTTTCAGATTCAGCTTGATGTACTGTCTTCATTTAAATTACAAATACGCTAATCTGAAACACTGTTTACCAAGTAGCATTTTAAATGAAAAATACAAGAAATTGCATCATTCACATTTAAAAAATGACTTTAGACTCTGCACCTCATAAAAAAGAGCCGACAGTGTTCTCTGCCTTGGCTGCTGTATTTCAGTCCAGTGAATGAAATTCAATTAGTGGGCTTTGTACTTAGGACATTATGATTCTGATGGTTGGTCTGATCAAAACTGGTGTGCCAAGCCTCAGTTCTGTTTTTTTGGCAGACCACAGTTAAGGAAAAATTCAATAGAGATGGTTGGCAGGAGAAAAGTTAGTTTCAGAGGAGCTTACTTTTCACCATCATAAGGAAATATGGGAGGAGGAGAGCTGCTCCCTGGAACAGCTCATTATTTACTAAATGAATGAATTAACTTTTTGAGAAACCTCAGTACCTAAGTCTGTCATTACCAGTTTTAGTACTTTCCAAAAATAGCAATTGACGTAAAATAAACCAGTACTAACTAGAACCAAGAAATCAGAGATCTAATTCATCTTTAGGTTTTGATCAGCCTCAGCTTGTGTTCCAAATGAATTGTAGAGAGACCACAGTCTTCATGATGCTATCAGAACCCTCCCAAGTAAAACCAAGCAACAGGCACCTCATAGGAAATTCCAAGCCTTTACAGTGAAGACTCAGAGTAATCATCGGTTCGAGAGGTGCTATTTATCTTTAACACTTCTGAAAACAAACCCACACACAACAAAATAAACTGGGCTGCAGCATAGGCCCTCGCATGTCTTGACCAGCTATCTGGACCACTACACCATGATTCAGGAACACCACACCCACATCTGCATGGATCAAACAGAATGGAAAGAGCAAATCAAACTGATCATTACATGGGTCTGATTCTTTGGCCAGCAAAAGCTGACAAGTAATAGTGAAAATTTCCAAAGGATATACAGCCATTGGTCTACTAATAATGTCGATTAATTAGCCAATTAAGATCTGAGCATCCATTTAAATTTTAACGTTGTGTTCTCAAAACACAGACCACCCTCCCCCCATATCTTTCCTTTCTTCCTTTTTTCTTTCTTTCTTTGTTTTTTTAGGGAGTCTCCCTCTGTCACCACGGCTGGAGTGCAGTGGTATGATCTCAGATCACTGGTTTCAAGTGATTCTCCTGCCTCAGCCTCCTGAGTAGCGAGATTATAGGCACCTACCACCATGCCCAGCTAATTTTTGTATTTTTAGTAGCAACAGGGTTTCACCATGTTGGCCAGGCTGGTCTCGAACTCCTGACCTCAAGTGATCTGCCCGCCTCGGCCTCCCTAAGTGCCATTACAGGTGTGAGCCACCACACCCAGCCTGATTTCTTTGCTTCTCTCACAGGGAGTGACACCAACATCCAACTTCTTTTATAATCAGAAACAGAGAAATTATCCTTAGCATCTATTTTTTTTAATCACCATTATCCACTTCATCTCCAAGTCTTTCCCTCTTCTTGGAAAATGATTACAGGAACAATCACATGAAATTCCAAGAGAAAAATATAAATATACATATCCCAGAAGTGGCATCTGTCTTCTCGGTACACTCTTTGGAAAGTGGTTCTAGGCGCTTTACATTTTGCCTGAGCATGACCCAGGATTCAGGCCAGATGGGTACCCTTGACTCACTGTGCCCTTGGTGCTATTTTTCTCTGACTCAAAATTGTATGCCCACATCTGTGGTTGATACGAATATATCATGTTGATGGTTTTTCAGATGATAAAGAGATTCATTCTAAAGTAAATCTTTCCTTGTGTCAAATACCAAAGTCAAAATGCATGCTTACTTCCTTCCCATAAACGGGCTTCCTCAGATGTATTTTTTTCAGAATTAGTTAGTAAAATGACAAGCTACAATGGCTTATTTCTAGCTTTCTAGGGCTGGGGCTGTACGTGAGTATTTACACCAAGGAAACTGGCAAACAATACAAATCAGGTGAGGTGGTTTTATTCCCCCTGGAAGAGCCAGTTTACCAGCACATCACTGAAAAGCGTTTTTCTTTCATTGTTTCCTTCTTAGCAAATAAAAAGATCCATAGTGTCCTTCATTAACACCCATCTTTTTCTCCTCCTTTCCTTTAGCCATGGAAACTAACCAGCAGTTCCTCTTGCTCCTTGACACACAGCTAACCATATTCCAGCCACTCTTAAGCTTATATAAGGTCATGAGATGAGTTTTCCTCCATGGAAAGAGAGCAGAAGTGACAGGAGCCTCCCCATACTTGGTCCATAAAACCCTCCCCCAAACAATATCCCATATGGTCTCCTTTTTTGCAGATGATAGATACAGGAAACTGTGGATGCTGTGTATTGAGGTCAGAAAGCCACAAGATAGAAGGAGCTTGGCCTTGAAATCATCACTTGAAAGAGACTCACCCCAATCAGGAATACCCATTAGAAACTTTATGTGAAGGAAAAATTAACTTTTATTATGTTTGAACATCAAATATTTGGGAGTTTGTTTGATACTCCAACCACCACTGCTGTAACTAAACACTCTCTTTCCCCTCTTCTTTCAACAATTCCTCCCACCAGCTACTATGATAAATCTGGAGATGAGGAATGGTCAAGATTAGGAAGAAAGAAATAGGGGACCTGGCCAGGCATGGTGGCTCATGCCTGGAATCTCAGCACTTTGCGAGGCAGAGGCGGGTGGATCACTGGTGGTGCACGCCTGTAATCCCAGCTGCTCAGGAGGTGTAGGCAGGAGAATCTCTTGAACCTGGGAGGCAGAGATTGCAGTGAGCCGAGATGGCACTACTGCACTCCAGCCTGGGCAAAAGAGCAAGACTCCATCTCAAAAAAAAAAAAAAAAAAAGAAAGAAAGAAACAGGGGACCTAATATTAGCTAATATTAGGTAATAGTCATTAGCTAATGACTATTAGCTAATATTTCCAGATTATCTACTATATATAGTATTATGTACCCCCTCTCCCCCCATAAACTGGTATAAGGAATCTATTTGGGGGTATTTGGGATTGTTGTGTTCTCAAAAATTTAACAATCATAGCTCTGAGGCTTAATCACTTGTATGTGTTACAAAACCAGATGGTTCAAGTGGGTGTTTGTTTACAAGCTCTTTGCATAAGGTTTTTAGCTGTTTTTTAGACCAAAGCTGAATATTTCCACTAAGAAATAAGGCACTGAGGAATTAATGAAAAACCACTGGATTTCATAAGTCCCTGGATTTCCTGCCTTCACTCTGACACCATTTGGTGCACTTTTTCAAGGATCTACTTAGGGCCCCCAAAACAAGAACATAAGCTTAGAGCACTTTGAGTTCTAGTTTATGGGACCTCAGCATACTTTGGGAGAAGGAGGCCTCTCCCCTGGGCTCAGCATTGTTCTGGATGCTGTCAGTGAATCAACTAGGAAAGAAGAGAGCGCTCTGCCTTCCCAACACCTTCACCATGCTGAAGCTCTAGAATTTATTATGTTTCCTGTTTTAACTGGCTTCTCCCACTGGGTTGTTTTGACCAGCCACATCCATCTCCAGCTCCCTCCTTCTGGATTTAGATGAAAGGAGAGAGAAAACTTTCCTGGTGATTCCCTCATTCTTTGTTTCCTCTACATTAACCACATGGCCACTATCTGCAAACATGCAAAGGCACAGGTTTATTTACTGCAAAATAAGTGAAATAATGTTGAAGGTTTCTTAAGGGAGAATAAAAGGTTTCATCAAGTCACAAACTTTTATGGCTTTGAAAAGATAAGCATGTGTTTCTGGTTTTCTGGATGAGATCATTACCCCTCTCCTGGCACACTATCCACTTTGTACTTAACCTTCTTTCAACAGAAAGAAAGGCAGTCAATGCTTGCTTCTCTTCATTTTTAACAAGATTAATAATGTACATCATAGTTAGCACCCATGATATTAACGTCTGAGATCATAAGTGTTACCTAAACTGGTCTCTTTCCTGTCACCACCTAATCACTTTCAAAAAAATTACAATATTTGAGGTGAAAAAGGCAAGGAAAGTACATGAATATCTTGACATTTCTGTGAGCTTGTCTCTGTCATCTTCTACAACAAATGAGCAAGAAATTATAAACGAACCAAAAATGTGTTTCATCATTATCATTTGATTATTCTCTTTTACTAGTTTAGGGAGGGGAAAGAACTGACTTTTTCCAAACTTTTTTTTTTTTTTTCTGAGACAGTCTTGATCTGTCACCCAGGCTGGAGTGCAGTGGTGCCATGTCAGCTCACTGCAACCTCCACATCCCGGGCTCAGGCCATTCTCCAGCCTCAGCCTCCCAAGTAGCTGGGATTATAGGCACATGCCACCACACCCGGCTAATTTTTGTATTTTTAGTTGAGAAGGGGTTTCGCCATGTTGGCCAGGCTGGTCTTGAACTCCTGACCTCAGGTGATCAAACTGCCTAGGACTCCCAAAGTGCTGGGATTATAGGCATGAGCCACCACACCCAGCCCTTACTTCTTTTGAGTTACTTCAGCAAAATGAGGTATTATTTGACTATGTCTTCAGGATAAGGAATGTGCTTCATTTACTATTATCTAGAGAGCAACGTGGTTTCTGGCCCATAATTGGTGTTCCATAATCGTATGTTGAATGAACTACTAGAGATGACTATCTTCCAATTCTAATGAACTCAAAACTTAATATATGTCATTAGACTTTACAATGTAAAGTAGGAACACCTAGATAAATTAGGAAATTCACGATTTATGTGACTGTTTTGCCCCCTATTCTGAAGGTAACTTTTAAGAAAGAGTTTTTTCGTTGTTTATAGCTTTTAGTAAAGGAGAGTGTATCTGGTGAAATTCAAAAGACTTGAAATACTGCCTTGATTTTCAACAAAAGAAATCAAGCTTAGAAAATACTTGTCTATGGAAACAGCATCCACCATATAGTAGTGAACTCTCAATTAAAACTTGTTAAATGAATTAATATCAACCAGCTTCATATCAAAGTAAAGACCTAGGTTGAGTGCAAAAGGTTAAACAAAAACTCAATTCCTGATTTGCTGACTGTCCTATATTTTATTTGTCTATTATTATAAGCAATGATTATCTATTTGTGACATAGACCATTTTACACAATTATTGAAGATGTTCAAAAACTCTTTCAGAAATTCGTATTCTTAGTTGTATCCCTGTTCTGAAAGCACATTTCTCTTATTTTTAAAAAAATATATGGAGTATCCACCTATTGAGAGGTGTCATAATATAGAACTTGCATGAGACACTGACCGTGAAATTTAGTTTAAAATTAGTGGTCACATGAAATGAGCATGTTTAAAACCGAGATGTGATATCTTCTAATTACAATCCTCTAACAAACACTGGGAAAATCTATGATGGTCTCAGCACACACAGAACTCCTTCTCTGCAGATCAAAAGAGAGTGGAAAAGACCAGCAGTAGCCATGAAATATCACTTGTATCCACTATTTATGTTTTATATCCTGTCAACAGCAGCATGTTCATTTAGCATCAGACACAACTTATTCAGGGACTTAGATGATGCAGCAAGTGTCAATACTGATGTCACTATTTATAGCCCAATAAACTATACTTTGAACAATATTAGTAACATTAAGCTTAGGTAGCGCTCCTAGTATTAATGCCTTAATACAGACATATTGCTATAAGCATAGTTTATAGCATGGAACATAAACACAAATGCAGTGATACTAATAAATCACTTTCTTGACTGCTTAAAAATGTACTGCCAAAATGGGCTTTATGCATTACACAATGGAGCAGAAGGCAGTGATATATATTTAAATTTTCCATTTTTAAGCTGTCACTCAAAAACTTTCATACTTTTTTTAGCTTATTGATCTTACGGGCTTGTGATAAGACTTCAACTGCTTGGTTGGGCTGTTTTTAGCTTCCGCTTCTTATTAAAAGAGCTAAATCAGGAATCACAAAATGCTACTAATTTAGCACTTTCCAGTAGAAATGAAAACTAAAAACAGCACCAAAATAGTGTAACCCTCATGTTTCATTGCCCTAGAATCCCAGATTTAACTACTATATAGCATAATAATGGGTATAATGGAACTATCACTATGTGTGTGTGTGTGTGTGTGTGTGTGTGTGTGTGTGTGTGTATACAGCAAAAAATAAAAGCTTGCATTAAATATGCTTAAATAATTGTTACAGAATTCTGACTCTTGTTAAGTATTTTGCATAAGAAAACACACACACAGACATATACACATACTATATATACATATGTTTGCATATATATATATATAATATATACATAAAGGTTCTGCACTTCTATTTCCTACTCTTTCTTTAATTAACAAAGAAACACACATCCTGAATTCCTTAATGTTTTGGCCACTTCTTACCATAAATACACAACCTGCATCCAAACAATCTAAATATCATCAGTAGAACAGCTAGAGTGATGGCCACATCTGATCAATCAACTTGTGTAAACGATCTCTGCCCCACACCTTGCCAACACCCCCACTGGTCTTTGAGTGGCAAATTATATACCACAACCCGAAAACTTTCAAATGCTGATTTGGGGCTCAGAACACTGTCCTCTCAAACCTGTGACTGCTCTCACATTAGACTTTCTACAACCTCTTCAGGAAAGGGTGATTTGTTTTCTCCCCTCAGTGCTGGCCCCAAAGTTCAAGGCTTAGTGTAGAAGAGATAGTGGCCCTCATAGCTAATTGCCCATATTTTGCAAAGGGCAGCGTGGAAACGGGAAGCCACAGCCTTACAAGGACAGGATCCCTAATAAATATTCCCATGATGAATGAGTTGTGTGGTCATGGTCAGGGATCTTATTGCATTCCTGAATCTTACCCATTCAGATATGACAGAGCACTAGGTTTGTTATTATTCCCCCATGGCATCCTCCTGTGGCAACCTAACCAGTAAAGATGGTAGTAGCAACTATGAAACAGACACAAAATTTATTCTTGGCAAAAATAGCTGCTGGAATTTTTGTCACTGTCATTATATCCACCTTCTGAGAGGATCCTGAGAGTCATGCAAGATAGCAAAATTGGTTAAAAATACATGCATAACAAAGAAAAGGGTTATTTTTTCTTAGTATGTCTAGAATCATCAGTCTTCCAGAAACAGCTCCTATTGTCAATAATTTTAAACTTCTTGCAACATTTCCAACTGAGCCCCCAGATCTTTCCTGGCACTGTTTTACTGTCAGCTACTAGCACATGGACACCACCAAGAGTCATCAATTTTCTACAGAGCTCGCTGTTTCATTTTTGTACCCCTCACTTCCACGAATTCAACTGCTTCTTTGAACATTGCCTCACAATCACTCACATTGGGCCACTTCAGCATGTCTACAATCTGCATATGTATATGTATGTGGGAGTATGCACACCAAACCACAGAGGCACATTTCCATTTCTCCCCCACATAAATATGGTGATGAATTGGCTGCTTCGAGCTTTTCTGACAGCCAGTCGAAATGGTAGCTACAATGACCAGGGGATGGCCTAGTTCCTCCATGCAGAAAGGTATTCAGCACACGTAATAATTATCCATCCATCTCGTTCACACTAAAGGCATGGCAATGCAATTTTAGCCTTATAATCAAGACCATATGACAAAAACCAAGGCCATTAGGGACCAATTTCGAGTATTCTCTGCAAGACAATGATTTTCCAACTGCACTTACATATGCTGAATAGTTACCTCTGCACGACCGCACCTGCTCTCATTTATGTAACCCCCCTGTTTTCCAAAGCCTTTCTTAGTAATGCAATAGAGCAAAGTTTTAAAGGCTCACAGGCTTTTTTTCCCATCATTATTTTTTTTCATTTTCCTAAGCATACTATGAAAATACTGAGGGTAAAATCTCTGCTCATGCCAATGACCATATTTCAGAGATTTGTTGTCTTCTTTTCTGTTCCCTATCCCCGATACCTTCATCCTCCCTCTTGGCCCTGCTTGCTTTCCTTTGAACTGAGGCATGGTCTTCAGTTCAGGCCCATAATTACTTCACATGTACTTCTGACCTCACCACTTCAGGTTCAGTGACATAATAGTGTTATCTCTGAAAGGACGTGATGTCATCATAAATCACAGAGCTGTACAGGCAAAGGTTCTACTTGCAAAGAGGAAGAATGCTAAAATTATTTGGAAATTATATAAAATATAGCTCAAGTATTCTTTTGTGTCTTATTTCAAAATGCTTAAAGAAATAATATAACAGATATAATTATAACTATTAAAACAATCATATGGTTTATCATTAATGATATATCAATTTGGGGGGCAATGAAAAAAACATAAGACTAGTAAGAAGGAAAACATTAAAAAACCTATGCAAAATCAAAAATGGCCCAGACACTTTATATTACTATCATTACTTTAGATTTTCTATAGATTCCATGCTCCTTCCTATTTTTCAATTGTTAAAGAGAAGATAAATATCTCTAAAACATCACTTAATTGTCATCTTGGTTCTTTAGCTTATGAGCCAAGTTACATCATATCTCATCTCTGAACGTATTTTTTAGATTATGAGATAATGGACTTGTTAATATGAGTGCAATCAGTATTTTTTTAATTGCACTACTCCATGGATAAAAAAATGCTATAAGTAATAACTCAACATATTAAAAAAAATAAAAACTTCAACACAGCCCCTCTCCACTGAAGAAGTCTTCACACCTCTTGGATGGCCATTTTCAGGAAAGCTCTGTAAAGATACTCAAGAACTCCCTGTCCCTGCATTGGGGCCATCAAAACCAAGTTCAGTTTGCTTCATTCTATATCCTGGAAATTCCATCATTATTCCTACTTCTTGCTGCTTAATTTAACATGATGAATCTTGGCCTCTTCTAGGGAAACAAGAGCAGAGTGCATTATGCAATTTTCAATATAACGCACTAAAGGCTCCTAATTACTTGATTTAGGCATATGTAAATAAGAAGACCTTATATAAAATGAGTCAAAGATCATGCCTTGAGCATTCCACCAGTTGAACAATATTCTGATTACCTAATCAGGTTCTAAATGTATGTATAATGTATGCCTCAGAATATCAAGGCTATCACATATAAAGCAGTATGGTTCACGTTAATATATACGCTATGTTTCTTCAATTAAGACACTTGCCAGCTGACAGGCAGAGGAGTAAGTTGTGACATCTCAGTAGTGATCCTGCCTGAGCATGTGTGAACTTAGCTGTTCATCTGATTGTCACTTCATTGGTACTATTTGCATTGGCAACAGCATATGGAGTTGGGTTTCTGTTCCCTTTACTTTTAGTTGACATGTAATAATTGTACATATTTATGCGGTATAGAGTGGTATTTCGATACATGTACATAATATGTAATGATCAAATCAGGGTAATTAGAATATCCATCATCATAACCATTTATCACTTCTTTGCATTGGGAACATTCAAAATTTCTCTTCTAGATTTTTTGAACATATACACTAAATTATTATTAATGATATCTAACCTACAGTGCTATAGAACACTAGAACTTATTCTATCTAGCTGTCATTTCGTATCTGTTAACCAACCTCTCCCATCCTTCCCTCACACCTACCCCTCCCAGCCTCTTATAACCATAATTATACTCTCTTTCTATGAACTCAATACTTTTAATCTCCCATGTGTAAGAACATCCAGGGTATTTCTTTTCTTTGCCTGATTTATTTCACTTGATATAATGTCCTTCAGGTTCATCCACATTGCTGTGAATGACAAAAATCTCATTTTTTTTTATGGCTGGATGGTATTCCATTGTGTTGATATACCACACTTTCTTTATTCATTAATTCCTTAATGGTCATTTAGGATGATTCCATATCTTGGCAATTGTGAATAGTGTTGCAATAAACATAAGAGTGTAGATATCTCTTTGATATGCTGATTTCCTTTCTATTGGATAAATACACAGTAGTGGGATTGCTGGATCACACAGTAGTTCTATTTTTAGGTTTTTTTAAAAAACCCTCCATGCTGTTCACCATAGTGGCTGTGTTAATTTACATTCCCACCAGCAGTGTATAAGACTTCCCTTTTCTCTGCATCCTCACCAGCATTTGTTCTTTTTTGTCTTTTTGGTAATAGCCATTCTAAATGAAGCGAAATGATATCTCGTTATGGTTTTGATTTTTGCAATTCCCTGATGACTAGTGATGTTGAACATTTTTTCAAATACTTATTGGCTATTTGTACATCTTCTTTTAAGAAATCTCTATTGAGATCCTTTGCCCATTTCTAATTGAATTATTTGTTTTGCTTTGTTTTTGCTGTTGTGTTTCTTGTGTATTCTGGATATTGGTCCCTTGTCACAGCTAGTCTGTGTCAGTTTGCAAATATTTTCTCCCATTTACAGGTTGTCTTTTGACTTCATAAATTGTTTCCTTTGCTGTGCAGAAGTTTCTTCAGTTTAATATCTACTTTTTGGTTGCTGTCTGTGTTTTTACAGTCTTACATACAAAATCTTTTCCTAGACCAATGTCCTGAAGAGTTTCCTGTATGTTTTTTTCTAGTAGTTTATAGTTTCAGGTCTTCCAGTTAAGTCTTTAATCCATTTTAAGTTTATTTTTGTATGTGGCGAGGGATAGGGATACAGTTTCAATCTTCTGCATATAGATATCCACTTTCCCCAACACCATCTATCCTTCTCCAGTAGTTTACATCTTGTGGTTGCACAGCCCCAGAACTTCAGAAACATCCTAAACTCTTTCTTTCTCTAACAACACCTCAATGAATGTTATTGGCACCTTTGTGGGAAATCAATTGCCTATAAATATGTGGATTTATTTCTGAGTTATCTACTCTGTTCCATCGGTCTATGTGTCAGTTTTTATACCAGTACCATGCTGTTTTGATCACTATCGCTTTGTAGTATATTTTGAAGTCAGGTAGTGTGATGCCTCCAGCTTTGTTCCTTTTAGTATTTCTCTGGCTATTTGAAGTCTTTTGTGGTTCCATATTATGGAATTTGTTTTAACTTAAATTTGAATCTCTTAAAATGCCTTCAAAAAAGATTGTCTTGTGGTGATGCACTAGGTATAATGTCATTGTGTACGAAGGAGCTATCCTATCACATGCCTGGCAGTGCAGTTAGAGAGAATAGAAATAGCCAAGTCTTTCAGAAAAAACAATAAAATCTTGAAAGCTAACAGAGGTTCGCATGAACAATTCCTATGTCACTTGCGTACCAATATTTATCTATCAAAAGCTTTCAATCAAGGAATAAACAAAACCAAAAGGTTAACCAAATAGGAAAAACCACAAAATAGAACAAAAATGAGATGAAATCTTAATATTCTGCAAGTCTTGAAATTATACTTTCAATCTTAAAGTTATTAAAGGCAGGTTATGAAAAGCATCATATCACTGTGATATTAAAAATATTGACTGGTGGATAAAAGTGATTCCAAAGAATTTAAATGTGAAAAGGACTTGGTTAGATTCTTATACTTCTTTGCTGAACATTAGGAATATCACTTTCTTTTTACTTTCCTCCTCACTGGTTGCTTCTTTTATCTACTCTCTGTTGATTGTTGCTCACCTCCCAGTCCTCTAAATGTTAAAGAAGCCAAGTCCTTGGATCTCTTCTTTTATCTTTCTACACTCTCCCTAGGTGGTCACAGCTAGTCTCTATAGTTTTGAATACCATATATGTACTTACAAATCCCACATTTATAACCTTAGCCAAGATGTCTCCTGTGAACACCAGACTCATTTATCTATCTTCCTACTCAGCACATTTATTTGGATCGAATATGCATATTTGTCTAATATGCATCTCAAAATTAACATTTCCAAAAATGAATCCACATTACTCTCATTCTTTAAGCAAATCTATCCTTCCCCAATATTTTACGTCTTGTGGTTGCACAGCCCCAAAACTTCAGAAACATCCTCAACTCTTTCTTTCTCTAACACCATCCATGCAATCCATTTGACTTTTCCTTCAAAAGATATCCAGAGCTGACCAGTTCCCCTCACTTCATCCTTACCACCTCTATCCACAGCACCAGCATCTCCCTCCTGGACCAGGGCAACAGCATCCCGACTGGTTTCCCTGTCTCCACCCTCGGCCTCTTCAGTCTATTCTCTATAGGCAAGCCACAGTGACATGCTTTTCTTTTTTGAAAGTCTAAGTATTAAATTATCCATTAAATAACTAATTATTGCCTACGATAAGACACACAGATTTTAGGAGTAAAGTTTGATGAGTTTTGACTATTGTAAAACCATCTCCACCAAGTTACAGGACATTCCTATCATCCCCAAAAGTTTCCCTTATGATCCTGTCCACTCAATCGCCTCCCAGAGGAAACCAATGTTCTGATTCCTGCTATGAAAGTTTAGTTTTGCTTGTTTCAGAAGGTCACATGAATGGAAACGTATAGTACGCACCACCATGTGTCCCTGGCTTCCTTTACCACAGCATAACATTTATGAGATTCATCTGTTATTGAGAGTATTAATAGTTATATCATTTTATTGATGAGTAGTATTCCATTGTATAAATATCCCCTAATTAATTCATTATTTGTTGATGGACATTTGGGGTTGTTTCACACATTTTAGCTATATGAATAAAGATGCTACAAACACTGCACAAAGCTTTTTTGTGGACTTATCCTTTTGTTGTTCTTGAGTAAACACCTGAGAGTAGAATTGCTGGGTCATAGGTAAAAATCTTTAGTTTGATAAAAACTGCCTATTTTTCAAAGTGTTGTGTTATTTTCACACTCACTAGCAATGGATAAAAGTTCAGATTACGCTACATACTTGTAAGCATTTGTCAGTGGGTTCGTGTTGATATTGTTCGTTTTAATTTTGGCCATATTAATGGGTATACAATGGCATCTCACTGTGGTCTTTCTCTGATGATGATTGTGAATATATTTCCATATGCTTAGTGACCATTTGTATATCTTCTTCTGTGAGGTGTTTGTTCAAGTCTTTTGCCCATTTTTAAAAAGCGATCTTTTAAAAATATGTTAGTTCTTAACACTTCTCTGCTCAGAGCAATCCAATAGCATTTCAGATCACTCACTAAGAGCCAAAAATATTTACAGCATCCACTAAAGCACAACACGATCTGCCGCTCGGGTAACATTATGATCTCATCTCCTAGTACTGCTCCATCTGCTTAGACTCTTCATTATCCTGGTGTCCTTGAGCAACCAATCACCAGACCTCTCAGAGCTCCTGTTCCCTCTGCAGGGATTTTCTTGTCCCAGAGATCCACCTGCCTGTTTTCTCACTTCCTTTAGTACCTTCTGGAATATTCTGCACAAAATAGCAACCAGATCTCCAGCATTCCCTATTCCCTTTATCCAGTTTTATTTTTCCCGTAACACTTACCCATGAAGACGTGATTATTTTTACACTTATTTTTAGTTCCTTCGTCCCTCTCTCTTTCCCTCCCTTTTGCACTTTTATCTTCCTTCTTTCCTTCCTTCCCTCCTTCTCTCCTTCCTATTATTTATAGTTTATCTCATTCTACCAAAATATAAGCTCTATGAGGACAAGGAATTTTGACCATTCATTCCACAACTTTTGCTCACTACTGATTCCCAGATCCTAGAACAAGTTTTTAATGCTCCAGAAGTGTTGAGAGGAATATATATTTGAACTCTTTACCAACTTAAAGTCATAACATTTTAGTCTTTAACTATATTTTAAAAGCGGCAGATATATCTATTTAAAAGAAAAAAAAACACCTAAAACTGTGCTCCCAAACACTGTACCAAATCAATTTGATTTTTAAGAAATGAGGCCAGGAATGTTCACTCGTGCCTGAAATCCCAGCACTTTGGGAAGCCAAGTCAGGAAGATCACTTGAGCCCACGAATTTGAGACCATCCTGGGCAGCATGGCAGGACCCTATCTTAAAAAAAAAAAATTAGCTGGATGCAGTGGTACACACCTGTAGTCTCAGCTGCTTGGAGGGCCGAGGCAGCAGGATCCCTGAAGCCCAGGAGTTCAAGGCAGGAGTAAGCTCTGATTGTGGCACTGCACTCCAGCCTGGGTGACAAAGCAAGACCCTGTCTCTAAAATAAATAAATAAATAAATATTTTTAAAAGAGTTTTTAAAAACTGAGACTGAGTGAGCACGTGAATCAAATAGACTTCATAGAACAAAGTGAAAAATTATATATTTTATATATGCATCTGCATGTATACATACATCTGTACATATACATGTATAGAGAATTTTTTAAGTAATAATAAAACAGACAGATAAACTAACCTATACTGAGCACTTACTGAGAAACTGTTAAACCTCACAAGAATTCCAGGAGGAACTATTCCCACTTTACAGATAAGAACATTGAGGCTTAGGGTGTTTAAGTAACTTGTTAAATTCATACAGCTGGTCGGTTCCAGAGTCAGTATTTAAACTGTATTATATTGTATCACTTTGCCTAAATATTATATGTGTGTGTATGTACATTTAATTTGAATTACAAATAGAACATTGAAGAATAAAGTCTGTAATGTAAAAAAAAATCTAGTCCCTTCCAATGCTTTTATAACATTATCATTATGTACATATTTTATGGTGTTTGAATTTTCTTTTTGTAATCATTAGCGACTACATGTATATCATATATGTAGGTTATGAAACATAATAACAGAATAAACTCTCATGGATCTACCAACCAGCTTAAATAATGAGCATTGCCAAACTATCAAAGCTACCTGTGGACCCTTCCTCAATTCCATTCAGCTGCATTCCTCACCAGAAGTAAACACCACCTCAAATTGTGTGCATATCATTCCTTTGTTTTAATTAGAAATTTGATTACATGAATGTGTCCCTAAATGAGGTATTGTTTAGATTATTTCTATGGGATTTTTCAAGATGGTATCATACTATCTATAGTCCTCTCTGGTTGTTTTTTGTTTTCTCATTCAATACTACGCTTTTATGACTCCTCCATGTGTTTGTTTGTTTGTTTGTTTGTGGAGACAGAGTCTCACTTGTTGTCCAGGCTGGAGTGCAGTGGTATAATCATGGCTAGCTGCAGCCTTGAACTCTTGAGCCCAAGTTATCCTCCTGCCTTAATCTCCTGAGTAGCTGGGACTATAGGTGCATGCCACCATGCCTGGCTAATTTTTAAAAATATAATTTTGTAGAGACAGGGTCTCACTGTGTTACCCAGGCAGGTCTTGAACTCCTGGCTTCAAGCAGTCCTCCCACCTAGTCCTCCCAAAGTGCTGGAATTACAGGCATAAATCACCAGGCCTGGCCCAGTTCCTTCATGTAAATGCACATAGCTGTGGTGGTTCATTGATTTTAATGCTCTACTGTATTCCTTGTAGGAACATACCAAATTTGTTTGCTCATCCTTTTGCAAGCTTCTTTCATCAGACATCAAAACATATTACAAAGCTACTGTAAGACAATATGATATTTATACAAGGAGGAAGAGACAAAGTGATCAATGGGACCAAATAGAGAGTTTACAAAAAAGACGTTGCCAGATGGTAACTTGGAATCTAACAAAGTAAATTGCAGATCCATGGGAACAAGATGAACTATTCTGTAAATTGTGCTGAGATAACTGATTAAACGTTAAAGAAACCCTACCTTATACCACACAAAACAAATTCCAGCTGGACTAAATGTGAAAAGCAAACCTCTACAACTTTAAGAAGACAATATAACAGAATATCTTTATGACCTCTCAGTCAGCAAAAAGAAAATTATTTTGCCAGTGCAAAAATTACCAACCATAAAAAAATGATAAAGTCTATCTGGATATGAAATTATTTTTATCAAAGGATACCATAAAGAAAATAAAAGAAACCACAAACTATTAGAAGATATTTAGAACATAAACTACCTCTTCTTAAGGATTTCTTTTTTAAGTATATTCCTACATTCCCTGACATAGTCACAACTTGAGAAATTTACTCTTATTTTTTTTTTTTTTTTGTCTATTTCTTCCTAGAGCTTGGAAGGGTACCTGGTACTTGATACACTGTTGATTAACAACCTTTTATTTTAGGCTGTTTTCTACGGCAGCATATGTAAAATTTTACCTTGCTTTAAACAAAGGCTACTAACTATAGGTGGCATTGTTGTAACATATATCATGTTCTCAATTACCTGCATGACAGCAAAGATTGATACTAGTAAAACTTCATTTAAGTTTTTTAATTCAATTGAACGAGAAGGTCATTGACACTTCAGTAATTGCTATTGAAAACCATTTGGCTAAAAGAGAAAAACACACACATATACGCACACAAAATAAATTGTGACATAATCTTTACCACAGATTATTCACTTTAAAGGAATTTCCCACTATGATTCTTGTTACAGGATCATTATTGCAATTATTTTACCTAAGAAATTATCTGATACTTCTAACCCTATAGTCACACATGACATAATTGTTACAGCCATAAAGAAAGAAAAATTGTCAGTGCTTTCTGCTATTTTTTTAACTGCAAATAGAAAGTCCAGTTTTTAAGCTTTGTTCTTATTCGAAACTATGGAATAAACACAAAAGAATCAAAAGAACTAGCGAGAGAAAGAAAGTGGTTTGGGAGAATCTGAGAGTAGCTCCCTTACTACAGATGGCTGGCAAGCTGGTAACCTCAGTGTGAGACCCTGGCATTGCCTAAGTACTACTGAATATTGGTGACCTGGTTATTTCCTCCCAACTAGGAATCTCTGGTCAAGTCTTTGAGTTTTTCTGCTTTCTTCTCTGTCTTCATTCCAAGAAGACAGGGCTTAGTGTAGCTAAGTGCCTAAAATTCCCTTGTCTGTGAATGTTTAAAAACGTGTTCCCACTTGAAAGCATGGCAGAGACAGAGGTGTAAATGAACATTTCAGGCTACAAATTTAATCTGTAAAGTCCTGCATCTGTTGTCTCATCCATTAGATGGTGTGTTTCCACAAGTAGGAATCTTTTTTTTCTTTTTTCTTTTCTTTTCTCTTTTTTCTTTTCTTTCTTATTGTTAAATTATAAAATTCACTGCTAGGCTAACAAATCTTGTTGCTAAAAAACAAAGCCAGCACGCTACCAGAATGTATGAACAGAAGTGCACTGTATAGGAACCATTGAAATCTAATCACTTTAAAGCTTTCTAAAAAGACACTGTATTTCAGGACTACATAACCAATATATTATGCAGAGAAAACTTAGAGCTCAGAAAAAACAGTGAACATGAACATAGGTGTAGAAAATAGCAACTGAGAACGTATATACAATTAATATGACAAGACGGGAAGTCTAAAAAAGAACCAGGTAGAATATCAGTTCCTGTGTGCAGAGAATGGCTCCTGATATTGTGAAAATGTGGAAATCCACATACCTGGGTTAGAGACCCATACGTGTCACTTACAAGCCATATGACCCTGAACAAGTTCTATAATTTCTCTTGGTTGTTTTGTGAAAGGACAGGAAAATAATATTCAACTCACTGAGTTGTTTGGAGATTTAATGAGATGATGTGCTTAAAGCACTTTGTACACTATAAGGCGCTATATAAATGTGATTCATCTACCTAAAGAATAATTATTAAAACAGATTATCCCTGAGGAAAGAACAAAAGGAAATGAGTCTATGAAATTATAGTGAAAGGAATGTATATCACGCAGTGGGACAAGCATCCTGGCTGTGACACTGATTACTAGGGAAGCGACAGAGTTGGTTTCTGAGGTTATAAACCACCACTGCTTGACAGAATGAAAACAATCTTGCTTAGAGGTAAAATCATAGAGTATGTGACACTTTTTGGTGCCACCCGGGATAAAAATAATTGGGCTCAAAGTTAATACAATTCATTAGATAGTTCTGTCTTCTAAAGACAGGCTTAAACCATGTTTCCTGAGGTCCTGAGGAATCTAACAGAGTCAAGCCACGTAATTCTAGAGCATTTGATGGCTTCCTCTCGTACAAGTTGAATGAAGACTTGTCTATCCTCCTCTATTATCCTAAAATGAAGCTTTTAAAAATGAGCCACCAATCTATACAAAATAATTTGATGACATTTTGCCAAATATTAAGCCACGCAGTGGTGTCCTTAGGGAAACCCGAGAAGAGGAAAATCACGTTGTGCTCTCTGATGCCTTCCATAAGGGACACCAGAGGCCAACTTTGTGCAGGGCTCTATGGAAAGTACAAGGAAGGCAGAGGAGAAGCTAAAGCAGACACAGTCTCTGCCTCAAAGTGTCTCGGTCTAGTGGGAGAGTCAGCCATTACTCAAAGCCACATTAGGAAAAGAAGTGATCTGAAAGTACACAAAACAGAGATTTGACTGACAGACAGAAGCCAGCTAAGGATTCCCTAAAGATGAGGAGACAAAGTAGATATCTGAGAAAAGAGTAGGAATTAATCAGGCAAAGATACTACCTGGAGATTTCTAAGCAGACAGAACAGCAGATGCAAAGGTCCTGTGGCAAAAAGGAGCATGGTGATTCCAAGGATCTGAAAGAAGGCAGGAAGACAGGTGCACAGAATAGAGGATATGGAGTGAGATGAGGTGCAAGAGGTGGGTAGGGCCAAGTTAACTAGACTTTGAGGGAATGCTTAGGATTTTGGTCTTTATCCTCAGAGCAAAGCAAAGTCACTGGCACAAAGTAAACGTAGGTGAAGAGAAAGTAAATCACAGAACAGATGTAAAAACTGCATGTGGAAGGGATCAAGGATGGCCTTAGCTGCTTTGCAATGAAATAGATTAAAGATCACTGGCTGCCTCCTTAAGTCACAGGTCTGCTGACAGCAACATCATCCACTCCATACCCCCATCCCCAAAGGACACTGTATAGCCTGATCATCTCCACTTCCCTATCCCATGGGCAACTCTGCTGAGCAAGTCATTTGCCTCACAGAAGCTGATGATGGCTCTGGGGAGTTTAGATAATGGCAGTATATGATGGAATATGCATTTCCTAAAATGGAATGAGTGTATAGAGGGGTAAGGGTGGCAGCTGACACTGAGCGTGAATCTGTATGTGTCTACCTAACGCTAAAGCTACACCTGGAAGGAAAAATCATTACCCAAACTCACTTCTTCTTTCTGGTCTAGATAATGGCTCTCTATATTAAAAATGTTCCTACTATTAGTAGTTCTTTATAAAAGGAGAAGAGAAGGAAAAAAAAAACCTCTGGCAGAGAAATAATAACAAAATGTATGATCCACAGAGGTGGTGGGAAGATATAACGTTATTTTACATATTTGATATAGAGCCTAAATTAAGCCATAGAAAAGAGGCCATGAATCTTCATAGCCTCATTATCAAGCTTCCCTAAACCTCAAATACAGAAAAATACATTTCATAAACAAAGATCCAATAGGATTTTAATAGTTCAATAAATTTCACAGACATTTGCACTAATCACATTTCATTACATTTTTTAAAAGAAATTCCATTGATGGAGTGTCAGATTTTGAAAGAGGGCACAAAATATCTTTTGGGAAGCTAGTTTTGGCTAACCATGAAAATGCAAGTCAAATGTATCATGGACAAGTCAAATGTTATGCAACCGAAAAGTTACACATATGCCTTTTTTTTTTTCCTACTTCTTGACTCCATTGTGTCAAGAGTCAATCTCTTAAATCCCTCAGGACACATCTTTCCTCCAAACCATCCCAACCTGAATGGCAAGAAATTCAGACTTCAGTATAAGCTGTCAGTCCCTAAGATGTTCTATGGTCCTGGATGCCTATCAGCAGCTCCATTTTTTCAAGATGTAGATGAATTTTTTAATGCAAGGCTTCATCTATTAATTACCAACTTATTGAAGGCATTCTAGTTTGAATGTTATCACCACAATCATCTCATCCCCAGTGAAAGAAATACATTTATCCAGTACTACAAACCAGGGCACGAGAGGCCCTGACCTCCTGTGGCTGGACCCTTCTCCATGGTATGGCCGAGGGGACATGCCCATCTAGAGCCTATGCCCGTCTTCTAGGAATTCCCTACTCAAGTGGTTCTAGGCCTACTTCAGGTCTGACTCCATCCTCCCAGTGGCTGACTAGTCTATTAGATACATTCCTAGGCCTGGGGGGAGGCCAAAGGGCAGCTATATTAAAGGGATATGAATGTGCAGACTAGGGCATCCATACAGGTGTGCACAAGGCACTCAGATATTGGAAAGAGCTGGGAGTAGGAAGGGGGTCAGATTAGAGGCTGAGGGCTGAGAAACAGTTCTTGTCATGTTGCCATGGTCTGGTGCACTACTCTAAGAAGTCTGTGGATTCTAAATTAGAGCTTGGCCTTCCAGTTCATTCTGAACACTGCCATTCAAAGCTCAATGTACTAACAAAATACCTGGGGGTCTTGTTCCAATGCAGATCTGATTCAGTAAATCTGAGGTAGGGCCTGAAAGTCTGCATTTCTAATGCGCTCCAAAATGATACTGACACTGCTGGTATGTGGGCCACATTTTAAGTAAAAAGGATCATGAAGGTACATTTGTCAAGGTAGAACAATAGAACATGTTTTATTTAACAATTTATAAGCCAGGTACATTCATGGTACCTGGGTCTCCATTTGGACACGTGTCCTAGCCCAGCAAATGTTAGGGACATTCTTGCATTTATCTTTCATCAGAATGATCTGCCCACTTCCACAGAAATCTCATCTTAAGGGAAGAATCATGTTGGAGTATAACGTGTCAACAAAAGATTATTTGTATCCATTCATTCTGCTTCAGATGATACACCAGATGGTTGTTCAGGCTGTCTATACGTATGAATTCTGATACTAGGAGCAAAGTAAGGATTTGTTGTCCATTGGCAGCAAGTCCACTTACTTATCTTCACTATTCCCAAGCCCTTGGGCTCAACCTCTAGGAGTAATCATCTTGTAAACAGAAACCAGAAGAACAAGACCAGAAGGTAGAAACTAGCCACACTACTAGGAAAACATATGCCTTCAGTGGGTGCAGGCTCACCTGTAAGGAATTTAGATATATAGGCATCTCCCAGGATGGCCTTCCTTCCATGCCTTTTCTTCCATGCCCTTCCCTCATCATGGTGCTCAACTTCCGGCTCTTGTTTTCTTATCCTAGCATCGTTCTGAGGTCCCAGGGAACCTCAGTCTACTTCAGTCTATTCCTGCTGAACAAAACCAGCCCAAGTTTTCCCTGTGCCTCTAAAATTCCACATTGCAAATTCCACTGTATTATAAGCCACTATAAACCAATGGCCTTCCAGCTGTCAAAACCCATGCATCCTACAGAGGGTGGCTGCTTTTTTAAGAAACAAAAACTTATACATACAAAAGCGAAAAGGATGGAATCCCACTCTTAGTCACCTTATTTGTTTCTGGCTGGCCCTACTTGCATCTCATGCCACAACCCTCAGCACTCCAGCCTTGTGTACACATCCATTTGAACTGGACTACCTGAGTTTCCTAAACAAGAGCTTACATTTGGCCTTGTCTTCTACTCTTTTTAAGAAAATAAATTTTACTGTTTAGAGTAGTTTTGGTGTGACAGCAAAATTGAGAGGAAGGTACAGGGACTTCTTAAGTATCGCCTACCTACCCTCCACATACACAGCATCGCCCCCCCTCCCCATTGATATTCCCCACCAGAGGGGTACATTTGCTACAACTAATGAACTTACATTGACACAGCATTTCCACCCAAAGCCCAGACTTTGCATTAGGGTTACTTCTTGGGGTTATATAAAGGTTTGGATAAATGTAATGACATGTACCTATTATTATAATATCATACAAAATAGTTTCACTGCCCTAAAAATCCTCCGCAGCTCACCTCTTCACCCTGCAGTCCCCAACCTCTGGCAACCACTGATCTTTTTTTACTGTCTCCATAGGACCCTGCCTTTTCTAGAAAGACATATAGTTTAAATAATATACTATATAGCCTTTTCAAATTTGCTTCTTTCATTTAGTAACATGCACTTAAGTTTCCTTTATGTATTTTCATCACTTGATAGCTCATTTCTTTTTAGCAGTGAATAATACTCCGTTGTCTGGATGTACCATGGTTTATTTAACTATGCACTATTGAAAGACAATTTGGTTGCTTCCAAATTTTGGCAGTTATGAATACAGCTGCTATAAGCATATGTGTGCATATTTTTGTGTGGCACAAGTTTTCAGCTTATTTAGGTAAAAACCAAGGAACATGATTGTTGAATCATATAGTAAGAGTGTGTTTAGTTTTGTAAGAAACTGCCCAAACTGTCTTCTAAACCAAAGTGACTATACCATTTTGCATTCCTATCAGTAATGAATGAAAGTTCCTGTAGTTTCACATCCTCATCAGCATTTGGTATTGTCAGCGTCTTGGATTTTGGCCATTCAAATAAGTGTACAGTGGTATTTCATTGTTGTTTTAATTTGAAATTCCTGAGTCACATCATATGATGTTGATTGTCTATCTTATTTGCTATTTGTATTTCTTCTTTTGTAAGTTTTCTGCTCTGGTCTTTTGCTTATTTTTTAATTGGGTTATTTGATTTCTTATTGTTGAGTTTTAAGAGTTCTTTGTATATTTTGGATAACAATCCTTTATAAGATGTCTTTTATAAATGTTTTCTCCCAGTCTTTGGCTTGTTTTCTCATTCCCTTGACAGTGTCTTTCACAGGGAAGAAATTTTTAAGTTTAATGAAATCAATTATTTATTTCATGAATTGTACCTTTGGTGCTGTATCTAAAGAGTCATTGGCATACCCAAAGTCATTTACATTTTCTCATATGTTCTCTTCTAAAAGTTTTATGGTTTTACATTTTACATTTAGGTATATGACACATTTTGAGTTAATTTTTGTGAAGAATGTAAGATCTATGTCTAGATTCATTCTTTTATTTTTGCATGTGGATATCCAGTTGTTCAAGCACCATTTGTTGAAAAGGCTATTTTTTCCCCATTGTATTTCCCCAGCTCCATTGTCAAAGATTAACTGACTGTGTTTATGTGGTCTAGTTTTGAGCTCTCTATTCTGTTACATTAATCTACTTGCCTATTATTTTGCCAATACCACACTGTCTTGATTACTGTAGCTTTAAAGTAGTATCAGTTCTCTCATATTATTCTCTTTCATTCTTGTGTTGACTAGTATGGGTCTTTTTTTTTTTTTGTCTCTATAAATTTAAGAATCCATGGGTTGATATCCACAGACTAACTTGCTGAAATTTTGATTGGAATTGCATTGAATCTATAGGTCAAGTTGGCAAGAGCTGACATTTGGCAATATTGAGTCTTCCTATCCATGAACATGGAATATCTCCATTTATTTAGTTATCCTTTAACTAGAGTTTTGTAGTTTTCTTTGTACAGCTCTTGTACATATTTTCTTAGATTTATACTCAAGTGTTTTACTTTTTGGGGTGCTAATGTAAATAGTTTACTACTCTTCTGCAAGGAATTTTCTTCTTTGCTTCCACTCTTTCTAGACTAACTCCTTTAGAAATCTCAGGTCTGAGTATTCTTACTTTGGGAAATCTTTCTTAAGCACATATTTAATCATTCATTCATTCACTCATGCATTTACTTAACAAATATATATGGTGTGTTTACTATGTGTTAGTTGTTATTCTAATCTCTGAGGATATGGCAGTGGCCTAACATTTTCTACTGTCATGAAGCTCACCTTCCAGTGAGGAGAATAAATGTAAACATAGAAAATCTGATATTAGTAACCCACTTGAGGAGAGATATTCTTTAAGTATTCGATGAATGAATGACTAAACGAATGAATGAATGTTGAAATTTTCTGACCCTTATGGTGTTCAAGGAACTTATTTTTGATTAAGTTTTTCCTCATCCAAATTGAAAAAAAACATAGAAAAAAACATAAAAAATAGGTAAACCTATTTTATGTTTCCACTGACCACAACCCATGATCTAACATAATTATAAGTTTACCTTCAGTACTTAGTAAATACTTAAGTGATTGACTGACTGATGTTTTAGGAACCACATTTTGGACTATTGGCCCTTCTATAGAAATTTTCTTTCCTTTTTTGAGACGGAGTTTCGCTTTTGTTGCCCAGGCTAGAGTGCAATGGCGCTATCTCAGCTCACCGCAACCTCCGCCTCCCTGGTTCAAGCAACTCTCCTGCCTCAGCCTTCTGAGTAGCTGGGATTACAGGCATGCACCACCATGCCCGGCTAATTTTGTATTTTTAGTAGAGACAGGGTTTCTCCATGTTGGTCAGACTGGTCTCAAACTCCTGACCTCAGGTGATCCGCCCACCTCAGCACTCTCAAAGTGCTGGGATTACAGGCATGAGCCACGGTGCCCAGCTGAAATTTTCAAGCAAGAATGTTAAATTTGTGATGTTTTCAAGCAAGAATGTTAAATTTGTGATGGAAGATGCCTTTCATAACTGAGGTGTGAATTCTCTTGAATCTGAGGGGAAGAGACAATGGCACATGAAAGAATCATCACCTTCTTTATTTCAAATTCAAATTTCTCCCTTCCTCCCATCCCAGATTCTAATTCAAACAGCTACAACCCCATAGCTTTTCACCAGAGTCAAGTTCAAGTGGGCTACTATATTAGACAGAAAAATGCTAAGAATCACCCATGGAAACATTACTGAAGCCACCAGAGTTTTACTATCAACTGGAAAATCCACAAATAAAATGAGAAAATGCATCACTAAAAATCTAATGTGCAGTTGGGTAAATGATAAACCAATTTGAATTAGTGAATACTAATTGAAAAACTGCATGACAAAGTATTTTCCCATTAAAGCAGGAATTTGCTAAAGGCATTTTCAATTATGTATCATGCTTCAGTAAAAAGCTTCACACATTCTAAAAACATAGTGTCTTCTTCAACTTTGCCTCCTGACGGAATTTTTAGCACAATGGCTACCTAGCTCAGATAACTTTAAAAATTAGATGCCAATGACCTTGACAAGGTTCTTCAATTTTTATGTGGTTCTTTTTTTCTCTCTGGTCCTCACACCTAACAGAACAGATGTTTTTAACTTGAGAACCTAATTATTATCTATGAGTGTTAATATTTTTAACCTAATCATGGTTTATCTGCATCCCAGAAACTCACAGTTCACTGTGCTTTGCTAGACAAGTAGAATATTTAGAAGTTTTGACCATCTAAAAGGACATTTTAGATGAAGGACTATCCCCCTTTGAAGTTCACAAATATTTGAATGTCCTTTCAATTGCTTAGATACCTTACTCTTCTCAAAATCAGGGCAGAGGTGACTGCTGGGAGCCAAAATTGTGGATTCCAAACCTACAGGGAAGGGAATATATCTGGAACATAATACCCTGTTGGTGCTCAATAAATGTTTATTAATGAGCCCCTTTTTTTGACCCAGGCACAGAGAATAAATCCAAGGAAGGAAGATTATGCAAATAGACAGAAAGGTCACCCAGCCCTACATGGGGGTGTGGCCCAGGGTGGGGGCAGAACCAAGTCATTCAGGTGACAGGACATTCTCTTGGGTGTATAGCAGTGACCCTGGAAACCCTCATTCCAATAGTTATCTGCTCCATTATAAAATAGTGTAGAAGAACATTTCAGCCACTGACTGCAGAAAATACTGTTTGAGAAAAAAAAATATGTTCTCTCCTTACAACAGTTTAAAGAGATTCTTAGGCCAGAGAACTCTTGATGAAGAATAGACAATGAAGAGAATCAAAGTGAGATCTATAAGAATCATTAGTAATTGGAATGTCCACATTGCATAACTGCAGAATGGA
Organism: Homo sapiens; assembly: GCF_000001405.40. Taxonomy (NCBI): domain Eukaryota; kingdom Metazoa; phylum Chordata; class Mammalia; order Primates; family Hominidae; genus Homo; species Homo sapiens. The sequence goes on from NC_000001.11 coordinate 216,971,315, forward strand.
GGGAGAGCACTCATGAAGCCAGACTTAGCAATATCTTTACAGTGAACAGATTTATTACGAAAGCAACGTGTTAGAAAGAAGTACACGTATTGGAAATGCGTGTCATCCAAACTGATGACATTGGGCACGGGCCATTCCAAAGGCAAAATTCGTAAAACAATATTCCCCTCTCTGATATAAAACAGAAAAGCCATGAAACAGTTACCAAAATGCCTCAAAAGATTCATCTGTTATTTCTCCTCAATACTGCAGAGAAAAATGTCTCTGTGATTTGGCACCAGTCATTAGCTATTTAAAATTATTGGTTTTAATCTAGTAAGTAAAACCGAAATTTGCAATGGTTTATTTTAATAAAATATTTATGATGCTTCAGGAAAACAGCTAAATAGCTCTGATCTGAAAACGAACAATGAGACTGAACTAAATTGATTTCTCCCCAGTAGGACATACAGCTCAAAACACACACACATAAAAGAGTGACACGTCAAACACTAAACTGTATTTGGTAGACATTGTCTTCTTTTAATTGAAATCTTATCTGAGGTGAAGATTATCTCTTTTCCTTCAGCTACGCTAATCTCTTCTAGCCTGAAGGCCCATAACTTGTGAATTACTAAACAATCATATTTGTAGCAGCAAATTGATTTCTGAGAGATTCATATTGATTGAGATATTCAGGACTAATGATTTTGAGGTTAGGGTGTTTAGACATTATTACCTCTGATGAACAAAATTGGTAGAGTTTTTTTTTCTATTTATATTTTTTTCCATTAATAGATAGTTCAACTTGCACTTTAGCCTTGAATCCACCTATCAGACCAATTGGAGTGCCAGTTGGCTTTCTCAACTACCAACCTGATATGCTAAAATTATGCCGGTTTTTGTCCACATTCATAAAAAGATGGCAACTGTGATAGGTGAGTCAAGTGGTCAGCAATCTATCAGGAGTTACTGTCAGAGTTATAGTTGTTGGCTTGGCTAATTAGGCTTGCTCCTATCTTAGTAACTCAGGAAACATCCCTGAACCACAAATAATTGCCAATGGGACACCTAAGAATCACTGGATGAGAGTGAAGTGGCCAAAACTGAGTACATTAATTGCTAGTTACCAGAAAAAAATAACACCAAGTACACAGTCAAATGTACTTCACTGTAGGCCAGAACCTCCATGTTCATATACAAACTATAATCCATACTAACATACAGCAGTAGCATCTAACAGTATTAGGAATGTGTCACATTGACTCTGCTCATCAACGGACTGTCTGGGTCACTGACATGCTGGAACCTCAGAAGGTATGGTCTCAGCACTTAATAAGGAGGATTATCTTTATGACATCAATTCTGTAGAAACACAAGTTTAAGTGTCTGCTCTGCCAATGACTGGCTGCATACGCTTAGTCAGAGTATTTAATGTCACTAGGCCACTGTTATTTCATCTGAAAGATGAACTAGTATGTACTACATAAGTGCAACAAGAACAAAGTAAATAAAAGCTTTTAAATTTTTAAAGTACAGTGCAGGTGCGTGTAAAAGTTTGTGTTGTTCTGGTTGATATTAAAATGAGAGATTAAGGTATTTAAGGTAGTGGAATGGGAGTCTGTGATTTGAAGATTTTCATTCTCTTTTACCCTACATCTAAACCATCGCCAGATCCTGTTGGCACTACCTTTGAAGCAGACCCAGGGAATCTAACCACTTCTCCCCACCTCCATGTCTACCACTGGAGTCCAAACCACTGTGTGTCCTCCCTGGAGAACTGCAGCAGCCTCTCAATGAGGCTCCCTGCTTCTGTCCTAGCCCCTTGTCGGTCTATTTTCTAAACAGCTGCTGGGATGATCCTTCAAAAAGGTAAGTAAGATCATGTCACTCCTCACCTCAAAATCCTATAAATGGTTTTATCTCATTCAGGGTAAAAGCCACAGCCATGATACCGGCCTAATGAGCCTACACACCCTGCAGTACTCCTGTTTCTCCTCTGACATCACCTCTCATTGTCCTCTCCATGAGGAACTTCAGCCCAGTCCTTCTGCTGTCCTCGCTTTACTTGAACATACCACTCAGTCCCCTTCCATAGAATGTTTGCACCTGCTGTTCCCATTATGGAATATACCCCTCCCAGACATCTACACAACCACTCCCTCAGTGTTGTCAGGTCGCTGCTGTTGCCCCAGGGCCCAGAAGCAGTGCTGGACCCATATGCAGATGTTAAAGGATGGCTTTAACATCTTAACATGAGCAATGGCTCATGCCTGTAATCCCAGCACTTTGGGAGGCCGAGGCGGGTGGATCACCTGAGGTCGGGAGTTCGAGACCAGCCTGACTAACATGGAGAAACCCCATCTCCACTAAAAATACAAAATTAGCTGGGTGTGGCGGTACATGGTTTTAATCCCAGCTACTCGGGAGGCTGAGGCGCAAGAATTGCTTGAACCTGGGAGGCAGAGGTTGCGGTGAGCTGAGATAGTGCCATTGCACTCCAGTCTGGGCAACAAGAGTGAAACTCTGTCTCAAAAAAAAAAAAAAAAGAATAAAAGGATGAATGAATGAATAGATGAATCCCAAATCTAGCTACTATAACAGCATTCTTGATTCTTAAAAACCCATAAGCGTATCCCTGGTTTTTAACAAACTATATGTTCGGGCCACTTTCAAAAACTGTGTTATCCTAATTGTCCCAACCCCACTAGTTATAACACAGTAACTCAGTCACAAACCCCGGTGTAACTTTTGAGCTTACAATTACAATAGAAAAAGATTATTATCATAGTAGAATCATTATCATTAATATTTCTTTTTAAAGAACATAAGTAGGTAACTTTCAACTATATTCATCTTCCCAAAAGTCTTGCTAATTAGAAAGACTATAGTTAAAAGTACTTTATTGTATATTTCAAAACAGCTAGAAGAATTGGAATGTTCCCAAAACAAAGAAAAGACAAATGATTGAAGTGACAGACATCCCAATTACCCTGATTTGATCATTACAGATTGTAGCATGCATCCAAATATCACATATATCCCAAAATACATGCAACTATTATATATCTTTTTTAAATCTTTCCAGTTGACTTATGTCTCTGAAACTCCTGATATGACAATAACCTAGACCTAACTCTTGCAGGTATTCATTTTCCAAAGGGGAAAAAAATAGCAACAAAAAGATCTCAACATTTCTTAAGCTGAGATTCATAATATTTTTATTCCTAAACCACATATACATTAGCCTCCAAAGTTCTCAGGGTAAAAAATAAAAAGGTTTATAATTTTTTAAACAGAAAAAAATGGGCAGCAGCACTTTAAAACTTCTCAGTTTGAAAGAGATATGTTTGGTCAATGATCTATTTTTATTTCTGCTCTGCTGTTTCTTGAGGAGTCCAATGACAAGGACCTGTCCTTCAAAGTTTTAGTCTGTGGGCAGAGAATTAGCATTTTCAATTACTTTCCCTGGATGAAGTATATGGGTCTCTTTCCCTCCCCACCCCCAGACTTTTCTCTCATTCTCTCTCTCCCCTCGGAGGACAGGGAGGGCAGTTTCTGGGTTACACTTCCTTTTGTGCTTTTTTTTTTTTTTAATTTTCTTTCAGAATTTTCTCAGCAGGCTACAATCATGCTTTAAGAAGTAATTTATAAATATTTTTTCCCAGAAAAAAGAACTGCAAATATAGGATTTAAGCATCATATGATATCTGCTTAAACTGTTGACACTATCTGTTTTAGTTAACAAATTTGTTTTATGTCATTCTTAATCAACAGACATATGGTTTTGTTACTTTTGTTGATTCTGCAGCAAAGCCAGTTAACGTTGTTATTATCTTGGATACATACTCAGAACAGTTACCCTTACAGACATTTTTAATAAAAACAAACAACAACTGGGTGGACTCAGAAATGAGATCAGATTGCTTTATCAGCCAAGGAACAACCATTGTTCTATTTCACATAGTTCATATTCTTCTTTCAATGTCCTCTCTCTTACCAACCATTTTAAATACAATGATCTGGTCAGATCAAGGACAGACATGGAAAGGGGAAGACAAAAAGAAGCAACCTCTGTTTAACTTTTGGTAAAACCAGCATCCAAAGAAGGAAAACCAGAAAGTACAAAAAGCTAGGTGCACGGGTTGAGCCCAGGTAACAGGAGCCATAAATTCTTCTATCATGATGCAGTTGCCCTGCCAATTTGGCGGAAAATCTTGGAGGGCCCTTCCTTTATTCTGGCTCTAGTCTCTATTAAATCACAGAAATAAATGATCTCAAGCACTTTGGAAATATACAGTGCTCACTAAAAAGACACTCAGAATTCTGAAAATATTCAATTCTCAACCTTTATATAGTCTGCATCTCTACTTTTAAGTCTTGAGGAGAGGTACTAGAGAAAAATAGGTAGTCTGGGATCTAATCCCTTTGATTGTAGAATGCCCTTTAATCAAAGAGGTTAAGGAATAGGCAACTGGTCAAATAACCCGGACATCTCTTTTGTCAATGGGAAAGAACTACATTTGTTGAGTACATGCATGTGCTGGTTCCCTGTGGGATTCTTCACATATATCATTTGAAGGAAGAGATCCCAGGACAAATCATTTTACCTTCTTATCCCACAAAGCTCAGCAGGAAATGGTCTTGACCCATGACAAAGATTTCAAAAAGGGCTGCTTTCCATGACAAATCCAACCACCTTCTAAATGTCCATGAGCTTCACAATTCTCCCAGGGCTGAAGTTTCCTTCAGAGCAGGTTAAGCAATTATCTAACACCTAATAGAAACTTCCAATCCAAGTTTCTTGGAAAGGTGTATCTAACAAAATTCTTAGTAGAGTCCTACATTAATCCAAAAAGTTTGAAAAAAATTGGTAGAAATTAAAGGTAGATAAATATAAAAAATACAAATCACTCTAATAACTCTAAATGAGTAACCCATTTAAAGCCATATAAGCATAACCCAGCACTTCAAAGTAGAAAATGCTCCTAAATGTGTGTGTGTGTGTGTGTGTGTGTGTGTGTGTGTGTGTATGAAAATGATTACTCCTCTTCCCTCATCCACTCCAACCTCCATAGCTTAAAATAAAAATAAGTTGGAGAGAATTAAACTAGGACACTACTCCATGAGGTTGCAAATGTTTAAGCTATTAGGTGAATCTCTAAACCATGTCTGTGCTGTTGGCTGTTTTATTAAGTTTACCTTCAGCAGATGTAACCTTCATAACCCAGTGTCTCCATAGGTCTGACATTTACCTGGCAATATCTTTTCAAAGCGATATCCTTCAATGCTAAACACCTCTTAATTAGGGGCTCATTGAACAAAGGTAGCATTCATCTCTTCATTTACAAAGAGAAGCAACAGCAGCAATGGTAGCAATTTTTATTTGTAGGAACCTAACTGCCAGTTAGACTCATTTTTATTACCCTTCAGTGATGTGGTTTGTGTTTTGTTTTGTGCTTAAATGATGGATTGTAGTCAAATGAGTCTGTCTTTCCTCCTTATTACTCTTACGGTTTTCATAAAGAAGGAAAAACAAAGAGAGAGAGTTTAGGTAATTGTATTCCATATCCAGCCTAAGTCAAGTTCATTAGAGGGAAAAGAAGTGAATTTGGAGCTTCCCCTACTCTTTTTATTAGTTTAATTATAGTGGACACCACAGTATGGAGCATCTGGAATGGAGATGGAGTCATTTCCTTTCTTATGTAGTGCTCACTTAGTATAAGTCATGCCTATAGTCATAAAAGAGTGAAAGCCAGTAGAATCTTGCTCGCTCTCTCTTATTTTCAAGGTGTTTCTTTCATTGTTTGGAGAAATCCTGGGAGTCTTATTGGAGCAAGTAATTACATACTTGCTCAATTATTGGCTTAAAAATTTTTTTAGCATAAATTTCCTTTACTGTCCTCTAGACTCGCACATTTACTCTAGGGTATTGGACCTATCTGTCAAGCTCTTAAGAGTCAAGTTTTAATGCAACCTAATGGTACCAGAAGGAAAAATCCTTACAAATGGGAGACTACACAAACAAAGTTTCCAAGGAGGATACATACACACACACACACACACACACACACACACATATACATATAGATAGATGCCTAAGATATAATGTGAACTAAATTTTAAAAGTAGACTTTTATCTACACATATCATCTTTATTTTACTTAATATTTGTAGTGGACTTTCTCAAACCCTTCTACATAGAATGTGAGGACTGGGAAGCTGTAACCCTTACTGAATAGAAGAAATAGAAGCACAGACAATAAGTACAGGGCCAAGTTTCCTCAGCTGGCAGGTGCCGGGGCCTCCAGGAATCCAAGTGTCCTGACTCCCTACTCAGCATTCTTTCTTCTAGGCACCATTTATCATGCCAGGTATCTGCAACATCCTGCATTGGTGGCTAAGAATAATTAACCAGCTGGGTTGCTGTGGTTTGAATGTCCCCACCAAAACTCATATTGACATTTCACTGCCATTGTAATAGCATTAAGAGGTGGGGTCTTTAAGAGGTGATCAGGCCATGGGTGACCGGTCCTCATGAATGGATTCATGCTTTATTATTCAGGAGTGGGTTCATAATCTCAGGAGCAGATTCCTGATAAAAAGGGTGAGTTTGGTCCAATTTCCCCTTGCTTGCACGTGCTCTCTTGTCCTTCTCCCTTCCACCATGGGATGATGCAGTAAGAAGGCCCTTGTCAGATACTGGAACCATGCTCTTGGATTTCCCAGCCACTAGAATTGTGAGAAATGAATTTATTTTCTTTATAGATTATCTAGTCGGCTGTATTATGTTATAGCAGAAGGAAACAAACTAAGACATGGAAGAATGGGGAAACTGAGACAAAGAGAACTTATTTGCTTAAAACGAGAGCTGGCAAATGACTTCTGGTGGGCCAAATTCACCACCCCCAACTCCCACCCTCCAATGCCTACCTTTTTAAAAAAAAGTTTTATTGGGACACAGCCATACTCATTCATTTCCATATTGCCTAAAGCTACTTTTGCACTATAATGGCAGAGTTGAGTAGCTGTGAAACAGAGACTATATAGCTGGCAAGGCAGAAAATATTTATTCTCTGGTCTTTACAGAACAAGTTTGCCAGTTCCTGGCCTAAGGTACACAGACAGTGCCAAAATTGGTACTAAAACCCACATCTAGTAACTTGTTTCACACAGAGAATAAAATTTAATCTAGTCAAACATGCTAATACTCACCCTACCAGAATCAACAAGGATCTCCCGGACACTGTGGCCTCAGCACTGCAAAGGGACATCCAATATCTATCTTTCAACCTCTATCCACATCTCTAGTCTCATGGACAACCCAGTTTCTCAGTACCCCAATACTGTGTGCAGTGCTTCTGAATGTCAATCTCTTCCATGACAGTCAGAGCAGAAAGAGCCATCTCTATGCAAGTACCCTATTCTCTTCCCCTAAGGTATAGTAATTTTGTGTTGAAAAGGAAGTTTTTTCCACATGTCCACTAATGAAATGAGAGCTGTGAGCCACTGTGGCTTCTCAAAGAAGGAGGCCAAGGTCTCTTTCCTTTATTGTCCTCTTCAGCTTTTTTTCCCCAGAGAGCTCAAATTCTGGGAGCTGATCAGGCTACATGCTTAAAGAAGTGAAATATTCCCAGGTCCAAAAGCCACAGTGACCATGTGCACATGAGCTGGGACCTCTTCTCTTTCACTCACTTAATCTAAACAGTTATCCAGCCTTAGAGAGGAGAAGTTTGCTCCATGCTCTCTCTCCCTCCCCTCCTCCCATTTTTGCCTTTTTATTTGGAAGTTAGCTGGATATACTCACAAATATAGCTTAGACTGGCTTGACTTTTCAAACTGCAAAGTCTCTCTAAACCCCTACCCTTCCCACCCCATATCACTGGCCCTATCTTCTTCTGCCCCAGTTCCTCAGACTATGGTATGGACATGTTGAAAAAGACTTTCCTTACAGGGAGTTAATGTGTGATTCAGGATTGGCTTTAAGGGATAAAATGCCTCTCCTCCCAACTCTCAACTAACTTTAGAGTTCTGCTTTGAGATTTGACATGAAACAGCCAGCCACAATACCGTATGCATTTATCTCTCTTCCATCCCCCATTCCACACCTGAATCTGCCATTTGCCAGTCACTGTCTTCTTCACAAATATCCCTTGGGGATTCCAAGAGGTGGGAAGCTTGATCATGGCCAAGATTCTTAGATTCTTGGGTCTTCTGGCCATGATATCAGAGAGACAATATAATGCAGGATAGTGGAATCACAACATCTGATTTCAAAATCCAGGATCACCTACTTACTAGCTGCTTGACAAGTCACTCAAACTGTGCCTCTGTTTCCTCATCTATAAAATGGGAATGATAATAATCCGTAACTCATAGGAATGTTATGAAAATAAATGAATTAATAGATGTAAAGGACTTAGAACTCTGGCTCCCTAAGTAAAGACTATAATAAGTGTTTAATAACTGGAATGAAAATTTAAATTAGAGTTTAAAGGAAAACTGGCACCAAGACATCATGCTATTATATAGACAGCTTGCCCATTTCAAAAGAGGTTTTAAAAGTGATTTAATAAAAATGCACATATTGCATTGAGCCACTCACTCTTTGTAAAGTAATTCCTAAAGCTCCAAAACCTCCAGAATCAAATGATGCAATATTTAAAATGGACACCTCCCAAGGAAGTGTCTAAAGCATCACACTGCTAAACCTAAGGACTCTTCCATACAAAATGCTATTTTTCCCCTTTCTTTTCTTTCTACCCAATTAAAACGCTCACTTTCCAATCCCAATTCTTTTATTTCATGATGTCCATTTAACAACCCCCTCTATGGTTACTAAATCCTACTTTTTCTTGTTTTATTATGAATTTGTGTAGCATTAATGCTTGCGTTCCATGTTGCACCACTGTGCACAGAATGGTAACTTTGGTCAGTAAAATTCACCAGCTGTTACCTCCATGTCTGCTGCTGATACTTGCTCAAACACAATCCTATTGTATAAGTTTGAGTCATGTGTGTTCAACTGCCTTTTAGACAACTCCAGCTATATGTCCCAGAAAAACCTCAAACCTGACAACATTGAGACAATGCACAATGTTTTACTCCAAGTCTGTTTTATTATTTTTATTCCCCAACCCAGTCAATGGCACCATAGCTTACTAATATTTTCCAGATTTTCCAGAAATCTATCTAATGAGTGACCAGCCATATCTATCCCCATCTACTGAATATTTAGTAAGTCCGTGGGACCTCTCCAACTCCACGGGAACTGTACTGTTTACCCACATTATCTCATCCAGGATCACTGCAATAGCCTCTAATCTTGACTGCTCCCCCACCCATTTCAATTCAACTTCCAAGGGGCTGTTTCTGTAACCTCAAGCTGAACCACCCCTCCACAATACTCATGTTACTTAAATGGCATCCCCATTGCTCCAGATAAATGCATATCCCACTGCATGGCATACAATGTCCATTACAACTCTGTTCATTAATTGAACAATCCTGGCTCCCTCGCTTGCCTCTACTCAGTCATCTTCCATTTTATACTTCAGCAATATAGAACTAATGTAGTTGCCTGAACAGGTCAGGCGGTCTCCTGCCTTTCATATGCTCTTCTCTCATCCTGGAATACCATTTCCCACCTTATCCATAGGGAAACTACTATTTATCCATAAAGTCTCAGCTCAAATGTTACCTATTTGCATCCTTTTCTGACTGCACTATTTATTAAGTACCTACTAAGGCAAGATACCATGCCAGTCACTAATTACGTAGCAGAGTACATGAAGCAATATCCACAGGTACAATTACCCCTTCATCCATGCTACCTCTGCCCTTGCTGCCATTACAGCAAGAACGTTATCGAGTGGGAGTTATGTATATATCTGTCTTTCCATTCTATCATAACCACAATACTCAATAAAATATATGTTGAAAGAATGAAAAACTATAATTTGTCTCTTCAACTAATTTGTCCTCTGGTTTCACTGGATTTCTCAAAGAACGTAATCTAATACAAGGTGCAGTGGTCAAGAGTACCGGCTTTGGAGTCAAACAATCTCAGTCCCTAACTTGACTTTGCTATTCATTAGCTCTGTGACCTTGGATAGGCTACTTACGGCCTGTAAAATGGAGACAATAATGGTACCCTATTTCATAGTGCTGTCATGAGGAGCCGATGAAGCAATTCGTGTAAATAACTCAAAACAGCACCTCGCACAAAACAACTCTTCAATAAATGTTAACTTTTATTATTTTATATTTAATACTGCTCATCTATACATATAAGAGACAACAAATTATAGAAAGAAATAAAAATTAATTTATTGGTTCAAATAGTTACTTATGCTATAATTTTTACTACCCATATAATCTCCAATTGTGTTGAACCTAAAGAGTTAAACACACACACACACACACATGCACACATACGCACGCACACACAGCACACACATACATATGCATTTTCCAAACCAAGACTTGTCACCTGAGGATGAGGGTCAGAGAAAGGAGTGCTGCTGGTTATGGATGTTAAATAAACAATTTTTTCTTACAACAAACCCCTGGCACCCTGTTCTCACCATGTCATGGCCTGTGATGACTTAGTGTCTCCCAAGCATGACCAAGCGATTAGCGGGGCTGTGTCTGTGCATCTCGACAGTAATGGGAGCTCTCTTTCCATTTGCCATGTATTGAAGCCTGAGCGCTTCGCTGCTTCGTGCATTTTCAGCTTGATGAATTCATTATTCTCCATATTTTTCTCCTCCTTCCTTCAGAGAAAACTCTTTCCCCAAAATGCCAGGACTATTTTTTCCCTTTTTAAAGATGGGTGATTTTTAAATGGAAAAATTTTACATCAAGTGTGTAACAGCTTAGCTGCACTCAGTGCCACTTTGAGAAAAAGAAGAAAATCATGCAGTGTAAGTTCTCTGATTCAGATACCATAGTACAGCCTTTCACTGGATAGAAACATGCAGGTATAAGTTGGATATTTTCTAGAAAAAAGTATTTTCTTTTTGGATCTGAAAAGAAATGAGCCAAAAGTTTTATGTTCTAGATGGGCAATGATAGGCCATCTGAGCAAGAGATCTGAGCACTTATCTCCCATTCTTTGATTTTTTTTCTCCCCATAAACAAAGCACTGCCATACCTGGAGTATATCCCTCACCATTCCTCCCATACAATGAGCACCTGCCCAACCAACACTGTACTCATGGATAGAAATACAACTGGAGGGTGACAAGGGCAATTTCTGCAGAGCTATGGTTTTATAAAACACCTTCAGGAGAAAAGAGAAAAAAAGGTATTGAAAAAGAATGGAATAGTAGAGAGTAGAAGAGCACCTTACTTAAAACCAATCTTTGGCTTCCAAACTTAAGTGTTTTTAGCCATATAACTGCTGGGTTTCAGTAGCAAGAAAACTATAAAGGAGAACTCCACTTTACAATAAGCAATAGGCAAAGAGGTTCTTTTGGTGATTTCTAAATCAAGACCCAGAGTTTAATGAGCAGTAAGAACCTGGCACATACAAAAGGTGACATCACAGACACTGTTTTTTCCAGCCAATTGCTGATGCCTAGGTCACAATCATCAATAATTTTATCTTCACACACAAGATAACATGAGTCATCAGATAATTATATCTATGAGCATTAGGATAATGGTTTAAAGCTCTGGTCCGGGAGTCAGACCATCTGAATTTGAAACCTGACTAGTTACGTGACTTTGAACTGTTTTTTTTTTTTTTTTTTTTTAACTGTCTAAGCCTAAACTTTCTTATCTGTAAAGTGGGAATGCTACTACATACCTGATGTGTAACATACAGATTAAATGAAAGAATTCATTAAATGTGCTTAGCACTTTTATAGCTATTATTAGAATTAGTATTAGAATTAGAATTATTAGAATTAGTATACCAAGACAGTGGTATTGATTTTTTTATTTTTTTTTTGAGACAGGGTCTCGCTCTGTTACCCAGGTTGGAGATTGGTGGTGTGATCTAGGCTCTCTGCAGCCTCGATCTCCTGGGCTCAAGTGATCCTCTGACCTCAGCCTCCCTAATAGCTAGGACTATAGGCATGCGCCACCACACCTGGCTAACTTTTGTATTTTTTGCAAAGACGGGGTTTTGCCATGTTGCCCAGACTGGTCTCAAACTCCTGGGCTCAAGCGATCCTCCCATCTTGGCCTCTCAAAGTGCTAGGATTACAAACGTGATGTACTGATTTTTTTGGTGAGGGAGTTCCATGACACATCTTCAAAGACTTACTTCCTTTTTCAAAAGCAGGTATCAAAGATCTTCCTGGGTTAAAACTTTTGTTGATATTGTTGTTATACTAGAATTTTAAATTTTACCAAATAAAATAATCCCTTTCGCGTGCATGTGCATGTGTGTGTGTGTGTGTGTGTGTGTGTGTGTGTGTAAACAATAAGGATCTACTCCAAAAAGTCAGTAATATGTAATGACAGCAGTGTTTTTTGCAACGCATACCAAGTTATTATAAAAAATGCATTCTTCTATAAGATGATATAAACGATAACCTGCCTGCTAATTGGGTTTCTTACATAGAGGTCTTATCTCCCAGAAGGTGAAAATGTCCTAAATGGATATCTCCTCCATTTGGTGAAATATCCTTATAACCTGCAATCCTTCTCAGAGACACAACCTTGCTGTGGTCACAGAAGATGACGCTTCAGATCTAAATATAGGGTCATGGTGCTGGGAGAGGGGGCGGAGAGATAATAAGAATGGGGGGGGGTATGTGGAGGCTCAAGCACTATAAATAACCAAAGAACACGACTACATTTAGAACTTCCCATGTGTAGAATTCAAGCAAATCTTGTGCTTTGTTTCTTGAAACAAAAGAAACAAGAGCATCGTTCAGGTTTCTGGGAGCCCCTGGCAGGAATATACTCTTCCGTATATTTTTTCTTTTGAAGAACTGAGAACTCAAAATAAATCCTCGTGATCATTTTAAGATCTTCTAATCCCCAAAATGCATCCTTACTACACTTAGAGAATGACCTGCCCACACAAGCTGACAATAGCTTCATGCAAAATAGCTCCCTAAACATAAAAGGGTATTTTGGCAAAGGCTTAACAAGCAGAGTACATATTTCAGTTGCAAGTATTTCTCTAACATCTCCAATATGGAAGCTTCTTATAATATTTTAGCAGAAACAAACATCTGTTTTGGGGACGACACCTGATAATTTTAACCATTCCTATAATGGGAAAGTGCTTACTAGAGGAAATGTTTACAAAGATTCTTTGTGCAGTAAGGATGGCCCAGGTGTCCATAAAAACATCTGCTCAGCAAAAGCACAACCAACATTGCTGAAATCTCTAGGCTGTCTCCATTCAAAATGTTTCTAGGCTACATGCTAGAGAAGAGAATCCCTTAGTGAGCCCACAGGAGAGTTATTTGCATAATCCTTGGTTATTCACAGATATTTGGTGACTAATCTGCATTCCTGTCAAATTGAAGGGGGTCTACATACCCGTGGATTTGTGGCATCCCAGGAGAAGTCTGGGTCCATAAACCAGTGAATGAATCCCATTAACACATATATGTAGCTTCTTCATCTGTGACATCAATGACATTTTTTACTTGCCTATTTCTGAATATTCTTTATTAAATAATAAACTCAAGAATAATTTCATACAAATCACCAGTGTATGTAAGTATTATTTCCTGTTATTTCAATGGTTTCCTCACAGGCTAAAGTATGGCTCCAGTTTCAGAATCACGGCTGGGTTTGCCAGTATGGAACCCCTTTATGGCAGGTGCAGCTTCCAAGGCTACTTTTACAAAACCTAACCCATAAAAGATCAGCTGGAGAGAATCTGTGAATAACTATGAACTTCAAAACATATTTCTAAGTATCAGAGGCAGGTGTGATAGGGCAGGAGATTCTTTTGAACAGCCTAATAAATCACCTTTCAGTTTTTCCCAACACCACAGGAAAGAACCTCTGGTAAAGGAATTCTTTAGCCAGAAGATGTGCCTTTCCCAACCCACCTCCACGCACTGGAAGAGGTGAGCCATTACAACTCGGAGTAGCATGCTGGAAGCTTTACCCTCCAATCCAGGCTGGAGAAGGAAGAGGTAGTACAAGGTTTCTCCAAATATTTCAAAGGCAAAGTTGCTTCCTTCATAACTAAATTCCAGTAAATGGCTTTATATCTCCCTGTGCTGGACTAATCTTCCCCATCTCTATATCTTTGATGTTAATGGTATGATTTTTATTTTCAGTTAGGAAGTTGCTTTCCCATTGGGTTAAATGGAATAAAACTCACCTCTTCTATATTGTGTAAGACAATGTTGGTCAAGTCTTGCTTGAAGGCCATTTGTCTGACACCATTCATCAACTACCATAATCTTATCATTTATGGTGGGGGACAGTCAGGACTGTTGGTAGCAAAACTCTTAGAGGGTAAATGTATTCAAACTTTTACCTTAGATTTGATCCAGAAGACTGAGGTTGGATATGGGTTGGCTGCCAAGGTAGATGGCATCTGCCACACAGAGACAGACAAGGAATTAGAAAGCAAAAAGCTAAGCAAGAGTCATACAAATGTATACCAGTCCTTGGGAATTAAAATATAGGTCTCTTAGACAGGACATGAAATAGGTAAAGACCATGACAACTTCTAAAACCATGATATGGGCAAAGATAGCTTGACCACAAAGCTAAAGGAGTCTAATCTTTAGGTCCCCTCACTACGGAAGCTCTTCTCAAGGCCCTGTGTACACATAGTTGTATATTTTGGTGACATTTCCTATAGCAAGATATTTTAACCACAGTTGATCTCTGGCTTTCCCTCCACATGTCTCTTGGGTTGGGTGACCCAGGAATGATCCCAGACATTCCTGGTATTTGGCAAAGGAACAGCTGAGTTGTCAATATATTTATTTTGGGTTTCATAGTTTATATTTAGGTGGCTCACAATCACATATACTTAAATTATTGTTAGTTATTCCCGTGTAGGAATAACTTGTAGGAACGCTTCTACCACTCCATCCACTCTGTACAGGTACCATGTCTGAGAATGCAGATTCAGAAATTGTATAGAGACGTAAACATGTGGCCTGGCTCCAAACCAATGGGTCATAGATGAGAGAAGGTTTGAGGCCGGCATGGTGGCTCATGCCTCTAATCCCAGCACTTTGGGAGGCGAAGGTGGGCAGATCTCTTGAGGCCAGGAGTCAACCAGCCTGAGAAACATAGAGAAACCTCGTCTCTGTAAAATAATAATAATAATAATAATACAAAAATCAGCCTGGAGTGGCGGGGCATGGCTGTGGTCCCAGCTACTCGGGAGGCTGAGGCTGGAGGATCGCTTGAGCCCGAGGGGCAGAGATTGCAGTGAGCCAATATCACACGACTGTACTCCAGCCTGGGCAATAGAGAGAGACTCTGCCTCAAAATAAATAAATAAAATGAACTAAAAGAAGAAAAAGGGCTTGAAATGCATAGACCTAGTCTGGAAAATTCTTCTAAATCTCCCAGCTCATATATGAAAGAAGCTTGAATAGAGTTTTTCCAAAAATTCGACAACAATCCTAAAAATTTACATAATGTTGCCAATAATGAGTAGTGTAACTAAAAGAAGACATTTTAAACCATCAATAATAAGAAACAAATTTCAGTCAACATGCTAGAGAAAAGACTAAATTTTCTTTCTATTCTCTCTATAGAAAATGACATTACAAAATCTTTGTTGTCAAAGAAGAGGCAATCGAAGAGCATGTAGCCAAAAAATACAGAAAAGATATTTTACAGAGGAGTGCCAGACAGTTCATTAGAATTTTGTTATTTTTCTGGATTTTTTAAAAGTTGTGATATTTGTAAGCTTTGTTACATTTAAAATTTGTCATGATTTTCTTTCCCATTCTGAACAAATATTCACTTTTGCACCTAATTTTGCATTTTTAGTTTGATATCCTTTCTCTAACATAGCTGTGCTTAAGGAAAAAGAGCATGCTTCCATGCATGACTCAGTTTAAAGAAAAGCCATCAACCTATGAAGGAATACAATGCTAGTGGCACCAGGGACTCCAAGGGGAGAACAGTCATTGCTGCTGCCTGGTTCAGCTTCCCTCTCCTGCTTAGAAATGTCTTTCTCATACTGAACGTTTGGGATGTCTGAATGTGTGTGTACTTTAAAGAGGGATGTGATGATACCATTACAATCCTACTTCCTCTTTGAGGTGAAATCAAATTTCAGGGGAAGAAGACAAATGAAGGGATACAGAGAGTTTTATCTCTATTCTGTAGAAGAGTTTGGTTAAGAGTTTGATGAAGTACTCATTTCCTTTCTACCACTGTCTACCCTATGAGCTTAAGTCCAGGACAGGCACTCCCTGGGAACAGCAGGAGTTGCCAGTGCCCCACTCCCATCCCTTCTTCCTTACCAAGTTAGTGAAGGCTGGCTTATCTGCCATCACCTAAAACTTTTTTGCTCAAAGGCATTCTCTGGCCACTATGATGGTTTGCCTATCTGCTTGCATGGCAGCAGAGCTGTACCAGGGAATTGATCCCTCACCCAAGCTCTAACCAATGATCGACAGAAGAGTTAGTATACAAATATTCCATCTTTTTCACCCTTTGGTGGCATCACTCTAAAACTTCCCAGAGTTTCCCAGCAAGACTGAACTCCAGTTATCCACAGTGGTAACTTAATAACAAAACCTTTTATTGGCTGCCTTTCCTTCTCTGTCTTATTTCCTTATTTTTCTACTCTGATCACCTCCCAGATAAACTATATGCCCCTGAATCTTTGTCTTGGAGTCTGTTCCTGCAGAAACTCAAAATAAGGTGTTGCTTTATTGAAGCCTTATTAGAGAAAACACAATTGGAAGAAAGTAAAGGTACATCTAGAGTTGCATAATTCCTATTACTTTACTTATTATCATCAAGTCCAGAAGCCATATATGGCCAACAGCATGATTGCTTTCTGGTTACCCTGAATGTGACATTTGAGGGTGAGAAATTACTTACCATCAGGATTTAGGTATTCCATTATCACTGTAGAAACTTTTTGGATTACCTGTAAAAGACTATTTTTGATCTCCCATACTTATCAGTTGTTTTCCTTATTGTAATTTTCAACCCTCAATGTATGTTGCTTGTGAACACAGGAACTCAGCAGCAAAACTCACTGCCTCCCTCTTCCTAGCTGCTACATGGGTCTCCTTCAGGTTCCCTGTCCAACTAGCTCTTGGCTGTGGACTCATTCTTAATTTCTGTCCTTCTGTTTGAGAACCCCAACCCTCAGATTTACTGGGTTCTGATATGGTGGCTTGAATATTCAATCCATACTTAGTTCCTCTTTAGGGGTAGCTACTTGAGCTTGATAATACCATATTTGTATATTTCCCTGGCTTAGATTCTGGTACTTGAAGGTAAAACTCTTGAAGGAGTTATTCTAGATATCTTCCTAGATGATTCATGCCTTTCAGACAGCAGCAATGGACACTTCTGGGCTTTCTTCTCCTTTAACCTTAGTCATTTACCACAGCCCCAAGGAGAATGTCTATTATGACGTTCAGACAAAACTGAATGAAAAATAAGTGTGCCTAAAGAAAATGAAAGGGCCTCATGTTTTGAAGTACTTCAAGTTTTCCAGTCCACTAAAATGGATGAGAGTTAACCACAGTCATAGCCCTTTAATTGGGATTACAACAATCACACTTCCACCATGAGACTTGAAAGGCAGATGCTGGAGATAGAGCCTTTCTTGCCCACACAACTATAAGTGCCTATTGTTTGTATCTAATGACCTGTCTGAATATTCTAGAGTGGGTAATTTTTCATACATCAAAACTCAACACCAGATATCGGTGTCTTTTTATTTAAAAAGGGAGATTTGGGTGGCTCACATATGAAATCCCAGCACTTTGGGAGGCTGAGGCGGGTGGATTGTTTGAGCCCCAGAGATTAAGACTAGCCTGGGCAACATGATAAAACCCCATCTCCATCTCTAAAAAAATACAAAAATTAGCCAGTCATGGTGGCACGTACCTGTAGTCCCAGCTACTCAGGAGGCTGAAGTGAAACAATTGAGCTGCAGTGAGCCGTGATGTTGCCACTGCACTCTGTCTGCATGGTAGAGACTCTGTCTCAAAAAAAAAAAAAAAAAAAAAAACACAGTGGGAGTGATTTATAAATTTATCTAATGTATCAAGTTTTCTCCAGTTGAAATCATCAACCAATAGGTGAAAATAGGCTTTCGAGGATTCCATCAATCAAAAAACCCAACCCCAATTTTTGATAGCATGGATGTACATGTGTGTATTTAAATATAGCCCCAAATTTCCTTCATGCAATTTCCTATTCTGATACATACTTATTATTCACCTACGTCAATCAGCTCAGTGATGGCTTACACTTTCCTTCATATTCAGAGAAAAAGTGTGTCCCTGCAGCTTCCTTTTTCCAGGCAATATGACTTGGTTTCCATGGGCTTCTACCTATGGCTTAGCAATAGGTATTTACAAGGCACTTTCCACTGGAAAGTCCTGGTGAGAAGAAAGTTCTTCTGTATCACTAGTTGTTGGTATGTTTCAATGAGTTTCTAACTTTACTTTCTAAAATGAGTGGCTTGGCTTTAGTCTAAATGAACAGTGTGCATGGGGGAGGAGACAGAGAAAGATAACCTGAGCTTTTTATAATGTGTCTTAGCTGAGATGTGGACGGTTAACAAGGTACATAATGATCTACAGAAACACTGAGAAATTCTCCGTTATACCCAACAATTCTTTAGAGTCAAAAAAAAATTGTCTGAACTCACAAAGGAATGTCACCAGAAATTTGTCCAATATGGTTCTACTCTTGGGTCAAACCATTCAGATTTTCACAGTGGTGTCAGTGAAGGGATGGCATGACAGGCAAAGATAACATTTCTAGAAAAATGGATGCTGATCAATGTGTAACCCAACCCTAAAAAATGGATGTTTTCCAAACTGAACCAATGAGTCCTATTGTTAAAGTTGAATAACAGCACTACTTATCCAAATTTCAAAAATATTTTTTTAAAGTAAAAAGCATATAACTTTAAAAATAATCAATGCAAACAACGTTTTAGCCTCATTTATATATATTTTTTAAACATTTGGTGCATAGTACCTTTTTGTATCCTAAAGTTTAGCAAAAAGAGTTAAAGAGTTAATTTCATATAGTGTTGACCCTTGAACAACATGGGCTTAAACTATGTGGGTCCACTTGTATGCGGATTTTCTCCCATCTTGGCCACCCCTGAGACAGCAAAACCAATTCCTCCTCTTCCTCCTCCTCAGCCTACTCAATGTGAAGATGACAGGAGTCATGACCTTTATGATAATCTCCTTCCACTTAACTAATAGTAAATATATTTTCTCTTCCTTATGGTTTTCTTAATAACATTTTCTTTTCTCTATCTTACTTTATTGTAAGGATACAGTATATAACACATATAACATACAAAATATGTGTTGAACCATGTTTATTTTAAAGTTTCTGGTCAACAGTAGGCTGTTAGTAGTTAAGTTTAGAGGAGTCAAAAAGTTATAAGTGGATTTTCAACTCTGCATTGTTCTAGGGTCAATTGTACTGTATTGCTATTTCCTGTGGTCCTATAAAGCAGGGGTCCCCAACTGCCCCCCAACCCCACCCCATATACATCCATGGCCTGTTAGGAAACTGGTTGCATAGCAGGAGGTGAGTGACAGGGAGGCGAGCACTACCATCTGAGCTCTGCCTCCTGTCAGATCAGCAGTGGCATTAGATTCTCATAGAAGCATGAACCCTATTATGAATTGTTCATGCAAGGGATCTAGTTTGCGTGCTCCTTATGAGAATTGAAGTAATGCCTGATGATCTGAGGTAAAACAGTTTCATCCCAAAACCATCCCCCACCCATCCATGGAAAAATTATCTTCCACAAAACCTGTTTCCGGCGCCAAAAAGGTTGGGGACTGTTGCTATAAAGAGCACTAATACTGTACCATTGAAACCAACATAGAATCCTTGCTCTGATGTCACAGGATTTTTCCTGTCCTCAGCCAACGTCTAGGTAATCCCAAGCGTTTTGTTGTTGCTGCTGCTGCTGCTGTTATCATCCATCATTGCTAAAACTTATTAACTCGGCATATATTCATTGGGAGCCTACTCTGGGCCAAGCACTGGATGAACAGACGAACAAGATAAAGTGTCCACTCTCATGAGGTTTACACATCTGATGGGGGAAATAGCTAATTGATAAGTAAATATATTCCCATTAGAGAACTGCAGAATAGGATAGGCTGGGATGGGATAGCATGGGATGGGATGGGATAGGATGGGATGGGATGGGATGGGATGGGATGGGATGGGATGGGATGGGATGGGATGGGATGGGATGGGATGGGATAGAATATTCCTTGAAGAACAAGAAACAGGAAAGGGAGGTAGAGTGTGATAAGCCATGGCTATGTTAGAGAAGGTTAGAATAGGCCTCTGAATCCAAGCCATGTTTGGTCCCAATGTAAACTATACATTCTGCAAATAAGCATGAATTCTCCCTAGAAAGAAATTTCCAGGCGTGTTTTATTTGTGCCACTAAATGTGCAACATATGTATGTGTGTCTGTTGTAAATCACTTTGCCCAAGTTCCACTTCATTCCATCTTGGGATACTCCTGGGCTGTGATTTTTCATCCCTAACCTTTACCAGACAGTGTGTGATACGCTGCTTTCAGAGGCCAAAAAATAATAGGGGGTTGCCAAGTTGATTTTGGATTCCCATGCAGTCTGGATTTTTCAGACCAAATGAATTGGTTGGACCTACATAACCTCAATTAAGATGGGAATGGGGGCTTCACCTTGATCACACATCCTAAACCACACACAGTGCTTAAGCTTCCAAGCTGTCAGTCTTTGTGACTCCCCTTCAGTGATATTTAACTACTTATGACATGAGATTTTGAAAGCTTTTTGAAAGTCTTATTCACTAATGGAGAAGCCTCTTACATATTTTATAAAACTAAACAAACATCAAAGTTAACACTCAAATGCAACCTGTTCTTAAACTCTCAGAGCCTTGTCAGGATCTGAATCCCTCCTGCAAGTTCTATTAAAACAAACAGTGCAAGAGTCTTGAATTATTAGAGATAAAATCAGATTATAAGCTTCCTGAGGGCAAAGATTTTATTTTACATTGTTTTGTTCCTCAGTACCCAGCATAGTGCCTGACATAAAGTAAATGATCAAAAAATGTTTGTTTAATTGTAT
The DNA here is from genome assembly GCF_000001405.40 of Homo sapiens. NCBI lineage: Eukaryota > Metazoa > Chordata > Mammalia > Primates > Hominidae > Homo > Homo sapiens. The sequence goes on from NC_000001.11 coordinate 216,992,551, forward strand.
TAATGGGGGAGAAAGTTGTAAGATATTTAACCACACAAAACACTCAGCTTTTGTTACTTTTCCTTTAAACATTATTAGATATCTCCAAAGTTAAACTGTGACTGAAAATAAAAATTATTTGTAAACATAGATATCAAATTCCAATATTGGTTTGAAGCAAACCAAACTCCCTATAATACTTTACAGATTCCCAAAATTTACAAAGCTCATGCAGGCTTAATGTATACCATTATTATCAAAGAATATGATGACAGTGATTATAACAATAGTTACCATTAATTAAGTGCTAACCATGGTGCCAGATGCCTCATTATGTCCTTCCGTCTTTGTTCAGCAAGTCACTACACAATGTCACCTCCCACATCAAAGAGGCTTCCTATAATCACCATCTAAAATATCACCTCCATTTGATCCCTCTCACTCCTCACCTTGTTTTATCATCCACCCACTGATATATTTGTTTCAATTGTTTACTAGGTTTAGCTCTACCAACCCGAATGTAAGTTTCAAAAAAGTAGGAGCTCTAACTTCATTGTTTACTCTTAGATCTTTAGCAATTAGTAGAAATTCAACAAGTAGTTGATGAATGAATGAATGAATGAGTTATTTTATTCACACTTTAAAACAACTCTGCAAAGTAGTATATTTAGCCACAAGAAATTGAACCTACATTTCTCTAAGTCTCATACTCTTCCTGGTACCTCATGCAAACATGTGTTGAATAAACAAAAAGGTGAGAGAAAGCCCTCCTCCCTCACCATCTCCCTCCTTCTCCTACCTTTCTATGGCACAACTGAAATCTCCACTTCTCACTTCACTTGCCTATTTTCAGGAAACACAATGAGCAAAATTCACACATATTAATCATTTTCCATGCTACTTTTATATAACTTATATGCAACCCAAGAAGAAAAAGTTATATCATTTGGAGTTTGGGAGCAGAGACAGTTGGATTTAAGAACCATCTCTGAGTCACCTGAAGCATCCCTGCAGTGTGAAAAAAGCCTAAGGCAGAGACCGGAATCAGATACCTCCATTACTTTGAACTCACCCGGAGATGATGAGGGCAGATCCAAGGTTAAGGTGACAGATATTCCCGTACCGCAGTCTTGCCCATTTATATCCAAGACCCTCCACCTCTGAGGTACCCTGTTGAATGACTCACTCCTGGCTAGGTTTGTGGCTCAAAAAATATTGGGTAGAGATTGCGCTCACTCTGGCTCCTGTTCCACAATGATCTCACTCCAGCTCCTGGTCCATAATGATGAGGTTCTGCCTGAATTATAGCCTATAGCAGATTTTCAGTTACTTCTTTCAGAAAAATGGACTTTTATCTTCCTTATACTTCAAATTTTATCTCCAGGTAAATATCACTTTTTCTCTAATACATTTTTATTTCATGAATATGATGGATGAAAACAGGAGCCAATGTTTTAATTGCTCTAATAAAATGAATCATCTCTTTCATTCTCGTTTTACTCCTTGCAAAGACTTTTTAAAAAATCTGTAAGTGCATTTCTGAGAGTTCTTAAATGTAAGCATATCTCTGAGCTTGCTAACTACATTTTCCATAGTAGGTTATTTAAAATGTATCTTTAAAGTAGATTACATGTCTCAGGGGACTGGTAATGGGCTATAGAGTCACTCACTTTGAAGCCACCAGTTCAAATTTTGTCTAGACATTAAGCAGCGAAAAAAAATCATTTCAACTGACAATTGTTTGGCTTACTTTTGTGGAAGATGAGTTAGTAGCTCCTCTCCAGTCCCAGGTATGCATTTTACAAATACCAACCATCATCTTGGAGGCATTAAAGGAGACCCTCCCAGTGATGGGGCACCCGGAAGGGGTGTTGTCTGCACAAACACACACACGGATACATGTGACTGCACACACATATAAACCCATGTGTGTAAACACACACACACACACACACATCCTGGTACAACTACTTTGTGCTTATCCATAAGAGACGGTAAAAAAGTATATATTGGCCTTGTATTTGACAACACTCAATTCAGTCCTAACCGTTCGACAACTTCTTTTTTTTTCTTGAGACTCCTCTCTGTATCGCCCAGGCTGGAGTGCAGTGGCGCTATGTCGGCTCACTGCAAGCTCCATCTCCAGGGTTCACGCCATTCTCCTGCCTCAGCCTCCGGAGTAGCTGGGACTACAGGTGCCCACCACCACGCCCGGCTAATTTTTTGTATTTTTTTTTTAGTAGAGACGGGCTTTCACTGTGTTACCGGGATGGTCTCGATCTCCTGACCTCGTGATCCACCCACCTCGGCCTCTCAAAGTGCTGGGATTACAGGTGTGAGCCACCGTGCCCGGCCCCGTCCAACAACTTCTAAATTTGCCTACAACCCTCAGTGATCCTGCTCTTGCTGTGCAGATTTCTGCACACAGATGAGAGCACCTTCATAAGCCAGCTTTGCTGTTTACTGTGATGAAACAGAAGATGGCATTCGTCTTCAGGGATGTCAATCTGGAAGCTTTTAGGAACACTAGCCTGCACTTAAAGATCAAAGACGACTGAGATGACTCTTCTGAAATAGAACCTTTCCTCAGGACTCAGGAGACCAAAGGCCATTCTTGACCCCTGCCCCTCCTTCATCTCTTGCATCCAATACATATGCATGCCCTGTTCTTCTATTCTCTTTATATACCCTGAATTCATCACTTATTTGCATTATCACCACCTTAGGGAAGGCCACTGTCATCTCTCACCCTGATGACTGAAACGACTTCCTCACTGTCCGTTGCCTATCTGTGGTTTTCCTCCATTCATTCTCCATGATACTACCAGAGTGTCTCTCCAAAATGTCACTCCTCTGCTTAAAACCCTTCAGTGGCTCTCCATTGCCTTCAGGATGAGGTCCCTAATCCTTAGCTTAGCCAATAAGATTTTTAGGATTTCACCCCTGTGGGCTCCTTCATTGTCATTCCTGTAAGAAGCATGCTTCCAATGGCTAGGCATGAATTGCCACTTTCTACCGCTTCCCTAGTTACTGTTAAATGATCCTTCTTGACTCAACCTAGCTGTCATTTCTTCCAGAGGGTATCCTGATCCTTCCAAATTCTAGGTTGGGTGTTATTCTTATAGCCCTATCATTTCACTTTCCACCTATACTAGAATCTCCTTCAGGCAGAATCTGAATCTTATTCACTGTCAAGTCCCTGGTTAGTAATATCTAGATTGTAATAATATGAATAAATAAATGAGGTCAGAATTTTAAGAATTGCTTACACCATTTCCTCTATCTCCTGACTACATTTTGTCCTATTCTTTTTGTTCTATCATAAACCAACTTGTGTCCTGATCCCATTCTAGTGTTTTCTTTCTTGCCATTCACTCCTATGCACATAAAGAACAGGACAGCAGAAATGAAGAGTGAGCTGTAATCTCCACTCAATTCCAGGATTCAAAATGTGGGTTACAAAGGAAAATCAAGTAATAACCTTTGTAGAAGGGCTTTTATTAACAAAAAAAAAATTAAGGGCAGTTTATCCCCTTGCTAAAAGAGTTTTAGGCATGATCCTACCTGAAGATAATGAAATAGATTGGATCAGTGATTGCTATAAACAAATCTGAGTGCAGATTTAAAATGAGGGGGAATAGTCTAGGATAATTTCTTTCATGACTGTGTCTCTGCTTCTTTGGACTTTACAGAGAAGGCAAAGAGGAAAAAGAGGAGGAAGAGTTAGATAAGATGATATGTTACATTTTAAAAGGAGAGTATAAAAAGTGTACATGCAGAGGACTGGAAGTAGAAATGGTAAGTACTAAAGGAAAACAAGGAATGGAAATGGGAAAAATGGATAGGGTAAGGGGATGAGAGGAGGAAAAACAGAGAAGAAGATAGGTAACAGTATAGATAAATCAGAGGAGAAAAAAAGTGAAAAATAACAGGCAAAAAGAAGGAAAGGGAGAAATGGAATATAGTAATTTATGCATACTGGGGGCCTTATTTTGAAAGTTAAATAAGTAAATGAATAAGTTAAGGTGAGAAATAAAGGTGAGAAAGAGTCAAGGAGTAGCCAAAAAAGGTAAAAATATTTACAATCTGATTCTAGTCTACCACGTTGTATATTCATAATACTGTATGCATTATACTCAAAAAGTGCTGAGTCCTCCCCTAATCCTGTCAATGGAGAGCAAAACACTATTATAGCAATATGAAGAATAATCTGAATGCTAATATCATTCATTCATTCATTCAGCCAATATTCACTAAACACTCTCAGTGGGCCAGCAGACACTACATTAGGTGTTAAGAATTTGACTGTAAGACACACAACCTATGGCCCCAATGAGACTGCAAAAGAAAGCATTAAATATCTTTTGCAAGTTGGAAAGAATCTTTTACTTTATATTGCACAGGCTACATAATCTGTGAAAAAAAATCAAAATCAAAAGTAATAGTATGTCTTGGCCAAAAGCCACAGGAAACGGGCATTTTTCTCAATAGAATTAGATGACATTATGACATGTGCCCATTTAGAATGGAACTGCAAATCATAAAAATGCCAAAAACGTGGAGAAGAAAAACATTAAAGGAGCTAACAGTAGAATATTAAAGACAGACATAATTAAAGAGAGAAAGGCATAATAAATACAGGGTACTTTAAATTCTCTTTGTCATAGGGCTGTACTGCAGTTTGACTCCCAGTCCCATTAAAGTCATTCTAAATTGATTCCCTCGGTATAATGAGCCCCTCTTGATAACACCAAAACACTTGGCCTCTCAAGAGCTCCTTAAAGACAACCCTGCAGAACATGCCGCTAGCAGGATATTCCTGCAAGGAACTAGCAGCCACTTCATTTAGCAGCCTGGCATGCAGTGAAACAGACCAATGTCTGGCTTTTCCTCCCCAGATGTACAGAAAAAGAATGAACAGCTTCCCTTTGCCCATGAGGGAGGCCTTTAAGGTACATATTGCAGGAACATGGTTCTACTGAGTCCCCAACCTTTGATGTTTCCTGGTTATGACTGTCTTAGACTTTGAGTTGTTACATTATAGATTCTCTGTAACAAAGTCTCTTTACTATTTTACATTTGGGCTACAAATTTTAGCTTCCTACTTAATTTGCATAAAGAGAGAATTTACAAAATTTCCCACTGAGGTCATCTTTCCTAAATACTTTTGCTATTCTATACGGAAAAGCGTTTAAAATAGGGACAGAGGATTCCAAATACATTTTATAATGAACACTATTCTCTTCCACCATACAATGCTAGCAAATATAAGGAACAGACAAGTCACTGGGACATCCAAGGAACCCAAATTATTACATTACCATTTTCCTGGACCCCATTAACCTTGAGAGAACTGTAAAGGTCATTAGTTTGCATGGCTAAATCGCTTTCAGCAATTTCTGTAAAAATGTACAAACAATAACTCTTTCACCCATGCTCAGGAATTTTTTTTCTTCCCTTTTTTAACTGTGAAAGATATTTGCATGAAAACAGGATCTTTGTTTCCTAAGGATTGATCCACTTGCTACTTACTACTGCTTCTTCTGCACCTTGGTGACATCATAGCTCTGGCTAAGGAGCTAATTTTAAAATCACAAAGGATTGTGATTTCAAGTAGAAGCAGCTAACCTCTTGTGAAACAAAGACCCTGTTTTCAAGCCATTGTTTCTGATAATAAAATGCAAGAAACACTAAACACCTAAAATGTCAAATAGATGTTTTATCTGAAAATAGATATTAACATTGTCTATGATTCTCTACTTCTTAAAGCTCCAGGAAAAAATTAGACAAATAGACAAAAGAAACTAAAAATGAAATTTTGAATGTTAACAACATTCTTTCTCTACACCTTTGCCAGTGTTGTTTGCCTACAAACATTGGACAATCATATTATCATTGTATTATACCATCCTCATTTCATGGAGTGATAGCAATCTAAAAATAGGCTTTGAAGATGGCATGATGGCATATTTTATCTAGACATTACTTCTTTTTTGCAAATATAAATCCACTTATAATATTGTTATCATTTAATTATCCCTACATAATTTAGCATTTTGCTTACATTTTGTTATTTCTGTTATCACAATTAAGAACTGGTTTTCAGTGATTTTAATCTCAGCAATGTGCATATATGAGGATAACCCTAATTGCTATTTATAAGAGATAATTAGAAATATTCCTTCACACAGCGTGAAATAAAATTCTATATCTCATAAATTCCAAGGTATTGGACAAGTAAGAAGAATATAAATGGATTTATAACACATTTCAACAAATTTATACAATTTATAAAATCTTATGACAAAATTATAAATGGCCATTGAGAGCACCTAGGTGATGTCCACCCTTTGAATGAGATTTCAGAAAAGATAATGAAACATGGACATTCACATTTGCGTGGTTCATATAACCCATGAACCATAGGCTGGAGTTAGTGTGCCACTTCTACTGCATACTACTGAGGTAATCACACACAGCATGGTCCTATTTCTTGTGATTATTTGTGACTCTCCTGGGCCTGAGTACAATAATATGTCAGAAAAGAGAATGCTGTGGATCAGTGGCTTGGGTGAACTATTTAGTTTTGCCCTCTCTGGACCACAGACTGCATGCCCAGCCCCAATTACCTGAATCTGTATGCCCAGTTCTTGTGTTAAAGGAGGACTAGGGGAAGACAAGAGCTGAAACTGGGTTCACATCTTATCATTATTTTTACAAAGCCAACTCACATGTACCTGCCACAGTGGCAGCACAGTCTAGGTGTATGTAAAGATATTGTTGTTATGGGTACTATCCATAAGGATACTTAAATCAAAAGAGCCACTCTTTATCAAGCACATACATGCTAGGAACTGTGCTCAATACATTACATACATTATCTCATATTTACAAAATATTTTCAAGGTATTTTTTCTCTGTTATGGAGAGGATGTGATTGAGACTTGGAGGAGTTAATCAGACCAACTTTACACAGCTGCTATGGATACACTGGGATTCAAGCCCATCCCAGGTCTATCGGACTCCAAATTTCTCATTTTTCTTCCTAGTTCAAGAGGTATGTGACATGGATTTAAAAAACTAAAAAAGATCCAGTATTTTACCAACACCCTGGCTGAAAAATCTGTAGATTCGCTTGTTCGTTCAGCAAACATTGGTTGAGTAGTTACTCTGTGATGATTCATAGTTTGTGAGAAGAAATGTATTTTTGTTTTTGTTTTTGCTTTTTAAAAAAGGGTGGTTTAGAATCTCAGATTGATTCTGAGATAAACTGATAAGCCTCCTTCTTAGCTTCTGTGTTCTGACCATGGCAAACCACTCAACCCTTGCATCTTCAATGTGAAAAGATTAGACATGACTATTCCCATGTTTGTTTCTAAAAGGGGAAACTCTTTATGCTTCTGTTCCAATTCTCAAACAGTATCTACTATTATTCTGTAGCAGATACACCAGTATCAAGCTATTGTTAATTAATAAGCATTCCATGGAAATGTGGGCTAAACAGTGACTTCATTAAAAGAGCATAATCTATTTCATACATCTTTGCTTATCCCCAAGATTTTTTACATGTAAAATGTACTAAGTGGAGTGCTATGTTTTCATCTGAATGCTGCTTAATGCTTGCCTTATTATACGTAAGCGAACAGTTATTGTATTAGTTTGCTAGGGCTGCCATAATAAAGTACCACAAACCAGTGGCTTAAAAAACAGAAATTTGTCTCACAGTTCTGGAGGCTAGAAGTCTGAAATCAAGATGTCAGCAGGGTTGATTCCTTTTGTAGGCTATGACGGAGACTCTGTTCCATGAATCTGTGCTAGCTTTTAGCAGCTTGCCAGCGATCTTTGGAGTTCCTTGGCTTATGGCAGCATAATTCCAATCTTTATGTGGCATTCTCCCCTTGTCCCTGTGTCCAAATTGTCTCCTTTTATAAGGACATAAGATATATTGAACTAGGGCCCAATCAAATGATTTCATCTTAACTTGATCTTCTGCAAAGACCCTACTTCCGTAAAAGGCTATATTGTAAGGTATAGGGAGGTGGTCAGGACTTCAACATCTTTTGGGGATACACAATTCAACCCACAACGGTGATCCTATATAAAGCTTGATTTCTTTAGATGTTTCATAAATTTTAAGCTCAGATGTCTCCTTGTTGCACTAACTCCAAGTGAAGGACCGTGTAGCAACATCGTCACTGGAAACCCACAGAAAAAAGACAAGACACAGCTTCATGTTAGAAAGGGCAGGCATTCAGCAAAGCATTGGTCCCATGCAGCAAGGGCCTATGCACTCTGTGTGTGTTCCATAGACTTCCATGCCAATTGAAACTCCAGCTATCCACACTATGCACATGTTAAAGACAGATACACTTTTCCATTCAATCAGGGACAATGCCGTTCACCGGCACCAAAATGAACCATGCTGTCATGTAGGATGGTGGCCTCAATGAGATACATCTTGATTTAATGGAGAAATAAAAGTGATATAAGATCATAAGCTAAGACCATCATAAAGTGCATGCAAGCACCCTATACTTTAATACTCCCAAGCTGCTTTTTAACTCTGAGTGAAAAAATTTGTCTAATGTCTACAGAAATGGTTCAACTAATTTCTTCCTTTAAGTAATATCAACCTGTCTACTATAATACACCTTAGTGGAAGCTGCCTTCTTTTCTTCGGTTCTTTTTTTTATGCTGGAACTCTGTAAAGATATAGGAATGGACACAGTGCTTATTTCTGAATGACAGGAACTCTCCCACAGAAATAAAGCAAATCCACACTTGATTACCGTCTTTACAGACCCTTTGCAAGCACCAGAGTCTGAAAATGAGTCACGTGGATGATACCAAACTGCCTTGGGCAGTAAAAAGCAGCCGCAGCTTTTCCCTACTCTTCCATTAATAATTCCTTCATTCAATCACACACAATTTTTGAACACATATTCTGTCTCATGTTCACTGTTTTAGGTTTAAATAGGGTAGTGGATATAGACCTCATTGAAAATGTAACACTTGAGAAAAGACTTAAATTACAAAAGGCGTTGATCATGAAATATATATAAAGAATATTTCAAGTAGAGGAAACAGCCAATGCAAAAACCCTAAGATAACGGCAAGTCTGGTAAGCTCAAGGAATAGCAAAGAGGCCAAGGTGGCTGGGGCAGAGACAATGAGAGGAGAGGAGTTAGAGTGGAGGTCAGGGAGGAGGTAGGGGCCGGTTCACATAAGGCTTTCTTGGATACTACAAAGACTTTGACTTTTACTGAAGGAAATGGAGAACCATACCAGCATTTTGAACAGAGAGAATGACCAGACTTTTGTTTTAAAATCTCTTTACCTTAAAAGTCATTTGTACATCAAAAGTGAAAGGCCAAGAATTGATAGCTTAAGCCAGTTCAGCACATGGAAATGGACCTTCACAATCCCAGCTCAAATCTCCAACTGCTAATAAGTTTGGCACCATTATAATTTTTTTTTTAAAGAAAGGAGCACCCGGGCATGATGGCTCACACCTGTAATCCCAGCACTTTGGGAGGCCGAGTCTGGTGGATCACTTGAGGCCAGAAATTTGAGACCAGCCTGGTCAACACGGCGAAACCCCATCTCTACTAAAAATACAAAAATTAGCTGGGCATGGTGGTACATATCTGTAATTCCAGCTACCCTGGTGGCTGAGCCACGAGAATCTCTTGAACCCAGGAGGCAGAGCTGGCAGTGAGCCGAGATAGTGCCACTGCACTCCAGCCTGGGCATCAGAGTGAGATTCTGTCTAAAAAAAAAAAAAAGAAAGAAAGAAAAAAAAAAAAGAAAGAAAGAAAAGAAAAGAAAGAAACAGAGATTATGCACATTGTATAATATTTATTTTAGGGCAGATCCGTCCCTAAAGTTATATGGGCTTAGATTTTATTCCCTACTCATTAAAATTAAGGAGTTGATTCTGACAGTTATCTATAAAATTACACATATACAGTATATTAATACTGTAGGAATCAGCCTTCATGGTCATCTAGGATGATCTTTGCCCCTGATATTCACATCTTTACAGTGAATAAACAGTAAATCACAGCTGGCCAGTATGACCAATACAATATGGCAGAAGTGATGGTGTGTGACTTTCAAGGCTAGGTCATAAAAGGCATTATAGCTTTTACCTTGTTCTCTTGAATCACTTGCTCTAGGAGAAACAGCCATTGTGCCATAAGGAGAGGGACACATGGAGAGGAACCAATTTGCCAGCCATATGAGCAAGTCACCTTGGAAGTGGAACCTCCAGCCCCACGCAGGCTTTCATTTGACTGCAGCTCCAGCCAACAACTGGTGACTGCAACCCCCTGGTGACATGCAGCCCCATGAGTGACCATGAGCCAGAATTGCCCAACCAAGCTGCTTCTAAATTTCCAATCAACAGAAATCATGATAAATAAAGTCCTCAGTATTATTTTAAGCCATGAAAGCTTTTGTTACTCAAGCGCAGATAACTGTTATATTCCAAATAATCTGTACAGTGATCATCAGTTAGCTACTGTTCAAAACATTTACTTTTGTGAGATATGCTTTTGAATTTCTGAACTCAACTAAACATTTAGTAATAAGATCACAGCCAGATAAAACTACATCAGGAAGTTGCAAAAAAAAATCTTTCATTTGACTGATATTACATTGAAAAAGTACTGGTTTGAAGTGATATAATGTTGGAGAAAGCATGGACTTTGAAGTCAGAAAAAAGTGGATATGAATAATGGCCATACTTAATAGCTTGAGCAAATTACTTAAACTAATCAAGTCTCAGTTTCTCAACCTATAAAACAGGGAAAATAATACTTAGCTTACACTGTTGAGAAAATTAAGTGAGATAATATGAAAAAATAATTTTATTCAATAAACATTAGTTTCCCTTTTCTTAAAATGAATCTGGGCCACGTTTGTTTTGTAAAGACAAATACTCTAAAAATAATAATTTAATGTATTATGTAAGCTTTATTTGCTTGTCTCATGGCTAATATTAATACTAATATTAGGCTTGAAATATTAGTATTAATACTAATTAATAAGTATTAATATTAATTAATATTAATATTAATACTAACATAAGGCCTAATATTGAGCTAACCAAACTCAAGAGTATTTACAATCAGTAATTCATTTGTTATTGGCCACTGAAATGGCATTTACATTTTGGAAACAGGAAATAACTAAATAAACACATTGCCCAATCAGATTACCCATAATATTTGTGTGACTTCTAAGACTAGGTCAGATATGAGACTTATTTTCAGTCTGTTGTTTTTCATCATAAATGTAATTTCAATGTCCAGATGACATATGGGTACATACATGGATGGACCAAAAAAATAAAAAAAAAAGAAGTCATCATTAATTCAATAGCACAATTAACTGAGTTTGTGACCTCAAATTTGGAAATATGGTTTGATTCACAATGAATATTCATAATTATCTTATTAATCATAATCTCATAAATAAATAACATACTGTCTTATGGGGTAAAGGGGAGCGAGAAGTTACCAGAATCTTGATCCCAATATCTACAATATTCACCAATGCATAGACTGTGTTATTAAACAATGTTTACATTTCTACAACGTAAAATTGACAGACGATGAAGTATATTTTCCCAGTTCTTTTACTTATCCTGCCTGTTTTCACAAGTTTTAGAGAGGACTTTAAAAGAAAGAAGAATGGATTACTGACTGATATGGTTTGGCTGTGTCCCCACCCAAATCTCACCTTGAATTGTAATAATACCCAGGTGTCAAGGGCAGGGCCAGGTGGAGATAATTGAATCATGGGGATGGTTTCCCCAAAACTGTTCTAGTGGTAGTGAATAAGTCTCAGGAGAGCTGATGGTTTTATAAATGGGAGTTCCCCTGCACAAGCTCTTTTGCCTACCACCATGTAAGACATGCCCTTGCTTCTCCTTTGCCTTCTGCCATGATTGAGGCCTCCCCAGCCGTGTAGTACTGTCAGTCCATTAAATCTCTTTCCCTTATAAATTACCCAATATCCAGTATGTCTTTATTAGCGTGAAAACTAACTAATATACTGACCAACAATGAAGTAAACAGTACCCAACCCAAGGTTCCCCCCAAATATGGTAAGCCATGGGCATATAATCTAATTATTTGAAAGAAAACAGATTGTGCTGGTTAAGAAATTAATCTGTATAACTATATCAATCAATTAATTTATTCTGAAAATATGTATTCTCATGAATGATGCTGCTTGACACATTATATATATAGTGCCTGTGAAATGAGAATGATATTATTTTGGAATCTAGCTGCCATGATAAATGGTATATCACTTTGAAATCACGGGACTAAAAATAGTAAAAGGGACTTTGGACTTTTTACTACCAAGGACACTTGATACCTTTTAGTGGTTTCCCCCATGAGTCATATTGTTTTGTTTTTGACAATCAAACTGCATTTAGTTAGTAATAATGGTTCTACTCTTATTAATAAAAAGCTATTTATTGCCGATCAGAATTTGTGATTTGCACAAGATAACTCAGTGTTGTCAAAAAGGGAGAGGTGAGTTTATATCAGCCAAACCAAGACCAAAACCAAAGAGATGTCTTAGTTAGCTTGTGTATATTGTGATTTTATGTCTTATTTTCATTAGACTTTTTTAAATACTGAAAGTGAGTCTTTCCCCTATTACTTCCTCCAAGGATTCTAAATGAGAAGAACTATTCAGGTCCAACCACCTCCTTTGAAGGACAATCATGACCAGAGCGGTAGATGATTAGTCCAAGCACACAGCTAAATAGTGGCATAAGCTGGACAGTAAATTACATATTAAAACAAAGACTGGTGCCTTTTCTCCACTGCGCTAAAATGATTGGAGGTTTGCCCATGACAACTACCAGCTCAATAAGCCAAATCAATAAAAATTTCAATCACAACTGTTGCTTGGCATACACAGATAAGCCCTCTAAAAGAACAGGGAACTCTTAGACACTTAGGATAATGCTAAACAGATAGGACAACTAATAGAAGGACTTGTTATGTAATGTTCTCCCTCTCAAAGTGTCAGAGTCAACCAAAGAGGTAGTTCTGCTGTTTATTGTGTTTTAACTCCAAAGATAACCTCACATTTACAATACCATAAATTCTCCCTAACAATGTTGTATAATAACATTAGCATTGGTTCTTAAATGGTTCTTCTGACCATTAGGAAAAAAATTTTTAATAGTAGGTCTAAAACCATAGCTTTCTATGTCAAAATTCTCTCTTCTTTTTTTCTAAGCATTTTAAAGTCAAGTAGCCTATACAAATTTATAGGAAAAGTGCTTTCGCTTACTTTTAATGTGTCAACTTCAGAGCCAGTCTTCATTACTATGTTAATCACTGTGGTCTTTATTAATGGATATTTTATCCCAACTATGTAACAACTTACTTACAGTAGAACAATAACTAATAATTAGGGACAGAATTGGTTCACTCTTGAAACCTAGAGACTAATGATTAACTAACACAACTGAGTCCAGTTTGAATTGGAATGGCTTTGAACTCATAGAATGGCTTTGAACTCATAGAATTTGAACTTATAGAATGAGTCCTTTTGGCTTATTATCAGACTTCTTGTGTATTCTACAATACAGTGTAGAAAAATAAACATACACTCAATGTTCAACATAAGTTATGCTAAGAATGAATTTATAAATCACTTAAAAATGTTAAAAAGTAAAATGTAACTGAATAATATGATGATTAGGTAATATAAAGACCCATAGTCTTTATTTAATATTATTGGTGTTAGGCTTATCTGAGTAATCAACATATACAACTTTAATTCTACAAATAACACCATCAATAATTTGGATTAGTAATCTTAAGTTATGTCTATATAGTAGTACACAATATACTACAATATACATATAACTTCAATAAGTCTCACAGGCTGTGTGGAGCCAACATTGCACTACAGTTACGTTGGAACTGGCTTAATAACAAAGATTAATTTTAACTATAGGTTGAGTATCCCTTTTCCAAAATGCCTGGGACCAGAAGTGTTTTCGATTTTGGATGTTTTTGAATTTGGAAATATTTGCATATACATAGTGAGATATCGTGAGAATGGGACTCAAGTCTAAACACAAAATTCATTTATGTTTCTAATATACCTTATATGCACGGCCTAAAGGTAATTTTATACAATATTTTAAATTATTTTGCAAGAAACAAAGTTTTAACTGTGCTTTGACTGAAACCCATTACATGAGGTCAGGTGTAAATTTTCCACTTGTGGTGTCATGTTGGCCCTCAAAATGTTTCAGATTTTGGAGCATTTTGGATTTGGGATTTTCAGATTAGGCATGCTCCACCTGTATTTAGTAAACTGAACTGTGGTCAAAGTAATTTTTTAGCTGCTGTGCTGTTTTATTTATTGCCATCAGCGATAAAGGCTAGCTTCCCCATAAGTACTTTATAAATCATATCACCAGTTTAAGGCTTATAAAAACTATTTTAATTCTATGTGATTTAATGCTTTCAATAATCCATCAGGATTTTTCTTTAGATCTTTAAAAGGACTGTAAGGAGTTCAGAGATGATAGAGATTAAATTTACAGGATACTCACAATGAGAGCAAAAGGAATATTTCATCACCCCATATACATGTACATACAGCATTCTAATGTAGTAGATTGTTTTACTATCCCAAAGCATTAAGATGTGAATGTGACTTCTCAATTTTCCTGAAAATTATGTGGGTCAAGGGGGAGAGGGCCAGTGCCAACACCATCACCATATGGTTCCAGGCTAAAATTTTAAAATATTTTCCCATACTTCTATGTTATTGCTAACTCAACAATTTTAGTCTCTTCTTCCAAAGGGGGAAAAGGGGAAGGAAAGAAACACTAAGTCAATGACATTTTCATAACAAACTTTGAAACACTGTTATGGTGCTGTTGGATAATTCAAGGACATTATCCTCACCCTCAGCTCAATGTCTAAAAATACTTGCAACGATTATTGTCAAAAACCATTTATGACTTCCTTTGGAGGATAAGAGAATAATAAACTTCAGTCTTGTAAATATCATTATCAGAACAGTCTCCATAAAATTCTTCTCCTTCCTTTCTTATTCTTAAGCTATTTATTTTGATGAAACTGAGCTTTCTAAACCTATCAAAGAAGATTTTACTTGGACCGACTGACTTCCTTCCTCCTTCCATCTTTTCTTCCTCCCTTCCCTCTTTTCTTCTGATGCTTATTCACTATATATGGACTAAGCATTTACTATATGCCAAACACTGTTCTAGGTGCTAGACAGTCAAAGGCAAATAAGGGGGGAAAAATCCCAAGCCAATTATGGAATTGAGGTGGAAGCAGGTGCAGGGGGAGGAAAGAGCATTAAGAGATGAGTCCAAGAGAAGAGCCATAATACAAACAAGAAGAATGATCTATCAAAGGGATCCACAGACATCAGATCTTCTGCACAGTGTGTCTAGTCTCACATTATAGTCTTACATTTCATCTGCTATGCTCAAATGTATCCTAAAGTAGAACTAGGCAATTAAGATAAACCAACAGCTACAACAACAGAAACTTTAAACCCAGTGCAGCAGACATTAAAATCTTCACCACTGCAAACCATTTACACCTTTTAATTCCTTTCAGGCTGTCTGCCACTGTGAGATATGGGCAACGTAACTATTATTCTCCCCATTTTACAGATGAGTAACTTGATTCTTAGCAAAAGGATTGTTCAAGGTTACAAAGCTCAGTAGCAGAACTAAGATCTGGAACATAGACCTCTGATTGCAAATGCAGAGCTTTTTCCATACATTATTTCTCCACAGTCAGAATATATGCTCAACGAAAGTATAATCTAGCAACTGAATTCAAACCCTGGACTCCAGTGACTGCTCTAGAATATCTACATAATGGAATATTAGAAGGCAACCAGTAGGGAAAGATTTCCTTGAAGTGGCATAGGCAACATACTACATTTACTTAGATTGTTTGCACTCTCTAGGTTCTAGGCTGGTGTTGCTAGTGACTGTGAGAACTCTTGGAGTAGAGAGAAGAGCAGAGAAGACACATATTGATAATGAATTAAACCCCAAGGGCAACACAGATATCTGTGACAAGTTGCCATGTAAAGCAGCATCCCAACTTCTACTACAAGAAATCTTAAAGGTTTTATTTTATTAATCAGGGACAGTGGCTCTTGATATACCACTTAAGTCCACACCTGCAGGGTTTTGCACTGTGATTGAGTTGAAACAAATTCCACTTGCTTCTGTGGTAAAGAGACCTAGTTAAATAGACTAGCATTCCCCAACTAACTGCTAGCTAAATGAACGTCTTCCCACCAAAAACCAGGTATATTCTGCAGGGCTTAGAAACTGAAGAAACACCATCTTGAGACTTTAATCAGAGATTTTAGTGGCCAGATTTCAAGATCACCTGATGTGATCATATTTGAGGGGATTATTTTTGTATATGTCCAGAAATTTATTTGGAAGCAGTGAAAATATTCTCATTCTTCATGGTAAAAAATATTTTACAGCTCAATATGTCACATTCACTTGCATCTCCGTAATTTCACCTTGCTTCCTTGTTACTAAAATGCTTCCTGCTCAAGTCAATCTGATCCATCTAAATGCTACATGCTTGAAACCAGGTATTACCCCCTTACCGCTCTCACAGCACCCAGCACAATGCAGGGCCCACAGCGGGATCTATATATTGGTCGACTTATTTTTTTAATGCACAATATTGAAGATTGCTCTTTAAAATTCATTCCATAGGATGGTAGATAATGTACATTTTTGCTGAGACTTGCCTACAAGGGATGCCACACCTTTAAGGGATCAGATCACTGGCTTTGAGGCTTAAAGCTCTCAATTCCAAAAGACACAGAGGGACAGCCCAAGTCATTCAAATAAGCTCACGATTTTATTTCATTTGAAAAGTAAACAATCATAAACAATTAAAATGGCAAGCTATAAAACAAGCATAAAACTTCCCATTGTTCCATGATGTGCAGCTACTACATTAGCTTCATTGTCTATTGTTCATGGTGTTTGGCAAGAATGCTTTAGGCCTGAAAGTTTGCTTAAGGAACACTGGGAGTGCCAGACCTCTACATCCATGTCTCCCATGAGCATATCCCATTGAGTATAGTTTCCTTTTTCTTTTTCTTTTTTTTTTTTTTTTTTTTTGAGATGGAGTCTTGCTGTGTCACCCAGGCTGGAGTGCAGTGGCACAGTCTTGGCTCACTGCAACCTCTGCCTCCTGGGTTCAAATGATTCTCCTGCCTCAGCCTCCCAAGTAGCTGAGATTACAGGTGCCTGCCACCGTATCTGGCTAATTTTTGTATTTTTAGTAGAGACGGGGTTTCACCATCTTGGCCAGGCTGGTCTCAAACTCATGACCTCATAATCCACCCACCTCGGCCTCCCAAAGTGCTGGGATTACAAGTGTGAGCCACCGCGCCCGGCCTGAGTATAGTTTTCAAATTTTAAATTGCTCTAACTTACACTCAGAGCATAAACATTAGACTAGCCATGGGCACTTTTTTATTGATGGAGTACAATACGAAGAGATTTCACTGTAGGGGGAAACATCAGCAAATCAGAAGTGCAGAGATGATCCCAGCCAGTCCAAAATGAGAGGGGCAGATGTAGTCATTAACACAATTTCTGATGAATAAACATACCCTCTTGCATTATTTTGCTGTTTGCCTGTTCTTCATGCTGTGTCTCTTTGGCAAAAGAGAGCCAATTTCTGGGTCTGAAAATGACTGTTAATCACATTTTTAAAAACATATTTTAGCAAAGGATGAAAACACTCACAAATGCAGCTGAAATTTTTAAAGAGAAAGAGTGAAAAGCAACCCCACCCCTGCAGCCAAAACAACTCAGTGTGGGAACAGTGTCATGTTGACTCATCTCTGAAGACCAACTGATTTGTAAAATGATCAGAAATGAGGTGGCTGGCTCTGATTACCATTGTGATTTGCGGGTGTATTTATCCTTTGATAGAAAATCTGTTCAAATGAATTCTCCCACATATATGCCATGCATCAAGCAATGCGCTTGACAGTGATCTTCATAAAGAACTGAGCCTTGTCAGAGGTTATCTTTTCATTCAAAGGTACAAAATGAAAGATGGAGATGTAACTCCACACCAAATTTGGCCCCGTGAAAAGAAGCTATAGAATGACTATCTGAAGAGGCCAAGAGACTTTGAATAAAACAGGCAAAGACCAGGAAAACAATGACCTTGAATGGAAAATTATGGGAAACATGATTAAGGTAGCTGTGTGTAGACCAGGAAGCTAACGTAGGAAAATTAAGAGGATAGGGAAGTTTAATTCTCTTCTATAGAATATTAGCCCCTTACCTCCTTACCCATCCCTTGAGACAGATTAGATCTTAAAATGCCTTTCATCTCTGGTAGACAGGTTGCAGCACCAATAGGCTAAAATATTCATGGGCAACAGCCTGCAAATTCCAACAAGCCACATTAACTGCTTAGATATACTGACGATACCAAGGTTACCACCAAACGCCATCAACTCATAGTACCATATGATCTGCTTACTATGCAAATGTGTACATATGTGTGAAGTCTGATTATTATAAATAACTCATTTCCCAGCTGCGTACACACTCTACAGAAAAAATGACACATTGCCTGACTATCACTAAAAGATGCCAAGTGAATGTGATTTATAAAATCAGTCTTCCAAACCTGTTTCTCCTGATTTTAGGTTCTGTGGGGAACATAAAAGGAAGTCCCAAGTGAAATGAGAGTTGTCTGACATTCAATAAACAGGTTTATTGGTGGACACTACAATGCTAGAAACCAAGGCTGGCCTTCCTTGGAGCTAGTCTGAGTGGTGACTTGGTAAACTGTGAATTAAGCTGAATCATTGCACTGGCTCTGGAGGGAACAGAGGCTATGAGTGGCTAAATGGTTGCATACTATCCCGCTTCCTCTACACATTAGCTAATTAGTTGGCTGCCTACATGCAAAGCATTTGCTAGATAATCTCCCAAGGAAATAAAAAAAACTTCACTCCTCGTTTCAGTAGGTCCAGTCGAGAAACTAGCCTGGGATTGCTTTGGGATTGGTTTTGTCTTGGAGAAGACATAATGTCCACATATGCACAAACACACACCTCACTGTGGGTACCTCATATCTAGTTCCTAATCTAAATTCTCCCAGGGATTCCTCTGTGATCCTGACTTCCCAGCTTCAGGCTGCGATTGCCTTCCTCCTCTTGTGGCTACTCTGTCCCCAGGCTCACCCTCTGGCCCACCTCAGCCTGGATGTCTAGTTTCTTAGTACTTACCTAATTTGAACTACTTATCTCTTTAGCCCCGAGTTTTGTATACAACTTTGTTTTCACTTTTCTTCGTGCTAGCTTGTACCCCCTCTGCAGGATTACATATTCCTAGAAGCCCCACCATCATTGCAATGAGGGACACATTCAGGCTTTGAGGTATCTGAAATGCATGCAATTGAAAAGGGACTCTTTTTAAGAAGATGAGTACACAAATATAAATGTAAAGTAATAAGTAAAACTTTGGAGGGGACCCATGAAAGTGAGGTGACCTAGAGCTTGAGTTTCATCCATTTCTTAATAAATCTGCCTCTGATGTGGACACCGTCATTCTAGTGGATTGCCATTAAAGGCTTTTGGCCCGTCTTCTGAGAAACCCATCTATTTCTACAGCACTTAGGACTTTTTCCTTGAGAATTTGAGATTTTAATAAAACTTGAAAGTGTTTATGCCCATAAGAGGTATGCAATCAATATCTGCAAATATAAATAATAAAAATGATAAGATGTGATCACAGGGACCCCAAACTCTCAATGCATAAAATGTGGGAAAAAGAAGCTCATGAATCCCACCTGTTATCTTGGAAACTGCTACTGCTACATACCTAGCTTGATAGCATTTGAAATAGCTCCTAACTAGATAGTATTAGAAAACCCTTGTTTCGAGTTACTGATAGCAAGAAAATGACACTGACACTGGCAATTTAGAAAAGGCAAACTCAGAGGCTAAGTTTAGGCTAAGGAAATTACAGAGTACAAGAACACTTCTTCCGTCCTTTCCTTCCACAGGTTCCTCAAGCTGCCTCTCCCCACTGGCCTCCCACTTTGCCCTCAGTAGCTACAATTTGGCCAGAGAGTTCTCAAGCTAATTTCATACACAGACCAGTGAGCAAGAATCCCTGCTCCTTTTTTTTCTGAGTTCTTTGAATATTACTGTATTATATCCTCAGGATTTCTATTCATAGTTTGCCCTAGGGCTATTGTAACAAAGTACCACAAACTGAGTGGCTTAAACCACAGTAATATATTATCTCAGCTCTACAACTCAGAAGTTCAAAATCAAGGTGTTGATAGGGGTGGTTCCTTCTGAGGGTTGTGAGAAAATGTTCCAGGCTCTTCTTCTTGGCTTACAGATGGTTGTCTTCTCCATGAGTTTCTTCATATCATGTCTTCCTTCTATGCATGTTGTCTCTGTGTCCAAATTTCTCCTTTTTTATAAGAGGATAATCCTGGATTGGAGCTCACCCTAATTGCATCATTTGAACTTGATTACCTCTGGAAAGGCTCTATCCCCAAACGGGATCACATTCCTCTGTACTGGAGGTTAGGACTCCAAAATATCTTTCTTGGAGTATACAATTCAACCCATAACAAAACTATAAGCAGCTCTCTTTATTAGATGCTAAGAAAAAGTATGTGCAGCTAAGGTGACCATTAGTTCACTGAGCAAAGCAGATATTACCTTAGGATGTCAAAGGGGTGTTTGAAGACTGCATTACACTAATGCAAAAAACAGATTGAGAACTAACATGATGTTAAGTAACAAGTATAAATTTGGCAAAGAATAATGTAAAATTGCATAACTTTTGTTGTTTTGCTTCCATGTCCATGGACATTTGAACAAGTAAACTCAATACATTACAGCTTTTTGAAGGACAGACAGTCCATAATCTCTGACAATCTATAGTTCCTTTAAATGCCTCTCTGCCAGATAATTTAGGGCTCACAGAAAAGAGAGGTTAAGACCTATCACTTACCCCTGAAGTGTGACATTAGGCTTTAAATGTATTTCATCTCTGGATAAAAGATTGTTTAGTGCTTACTTTTTGAAGTATACATTAGCAACACAGGACCTAAGGATGGCATGTGAGATCATTTTAATTGCTAGAAGGGCCAGTCACTATTAGCTAAATGTCATCCCCCCTGAAAGAGTGGCCAAGCACAGTGCTCCCTGACTGGTAATTAGAATCTTGTTACCTCCTACCATTAAAATGAGGGGCTGAAACATTAGCACACCAGAGTGAATGAGGAGGGTAAATATGATTTGATGATCATGAAAATGAAAGCCAACTATTAAAGCAAGAGGAACAAGATATGAACGGATTGCATTTAGTGCCCACCTAGGTAAATAATGCTTTATCAGAGCAATGCTCCAAAAGGAGTGAAGGGTGCCTATCCACCCTTCTTTGACTTCCTGCATCTGCTTGGAGGATTCCTTTGACCTTTGTTTTTTACCCCCTTTCCCTCCTTCCAAAATTTACTTTTGTGACTGCTGTGGGTGTTTGGGTTCTTATTTTAATTTATTTTAAAGTTTGATTTAAATTTGGAACCTGCATAAGACTTTTGACATTTATTTCTGGGGGTGTTTTCTGAAGCTGGATGAAGTGGGTGTTGACTGACAGACAGGTTGCTATGGGAACAGCTGTCATTGCAGAGACTAAGGCTTTATTTCCTACTCTTCTTTTGTCAGGCAAAGGTTTGTGGGATATTTTAAAAATAGTATAAGTGCCCCAGAATTAATAGGAAATTGTTCAGTGACTCTTTTCTAACATACCTATCAAAACCTGCAATAGTTTTCATTCTGTACTGCTCTGTTCTGCATATGGATTCATAACTTTTTTCTTTAAAACAAGTGCTTTCCAATATGGCTTTCTCTCATTGGTTGTTTGCTCTCCACATTTCCCCTATGATACTGGTCCTCTATAAAATCATACAGGTAAGGAAATCAAAGTAATAAAAGGCATCCAACAGTCATCCCAAAGAAACATTCAACTAGTGTGACCATGGACTTGGGCGACCTATAAGCTCCATCCTGGTGCTTTATTTACTGGGCAACTTCTTCATCTTAGGATGTTAAAGAGGAAATTCAGGAGATGAGAAAATACATGCAAGTTAAAAGAGGAGCATATAAGTTATCTTAGACTTAAGTTGGGTTCAATTATTTTTATCTCTATTCATTTATTTATTCTCTACCTTTAGTAGCCTCTTGGAGATTTGAGTAGATGATTAAATAAGATGCAGGAGTTCTACATCAAATCCTAATCAGCCCCAAATCTTCTATTTCTCAGGTTGCTCATTCCACAGCGATTCATTACAGCTCCCAAACCAATTGAATTCTGAATACATTCCAAGCATCACTTAGAAAAATGACCAAAAAAAGCAGAAACCCCATTGAACAATCTGCTCTGAAAATAAAGAAGATCAACCCTTCTCTAAACTCAGCTTTCTATGAACCCGAATCCAATCATCTCTTTTCTTGACAACAGGTACCTCCCTATACTACTCCACATACCCACACAGTGCAGAACCCCATATAGGTTAGCTTCTGGATTTCTGAAAATAGTGCAGGGGCTGATTGTTTGCATTATTTTGTGTTTTTCTGGCTGCATTCAATTTCTACCATCTCTTCACTGGTCTTTCTTTGCTTCCTTTTACATGAATGTCCAATTTTGCATTTGTTAAGGGCCATCATCCAGACACTGCTGGAAAAGCAAAATTTCACCTTAATAATGTTTCAGATGTACACTACCTAAACAAGAATTAAACTCATAGTTTAGACAAAGTAAAATATATAAAACATAAATTTATTTCCTTGAAACTTGGCTCAAACTAGTATCTTTTCTTTCATCATTCCATTGGAGGAGGTTTATAGGGTTGTTTTTCTCTACACAGGAGCTCTAAGTGTTTATGTCATCCTGATACATGGAAATTTCCTTAATTAACTAAAATTGTGTACTCAATCATATTTTCTCACCTCCTGAAAATACCTATACAAGATGCAAGAGAGTTGTGAGGATCTTAATTACGTATGGCAAGCATGGTTTGATATTTCAGGAACCTCAGGTTTTGTTTGTGTGGGGGGTGAGAGGGGGCAGCTAGATTTTTTTTTTTTTTTGAGACAGAGTTTCACTCTTACTGCCCAGACTGGAGTGCAATGGCATGATCTTGGCTCACTGCAACCTCCACCTCCCAGGTTCAAATGATTCTCCTGTCTCAGCCTCCTGAGTATCTGGGATTACAGGCGCATGCCACCACGCCCGGCTATTTTTTTGTATTTTTAGTAGAGATGGAGTTTCACCATGTTGACCAGGCTGGCTTCGAACTGCTGACCTCAGGTGATCGAGGGCGGCTAGATTTAAAGTGAGAAAGAAATATGCCGAGAAAGTTTGTGTCGATCTTACCTTCCCCTTCTTATGGCTGATTTCAGGAGTAGACTGGAAGGGAGATCTTAGAACAGAGAAAAATGATGAACAAAATAAAAGAGGTTAGGAAAAGAAGCGAGTGATAGTGTGAGAATAAAATTCAATTGAAGAAAATGTTAAAAAGTGCTGAGAATATATTATCATAATGCAGACTGAGATAGTCTGCAGCTTACTCATCGCAAGTGTAACATTATTTGTACATTTTTAATAAAGCCAAGTGCCATTTCCTTTTTTTTTAAGATTGTATAATGGAACAGTTACTAAATTTGGAGTCAGATGAGCTAGAATTTGGCTCTCATGTGATCCGATATGTGATCTTGGGCAAGTAACAATTTAGTTGAGACCATCTCTTCCTCAGAACAACACCCTGCCTCCCTACAACCCAGAAAGCATTTAGAAAAACTGTAAACTACTCTCCAAATCTAAGTTATTATTATTGTTTTCATCTTTCTTCTCCTTCTTTCCTTCATTCTCCAACTTCTACTACCAGTTATCATCATCATCCTCATCATCATTGTCATTATCATCACTAGGGGAAAGTATCTGGGCTGGAAATCCTGTTTTAGCATTTGTTCCCAGTAGTCACATACTTATAAATGATTTACCTACAAATTCCGGAAAAGAACCATCAAAAGAGATTTTCCTTATATCTCCTCTATTTGACTTTGCTGATCATATCTCTAAAGCTAGGTGTTCTGCTATATTTTGCTATAAATGGATCCAATTTGGCCAATGACATTAAATTATTAATCTGGAGTAAGCAATGAGTATTTATGTAATTCACTTGCAAACTGTAATTGTCAATTAGAATATCCAATGCCTATATATCTAGGCATACGTCCATACAGTTTATCCTCATGCAATACAGGAAAATTGAAAATCCAATAAGTAAACTCTTTTACTAAGAGACATAACCGAAAAGCCTGTTGTCACTTTTTAACAGACTGCAAATCAATAAGTGATGTAGGGCTTTACTTTTTGGTAGCATTAGGATGTTGACTTCAGCAATAAGCATGCTATAGATCAGAAGTTGGGACAGAATGCTCTGCTATGATATACAAGTAAAAAGCTTCTTATTTTAGAACTGTAGACAGTTAGCTTATCCAATGACCAGTTGTACAGCTGTACTATCTTGTGGAGTAGAGTGTAATCTATGGCCATCACACTAGTCTTTTCACTACAGCTTCTACCCAGGGAGGGGGAAAATGCAATACATTACAGTGAAAGTTACCAATACACAAATGCAGAAAACCTAATATAATAAAAATAACCCCTCTCAGCCTCATTCACACTGAGAATAAATGAAAATGTTATTATTCATGCTGCTGTCAGACAGGATCATATCTGAGTCACATCAGACACAACTGAATCTAGCTTGATTTTTTATTTACAAGATCCCTAGAGAAAAGAGAATCTACATAACTCAAAAAAAAAAAAAAAAAAAAGGAGAAAACCACTCCACTGTTTGCAGTGTTCACTCTCAGGACATTTTGGATTATCCTGTTTAAAGTCACAGAAAGAGGGAAAATTAGAGTTTAATTTCCAGGTTGACTCCTTCCCAAATTTGTTATTTTAGGCAAGTCACCTAACTTTTTTATGCCTCAGTTTTCTTCATGTGTTTATAGTGAGTTAAGAATAATATCTACGCCATAGGATTTCTGGAAAAAAAATTAATTAAAATAAAAAATTCTTAAATATCCTGAAAACTCTGTTATGCTATATAAATGTTAGTTGACAGTAATAGTTCATAGTGGCAGCAGTAGCAGAAACAGCAATAACCAAAGGCACACATCATCGATTGCATAACCCCTTAGCAGGGCCATAATCAAACACGTTAATATTCCTGCAGCAAAAGATATGAATATTGACACTTAGTGGAATAAACAAAAGAATATAAATTGCCTGCTGTCAGTCAAGGTCAGATTTTGCTGCCAAATAAGTTTTGTGGCCAAATGTATAAAACGAATTTAAAAATAAAAACCAACAACAACTTTTTCTGGATTTCCGAATTATGGATAAATAGATTTTTCATTTGAACTAATAAACCAACATACAAGCCACACTTTACTATGGAAATAATGGTTATTAAATGTCTTCCTAGCTGTTCTGCATCTCAACTATTCTCATTTCACTTTCCTTCCTAATCTAATACCTCAACTGTTTTTTTTAAACTTATCATTCCATTGCCCTTCTTTTAATACTCTCCAGTCTCTACATTGCTAGGACAAGTTTTCAAGCATAATAGGAAGACAAACACTCCCAAATATGATGACAGTCTCCTAGACTGGTCCCGTTTCCCTCCAACCCATCCTCCACCTAGCAGTGAGAGATCTTCTTAAAATGAAAATTTAGATGTGGCACCTTTCTGCTAAAATCTTTCAATGCCCTTCCATAATTCTACTCAACAAAGATCTAACTTTTTAATATCGTGCACAAAGCCTTTTCTGAGCTGGTTCCTGCCTCTCTTTCCAGCCTCATTTTGCTGCTCAGCTCCCTCCTTCCCCATCCACAAAGCCCATATTTCAGTCCAGCCAAATGACTTGCATTTGTGAATATACAATTTCACAGTGAATATACAAGTCAATATACAATTTCTTACCTCTGCATTTTGCTCACACCATCCCTTCTGCTATGACTGTCCTTCCCCAATTAGGTCTGCCAGGTAACTATTACTCATCCTTTGTCCATCCTCTCAAAAAAAAATTTCATCTCTGAAGTCCACCCTGTCCTTTCCACATTTCTTCTAACACTCATGCCGTCTTAAGCCAGCAGCTATCATGCCCTAATCACATTGCCACGTGGACCGCATTATGGCACAATTACTTGCTATAATTATGCATCTACTCCTCTTCCCAGACTCTTAAATAGGCATCCCTGGTACAGCAAACTGGCACAGGCACTTTACAAAGTGAGTGCTTAGTGAGCATCTGCTTCATGAATAAAAGTGCTTCCTATAACTTTTCATCAAAACTACAGATGTTCAAGGTATATGAAAAGCCACCACTCACTAACTTTAAAGTTGGAGAAAAGTTCAGATGTCTTTTATTTCTCAGATAAAATTTAGGTTTGTTCTCTAACTGTAGTTCTCATGGAAGAACTATTAAACAGTCTGGTGCTCAAGTTGAACAAAATTCTCTGCTTTTTACCTTAGTCTATTCCTAAAACAAGAAATACAAAGCATTTAAGCAGGTATCACTAGCACTAGACAAAGATTAGAATTTAGCCAACAAGAGTTTGCTTTCAAGTTGCAAAGCTTTCAGAGAGAGAAAAATGCAGAGAGAGGACTTAGGTCCATAGAATTTTTCATAAAGGCATGACTTTCCCACCACTTCCAGGGGAGTTACTTCATGTGTTGGTGACATTTGCTCTACATGCCAATGTCTGAAAATCCCTGGCATCTACCACACAAGCATATCCATGGTAAGGAGAAAAATGTTCCAGAAAGAAAAATGCTTAGAGTGTGCAAGGATAGTCTTGACAGGAAAACCTGCAAGGACCAAAACACATGTCTGAAGGACTCAGATACTATTCAGAGACACTACTAACTAGTACATTCCAAGGGTATTTGGGATGAATAATTAAAGATACTTTATGTATTAGGAAACACTGAGCCTGTCATATTCGTTCTTTTCTTCCACTTATCATTTTTGTCTTTATAGAAACCAGGTTTCTTTTTACATTAGGAAGAGCAGAGTCATCCCCAGGTGGGAACGGCTCTGTCTTATCTTATTCATCTTCCATGACTAGTATAGTGTCTGTCTCATAGAAAGCTCTTGTTTATTGAACAAAACTAAAAATTTTCACTTAGAGAACATACTTTCAAAAATCTCTTTCTACATCTTAGCTCTAATTAGAAAGTATTTCTAATGTACTGATTTGGGTGACTGCTTGGAGTTAGGGCATGGTACTTTTTTACCTGAGGATCAGGTACCCGGATAAAATGACCTGAACTCTGGTATCCCTAATACTACTTGCCATGGACCTTCAGCCACAGGCTCAGTCAAAGCCACAGAATAAGTGACAGAACACTCTCCCTTTCCTCCTCTTCCCTGAATCACAAAGGTCCTGGTATTCCCTCACATGGTTTTGCTCAAATAAATAAGGAGGCATGAAATAATCCCGGGGAAAAACAGCACTTCAGTGACAATGAATTAATCACTAAGGAGAGCCGATATCACAGTACCATATTTTAAAAATAACAATGTAGGAAAGCCCCAGTAAAATATGACAAATTTGCAGAACTTCTGGGTGGAGTTTGTAAAATACTCACTTGTCCATCAGACACAGTCTATCTTCTTCTGCCTTGGCCTAGAGTGCTATTGCTTAACTGTAGGGATTATCTACCACAACATTTTACAATGAAGAAACTGAGACTTGAAAGGTAACTTATGCAAGTTCACACATTCTAATATCCAAGGGAAATACTGCCTTCCTCTCCTTCATATCAGAGCTTTGTCTTGATAACAGCCCTACTTGAAATGGAGAAATGACCAGTATCTTCTACCCTCCACACAAAATGCTTCAAAGATGAAAGCACAATTACAGAGTTTAGAGGGCCTAGAACACTTGTTCAAGGGGGGCAAGGACAAGAAGAACAAGAAGTGAAATGGGACAGAGGAGCTCTTTCTCTCGTTTAAGACTTATAAGGTGCTGTTGAAAAATCTACGGATAAGCATCTTAAATCATGGTAAATTACACACTGCATGCTGGTGACTCGGTCATGGAAAATTATGAAGCTACGTGATGTCTCATTTGTTGTGCTGAAAACAAATGTAAATAAATTACTGAGAGAATCTCATTTACATTTAGAAATTCATCCTGACGCATGACATGACTACCAATTTTTTTAAAGATACTTTGAGAAGAAATGCCACTCATTAAACCCAGATCATGAGGATCATAGTATGAGCTTGATTTGGTACAGGGTTTTCAAAGCAAGGAAACACTACCCTTTCATACTAGGAGAACCCCCCCATCCCCCAACCCTGCCATGCATACACACACACACACACACACACACACATACACACAGAGAAAGATACACTCACTCACTCACACAAGGGAGAGGAAATAGCATTAGGCTTGTGGTTGTTTCTCTTTTTCTAATGATCCATCTGCTGTTCCTCACGTTCACAGACAACACTCCGGACCCATTGTTAGTGGGACTAGCTGGTTGCCCAGTAGAGTGGATGGTTCATGGTGAGCCATTCACAATCTCTCACCCCATTCCACCCATGACCTAAGGCAGCTGGCAGGGGTTAATGGGACAGAATGGAGTTAACTGGCTCCTGCAGGGATCAAACCCATGACCAATCTCATTAACACTCTGCTTTGACCAACTGAGCTGCAAAGCCATGGACTCTCGTTGAATAGGAATTGGTCATCAAGTGGCACAGATGCCCTGCACTAAGAAGCAGCTGACCTGAAAAGGCAGATATAAAATGCAGGAGATTGATGGGATTGGAGCAAAAACCTTGAAGGGCTTCAGGTCTAGGGTAGCTGTTAGGCTTGTTGCCATGCTTAATTTATCCCATCCACCTCTCCATGACTCCATTCAAATCACCCAGGGCAAAAGCAAGGACTTACGAAACAGGGACAGAGAGTTACAGCACATTGAATGTAATGAGAGCAAATCAGGCAAGCACTTAATAAAAAGTTTTGAGAACTGTTATATATAGTCTAAAAAGCTGCAGCTACAAAGGATTGAACCATTGTCTCTTGCTGATATTACACTACACTTAGCATCCTTTGTGCAATATTGTTCCTTCGACATCGGATAAAATAACCCATCCTAATGCCCTGTCTTCTAAGTGAGGGCCTGGGACTTAA
The DNA here is from genome assembly GCF_000001405.40 of Homo sapiens. Lineage (NCBI taxonomy): Eukaryota > Metazoa > Chordata > Mammalia > Primates > Hominidae > Homo > Homo sapiens. The sequence continues at coordinate 217,021,883 of NC_000001.11, forward strand.
ACTTTTTTCCTCTGCAGCTGTGACTATGGGCTCGCTTTCCAGCTCTTAAATGTCCTCCCATCTTTTCTCTTTTCCCCATTCTAAATAGATACTGCAAAAAGTTGTTAAGTTTTGCTTTCCACCCCACAAGGGTAAAATACAATCATTTCCTAAATAGGGATATTATGGTGTGCTCGGTCTCATCCACAGCAGAATATTTACATGAGCCTGAAGAGGTCTGAGAGTTTATTGGTTAAGGAAAAAATAAGGCCATGAAATAATTATTTTTCATTGTGCCCTGCCAAAGCCATTCAGCCAAAGGCTAAATTGAGCTGCTATTGTGATTATTTGAACTGTGGAGCCAAAAGTCTTTGCTGCAAAGCATCCCAGCTGTCCTAAATTTTGTTCTGATGGTTAGTTTTCATTTGGGCTCAGACCCTGCCAAAAAAATGGTCCCCAAAATAGGCGGGTGGAAGGGTTGCTTTATCCAGACCCACATCAATTACCGATTTAGGGCCATTCAGAGAACTTGATTATTAACAAATCACTTCCTGAAACTGTTATGACAGGATTCCCATATGCAAACGGCAAGTCGCTCATTTGCACACAGTGAGGTGAGGAAATTAAAACTAAGACTTCCCAAATTTACTGATGGTCACTTTTTTTTTTAACGCTGATTGTACTTTATGGCTAATGAGTTTTTCCCAATGGTCCTCACAGCTGGAAGGCTGCAGCAACAGCCGTTGCCCAGGCTGGATTAATGGGAGCATCGACCCTGTGCTTGCCTGGCACCTCAACCGGTATGTCTAGTGACTGTAGCGTTTCATGACCGAGTAAAATGGCCCTTCTAGGGCTTTAGGAAGCAATGTACACTTTGTTTTGTTCAGTTTGGCATCCCCCACATCTGGAGCAACACCTGTCCATTGTAGGCACTCAAGCTGTATGTGCTGGAAAGAAGGAAGGAGGAAAGGAGGGAAGAAAGTAAGGAAGGGAGGGAGGAAGGTAGGAAGGCAGGGAGGATGGATGGAAGGAAGGCAGGAAAGGAGGCAGACTAACAATCCAGTGGGACCTAGAGTTTAAGTTAGTGTTGTCTTCTAAATAAATATTCCTTTTGTGTGCTGGGATGAACACATTTCTGAAAACTAATCTAGTGTAGAGGCACAGAAAATAGCCAAATCAGTTATCTTTTATCAAACCATTACTTGTTTCTACTCTGGCCAAGATCCATTCACAATGGAGAAAAGAAGCTAATGCAATATATTAATTTAATGCATGTACTATCAAAATGTACACTAACTTAAACAAAAAACAATGTGTCTCTAAAAGATTCCCTAAGATTTTCCTGCAATTTACCTCTCCATTAATATATTTCAGAAATGGAATCAGCTGCAATCGTACATCAATACCACGTAAACCAATAAGGCCCATCTGGAGGGTACAGGAAGGAAAGCAGAATACCAGACACCAGGAGGAGGGTTCCCAGAGACTCTCAGGGAAACTATTCCTGTTATCTGCACCTACATGGCATCCAGAGGGAGTTTCCTGGAGCTTCAAGTTACTCCCACTTCTTATAGGAGAAGTTTGATGTGCCACGAAGCCAATTCTTCAATGCAGGGGTAGAGCCTGGAGACACTGAAATCACCCTTTGGAGTGAGGGTGGGTTTTTGTCATTTCTGGAATTACTTGGAAGGAGGGCAAAATCTTTGAAAGCAAAATTTATATAACATTAGCTGCAATTTAAAAAGTAATTTCCACCCATATTCAAACAACTCTGGAAACCTCCTTCCTTGAGATGCTTTCCTGGAACAATCACAAGGGTGTGGATTTCCTTGGCGTGTCTCTGTCACAGAATGATTTGCTCCCTGCCCACTCACTTCCCCACCCCGACCCTTGCCCCAAAAACTAAAGGTTAGGGATGGGAAAGGAGAGTATTTACCCACCCAATAATCAGAACCTCTGTCAAACATCAGCCATCCCTAACTGTCCATCAGAGCTAACTAGTTCCAGATCAGTCTGTGAAGTCACCATGCATGGCAATGCATGAGCAGATGAGCCATCCTTTAAACAGAGATGGTAGCTAGAAGATACAGTCATGACATACAAGGAAATTCAAGATATCGTAAACCTAAAAGATACATTTGAAACACAAAATGGTTTTGTGATTAACAGCAGGGACATAAATGTAGGGGGTTTTCAAATAAATTTAGAGCTGTACAGCAGGGCACTGTGGCTCATGCCTGTAATTCCAGCACTTTGGGAAGCCCAGGTGGGCGGATCACGAGGTCAGGAGATGGAGACCATCCTGGCTAACACGGTGAAACCCCGTCTCTACTAAAAATACAAAAGATTAGCCGGGCATGGTGGTGGGTGCCTGTAGTCCCAGCTACTCGGGAGGCTGAGGCAGGAGAATGGCGTGAACCCGGGAGGTGGAGCTTGCAGTGAGCCGAGATTGCACCACTGCACTCCAGCCTGAGCGACAGAGCAAGAGTCCATTTAAAAAAAAAAAAAAAATTAGAGCACTGAATAACTTCAGGCTAGGACAGGTAGGTAGTTTGTCATGGCTGCTTCTGAGGACACCACCAGAGAAGTTAGTGCCAAGAAGGACCTTCCCAATCACCCCCTCCACAGCCACCCACCCACACCCACTCCAATTCCCATGTAAGAGACAAACACACCAAAGCCTGGAGACATGAGCATCATTCAAAATCACCGTCAAATGCAATTATTCTTTTCTTAATTCTTAATCTCTATTTTTTCCTCTCCACCCCATCTTTCCTTTATTGTCCCCATTTCTTCTCAACCACTTTATCATCTTTTAGTTCTCCCTGACTATGTCTCAGGGCTTCCTTCCTAGCAGTTGTAGGAATAATAAGCACTTGTTATACCAGGAACTATTCTGAGAGCTTTAATATTCACCACCTCATTTGATATTCACAACAGCTCTATGAGGGAGGCACTATTATTGTCTGCGTTTTATTATAGATGAGCAAATTGAGGTATAGAGAGATTAGGTGACTTGCTCCAGATTACTCAGCCAATTAGCAGCAGAGATATACTTTAAAACATCCTTCCACTTACATAGGAGGAAACTGAGGCATGAAGAGTTTTAGTAACATGCCCAAGGCCACTCAGCTTGGAAGAAGCAGCACCAGGACTGTGGAGCCCCTGCATACACTCACCACCTTCCTCGTTATCCTGCTCAGGACCCCAAAGCTAGAAGCCTTAAGGGACCAGGAGCAATGCTGAAGCCAAACAGCTGTGCTCGATAAGTCCCAGAGTCTACAGCATCATCAGGTTAAAAAACGTATTTAGAAATCTAGGGAATCAGGAAAAGGCATCCACAGAGTGCTTTTGTTTTCTGAAAACAAGGCAAGAATTATTTAGCATATGTTTCTGCAGAATGATTTTGCCAGTGTCAGTCATTAAAAATAAACGCTTAGTAGGGTGACATCTATTTCAAATAGTTGTAGCCAAAAATAAATTTCTGCTTTAAAAAAAAAAAGTAATGGTTTGATAAAAGATAACTGATTTGGCTATTTTCTGTACCTCTACACTAAAGAAATAAAGTCTGTCCAGGGCTTTTGGTTCTAACTTCTAGGGTAAATCAATTGGGAAAAAAGTATATGCACAAGAAATTTAACTCTTTTTCAAAGACAGTGGGGAAATCAAAGAATGTCCACAGATCATTGAAAACTCTATTTTAGTCATTTTAGCATGCTAATGTTCTTCCTCCCACCTGCCAAAGCTGTTTGCCAGAAAAAAAGCATAATCTCTGTAAGCCTGGCCCCTTGTCTTTGGCCAAACCCTTATGGGTCCAAACACAGCCCCTATCTACTTTATAGAAACTCAGGATCAGGACATAATCAAAGTCAAATGTCCTGAAAACTACTGGGTGAATGTTTATTACATTAATAAATTGTTTTTAAGAGGAAGGGCCCTGCCAATGTCCTAGGAAGATCTTGGAAAATATCTAACATATGGTTATATAGTTACACTACCATTTAATTTCCATAGTCCTGGTAAGTCATTTTCATTTGGTTTTTCTATTGTCTCTTTTATACATTATTACTATCTGGAATAATACATGGCCTGAGATGAGAGAAGAAATAGCCAAAAAAGGAAAATTCTTGTAAAATGATAAGAACTAAGCCCATGACCCCCAGCAGAGGACCACCTTTGCCCCACTTTTATCCACTGAGGTCACCCGTGCATGGTGACTTAACACCTTGCCTTTAGTTGCCCGACCTCTCATCTGGCCTACTGAGCCCCACACAACTTTCTGCAACTCGTGATTTAATTCCTGTCTGAGTTGGAGGCATAAAAGGAGCTTGACCTGTCACCTGTGTGACGGCCACAGCTCTACCTGCTGACTAGATGCCCTTCTGGATCCATCCAATTGGCCAAATGGAGGGACAGAACATCCTCCCCTTTAAGGAAAAGGAAGAGATGCCAAGAAATGCTTCATTTCAATTAAACTTAGCAGAGAATCAGAACCAAATCAGTCACATTTATTAGAAGACCCTGCAAATGGCAAGAGTTTTGAAGACACCACTCACAGTTAACTAAAGAATAGGTAAAATGTATGTGCACTCAAGGTGATTCACTTCTTCCCAAAGAGTTATGGGTTCGAGGCAGGTGAGGGCTCCAGCTTACAGTTTATTAAATAGCACCTAGGTCCTGAGTTTGGGTGAAATGGTGGAATGCTTCCCATTTGATAACACATGTGGCTATCCGCTTGTGGGTATCTAATTTGGAGTACTATTAATGTGTAGCCTTTCCTGGCAAATCTGCCTAAGGGATTAGTCACCCCCCAAAAGTTCAGTTGAATATTAACCACATTAACTTTGCAGCCTGCAACATACTGTTACACACAAATAGCCTACAGTGCCATGTGGATGACTTGCTTAGCAATAAACATTCCATGCAGAGTCCCCAGTGCAGGAAAAATTGTGTTCCATCAAAAGGACCACCCTGCCAATCCTGGCTGAGAACCCCACCCCCGACCACACACATATACACACACACATACACACACACACACACACACACACAGAGAGAGAGAGAGAGAGAGAGAGAGAGAGAGAGAGAAAGCCCAGTCTAGGGTATCATGGTTTTATTCAATTGCCAGATTTTCTCTGACTATGTAAGACTCCTTTTCCTTCAAGGTTTTACTGCAGGTCAAGTCCCCCAAGATTGGCTGAAATGATGTATCTTTAAAGGTAAGAATTCTAAATGTTCTGTGTCGATTTTGTTTTAAATCTCTCACCACAAAGGCCACATGTTCCTTCTGTTCCCCAAACATACTGTCCCCAAGAACAACTTCCTAATGTCTATAGTAATTCCAGAAAAGCCACAGAGAATTACTGTCTCCAGTAACCAGAAAAGAATAAATACATCCTGAACCCACATTATAAATAGAAATAGTCACTAATCTTCTGCTCAATGACAAGCACCCCCTTAGAGAAGACCAGCTCACCAAAACTCCACTGAATTATTGTCCTCTTTCCTTACACCCTAGTTCTTCGTTACATGCATTCTTCAGCCCTTACAAACCACCCTTACAGAGGTGATTCAGTGTAATTAGAAATCGAGTTAAATCTTAGGGCCTGGAACCTCTATTTCTTCATAATGTTGTACACTTAATTGCTCTTGCCAGTTAGCAACACAATTATGTTGTCTGGAAATGGAGACAAACAATAGATTTTAGTATTTAAACAGGAACTGAAACTGCAAGCAGAGAGCCGCAAACCACACCATTAAACTGGAATTAAAGCTATATGTGAAAAGAAAAAGTTTCACTCCCAGCAATCATCAGCCTACCATGCAAAAAGAAACTACCCACAGATCAGAAGGAAGGTGGAACACAGGAGGTAAAGCTTGGGTTCCTAGTTTAGGATGGGATTTTATGAAAACCCCAGGCATAAAAATATGACAGGATAAAGTAGACAAATAACAATGCAGGACAACACTTGACCTTTAGTGGTTAAATGAATAAAAGAAGCCTCTGTATTAAGAGTATCCCTTGTGCATAATCATTGCCTCAATGCAGCCTGTCCCCAACCTCTATGCCTACCAAGATTTTCTAAACTAATGCCTTACTAACAGGGTTAGAAAAGAGAACAAACAACAATCAACTGAAATTCATTCCATTTTCTAGAAACTGTCACGAGAATCACAAAAACTCAAGTGGCGCACAGATTTGGCCTTGCATTTCCCTCTGGATCCCATGTCTAGAATTTCTATACACGCCCCCACCCCATCACCTCCACAGTGCATGTACATTCTCATTATAACCTACAAAGGGATATCGGTCTTACAGAATAGCATCTTACTTCAGCTTTATGGAAGAAATTAATTCAGCCTCTATCTCCATTACCTCTCCATGTATAGACCTGGAAGGACTTAAAACATGCAAGGAACAACTAGAGTAGGTGTTGCCAGAAGATGCTCCTGCTGAAAAGGCTCTACAGAAAATGGAAAGACTGAGAGAACCCACATTGGAGACAGCAACTCTCCTCATACCTACAAAGAATTGTGGCTGGTAAATACAGAAGTCCAATACTGCTTTGGAGGACAGACATGTCAAGATATTTGATGCCAAGTTCAGAGGGGCCTGAGCTTTTCCTGTTAGGTGAATTTGCAAAATTGCAGAGCCCCTAGTGAAAATAATTTCTCCCAGGAGAGGGGTGAGAGAAATTTCTGGGTTCAATTTTATGTCTTTGGGAATAGCACATTTTAGGAGTCCACCATCACTATTTCCTTCCAATTACACAAGTAGTTTTTCTGACAAAATAAAATTGGCAAAGAATATTTTCAAATTCCAGGAAGTTTTCACAAGATAGCAAAAAATACACAGGTAGTTCATAGGTTTGTGCATGGGTTATATGCCTAATTACATGGGCATCTGGCACCAACCCTAGCACAGAATTCATTGATGGCTCTGTCTAGCCTCTATCCTGCCTTGTACTTGCATTGAAAAAGCCTCTTCCCAATTGTTTTCTAGGCCCTACCTTGAAAAAATACTAAGTATTGCACCTTATGCCCCTGCTTTCTGAAATGCAAGCATTGCACCAAAAGCTATGTTAGCCATCTCTATGCTACAACACTGGACCCCTCTTTATCTTTAATTTATCTTTAATTCAAAAGTAATTGTGTACCATTACAGCTCAGAGTTTAAAATGAGCTCTCTGAAAAACTTAAAAAAAAAAAAGAAGAAATTAATTCTAACCCTTACCTTTGGCATCTTATAAGACTTTTGGCCATGACTTACCTGTATAAATAGAAAGAACTAATTTACTACAGAAATGCCCATGGGCGAACATGTACTAGCTAATGAAGTGTTCAGCTTTTGCATGATTAACCAGCTGGTGGGGGTAGTGTAAAAGCAGAGGGCATAAAATAATAAGAAAAATTGATTAGCAGTCGTTTTTTAAAGTAGTCCATGAAAAATTCCTTTTTTTATACTCACTAGCTCAGAAACCGACCGTAAGGGAAGAAAAACTTGAATGACTCACCAGGAAACTGAGCAGGCCCACGGCTGCTGTTTGTGTGTTCAAAATTCACTAAGTAGGGAGGCCCAGGTGAAGCAGGAAAAGACACTGAACTGCTTCCAAATGGACTGACTTACACAACAGGTCCTGCCAGTTGTCATAAAGTTAATTTTCTAATATGTTGCGAAACGCATTATATAAAGTTGAAAACTATGACTGGGCTCTGTGTCCATTCAATTTTCTCTCTGGAGCACTCTGCTAGACCACACTTGGCTTTAACTACCGCCAGACCAATTCATTAAGAAAAAGGGTATAGTCTTGAGCCAGAATATTTATACACTTGACTCAGAAACAATCTATTCTAGGGGATATTTTCCCAAGCTAAATGCACTACAGGCCTTTCCTATTCATAACATTCTTTAGCTGGTCTGCAACTCCCTTAAGTGAAAAGAAAAGGAGTCAGGTCCAAAAAATAAAAACGCAGCTGACCAAAAAGAAAGGAATGGCTAAGGAAAGGCGCGGGTTTGAGGTTACTTATAAAGCAATGAAACGCTCTTTCTTCCATTTGCTTTGATGACACAACTAATATTTACTCAGCTTAGCCCTCCCTTTAGCACAGGGACAGGCATTTCCCAGGCAGGGAAAAGAGAAAAACCGAAGCTGGGTATCCTCACTAGCACACTGTACTACAGCCCTAGATTCCACCTTCTACTGGGATGCTGACCATGTCAAAGAAAGAATAAGGTGGTGCGGAGGCAGTGCCTACACAGAGATTCTTTCTCTCCCTTTCCCTTTCTCTTTCTCTTTTTCTTTCTCTTTGTCTCTCTCTCTCATGGACATGACCATAAACCAAGTGATCAAACCACAAGCCTCCCTGTCCCTTCACTCTTCTCTGTGGCCATAGATAACAGCCCTCTTCCCAACCAGACCTTTCACAGATTTGCAGCAGACCATAAGTAGAACCAGACACTGAGCCACGCATGGGATAAACAGACCACCATTACCCGAAACTCAACCATTTTCCTATGACTCCCAGGTAGAAAATCATTAATCCCACTTTACCTTTTAGGTTTAACTATGAAAAACTTCACAGTGTGGTGGGAAGGCCACTGGCAGGTCTAGAAATCTGAGTTATAGTATGAGGTCTGCTGCTAGCCTAGCTGTGTGACCTTGAGCATACCGCTTAGCCTTTCTGATCCCCAGCTTCCTCATTTACAAAATAAAGTGTTAGACAAGATCTCTAAGCCTTCTCCCAGTTCTAAGGTCTTCATTGTTATTTTTTTCTTTGCTCACTGATATGTCAATAAACTAAAGGAGATGGGCTGAGCATTTGTCAAATTTTACATTATAAACATGTTCCAGGGTTGTGTTGTCCAATGTGGTGGCCACTGGCCACATGCAGTGACTATTGAGCACATGAAATGTGGCCAGTCTGGATTTCAGAGAGTACCTCCAAAGTGCAAAAATATCTTATTCATAATTTTTGTATTAGTTACATTGAAATGCTAATATTTAGGATAAACAGAATGCATTTTTAAAATCACCAGTGCCCAGCTGGCTCAGTCAGTAGAGCATGAGACTTAAAATTAAAGTTACCTGTTTATTTTTACTTTTTAAAATGAAGCTGCTGGAAAATTTAAAATTAAAAATGTGGCTCACATTGTATTTCTGTTGCACAGCCATGCTCTAAAGGAGAGTTTGGCAAACTATGGCTTGCAGGCCAAATCTAGTCAATGGTCTGTTTTGATATATCCTGAAAGCTAAAAATAGTTTTTACATTTTCTAAGAGTTATTTTAAAAAAAACTATGTTGTAGAAACCATGTGTGACCAGTGAAGTCTGAAATATTTACTATCTCGCCCTTTACAAAAGCAGCTTGCCAACCACTGCTCACACCTCTCCTTCCAGAGTTCGGGTACTACAGTAATACCCAAGTCTTCAACACAGTGCCAGAAAACATGCACTGAGAGAGAATTCCCCTACCAATCTTCATATTCCCACCATTGTCCTAAAGGTGTTGGGAGAGAATAAGAGGAGAATCGCAGAAAGAGAAGGAAAGGAGAGTCCACACTCAATGCTTACTTTTTCCTTGTCTAACTAGAGTAGCAGCAATGCTTACACACATTTCAACCTTACAGCTTTCAGCTTTCTTCTTAAGAGAAAATGGTTTAGCATGAAGAAACTCAGCCAAGGGAGAAACATATGACAACTTTAATCTAATTTTGTAGCATATTTTGGGGGGACACATTTACAGAGACCAACAGATATGGTTTGGCTGTGTCCCCACCCAAATCTCATTTTGAATTGTAGTTCTCATAATCCCCACATGTGGTGGGAGGGAGCCAGTGGGAGATAACTGAATCACAGTTTCCCCCATGCCATTCTCACGATGATAAGTTCTCAGGAGATCTGATGGTTTCATTAGGGGCTTCCCGCTTTGCTCAGCTATCATTCTTCTCCTTCCTGATGCCATGTGAAGAAGGATGTGTTTGTTTCCCTTTCCACCATGATTGGAAGTTTCCTGAAGCCCCCCAAGCCCTGTGGAAATGTGATTCAATTAAAACTCTTTTCTTTATAAATTACTCAGTCTTCAGCAGCTCTTTATAGCAGCATGAGAACAGACTAATCCACCGACTGCCCCAGTTTGCCAGGATCAAGAGCTTTCTGTGAATGTGGAATTTTCCCCTTGCTAAGGTGCTAAATTCAGGACTGTCCTGGGCAAACCAGAATGAGTTGGTCACTTCAAATCTGACCAATTAAAAATATGGTACTATGTTATATAAAGAATGCAATACTAATCACATTTTTTAAAATAGAAATACCTTCTTTAACAAGCTACCTGTTGAATTTTTGCCTTTTCTACTTTCCTTGCCTTTTAACTACTGAAAATTAAATTTTCAGTAAGTTCTCCACTGACCATTCAGTTCTTTCATTTTATGATTTTGGATCAGATCCCTAACCATTTCTGGGCCTCACTTTTTCCTCTGTAAAAATATACTGAGTAGATAGTGCATTCTTCCCAGTTACTTCTAGTGGAGGATAAAACAATAGACTCAAAGAACTTTGAGTCAATTGAGGATTCACAATTCAAGATTGATGGTCAATACAGGATGACTAGACAACAATTGTCCATAAGATGGATTTTTTAAAGTGTTTTAAATTGTTCAATGTTGTAACTGCTTGAACTGGAGATAACGTAGAACTCAACATGATCCAGCTTCTAAAGAAAAAATTATACAAATGGTACTTCAAACCTAAAAAAGTTATATATTCTGTACATATAAACCTAATGGAGATATTTTATTATTTGTTTCATTATTTGGGGGTGATTGTTTTGAAAACTGTGGATGAAATGATAGTACATATCAGTTTCACAAACAATTGAAACTTCAAGAATGGAATTCTCCATCTCCCAAATGCTATGAAAATATTCTCATTGTTTGGGAAAAGATGGTGTCATTCATTGCATATTAAACACACACTCTCTATGTTTCATCAGGGATGCTCTATTGTGCAATAATTGGTCCCCATTGTTACATGCACAATTTGGCTGCTCACATGTAAAAGTAAAACCTCTTAAATAGCTATCTCCACTGATAGCCTTCGGCACAGACCGTCCCCTGTGGCCACGTGCCTGCAGCAACCCATGACTAAGGCTTATGGAAGGGGAGGGGGAGATTAAAAGGGGGTGCACCTATAATCCTTTATTTATATTAGAAAGTCACCCCTGAAACCTCATTAGCAATGGCTGAGTGCTGTGTCAAGTCCTCAGCAAGGGCTTTGCCCAGAGTGGAGTTTGCTAAGGGAAATGTAGTGGCCGATGCCCAGGACAGAGGGAAGACACTGAAAGACAAAAAGTTCTGCTGTGTCCTAGCCCTTCTCCTCTTTGCAGAAGCACCTGTCCCCTTTTTGTGCAGTACCCAGTTCCACCTATGCTAAACTCACAAATCTCAGAGGCCATTTCCTACCTTAACTATCACTGATGCCTCTCCACCCCTGTGAGTTCATACAGTAGAGATGGCCTCTGAATATTGAAGATATTTTGGGTTCCTCCACATTATTGAAATTCTCCCTCCTAACTTCTGAACTCCTTTTATGTCAAAGTCACGCTTTGGAGATTTTGTAAATGATTAATGTTTGGATGTCTTTTTTTTAAGACATTAATTTATTAAGCCCAAAAAAGATGTGAAATATTCTAAAATCAGATTGTGGTGATGGTTATACAACTCTGAATATACTAGAAGCCATGAAATTGTATTCTTTAAAAGGGAGAGATGTATGGCATGTACATTATATCTCAATAAAGCTGTTTTCAAAAAGCCATAGAAATCCAAATACCTTACTTTCAAGTAATTAAGAGGCATAGTTACCAGTTAGCTTAATTTGACCTAGTAACCCTCTGCTGTGAATAATAATAGCTAAGTAGCTTGAGTGGGTTCTTTGGAGTAGGCAGTTCATATAGGGTCTTATTTAATGTTCATAGTAAGCTTATGAGGAAGGAAACACTGTTATTTCACAGATGTGAACTCCATACTTAAAGAGTTTAAATACGTTCGTTAAAGCTATGCAGTTACTAGGGAATGGCAGTGAGATTGGAGCCGAGGCCTCCATCTCCAGAGCTCAGTTTCTGAAACACTGTGCTTATCTGAACATCTAGAACTGGCTTGATTTTTGACTGCCCTTCACTATAAACAACAATCATCCTGAATGTTAGTATCATTCTGAAGAGCCAGACAAGTTCTTTCATCTAGCTATGGCTTGATTTTATACAATAGGACCTACAAAACAGTTATTTACATATAATAGATCCTCAATAATCTATAATTTAATAGGCATTTACTGAAAATAATAATGTCTATGAGATTTTGCAACTTGAATTACATTTTAAAGCATCCAGGGATAAAACGGCTTGCTGTAGAAAGGGATCTCTTTGGCTTCTACATAAATAAAAATGGTAAATATCTTTCGTACCCATATAGCCACATTTTTAGGCTGCACTTATTTCAAGCAAGGTATTCTGACAACTGTTAGAGTTTGACAGTTTGAGACACGTTCTTTTGAAAATTTTTGGTCCCCGATGGTCTGTCTGAAATGCTGCCACTCCTGGGTCTAGCTCGGATAGGCCCGGAGGATTTTCTTCCCAATTCAGTGTAGTTCTGAGAACCACTGGCGGACCTGGCCTTCTGCAGCAAGCTTCACTCTGGCCACAAAACAATTAAGCACAGGGTACTGACATCTAAACCACTAGGGCAATCACTGCTTCCCATGAGACAAAAGCCAACTTTGTCCTGTAAAATCTTTTTAATACAGATAAGCAAAGATAGGAGCAAACCCAAAGCATGGGAGCAGGTAGGGCAGCGTTGGTCCACGCTCCTGCTCCTCTTGCATCCTGTTCAGAGGTCCAGGAGGACAGGGACCAGGCTGCAGTGCACCATACGTAACACCAGGTACATTCTGTGCCTAATGATAATTGTAATAACACAGACAAATTGTGGGCAAGTAATCCATAATGAAATATTACACCGTAAATTAGAGGGTCAAGACCCAGGATTTCCTGCATTGCATGGAAAAACATGGAAAATAACGCCTTCTAGGTATCTATATGTTACTTTATTTTTAACAAGGCTTTAAAAAAGACTTCTAATTAAATGTCAAATCCCCCTTGCTGATGGAGAACAAGATAGAGCAGGCTAGTCCAGAGTTCACATCTTAGTGGATTAGTGGTGTGACCTTGGCCAGATTTCCTTACAGGACTTGGCCTGAGTTTCATCATTGTTGAAGTAGGAGTAATAATATCTACCTCATCAGGATTGATGTGAGAATTAAACAGATGATGTATAAAAAGTGCTGAGAAGCCTGGTGCAGTGGCTCACACCTGAAATCCCAGTGCTTTGGGAGGTAGAGGTAGGAGGCTCACTTGAGGCCAGGAGTTCGAGACCAGCCTGGGCAGCCTAGCGAGACTCTGTCTCAAAAAAAAAAAAAAAAAAAAAAGTGGTGAGCCAAGTACCAATGTGGTGTCTCAGTAAAGAATAGCTGTTGTTGTTACTGCTAGTCCTAGTGGGTACATAAGATCTCAGAAATTGAGGAATGAGACCAAGGTTACTCAATATTGCCAGTGTCAAAGGAGGCCTATTTTTTTACTAAATTTCAGACAGTTTTCTCCCCTAGACAATCTTCTCCACAAATCCAGCCCTTTCCAAATGTGTCTGGCCACAGAAGTGAGCTATAAACAGAAAAAAAGTTACTAGGCCCTGCGATATTTAATAGGATGTTTTGGTTTAATACAAAAGTCAAAAACTTTAATAAAGTAAAAACTCTAGGGATTCCGTGAAAAAAAAAAAAAAATCAGGAGCTGGAGGCAGAACCATTCCAAAGGAAGTATAAATAACTTGTCAGAGTTTTAAGGAGACTTAGGATTCCATTATTAGCCCAAGTCATATCTATGCCTCTGCCCAGTGTCCTTCCCCATTAATAAGAGTATGGATGATGTGGCAATAGAAACTATCAACAGAGTAAACAGACAACTTACAGAATGAGAGAAAATTTTTGCAGATTATGCATTCAACAAAGGTCTAATATTCAGCATATGTAAGAAACTTAAACAAATTTACAAGAAGAAAAAACCAACCTAATTTAAAAAATGGACAAAGGACATGAACAGACATTTCTCAAAAGAAGACATATATGCAGCCAACAATCATAGGAAGAAAAGCTCAACTTCACTGATTAGAAAAATGCAAATCAGAGCCACAATGGGATACTATTATCTCAAGCCAGTCAGAATGGGTATTATTAAAAAGTCAAAAAATAACAGATGCTAGTGAGGCTGTGGAGAAAAGGAAATGCTTATACACTGTTGGTAAGAGTGTAAATTAGTTCAGCCATTGTGGAAGACAGTGTGGTGATTTCTCAAAGTCCTAAAGACAAAAATACTATTTGACCCAGCAATCCCATTACTTGGTATATACCCAAAGGAATATATATTGTTCTATTTATAAAGATACATTCATGTGTATGTTCATTGCAGCACCATTCACCATAGCAAAGACATGGAATCAACCTAAATGCCCATCAATGGTAGACTGCATAAAGAAAATTGTGGTACATATACATCATGGAACACTATGCAGCCATAAAAAGGTCCAAGATCATGTCCTTTGCAAAAACATGGATGGAGCTGGCAGCCATTCTCCTTAGCAAACTAATGCAGGAACAGAAAAGCAAATGCTGCATACTCTCACTTACAAGTGGGAGCTAAATGATTAGAACACATGGACACATAGAGGAGAACAACACACACTGGGGCCTATTGGAGGGTGGAGGTTGGGAGGAGGAAAAGGACCAGGAAAAGTAACTAATGAATACTAGACTTAATACCTGGGTGATGAAACAATTTGTACAACAAACCTCCATGACACAATTTTACCTATGTAACAAACTTGTACTTGTACCCCTGAACTTAAAAGTAAAAAAAAAGAAAAGAAAGAAAAGAAAAAAAAAAGAGTATAGGCGATGGAAACCAGCCAATCAGTCAGCAGCGTGACACTTCCCTCAAGCTGGTACTGACCTCATTCCTTTTTAGCTCTCCTCAGTCATGCCCGAGTTGGGAGATGACCACTAGAGAAGAATCTCTCTTCCCAGGCCAGAGGAATCACTTCCAAGCTGCTTCCTGTGGACCACAAGGCTGAGTTTGTTCTGCACAAATGGTAAAGGACTGACAAGTGTCTCAGGGAGCCTGATCCTGCTCCCTGATAACAAATATTCAGTTTTCCTTTTTACCCCTGATCTGAGATTCCTCTCTAATACCAAGATAAGGTAGATATTTATCCCTTCCCTCCTTTGTTTAAGAGAAGACTATTTGCACTACTCCAAATGTTTCATATTTTTTCTTATTTCACTGTATTAGTCTGTTTTTATGCTGCTGATGAAAGACATACTGGAAACTGGGCAATTTATAAAACAAAGAGGTTTATGGACTTACAGTTCCACATGGCAGGGGAGGTTTCACAATTATGGTGGAGGGCAAGGAGGAGCAAGTCACATCTTACGTGGATGGCAGCAAAGAAAGAGCTTGTGCAGAGAAACTCTCATTTTCAAAACCATCAGATCACATGAGACCCACTCGCCGTCAGAAGAACAGCACGGGAAAGACCCAAACCCATGATTCAATCATCTCCTACTGAGTCCCTCTCACATGGGAACCATGGGAGCCACAAGATGAGATTTGGGTGGGGACACAGCCAAGTCACATTATTCCACCCCAGCCCCTCCCAAATCTCCTATCTTCACATTTCAAAACCAATCACGCCATCCCAATGGTCCCCCAAAGTCTCAACTCATTTCAGCATTAACTCAAAAGTCCACAGTCCAAAGTCTTATCTGAGACAAAGCAAGTCCCTTCCACCAAGAGCCTGTAAAATCAAAAACAAATTAGTTACTTCCTAGATACAATAGGGGTACAGGCATTGGGTAAATACAGCCATTCCAAATGGGAGAAATTGGCCAAAACGAAGGAGCAACAGGCCCCATGCAAGTCCGAAATCCAGTGGGGCAGTCAAATCTTAAAGCTCCAAAATGATCTCCTTTGACTCCCTGTCTCACATCCAGGTCATGCTGATGCAAAAGGGGGGTTCTCATAGTCTTGGGCAGCTCTGCCCCTATGGCTTTGCAGGGTACAGCCTCCCTCCAGGCTGCTTTCACAGGCTGGCATTGAGTGTCTCTGGCTTTTCCAGGTGCAAGGTACAAGCTGTTGGTGTATCCACTATTCTGAGGCCTGGAGGATGGTGGCCCTCTTCTCACCGCTCCACTAGGCAGTGCCCCAGAAGGGACTCTGTGTGGGGCCTCCAATCCCACATTTTCCTTTGTCATTGCCCTAGCAGAGGTTCTCCGTGAGGGCCCTGCCCCTGCAGCAAACTTCTGCCTGGGCATCCAGGTGTTTCCATACCTCCTATGAAATCTAGGGGGAGGTTCTCAAACCTCAATTCTTGACTTTTGTGCACCCACAGTCTCAACACCATTAGCTCCTTACAGTTAAACTGTGACTCTATCTTGAATTCCATGATCACTCTATCCCAGGATAGATGGATTGTGAAATGACAGTGATATGGTTTGGCTCTGTGTCCCCACCCAAATCTCATCTCAAATTGTAATCCTCATGGAACCTGCCAAGGTTTGGGGTTTCCACCCTTTGAAGCAACAGCCCAAGCTGTACCTTGGTCCCTTTTAGCCAGGGCTGGAGCAGCTGGAACACAGGGTACCAAGTCCCTAGGCTGCATAGAGCAGGGGGTTCCCTAGGCTCAGGCCAGGAAGCCATCTTTTCTTTCCAGGACTCTGGACCTGTGATGGGAGGGGCTGCCATGAAGACCTCTGACCTGCACTGGAGACATTTTCCCCATTGTCCTGGGGATTAACATTCAGTTCCTTGTTACTTATGCAAATTTCTACAGCTGGCTTAAGTTTCTCCCCCAGAAAATGGGATTTTCCTTTCTATCACATTGTCAGGCTGCAAATTTTCTGAACTTTTATCCTCCATTTCCCTTTTAAAACCGAATGCCTTTAACAGCAAGTAAGTCACCTCTTGAATGCTTTGCTGCTTAGAAATGTCTTCTGCCAAATATCCTAAATGATCTCTCTCAAGTTCAAAGTTCCACAAATCTCTAGGGCAGGGACAAAATGTTGCCAGTCTCTTTGCTAAAACAGAAAAAGAGTCACGTTTGCTCCAGTTCGCATTGAGTTCCTCATTTCCATCTGAGACCACCTCAGCCTGGACCTTATTGTTGATATCACCATCAGCATTTTTGTCAAAACCATTCAACAAGTCTCCAGGAAGTTCCAAACTTTCCCACATTTTCCTGTCTTCCTCTGAGCCCTCCAAACTGTTCCAACCTCTGTGTGTTACCCAGTTCCAAAGTCTCTTCCACATTTTCAGGTATATTTTCAGCAACACCCCACTCCTGGTACCATTTTACTGTATTAGTGCGTTTTCATGCTGCTGATAAATATGTACCCGAGACTGGGCAATTTACAAAACAAAGAGGTTTATTAGACTTACAGTTCCACATGTAAGTGTGGAGGCCTCACAATCATGGCATAAGGCAAGGAGGAGCAAGTCACATCTTATGTGGATGGCAGCAGGCAAAGAAAGAGCTTGTGCAGAGAAACTCCCATTTTCAAAACCATCAGCTCTCGTGAGACCCACTCACTATCACAAGAACAGCAAGGGAAAGACCTGCCCCCATGATTCAGTCATCTCCCACTAGCTCCTTCCCATAATATGTGGGAACCATGGGAGCCACAAGATAAGATTTGGGTGAGTACGCAGGGCCAAACCACTTCATTCACTAAATCCATTATAAGTTTCCTTTAAAGCACTTAAATTAAGGCTTTACCCTACCAATTATTTGTATTTGTTTTTACAACCTTTTGATATGTTTTCAAATTGTTTGTATCTCATTATGTTCTGTTCATCCTCCTACAATTTGAAGACTGGCTTTTGTTTTTTCCACCCCATCCCAGTGCTTCCCAAATTGTAGTATTCTATACACAGTCACAAAGTAATCAACATAACTGCATCCACTCTGTCTTAAGGTTTGTAGGTTAGGCTCCATGGAAACATATGGAAATAAAGATAAACACCCCTCTCCTACACACACATGAACACACACCACACACAAGAGCAGGGTGAGAATGAGACAGAGAGTGTGTGTAAGGTGAGGAATGGCAACAATGGCTAAATTATTTTAACGCAGTGATATCTCACACAACATCCCTAATTGCCCTCATGTTCTTAAATCTTCTGGTTCATAAGAACTATGTTGCTATACATTTTTTTGAAATTTCAGGCTGGTGGTTGCAAAATGGGTTATTTAGACGGTAAGAAAATAGGTATTTGGACTGGTCATGGAAGAAAAAAGTCACTAGGCTGGTGAGTTCAAATTCTGTCTCTTCTGTGGCTTTGCTGAGAAAGTTAAGGAAGTCATTGCCTTGTCTCCCTGTCTACAGTCCAATGAAGAAGGCAATTAAGAGGATGCCTTGAACCCAGCCTCCACAGAGAGAAAAATATCCCCCTTTTTTTCTACATCACCTGCCCTTGGACTAGAATTTCATAATTCTCTTCAAACTATTCATTTTGTTACTTCAGGATATAGTAAGTAAAGCTATTGCTTTAGTTAAGCTTTTTCAGCAATAAGTTAGCAATCAAAAACTTTTTTTATGCTGATGACTGTTTTAGTTTTGAAATATTTCAAGATTTTTCTATTAAAATTTTTTTCCTATCCTGTGAAATATCTTCACATTGCTAGTACACCTTTACACTTCCAAAAATCCTGTGAGCTTATTTGTTTTGATTATGAGAAAACTGAATTAAGGAGGTTCAGTAATTTGCCCAATAACACACTATTAGCAAAAATTTGGGTTGAGACTCAAACCAAACCAATTTGTCTCCAAATCCTACTCTTTGTACTTATGCTAGCTGCACAGTGGACCTCAGTAGATACTATTTGGCCTACTACTCCACTCAACACAGATGGAGGGCCAGAAATTTCCTGGACCTAAAGGAAATACATACCAGATCAATTACATCAACACAGGGAATTCTGAGTTTGATTTGCAGTTTCTGGCAATATATCCCATTGCCCTATAATATATTCAGTTACTCCTTTTTTACATTGGGAACCCTCAACAGCTCAGATAATCTTTTACATTTAGTTCAGTTCCTTTCCTGCTCCCCAATCTTAGTTTAAAATTCTCCACAGAGTGGGTGTAGAGAATTTTAAACTAAGCATGAAAAAATATTCTCATCTTTTTCATAAAAAAACACGAAATCACAGAGACCCAGGGATCTCTAGCTAAGAGGCCCCATAGTCAGAAACACTGTAAAAAGATCATAGCTGACACCACAGTTGGTGAAAATAACAGCCTGCAAGCTGTGCCAAAAGCCCTTTTTCCTCATCTAATCCCCTATCATTCTTCTGATACAAGACAGCAAATGCATTAAATCCTTTAAACATTCATAGCAAGTTGGTATAAAGGTAGTACATTTTAAGAGTTGAAAGAATGTCTATAAACACACTCACACACATATGTATATATCCATCCACAAATAATACTACATAGTTTTTTAAAAAAAATAGGTTCAGTAGAGACTTAAAATAGTCATTTAATCTAATTGATGCCATGTATGACAGTAAAGAAGCTAGCTATGCCCAAGTTAGATTTAAGGAGTACATTTTCCATCTTTTGCTTCTCTGGAAAAATCAGTCACCACAACAAGCCCAGTATATATGGTTTTTGTTTATTGTTTCCTCCCTGGAACATTAAAGTGGTCTTGGATATCAGAGAGTAAACAGGCATCTGACTGTCACCCTACCAGCTGGCAGATTCAAGTGTCACAGCTAAAGCCCACACCTGCTTAGTTTCCTACAGAATCATCACTTTAATTAGAATTAGATATTGGTCTGTGAGTATGTGTTCTAATTTTATTTTTTATTTTAAATCTTGCTTTGGCATGCAATATCTTTTTAGATTCTTTGAAGGGAATAAGTATGCTTATCCCAAGAAACCAGTAGGGTTATATTCAAAGCAATGCACCCAGTAGGTTCACATCATTCTGGCATGTATCATCTGAAACCCATGAGTACCATGTGAGGGCTCTGTCATTTGGCTGTGCTGCTGTCATCTTTTGATGGTCCCTGATAGCATTCCATTTCAGTTTGAAAGAACCCATCACTCTAATAGGTGGGCTTGCTCTAACCATAGATACGTATTTCTGCTTTGATAAAATGTAGAATTATTTATATTATGGATAGCTCTATTTGTTTTTCTTGAATCACTCAGCTATACAGTATGCTGAATGACATATAAATATAGAAATTATGGAAATAGAGAAAGCATTTTATCCAATGCAGATCCTGAGTTGCTAAAAATGAGTCACTAAAATTTCCCACTAGGGTGGCATTTCAAATCTAACCTTGTCCCAAATAACAACTGACCACCAATTTCTTTGATTCCCAAGAATGGAGAGCACTGCAGTGTGACTCAGGCACAGAGTGTTGGCTGTTTCAGCTTGAAGCACTCACCTAGGAGGAAAGTAAAGGAAAAAATGCACACACACATACACACACAAACACACACACACACACACACACACACACACACACACACACACTGCATGTGCTCTGACATCCTGCAGCAGTAAGAGAACACACAGAGGAATTCCGCTACCTGTCCCTAGCTCCCCACACTCCCCCCTGCCCTTGCCCCACAGGCCCATTCTAAACGTGCAAACAGTATCGGTATAAGTGTTTGTAAACAAGGAACTTTGAAGATGTTTCTAATTCTAATTATAAACAGTCCGAGCTAAAATTAGAAACCCAATCTGTTCACTTTAAAAAAAAAAATTAAAAAGCTCTCCAAAAGGGTCTATTTAAATAAAGCAGCCAGTAAGCTCTGATTTGGCAAGGAGTGGTGAACTCTGGTGACACAGCCAGGGAACTGCTAATTGTCAGCATTTCCACTGTGCCATGAGGTATGCTTCCTAGTTCCTAGTGAAGAAAGCCATGATTCTCATCCATTGTCATAGTATGATACTGTCTTCTCTGGGACAGGACATTAATGACACCTCTTTACTCGGTGGCCTGATATCTCCCTTTATAACCTCAAACATGTTAAAATGCATTCTCATAAATTCCTATTTTTCCTTTTGCTTCCAGCTCCAGTGCAAATTTAACGCCAAACATTAAGCATTACTTGGCATTCACAAACACACACACAAAGACTTAATAATAACCTCTGTATAGATGCTCAAGTCTTGACATCCATCAAGAAACTCAGCAAAGAAGACAAACTTCATACATCTGTAGGGCTATCACACCACATTCCAATCCTAGACCCAGCAAAGTAAGCTGCCCTCACCAACTGCAGCTAAATTGGGCCTCAAAGATGCTTTCCATAAATGGAAAGAAGGAAGCTGGGTTCAGTTACAAAGAGGAAGCTTTTCTCTCCCATTTACACAAACAATATAAAATTGCCAGACTCAACCTGAAAAGTTTGTGTCATTTTCAAAGCCTATCAATAATAAATGAATAGTGCACAACTTATCTCTAATTAACCAAAATTCTCAGTTATATTTCCTAAAATGAAACACGTCATTGTTGGCCCTTTTTGGTCTTACAATACCATTCCTTAGTACTTTCATTAAAGAGCCATCATCTTAACCAGAATTTTAAATTTAGCTACTTTTGTACTTATTTTCATTGCTCTTACATTGAGCCAACTTCTCAGGATAAGAGGCAAAGAATAATGGGGATTTTTTTGCACCCCAATCCTGGCTCTTAAAAACATATATAAACAACAATTTGAGTCATATTACTAAAAAAAAGTGTTAATGTTCTTTATATAGATTGTGCCCATACAGGAACAAGTCAAAAACTAAGAACTCAAAATAGAGAGCTAAATGTCAGTTATCTGGGATTACAGAAAATATAGATAATGGTCCCTCCTTAATACTAACTCACTACATATTAGCAACAGCTTCAGTCTCATCCCTTCCCTAATACCACTACCCAGAGCTCTGAAGAAAAGAAAAAAAAAACTGCCAGATTTTAACTTTACCTTTCTCCAATTTTTAGAAAAGAAACCGATAGGAATAATATAGCCAAAGGCAAATAAAAATAGAAAAAAAAAGTGTGGATCATTTTACTATTGTACCCTCAATCTCAAGACCCAGTCAATTATTGAATAAGGCAATAATTGGCTTTCAAGTTTACTGAAGTAGGTAGCAGACTTTGAAATGCAGAAGCTCAAGGCACGTCTTCTTCCTCCATAGGATGTACAATAGATCATTCTGACATTCTGTCCACTGACCACCCTCCCTTTTGGCTACATGGAAGTCCTTGCCCAGATTGGCCTCTGTGACTAGCCACTGCACATTAGCCTCCCTAATACCTTGGGCTCTCCTGCCTCCCTAATTTTCTCAACCATGGGGACCCTCCTGCCATCTGTACACACTCACTGTGTTCATTAACTACAGGGCTGTACTAAAAAGATTCATGTAATGACAATTGTATCCCATTGCAAGTTTCTTCTATATTAAATTAAATTAATGTGACCCATTCCTGGAAATCTTTAATTCATCTCTTGTTGGTTCCTAACGTAATTCACATACTAACTATTCCAAACCTAATCTGTACACCTTCACTCCCTATGCTGACCTCCATCTCAGCTTACCAGTGAGACTAAAGGGCAATTGCAGCTCCAGATAACTTAGAAAGAGGGACACAATCATTGACTATAAATGACACATAAAGTCTGAGTCCATTTTCATATTTTCTGACTGGCACTTTTTAAGAAAAAAACCAGCTCTGCAGGAAAATGGACTTCCTGCCGAAAGCTTCAGCAAAAACAGCCACCAGAATAATTCACTGGCACTTGGTTATTAAAATCCCTGACAGGTATTACTTAAGATGTTAGAAAATTATTCAGGCACACGTGTACACATATATCTACCTTCTATGCTTGTGCACTCACACACAGACACACACAAACACACTCACATTTTTAGTAAGTACTCATTAAGCTATCTGAGATATTAAAACTAATCACGGCAGTTTTCCTTTAATGTTATCCTCAGCATAAAGAGAAATGAGCCCATTGTCATTTATTTTAAAATCATTCTTTATAAAAAATAGCTAATCTCCAGAAGCACACCTGGTTTATTGAAGTGAATACAAAGATGCAGCATATAGCCTTAATGTGCTCAGCTGGGGAAATATATTTTTTTAAATGAGCATTTGTTAGGGCTTTATTTGCAAATGCAAAACTATCCAAGGCACTCTTTGTGCATGTAGAGATTTGTCATTTCAAAAACCACATTAATATAGGAGGATTCTCATCAACCCCTAAAAGCAGCAAAAAAAAATTAACCCTTGCGGGATTGTAAACGACAAAAACCCCATAAGACCAGGTCAAAGGAAGTTCAGGAACCAGGAAACCATTGACACAACCCAGAAGTGAATCCAAGAGAAACTTCTAACATAACAGTCTCCCCACAAAATCTCCAGACTCATATATTCAAAGTGAAAGGATCTGCAGAGTTGACTCGGGTATTAAAAGTGGGAGAAAAGGGGGGACCTGCTAGAGTAAACCCATTAACTACCCTTGGGACCTCCCAAAGGAAAATGATGAGAAGTCTCGAGCTTTCCCTGATCTCCTGAGATGGCTGGTCTTTGTGAGGAGGCACGAGGTTGCCCCAGTTTCCAAGGATGGGATATTGGAAGGTTTGCACAGCAAGGCCATGTGGGATAGCACGTGTGGCTCTTGGCCATGTTAACCGGGCTTTTCCTAGATACGACGGCAGTTGTCGTTTTTTTTTCATTTGATCAGGGAATGTAATACATCTTCAAAACAATTTTCACCCAACCGGTCAGAGATGTTAAAATCCAACCCTGAAAGCCTCCCTTGGGCGCTTTCCCTCAGAGGCACACTGTCCTTTGCTGCTATGTTTCTTTTGAAATATGTAATTTTCACAAAAAAATCTTTGGAGTGTTTGCTTCTTTAGGATTTTTTAAGTATTTAAAAATAAAATCAAAGTATATAGTTAGTATAGATTGAGATGCCTTTCCATTTGGGAGCAGAAGAAAATAATAATTCTGCTAAATGACAAGAGGAACACAATAAGAGCAAGTAGGTTGGCATTTCCAGTGCTAAAAAACATAATGTCCGTGCAGCTCACTGTGACCCAAAAGAGTTAAGGCATGTCGCCAATAAAAGGAATTATGTCAGGAACCACTGAGAGCCTAAGCTGCACATTCCTTTCAAAAAAAAAAAAACCTAAAATTAGTGCTAACTTTTTCTACTTATACCCCTGATGGATACTAGCATAATACCAGGAGATACTTCCTAACTTTTAATTTTATATCCCTATAGCACCTAGCACAGTATCTTATACAAAAGAGATGATCAAGAAATAGGTGTTGGATTGACCAAATGAATCCACCTGCTAGCACTGCATCAAGAAAGACATGTTAGCCAAGTACACCTAAATTAGTTTACTGACTCTTTAGCCTAAAACCCTTTGATGGCTTTCCATTACCCACCTTCAGATAACATTCAAGAATCTTCTAATTATTTAGCTCCTACCTACATTTATAGCTTCATCTCTCATCAAGAATTTTGCAAGTATTTGGGGCATAAAGTAATAATAAAGTTGATTTTTGAGAGGAAAATCTTAAGAATCACACAGAATGGGATAAGAATGGAGATATGGTGGCTCAGGCCTGTAATCCCAACACTTCAGGAGGCCAGTGCAGGAGGATCTCTTGAGTCCAGGAGTTCGAGACCAGCCTGGGCAACATAGTGAGACCCCATCTCTACAAATGATCAAAAATTAGCCAGGTGTGGTGGTATGCACCTGTAGTCCCAACTACTCAGGAGGCTGAGGCGGGAGAATTGCTTATGCCAAGGAATTTTAGGCTGCAATGAGCCATAATTATGCCACAGGCACTCAGCTTGAGCAACAGTGGTGAGATCCTGTCTCATAAAAAAAAAGGGGGGGGAATGGAAGATATGCAACATCATTGGAAAGAGACAAAATTATTCCTTAGTTGGTAAGATTTGTTGTAAGCTGATTGAATATATTAACATATGTAAGTGAAGGATGTGTTACTCAAAAAGGGAGGCAGCATGATCAGCCATGGGATATGCCATGGGAGAAGGAGTACTAATCAATATACTTACATAACATCTGGTCTCGATGGTAAGCCTGTGCCTACCATGAAGTGGTTGTATCAAACTACTTATCATTTGAATAATCTAGTTACCATCTTCTAATTTAATACCCATCTACCAACTTTATGATTATAATGTGATTTCCTAAAGAAGTATCGTTTTTGAGCCATAAATCTGTATATCCTACTGATTACTAAATATGTCCACTTGGATGTCTCATAGGAACCTCAAATTTGGCATGTCCAAAACTGGGCTAATCCTCCCAACCAATTCTTTTTCCAGTGTTTTGCATCTTGGTAAATGGCACTGTCATCCATCCATGAAACCCAGAAACCTCGGACTCTCACATTCAGTCAATTCACCTCATCTAATTAAGCACCAAATACTGTCAATCCCACCTTCTAGATATTTTTCTAATCCATTAATTTCCCTCCATCCCCATTGTCATCACTCAAGTCCAAGCTACGAATATCTTTCTGAGGAGACCTTGTTTCTATTTTTAGTAGGGAGAATATTTTGGAAATAATAAATAGATACATTAAATCATATTCTGTTGCACCTATCCATTTTCACAGCTAGGCCATGATGATCATTGTTCCAATGGGGGAAGCAGATGGGAATGACCAAGAAGAAAGAAGAAATTTTTCAGCTTTGAGTCTCAAAGCTGACTTGCTTGATCTCTGTAGCTAGACAGAAGCCTCAAAAGCCAGGCTTTGTACAAAGAGAGAAAAGGAATTCTAAATCCCATAGTTAAGTGCTTTGGCTTTTATACCAGATTGTGTGTTTGACTATAGGCCAAGGGAGAGAGAATATGCAATGGAACTAGAGAAAAGAAGTAGCCCACATTTCCAGACCACGGTATCGGGGAAGAAGAAGAAGATGGACAGAGGTAGCTGTAGCAGACCAAGAAATATGTGTAGTAGCTCACTTCTCTGAAGTGCTGGATCAGGTGGGCATCTAAAGAGTCTTTCTCTCCTTCCTATTTGAGTCTGTCTTTCAGGGTCCTCCCTAACTAGAGGAGCCCAGAGTAGAGGTGAAGGGAAACACAAGTTAGCAGAGAGTAAGTGTAAGGGTAGCTTCCCAGTTGTCTCTTTGGCTTCAAGGTAGTACAGCAGGATCTAGGAGGTCCTGTGTGCTCAGTGGAGGGACAAGGGCAGTCGCTGACGGTACTGGTTAGAGAGGCCACAGAGGGCTTGGGCTGGGAGGTGGAGAGTAGAGGGTATTCTGTTGGATTCCAGATGGAACACGGAGTCAGACTTCAGACAGCCATGATGCAATAGTGTCAGAGAGAGCTCAGGTGCAACGAGGCAGCAGAGGGGACTGCCAGGCCCCAATCTAGCTGAAATAGAACAGACATTGAGTTCAGCAGCTACAGAGTTCAACTGCAAATGGAGGCAGGGCTGCATGACCAGGCCAACAACGAGGGTGCTATTCCTGCAGAGGGCAGCAGTGAGGACCCAGAAGTCACTCAAACACTCCTATGCAGAAACCAGGCCCCCTTCCACCAATGCCACAGGCACAAGAAGCTCTTGCATCCCAACTGGGTAGATAACTCTTGACTCAGAAGTTCCCTGAAATGAGCCATTTTAAAGGAAAGGAGACTAAATGTATCTGGAGAGACTAGGATATGATGTATTTCCCTGTTACCCACTGGAGTCAGAACTTACGAGGAAAATCAGAGTAGCCAGAGAAAATGAAGACTTCAACATTTTCTTTACATGTCTGAGCATAGTGTGAGTAAATTTTCAACTCTGCAACATACCCTGGCCCCACTCTATCTGCTCTCAACTTGTAGCCACAGTGGGTTTTGAAAATGAACATTGAATTATACAGTACAGGTTGTGAAAACCCTTCCCATGTCTTCCTTTGCCCATTGGATAGTGATCAAAATCCTCACTGTGGCTAACAAGCCCTTCATAATCAGGCACTCCTTTCCTCTCCATGACCACCTCCTGCCTTGCCTAGCTCCTCTGTCACTCCAGGGCCCTGGTCATCATGGTCTCCTCAGTTTCTTGAGCTAACATTCTCTCAACACAAAATGCTATCTCCAAAGCTCCTCCCTCACTCCAAATTCTATTCATCATTCAGGTTGGAACTCAGCTATTTCTTTCTTAGATAAGCCTTTCCTGACCAGGATTTTCATCTCTGAAAAATTCTTGGTTATGCAAACTAATTTTCTGAGTGTAGGAATTCTCAGAGCCTTTACTATGCTACTGTGAATCTCCAAGAAGGAGAATGAAGCCGGCACAGTCTCCTAAACCTATTTGCCTGGGGTACAATTTTCTCCATCTCACTGAATTGCTATCTGCAAGAAATCATTTGGTAATTGCTGACTTATGAGATTCACAGGACCAAGAATCATGTCTCTTTGAAGACCAAAGCATAACTAAAAGTAGTAAAGCTTCTTGGAAAAGAGAAGATATACTATGCCTATCAAGGGGAGAAACTGTTGAATTTGTTTTGAGAAGGTGCTAAGGCAGTCATATAGCAGAGAAGAGAAGAAAAAAGAATAACTTGTGTGTCCATTGGTACTGTCAAGAAGATCTAGAGGTGAGTGTAGGAACTTGCCCTGTGTAGGGCACTCATGATCTCTCCACTGGGCAAGGTCCTCCACCCAATTCCTTGGCCCATGGTTGCGGCCTGAGCTCCAAGCACCACAGGCTGCATTAGAATTGGTTCCAATCCAGGGAGATCAGCCAGTGTCATTCGTGAGAAGTCAACAGCAGCTTTTCTGGCAGCCAGAAGAAAGAGGCCACAAGAAAAGAAAGTGATCCAGAATGGGGCAGAAAGTGAAGTGAAAGCAGCTGGTCTTCTCTGCTCCCATTTGGGAAGACTGGATGGAAAGGGCTTAGCTCTGAGACACAGATGCCATCATTCTGCATAAGCAAAATAAGTACATCTATGAACAAGAGCAGAAGTATGAGAACACTTCACAACAGAAGATTTATGGCATTATCCACAAGGAGCAAACGTCACTGTAAGTCAGATGTGTTTGAATCCCATTCAAGGGAATTTAATAACTGAGATGTCAAAGAACCTTATTAGAAGGCAATCTTACCTATGTGATCCTCTGACCTGGACCTCAAGGATCATCTACAGTGATGTGCCAAGATATTTGAGCTGGGGGGGTGAAAAAGAACTTCTGGCAACACAGCTTAATGAATGGATTCTTTGGCCCAGAGAAGTTGCTGAAGTAGTAAAATGAGACGCAGTCCAACAAAAATTAGGTTACACATGAGAAAGATCTTGATAAAATATAGCCCTTCTCCAGAAAAACTACATTATTTTCTATTAGATGGGATAGACCACATAACCTGTGCAGCTTTATCATCTGAGGTCTTAGGTCATTTGGGGACAACTGAAGTTTGAACAAGAGGAGCCAGGCATTCTGCACGTGAGTGAAGACTTACCTGGAGGTTATTGGTGGAGAAGCCAAGCCTCTCCTCCTGTTCATAAGAAACTACACAGAGAGGCAGGTGACTGGGGATCAATTGACAAAATGGCAATCTCCAATAGCCAATACTCTCAGAATGATGTTATGATTGACAGAGCAAAATTTCCAGGGTAGAATGAGAAAGCTCGGGCCATCCTCTACCCAAACCGAGATGTGGACCACATCTCTGTTCTCTTAGCCACTGCCTTTTCCTCAATGTTTTTGTTTACAAATGGTCACAGCAGATAGACTCTCACCAAAATAAATGAATCACAAAGCTAATAGTAAGTCTGGGGACAGTCATAGCCCAGCTCACTGTGTTACCTGGGCTTGAATGTCAGTACGGGCTATTAGAAGACCTTTCTAGGGCTCCAAATGATAAAAATAGTGCTGTTTTAGATGACTGCTCTGGTCAAGGAACATTGCTTTGGCCATTCAGGTTAGAAATAGCCAGGTGTGGGAAGGACTCAGTGAACAGAACAGACTCCAAGGTGGAAAGAGGAATCTTTTTTAAGGCATGCACATAGACTGACAAAGGGAAAAAAGAAATCGGGAAGAAAGGTTTTGTGAAAGACTTTTTTCCTTCTTATTTCATATCCAGGATCTAAGGCCTAGTACTGGCCAGAAGGCTGAAGTCAGCAGTTACGTGTCCTCAGGTGGTTCTGAGATAAGAGCAGAAGGAGTGGATAATGGGGGCGGGGGGGGGGGGTGCCAGGGGAATTGTAAGACTGGGTCATTCTTGGCTTGAACCTAAGAGGGTTTCCCTTTAGGTATTATCCTGAAGAAAGCTCCAGGCAACCTTAGGCTGATTCTTCACTTGTCACTTCTAAAAGGTGAATCAGTTAACGCTTACAATGACTGACTCTGTCCTACTGTTCAGGTTCACACGCACCTTCTAATTATAAGAAACAGGCTTCTTGGGCTTCTCCAGGCAAAAACTGAGAGGAAGCCAACATTATTTTTGCTGTTACTGCAACATCCAAATAACTTTGCATCTGCTGGAGCCTCCAATTAAAAGGGCAATGATGATGAGTCAATGCACCCCACTGGCATGGGCCATCCTTTACTTATGTTTCAGAAACAATCACTGCTCCATTTTCTGTATTAAGAGGTGAGAGAGAAATGAGCCATATGGAATAGGAGTTGGCCCGAGAGACAAGATACCTGGGTTATGGCCTGACCATGCTTTTAAACAGATGAATGGCCATATGCAAAACAACTTATCCCATCTGGAGTCCTATTCTGCCCTCCCATCCCCATACTCCTTTTTTTAAAGACAGGGTCTCACTTTGTTGGCCTGGCTGGAGTGCAGTAGCACAATCATAGCTCACTGCAGCCTCTAACTCCTGGGCTCAAGCAATCCTCCCCCCTCAGCCTCCTGAGTAGTTGGAAACCACAGGCTCACACCACCACACCCAGATAATTATTTATTTATTTATTTATTTTAGAGACAGGGTCTTGCTATGTTCCCCAGGCTGACCTCAAACTCCTGGGCTCAAGCAATCCTCCCACCTCAGCCTGCTAAGTTGCCCAGATTACAGGCACGAGCCACTACACTCAGCCTATTTCCCATTTATAAAATACAGAAAGGTTCTGTGAAAATAAGAATGGCAAGAGCATAGAAATCACTTTGGATAAAGTACTCGATCAGAATGATTTCAAGATGTAGAGGAAGACATACTAAGAATGCAAAATGGAATTACACCTTGGATTTTTAGACTGAATTTTAAAACTATGAAGAAAGTGTCACTGCAACTTCAGCAGAAGTGCCAGAGAATGAACTGAGATGATTCAAAACAGATCAACTTTAAGATTTGGTGCAGAAAATGATCTCCACATATCCAAAGGCACTTTGGGCAAGCCTGAAGCAGATGCTGGGGCAGGTTTCATAGTGACTAAACGCATCAACATCAAAAGAATCTCCATCTGTAAATCACTCCACGTGAATTATTTGTTACAGCTTGAGTAGTAACCACATATTACATTCAGGTTAGAATGTTACTCTGTCTCACTCCCCATCTTTCTAAAAGGATCTAAGAGAGACCTAGGTGTTCAGAACCAGGAATTTAATAACATCTTTGACAGAATATCCAAGAGTTCTTCAAAAGAACCAAAGGTTTCCCTTGACTTGACTGAACATTGCTAGACTTCCAAAGGGACAACTGCTAGTCAATAACTAAATAAGCATTTTTAGAAGAGGATAGCTTCTACCTTCCTATTGGGGTGAGGGATAATGAGGACTGCAATCTGGCTAATGTTGATCATTAACAACAGCAGGGCATTCCTTAAGTGGTTTCTCCGAGGCAGTCTGGGGCAGCTGGTTAAGAAATCTTGCATCTTCCAGCCAGAGTCCATGGACTAGTCACGCTTGATCACTAAAAGGGCTTTACATATCATGGGAGCTTTGATGAAAATAAATAGACCTCCTAAAGATGGACATGGAGATCCAGAGGTACCTTGCTTTCAACTTCCTTCATTCATTCTTCCTTGGTTATATCAAAATTGCATATCCTTTACCAGGCACAATGTTGTACACCTGTAATCCCAGCTGGGAGGCTGAGGTGGAAGGATTGCTTGAGCCTAGAAGTTTGATACCAGCTGAGGTAACATAGCAAAATCCCATCTTAAAAAAAAAAAAAAAAAAAACAGAAAGAAAAAAAGAAAAGGCTGGGCAGGGTGGCTCATGCCTGTAATCCCAGAACTCTGTGAGGCTGAGGCAGATAGATCACTTAAGGTCAGGAGTTCGAGACCAGCCTGGCCAACATGGTGAAACCCCGTTTCTACTAAAAATACAAAAATTAGCCAGGCATAGTAGTAGGTGCCTGTAATCCCAGCTGCTCAGGGGGCTGAGGCAGGAGAATCGCTTGAACCTAGGAGATAGAGGTTGCAGTGAGCCGAGATTGCGCCACTGCACTCCAGCCTGGGCAACAGAGTGAGATTCTGTCCCAAAGCCAAAAAAAAGAAAGAAAGAAAGAAAGAAAGAAAGAAAGAAATGCCTGCTGTAATGGGGTTGCAAAAACAAAATCTCAAAATGCTGTAGAAAAATTATGTCATTTGTGTTTTAGTCATTAGATGTCCATAGATTATTCAAGAATAAATATTAATACAAAAAATTGCATGTTACCAAAATGAGTTCTTGTGTTCCAAATAATTTGCATGGCATGACAAATAAATTATTGGCCTGGTTTCTAAAATGTGGTAGTTGTTTTGTTTTTTACCCTGATAGTGCAGAAGAAGAGTCCCTTTGTGTTCTTTTGCCAGCCACCAAAGGGCTGGCTATCGTCATGGTTATTATCACCAGACATGGGGGCAACATGGGAAGAAGGGGTTGGCACATTTTTCTAGGAGTAAGGGCATTTGGAAACTCCATGGTGGGTCCCAATGGCACAAAGGCTCTTGTGTATGGTACTACTTTACAAGAAAGTCTCAGCCAATTCCTCAGCAGCTGTGAAGTTGTCAGCCGTGGCGTTCTTTACAAAGCTGGGTGGCTGCTTACTGCTGACATGTTTGGTTTTGAGCTCTGAAAAAAAAAAAAAGCCTCACTGGAATGTTGAGCTAGGCAAAGACAGCAGATGCCCACAATGAAAAAAGCCCATTGTACATCAGGTGCTTAGGAAGTTTCTGGAAACTATTGACAAAACATGGGTATTTTTCTACTAAGTTTGCACTTAGCCATTTCAGTTGTTTTTCATCAAAATCTCTCAACTTCCCCCTCCTGTACTTGACAGCCAGATTAGAGATGATCCAATAGGCTATTGATCATACTTTCTTCTAAAGGTCATACTGGGGGGGAGCATAAATGCTCAAGAAACCACACACTTCTCCAAGTAAGAGGCACATTTTATTTGCCTTCCTATTTAACCTCATATGGGCTTTTATTAATACCAAAACTCAGAAACGTCTTGGAAATGTCCACGTGAGGTTTGGTATAGGGATCATTTTCTGAGATTTTCTCAATTTGAGGGTCGACTCAAAAGAAAGGACAAAATATGTGTGACAATCTTCCTAGATGTTAGTCTAAGCAAAGACTACTTAACAGCATATTTCAGTATCTTCTAATGGAAGAAAAACAGTCTCCCTTCGAGGAGGTTGCAACACCAGTTCCTGGGACTAGATCTTGCCACAACTGTGTCTATTTAGGTTGTAATGACCTGAAAAAACCTAAATGTATGGCTACTGTGGTTATTATACAGGTGCCTGGCAATAAAATACTACGCCTTAGCAAATGAAGAGACATAGGAGGTGAAGAAAGGTCAAAAAAAAAACACAGATGAGAAATCAATGTCAAAAGAGGTCACTTTATGAGCTTCAAAGGAAGCTACGGTCATTGATTATAATATCACTGAAACAACACAGGCCCTGTGAGATCTGAAATTACATTTCCAGTCTGAATTTATAGAACTCACTGCAGACTCTGGTTGTGATTGTAGCACATTAATGGGGGCCTACCAAGTAAGCATGATTTAGATGGGCACAGGCAGAGGTGAATTCAGTTTTTCCTGGGTTTAGATGACTAGGTGTGCGATCAAGAAAAGTTCAGAATAGGTTTCTTCTGCAATTTAAGGGACATTGCTGGTAACAGTTAGGGGCTAGAACAAACTTTCAAAAACACAAATCTAATTATGTCAGTGTCTTGCTTACAAACCACCAATAGCCCTTTTTTTCATGCATGATGAGGTTTAGAATCCTTAGACAATAGGCAAGGCCTTTCTGGTGAGGTGTTGTGCTGAACCCCTATTAACCTCAAAGGGAAAGCATGAGGTTCAAGGGGTAGAAGAAGAGACTCAGAGCCAATAAACAAGATGTGGGGTTTCATTAGGGAATTATAGAGGGGAGAGAGTCCAGTGGTGGCTGGCTGTACAGGAGAACCACCTTATATACAGAAACAGTCCAGTGGCAGTGAGCTGCACAAGATATTCACTTTCCTACAGTCCAGTGGCAGGTTGGGCAGGAAAAAAACTGCAACCACTTGCAAACAGTATGCACTTTATATAACATTTCCACTTAACACCCTCCCCTTAATGCCCTCCACCTGGCAACCTTCATGTACCCCAAAACCAGGGCTTCAACCCCCTGTACAGCCATGGGATAGGCTGGGGCTCAGATGTTCCTCATAGACAAAGAATGAATCTCCAGGTTGGCCACTTCTGGATTCCCTCCTCAGATATGTCTGCCACACAGGGTCATTCTAAGGGTATGCCTAAGTTATTGCTCTCAGGTACATTTACACTACATGAGGCCACCAGAGTCTCCTTTTCAGATCATCTGAGTCTCCAACTATACTAAAATTCTTTCAGTTTTCCACATCCACTGTCCTCTTCCCCACACCCAGATGTCTATACAATTCTTTTCTGGCTGCAATGCCCTCTCTTTTCTAGTAAAATATTCCTTCATTCTTTCCTTGTCCCTTTTCCTTTTCATAGTAGATCCTAGGCTCACCAAACTGTATCTCCTTTTCTCCTTGGGTACACAGCTACACTGCCCTTCCCAGCTTCCCTTGCTGTCAGGTAGGTCTACATGATGGAACTCTGGCCAATGGAACATGGGTGAAAATTATATTTAACATTTCTGGTCCCTAAAATCCTTTTTTGAGATCCTCCATGTTCTCTTTCTCCCAGTGATTCCAATTCTGAGGCCCTTGGGAGTGGCCTTGGGTACCTGAATAACTACTTGGAGCAGAAAAGCCTACTCACCAAACCCTGCAATCCATGTTAGACTGTGGCGTAAGTGAGAAATACTTTAAGACACCAAAAGGATTAGGGTGTTTGTTAGCTAGTCTACTTTGGCCAATACACTCAACCAGATATTATTAATTACATTTTACTTATTGTCTTTGTGGTTATTTTTATAGGTCACCATATATTTATTTCTGGAAGAAGTCTGGGTATAAATAGAAACTCATGTTTATTAAAGGAAAGAATTTATACTAAAACAAATGCAAAAGTATGCAAGACTTTTTCCACTTCTGGGCTGACTGGCTGAGTTGTCTAGAACATGGTGCCATTGATATTGTGTTGAGGGGTCCAGAAGAAAGCCCTTCTGTGGGCCCAGGCTACATTCCTTTCTCCTGAGCTGCTGTTTCTCAGATGTATGCCACCAAACATAAAGGACACAATTTACAATACTATGAGGGTAGGGGGAATTCTGGAAAGATTCTGGCCATGACGGCAGCATAGTTTTTCAATCCTTTGACTACTACACAAATAGAGCAACTAGATAACAAAACCCCAAATCCCTGACAACATTTAAAACTAAACTAGGAGACAAAGTTTCCTCTTGAACCCCAAAATACCAGTTAATGGGGCAAACCACCAACTGCCAGAAATTCTGCATGGAATCAGCACCTGGGTGGGAAGAAGAAGGAAACATTGGGTATCGATGGACCTGAGAACAAGAGAACCCAGAAGAGCTAATAGTACTCACTGGAGAGTTCAATGGGCCACTGTGAAACAACAGCTCTCACTGGGAGGGGTTTTATCCTCTTTACCATCTGAGTACAAGGGGCACATGGGAAGGAGGACTGAGGGAGATGGAGCAGTTTACTCCCCATGAAGTGTGCAGCCACTTGGCACCCTTCCAGCGTAAGCCCCCACCAGTGAGAAACTACTGAGAGTGGCTTCACATTTGAGCCATATGGAACAAGAGTCTAAAGAAAGAGAAAGTCTTGACCAAAGTGGTTGAGGAGAAAACAGCCGGGGAATCTCAGGAAGCATCTACCATATCTACCATATTTTTAAAATGCTACACACACATGAAAAGGAAGTTCTGTGACGTTAGTGAGATTTCCTGAATCATACCTCATTCTAAAATGTCAGAAAAAATTAAGTTCACATAAAAATGAACAATGGAATAGTATCAAGGTCAAGGTCAAATCCCATAGAAAGTGATTATAATTACAAAATAGAATAAGGAGCAGAATAGCATCTTATAAAAGCATGCTGAAAGCTGTTACCTATAATTTCAAAAGAAACTTAAAGACATTAAGAAATGATACAAACTACCAAAGAACATGACCATCTGATTAGAAAAGCTCATAAATAGGGAGACAGGACTGAAAAAAATGATTATAAATAAAAGAAAAACTCACTTCAGAAATGTCAACTAAACTAGAAAAAAATAAACAGAACAGATAATCTAATAATAAATATAAAAGGTGAAAAGGAGGAAAACTGAAAACTCTGAAAGCAATAAAGAGATAAAAAGGATTTAAGACAAGCTTGTCCAACTCACAGCCTGTGGGCTGCATGTGGCCCAGAATGACTTTGAATGTGGCCCAACACAAATTGATAAACTTTCTGAAAACACTATGAGATTTTGTTTGTTTTTAGCTCCATCGGCTATCATTAGTGTTAGTGTATTTTATGTGTGGCCCAAGATAAATCTTCTTCCAACGTGGCCCAGGGAAGCCAAAAGATTGGACACCACTGAATTAAGAGAAAAAATAATAATGAACATAGGCAAAGAAAATTGAACATATGGATAACCAGAGATTATAAGTAAGAAAAGCGAGGGAAGAGAAGAAATACTAATAACTATAATTCAAGAAAATGTCCTGAAGTACAAAAAAATTGAAATGATATTGAAAAGCTGTGCCACATATCTGAAAATACTGACCCAAAAAAGACCAATAGCAAGACATATTCTAGTAAACTCTCTGAGTTTCTGAGCAAAAAGAATACATGGCTTATAGTATAAAGAAAATTAAACTATCATCAGACTTTCTAACGCAAACGCTTTAGGCTAGAAGAAAATAGAGTAGCCTGCTTAATATGCTAGAAAAAAGAAAGGGGTTTTATATCCAGCAAAACTGACTTGCAAGTATGAAGGACTCAAACAAATTGTTATGAATATGGACAAGAACTTAGAGAATATTGTTTCCATAAGTCCTTTCTGAGTAGCATATTTGAGAATGAGCTTCCGATGATCAAAATAATTAGAGAGAACATCAGCATAAGGACTGGCAGTGAATATTAAGTATATAGTTACTTGTGGACTTAAGTTTAAAGGGGACTAACAGAGAGCAGAGTATCTGACGTCTCTATGCTCTGACAATGTAAATAGAGCACAACTATTTAAAAATGAAGGAAGGTGGGACAACCATATGCAAAAAATTGTTGTAATGTTTTCAATAACCACATTAGTACTAGTATTAGTATTGTCCTCCTGAGATTACTGTGCATATAATATGTGATAAAACAATGATTACTATTAGAATATTATTATTCTATTATTCCCTGTGTCCTTGAGGGTCCAGATATTTTGGGAAGGAAGGCGATCTAACTGTAATGCAGAAGAGGCTAAATAAAACTCGGTAAATTTGAATTGGAGTACTAATAAGAACTCATAAGTTCATAAAACATAATACAATAAACTATAGATATTATAATGTAAATATAGAATAAACTATATAAAATATAAGATAATATAAACTAATAAAAACTATAAGTAAAATATAAAACTATAAAATAATAAAAATTATAAGCTATAAAATAATAAAAATATATGAATAAACAAAATAAATTATAGCATATTATAGAATAACTATAGTATACTATATAATAATATACTATATATCCACAGGGATCAAACCTGAGTGTGATCCAGTCCCAGATGCCAATTTACAAGAAATGCAGGGGACAGAGGAACATATTAAACTGC
Source organism: Homo sapiens (assembly GCF_000001405.40). Lineage (NCBI taxonomy): Eukaryota > Metazoa > Chordata > Mammalia > Primates > Hominidae > Homo > Homo sapiens. The sequence goes on from NC_000001.11 coordinate 217,059,166, forward strand.
ACTGTGAGCCTGAACTCAGGCTCAGGTGAACTATACTAGTTACTACATTACTATTATATAATAATTATGATATACTATATAATAACCATGGTTATTATATAATAAAGTAAGCTATAGTGTAACTATAGTATATAACTACATATAGTTTATTAGTTTACATAGTTTTTATAAGTCTCCCCAATTCTACCCTTTACAAATGTTAAGAAACAATGACCAACCCAGTACCAACGCGCATCCCTAGCATCTAGATTGTAGTCTTCAAATAATATTTCTTACCCAAAGAAAGCAGAGCTTCTTGGAGAAACTGCTGATTTCAGGTCTAGGAGAGGAAATTTATAGATATGCCTGAAGAGTCTTAAATTGCTCCATGGCAGGAGAGCTATCAAAGGCTTTTAAGGCTATGACAAAAGGACTCAAGAACCAACTTGCTGTTGCCCCTGCTGGCTAACGTGGAACTGTTTGAACTTCAATAATGATTGTAGTCTTTCCAACCACCACCTATAGTCTTGCCAAAGGGATCAAACCTGAGTCCAGTCCCAGGTACCAATTTGCAGGAAATACAGGGGGCAGAGGGACATATCAAACTGCACTGTGAGTACATAATATATACAACTCAGGCTCAGAAGAACTATACAGGTCAAATGGCTCTGGACCCTCAATAGATAAATTGTAAGGAAATAAAAGGAATTAAGGAGGAACTTAATGATTAAAAGAGGATTCAAGGGCTTGTCATTTTTTAAATGGGAAAGACTAGACTAGAGTGTTTGAGGATGCACACTGGGTGACAAATGTATTTTTTAAAAATACAAAGAAATTATTATTACAGTAGTATCATGATTACTTATGAAGAATACAAAGGATTATAATTGGGTAAAGCACATGAAGGGGTTTTGGGGGTGGCAAAAATTCTATCTCTTGTCCTGGCCGGCATACAATACGTATATAATATGCATATATATGTATATACTTATGCAACATTAATACAATATATAAACATACAATATACTAGCCATGCATTGTATTCATGTGGATTTCTCTATTTGTGTTTTAATTACAAAAATATATATATTTTTAAAAGACTATGAGTTTCTCACTGCCATCCAATCTCCTACTGAGAAGACAGTATAAAGCACATGGTTGAAGTGGAAAATAATGTTAGCAAATCATGATTGAAGTCATATTGTGAAGGTTCACAAATATCTTTGCAAAGTTATATTTAATTTGGAAGATAATGTAGACTCTCTTAAAAGATTTCATGAGTCCAGCAACTCCCCCTTTCCTCTGAACTTCTTGATGTCTCCACCATTTACTTGATTCTCCTATTTGGATAATTAAGATGAGAGAGCCAAAGAAATATGATGCAAAATAAACCCTTGCTATACAAGTAGTGTCAGGCAGGTGAAGAGTGATGGGTTGGTGCCACGTTCCTGGATTCAGCCACCTTAACCCTGTTTATTGTGATTTAATAGAAATCCACTCACTGTGCCATGCATATAAAATGAAGTTTATCCTAAGATTTTTGCCTTTTCAAGCATCTAAATTCCTCAGTTTCTCAGAGAATAGGCCAGGACCCAGAAGAAAAAAGTCAACTTTGAGTAATAAAATCAAAATGATATTGAACACTAGATAGATAGATAGATAGATAGATAGATAGATAGATAGATAGAAAAAAGGGAATAAATGCCTCTGAGAATTCCTAGTGCCTGAAAGCTCAAAACAAATGTACAGGAATCTTCTTGAGATTGTGGAGAAGATATTCCTTAGAAATAACTACTTTATATCCATTATTCTATTTTGAAATATATCAAACTTTCATGGGTAGTCTTTTTTTTTTAGTATGTTAAATATTTTTAGTGACCACAAAATATAATCATAAGGGATCTTATGGATTTGTGCTTTTTTCCCCCCAAAAAAAGTCTTAAGTTCTTCCATTCCAAATTATCTATCCAGGGGGATTTTCAGGAGTTAACAATGTGTAAAATGTTCCTTGTTCAAGACAAAGACAAAAATGAAGCTTTTTAAATTGCCCTTGTCACAGTTAGGATAAAACAACCTCCCTATCACCAGAGCATGATTCAACCCCCTATTACCGAAGCATTACCTTCCCAATTCCTTTAGAAAGAGGTGGAGTTTGAAATCGCAAATAGATAACAAAATTTAAGCCCCCAAAGAGAGAGAGAATATGTATCAAAATAGCTAAATGCATGTAAATAAGTACTAAATTTAACAGGCATGAGTAATGCAAACCTCACAGGAGCCATCTTGCCTAGGACTGCTTTCACGCTTCCAATTCAAAGGATATAAATGAGCTCCCCCCACACTTAAATATGGAATAAAAAGACAGTTGCACCGGACTATAGAAGAGGTAAGCCCAAATTCACAGAGGTTTTATTAAAAACAGGAAAAGGTCAGTCCTCTTCCCCCAAAGGAATGTCCAGGGCTTGTAGGAATTATTACTCCAAGATAGTTTCTTTATTAAATTTGCTGTGCAGAAATAGAAAAACAAGGCCAGGGGAGAACTAGAAAGACACAGAATGTCTTACTTTTGTCCAGCCTAAGCACTGCCACAATCTAAATTTAATGCCAAGATACCTCCTCTTCACTGTATCTATAAATCAGATACATGTAAAAACCTAGAGTAAATCCTTAATGAACTAAGAAATTATGCAATTAAACAATCCACTAATGATAAATATGTCATCTATGTGCTTTCCTCAAAATAAAACAAATAAGATAAATTCAGAGTATTGTCCCAGATATAACATCTGCAAAAAACCTCCCTGCTCACCAATGACATGAAACAGCCATCTACATTTTAACCTATGTTTGCTTCTAGTTAAAATCAAGCATTCGTTAATGAATTAGTTTGAGTGAATTTATAGATTGAGGGCAGCCCAGCACTGCCTTGTTTAGCAAACATTTTTCAACATGGGCAGTCACAGGGAAATCTCAAGCCCAAGTTAAGTGCCAACTTAAAATGGATTCCCGAGACACCCCTGGCGTGTGAATTAATTCTATTTGTATTAATATTTGGAATGTCACGCAGGATGCCGCAGCTGGTTTTGCATGACACTCTGGCACTCTCTCCACAGCATTTTTATCATTAAAATGACCATGTTTTAAAAGCAATGACATACCGTGTGAGAGACTTTATAAGAGTGAGAAGGATGAAAAGCTGGAAATTTCTCTATTGGCCTCTGCCTATTAAACACCCTACCTTTACAACAGCAGGACACATTTTGGTGTCAAAGAACAGGGCACTGTATTCAATTTCGGTGCAGTGAGGGGTTTGAGTAATCCTGTCTCTTTACATTTGAGATCACAGCACTTCTAGAAAAGTCAACAGAATCAGCTGCTCCAAAATAATGTCCACAAGTCAGGCATACTCACACAAAAATACTCCTTGTGAGGAGGTAAGAAATTAAAATAACATCTGGCAGAGAAAAATCTGTTCTCAAGAGCTAAAACCAAAGAGGAGTGTCAGAGCTTGAGGTCTTCTCTTTGGAAAGCCTCTGCAACCAGCACTACTGGTTTTGTGGCAACAAGACAGAGCCAGTTTAGATCAGTGAAAACTAGGTACAAACGAATACCTCCCTTCAGTCTACAGTTTCAAATGTTTCTTAACATCAAACACTTTTACGGCTTGGAAATGAAAACATCACCTGGTTTGGGTTGTATTTCTTTCCCTTCCAGGATTCTGGTGAAGATGGCAATAAAACTAATATGGCTACAGAGAGCAGGAAGAATCATGAAAACAAGGATAAGGTGCACGCTACTTCATCAGCTCTTAATCAAGAAGGAACTCTAGTATGTACCTATGTGACCAGCTGTTTTCTATCTCCGTTGAGATTTAACAGCAGGATCCATTCTAGGAGAATATCTGATCTGGGACTTCGGGGTTTTATATATTGTTACCCTTCCCCTCCTCCTCCTCCTCCCTATTTAATGGGTTCTAGAAAAAGCATAGGAGATTGCAGTTTCAGCAGACAGGGAAAAGAGGGCTGATATGCTTTACATAGTTATTTTTATATTTAATCCAAGAGCAAGAGAGGACTAAGCAACCCAGCTGACTCTAAAAAGCATTTTAGGAAGTTGGCAACCGAACAAGCCACCTCCTGCTATCTCCTACTGTGAAGTAACTGTATCCAGGGTATAGATATGTTCCTCAAAGATATCAATAGCACAGATAATTAAGTTAGTGCAGCAAACTAGCTACATGCTTTGAAGTGTGGAGACAGTTGGTACGCTAACCTTTCCCTCACCTGATAGGCTAAGCCTACAATCTCCTCACACGTGTTAACAATCTCGTGACCTTTAGTCTGTCCTCATTATCACATCAGTTAGGTTACCCAACCACGTGGGGCCTACCATAAAAAAGGGCTGCTTATAAACTGGGATAGTGAGTTAACAGGCTCAAAGACAGACTCCACCTGGGTAGGAAGACCCTCCAACTAGAGAAGCTAAAACTCTCTAGATTAAGCTATCCTGAGGCAGAAGAGAAAGAGCACCACAGGGTGGGAAGAGGGACCAGCTGACCCAGACATTATCAAACTCTGGAATACATCAGAATCATAAGAGGTGTTTCTAAGTATACCAGTTACTGGATGCAACCCTCTAGAGAGTCTTACTCAAAGCATTGGGGTAGAGACATAAAATCTGCGTTTTAATGAGTATAATGGTGATTCAAACTTTGTGGTTCTCAGACTACACTTCTTGGAAAGGTAAGGACTGAAGCAAGTTTCTCAGGACTCCAGTAGTATGCACCTATTATCCAGAAACTACTAAACCCTGTGGTGCTTTATATATTTTATGTCATTTAATCTTCACCATATAAACACACACAATAAATAGGTGTGTGTATATATACACAATAAATAGATATATACACACCCTATATACATATATATTTGTAAAATACACAAAGCACAAGGGTTTAGTATATGTGTGTGTTTTTCATTAATCTTCACAACATACATATATATGTTGCATGTATATATACACGTTGTATAGATGTATGTATATAGGTATATATTGTATGTGTATATATGTTGTATGTACATTACACACATATGTGTTATGTGTATATATACATATATGTATGTATATATGTATGTTGTGAAGATTAAATGATATGTATATATGTGCGTATATATAAGTACATATATGTATGTTGTGAAGAGTAAATGATGAAAAATATACACACACATATATATAATTTGATTCATTTTATAACCACAGAAACTGAGGCTGAATGATGCTAAGTAACTTGATCCACAGTCACATGCTAATAAGCGGCAAAGCCATGTGCAGAACCCAGATGTGCCCCTACCAAATGGACCCACAGAGCACCATGGAGAGAAGTCTCAAAGAAGCTGCAGTCCTTCCTGATGTGTTTTAATTCACCTGCTTTTCAGGCCTTCCCTCCACAGAAGACAAGAGTGAATGAGGCCAGGAGATTGAGAAAAGCGTGCAGCTAACAGGTACAAAATATCAGAAGTTGTCCAAAATACAGGCATTCCTTACCAAGTGTATTACAACTTGCACTAATAAATTTCAAGTAGATATCAGCCCTTAGGCACAGAGAAGCCCGCTATGAGTAAATGAAATATGGCTGTCCTCTGAATCAGAAGGGGATAAAGGACATGTGAAATGGGTCTCTTTCTATTCCACTCTCTACCCTACCCTGGTTATGCTAGACCCTGAATAAACTCCCTAAACCTCAATATATCCTGACTGGGTTTTACTCTGGGCTTTTAATGAGGAAGGAGTAGGGACAAAAAGAAGAAGAAAAAGAAATTATAGTCCCTCCTATAATGCCCCAAAACAAATGTGAGAATGCCACATTTTCCTGACTCAAGTACCAGGCTTGGGGACTCTATAGCTCCTTGACGGGAAGCCCTGTTATATTAAGAAAAAGGCAGAGGTGTTTCAACTGCTACTAGAAAGATAAATAGCCTAGGATATCCATTAATGCCCCATAAATTCTGCTGCTCAGAATGCTGATATATTTCTAGTGATTTGTGATGTTTTCCTTTCCAGCTTTTGATGGCAACTTAGGTTTCATACAATAGACTGGTTTGGCAAAGGTAAAATGTCTAGCTATGACAAACTTAATTCCCTAGACTCAAAACCCTCAGCAGGTGTGAAAACAGCAAATCTAGTTAACTTCCCAATTCCCATAGAAATCTCCACTGGGAATATGACTTTCGATGTGGCATTTCTAGGGGAAATTCTGTTGTTAAAGGTGTTCTTGGAGAATCTCCCATGAGGCTTGCTTAGAGAAATTTTACCCATTTCTCTTTCAAACATGAGGTTTCAGTGGATCTGACCCACTCTGATGATGAAATCTAAAAGGAGAGCCTCATCTCTCTTCTGAAAATGCTGGGAAGGAGGCTTAGAGAACAGTCAACTAAAAGGTGACAGCCACAGGTGGGAGTGACCACTTCATATTTACAAGACTGAGCCACACTGGATACTGTCTGCCATTTACACACAACCTGAAGACCAGTTCAGTCCCATATGGTTTTTGGAGAGGAAAAGACAGACATGCATGGGATCAGCTGCAGAACTGGCAAAGAGAGAGTTACACAATAGTTTTCTTTTTCTCCCTCTAGAAGCAAATATAAACCTACTTTATGATGGCAGTCCTCGTTTCCCAGAGAAGCACTTTTGCAATAATAACACCATAGAATAAAAGCTTGAGCGACCAGGGGCATTTAGAAAAATAAAGCCTTCCCGCTTCCAAGTATTGTGTTGTCATTGCCCTGTTCCTTACATTTTCTATCAGGAGCTCACCATATTCCTACATACTCCAAGACCGAAGTGCACAGTCATTGTCCCTCCCCAGTGGCGTTGCTTTGAGGAATAGCTGAATTATCATGTGGACAGTCACTCTGAACAGTGTCTGGTACATTTAGTAAGCTCTCTATAAGTCGTGGCTATCGCTACTGTTGTGCTGGTGTTGTTAAATGTGGCTCAATTAGCCACAACATACATATTACATGCCAAATATTTTTAAAGCAAATATGTGGCTTGTTTGTAGTTTTCATCTGTATTCTATATCCCATGGGGAGAATTCCTTTTTCTTTTCTTTTTTTTTTTTTTTTTGAGACGGAGTCTCGCTCTGTCGCCCAGGCTGGAGTGCAGTGGCGCGATCTCGGCTCACTTCAAGCTCCGCCTCCCGGGTTCACGCCATTCTCCTGCCTCAGCCTCCCGAGTAGCTGGGACTACAGGTGCCCACTAATTTTTTGTATTTTTAGTAGAGACGGGATTTCACCGTGTTAGCCAGGATGGTCTCGATCTCCTGACCTCGTGATCCACCTGCCTCGGCCTCCCAGAGTGCTGGGATTACAGGCGTTAGCCACTGAGCCTGGCCTCCCATGGGGAGAATTCTAATCATGAAAGCAGCCATTTAAAAAGGATGAAAATATTTAAGCTACCTACTTTCTCTCTTACCTTTTAAACTTTGTAAGTGTCTAGAGCAGGGCTTCTCGGCCTAGGCACTGTTGACATTTGGGGCTGGACAATTCTTTGCTGTGTGGGGGGATGCCCTGTGGACTGCATGATGTTTACCAGCATCCCTGGGCTCTATTCACTAGATGCCAGTGGCACCCTCTTCCAGTCTTAATAATCCCAAATCTCTCCAGACATTGCCAAAATGTCTTTGGGGGACAAAATTGCCCCTAACTGAGAACCACTAGTCTGAGCCATTTTGAAATAGATGAATGAACTACAGACGTAAGTTCTCTAAAATGTGCCTCGAATGTGAGATGGTATGCTCTCACCAAGGATTTCACTTACACCACAAATAGCATTTTACTAGAAGTAAACTGAAACCCATTGCCTAACAGGAACAGTGAGATGCTTGGCACTAACAAGTTACGGTGAGCAAAATAGTCTAAACTTGTTCACATATGCAAACTCAACATTTAATTTTCTGCAAGATTACCCACAATAATTACAAAGTTTCTATACTATAGCCTTAAAAGCTTGGAACTATGAGATCCATAAGAATTGATCCTTTATCTTTTACCTTTACTGTGTACTGTGTCTGTGCAACATAGCAAATGAATGTAGGCAATATTTTCTTCTAATTTCTAGGAGTACTAAAGTGAAACTTTCCTAAAATTAAATTGATTATTAAATAATCCAATGGAGGGAAATACAGAGTCAACTCGAATGTACAAACAACACTAAGGTAAACCAAAGACCATTTTGCTTATAAGCATGTATCCTTCAACTGAACATAGATAGCTGTTGCACATATGATAACTAATAGCTTGACACTCTAAAAGTAATGTTGAAATATTAGTTGCTGCCAGTTAATGATGGTTTGAGGACAAACAGTTGACATCTATATGACACCAGTTTGTTCAGTCTGCCAGTAACATACAGTATTTTTGAGGCATTAGTAATAGATTGAATAAACTATCTACCTGGAATCTATGGTCAAATGCTGGCTAATGCCATATCAACTTGAAGATTTCAGAGCCATTATCATAAGACATAATTCCTTTGTCATAGTCTTAGAATTAACCCAGGCCAAGAAATCCAAGCTAATACACAGAGCTGTATTAGGATCTTACTTAACTGATATTAATAGAGTTCATGTGAGAGAAGACACACATTCATTTTTTCACCTTCTGATAACCACATGACTAATAAAGTCTCATTTCAAAGGGGAAAAAAAACCCCACAACACTGACACCCACATTTTGGCAAAGTATCAAGCCAATTCCCCTAAGGGTATTAGTCGCTTTGATGAAAGAATGTTGCACCATCTCCACACACACTAGATCTCATTTGGTTGTTCCTTCTCTTTCTAAGATGATGTTACTGACAGGGATTACTCTCTTATTACATGGTAAAGTGGGTAGGACTGCAGACAAACACGGGACCTAAGTTTGCAAGTACAAGGTCATTTCTCTCTGCATAGAGCTACCTCAATTCCATCTTCTGAGGAGCAGAGATTGCAATTTCCATGCTACCACGTGATCTCACAATGACAGGAAAGCCTGAGGACCCAGGAGGAAAAATAAGTGATATGCATCCTATGTGAGCCTTCAGGAGCCGCTGTGCCCTTCCCTGTCTCCTTTCTTTAATTCTTCAATTGAGGACCAAGTCAGAATCCTTGCACCATCTGGTAGCCATGGATACCACACTCAATACACAATATGATCTTAGGAGTCTTTTTTTTTTTTTTAACATCTCCAGGGGCGTTTAATCCCCTTCCTAACTTTCTTCATACTTAATCTCCAGTCCTCTCCTGCACCAACCCTCTTCCAAGACTGGAATCTCTAAGAGGTGAAATCAACCTAGATCTAGATGTCAGAAAACCAATCTCTAGTCTTCGGCTATATTTTTTTAACAAGCCGTGTCACTCTGAACAAGCCACATAATCTTGCTAAGTTCACTCAGCTGTAAAAGACAGGTAAGTTGTGACTTCATAAACTTTCACTACAAAAATATCATGTATTATTAGAAGAAATACATCGAGAAAAACAGTAGAAGGGAGTCGTTTTGCATGTTATTTAGTGGAAACGATAAGAAAACTATCATCTAATCAACAAGCACAATTACTCTCAAGCAGTTTTACTCAGAGCTGGTCACATGACCTTCTGAAGAAAAAGGTAAAAAGCAATCACTTTTTCCGCCTTCCAATCATTCTTCTCCCTTCTAGCATTAAAATACTCCAATCCCTAACTTTAATCCTTCCCCTCCACGTCCAGCATTTAAAAAGAATAATTGGGCAGTTCCCAGTATTTTCCCAAGAAGTACCTTAGGGCCTTTGACTAGTGGTCTAACTTCAGAGATTACACCTATGATGGTTAATACTGAGTGTCAACTTGATTGGATTCAAGGATGCAAAGTATTTATCCTGGGTGTGTCTATCAGGGTGTTGCCAAAGGAAATTAACATTTGAGTCAGTGGACTGGGAAAGGCTGACCCATCCTTAATCTGTTTGGGTACCATCTAATCAGCTGTCAGCGTAGCTAGAATATAAAGAAGGCAGAAAAACATGAAAATACTAGACTGGCCTAGCCTCCCAGTCTACATCTTTCTTCCGTGGTGGATCCTTCCTGCCCTCGAACATCTGACTCCAAGTTCTTCAATTTTGGGACTGGAACTGGCTATCCTTGCTCCTCAGCTTGTAGATAGCCTATTGCGGGACCTTGTGATCATGTGAGTTAATACTTAGTAAACTACCCTTTGTATATATATAATAAAGTGTATGTATATAGATAGATAGACAGATATAGAAATATATATATATATACATATATATAGATAGCACCTATTAGTTCTGTCCCTCTAGAGAACCCTAATACAATAATTAAACTGACTTAAGAAGGTTGCCTAACCTTGACTTTAACCTTGGAAATACAAGGACTTTTCATCTTCCTCTTTCCACTCTGACTTATATTGCATCTCATTTCTCATACAACAGTCTAGGGCCTCTCCTCTTTTTCTGGTCCCCTATGCTTACCAAAACCCACATCTTCAAAACAAACATGCAAAGCAGGAAGTACCTCTCAGAAGGGAATTCCGTCTGCTCTACAGAGTGCCAGTCGGCCACATCACAGAAGCAGCAGGCAACTCTCTAGGGAAGACACCATAGTGTCTGGTGGACTCCAGGAAGCTACAGCACAAGAAGGCACAGGATTCCCTCCAGGCCCCAGCCTGGATTCTAAGAAAAAAAATAATGTTGTAAATCACAACCCTCACATCATTCCTTAAAGACCAGATGATGGTGTCCCAGACTCAAAGGCAATAGCAAAACCTACAAAAAATGGTCACCTATTTCCATTTCCCAGGAAGACCCTCATTATATACAAAGATGTGACTCTCCTCCATCCACATGTCCCCAAGTTCCTATAAGTTGATTCTAATTGGAAGAGATCACCAAAGTAGAGAGAAAAATCTTTCTGGGGCAAGGGTCCAGGAAGTGGGGGTAAAATGCAGAGAATGACTCTCATTTTGGCTGTAAGTTGAGGTGATCTTAGGGAAACTACATAACTCAGTTTCTTCATCTGTAAAATTAGGAAGAATGTGGCTTATTTAGTTCACAATACTTTAAAATATCAATTAAGAGAAGTAAAAGCTATTTTAAAATAAAAATCATCAAATAGTATTAAACTCCTAGTATTCTAATATAGATTAATCTAATTTATGTCTATATTTGCAAAAGTACAACAGGAGTTTAGAAAATCTCCAAAGTTAATTTTTTTTTTTTTGAGATGGAGTCTCACACTATCGCCCAGGCTGGAGTGCAGTGGTGTGATCTTGGCTCACTGCAACCTATGCTTCCCAGGTTCAAGCGATTCTCCTGCCTCAGCCTCCCAGTAGCTGGGATTATAGGCATGTGCCACCAGGTCTGGCTAATTTTTGTGTTTTCAGTAGAGACAAGGTTTCACCACATTGGCCAGGTTGGTCTCGAACCCCTGACCTCAGGTTATCCACCCCACTTTGGCCTCCCAAAGTGCTGGCATGACAGGCGTAAGCCACCACTCCAGACCAATGTTAAAATCTGGAAAAGTAAAATAATGCTTTTAACATTGTTTGTCCTCACATAAATGTACCTATACTTCTCTCCATGCCTCTTTCTGTGTCTATATTTTTACATGAATCTCTGTCTCAAAAGATAGCAAAATAGAGTAGAAGAGTTCACTTGATTCGAAGGTAAAATACCACAATGTAAATCTCAATTCCACTATTTCTAGCTGTGTTACCTTGGACAAAATAATGTCTGAAATGGAAATGATGATCCCAGACACTCTACTTCCAGAACTGGTGACCTGTTAAATGAGAGCCACCTACTTCTGCCTTTCTCTTTCTTTCCTTCTCTCCACTTTCTCTTCTTCCTCCTCCTCTTTCTTCTCCTCATTGTCCCATTATTCTTGTCCACCACTGCCATTTCTTCTTCTCCATAAGACAGAATTAAATTTGAGTTCTGTGATATTTCTGTGATTATTAAATAGCAAAATTAAATTGCTTTTTATTGTGATTGCCTTCCATGTTTCTGCTATGAGACTTTTGAATACCCTAGAATAAATGCAGTTATGTATTGGGTCTCTCCTTCATTGCAAAAAAACAAAAAACAAACAAACAAACAAAAACACCTTTCCCACAAGCCCTGCAAATTTTCTCTAACTTAATGAAGCAATATGTATATATGTAGGGAAGTTTATGAATTTGAGGCTTGGCTCTGTCACTTATTAGTCTGTGTGAACTTGGGCAAGTTTCATTTTGGGGGCTCAATTTTCTCATGTATAAGATAGGGGTAAAAATATCTATCTGATAAGAGTAATGAGAGAATTATATCAATTAAGATACTGGTAAAACACATAGCCTAATGCCTGGTTACATGGTAAGTGAACAGTAAGGAGCAGATACTATTATGTGAAAACTAAAAATCAGTTTTATATATTAATGGCACCTTGACTAACTTCAATATTGGCAATTTGTAGGGAGAATTTCAAAATAGGATGTTGCCCCATCAAATAGCTTGGAGACAAAAACCTCCAATAATGTCTAATAGTCACTGAATGCTTACTGTATGCCAGACATTTTCTTGGTAATCTACATGTGTTCATTCATTTCATCCTCAAAACAATCTGATGAAGTGGGTATAACTATTATTCCAATTTCAGATGAGGAAAGAGAGATGAAGAGTAGTTCAGTTACTTCCCTAGGTCATCGCAGATACATGAGCCAGAATTCAAACCCCTGGGGTCTAGTTCTAGAGCTATGATGTAAAGCATTTTCCAAAATCATCTTCCTCCAGGAAAGATGGCATCTTCTAAACCAACTGGTATGTTGCCAGTAATTTGTTACCAGTAATAAAGTACTGGAGCCTGCTGATGATTTTCTTTTTAATTTAAATGGGTGCAGTTGCACTTATAATGTAATTATTGATGTTCAGTAACATTCTGATTTCCTCTCTAGTGTAGAAAAGCAGTGCAATCCAAGCTAAAGCTCTGGAATTACTCAGAGTCCAGTGCTCATCTGCAGTATGTGCATGTCACCCGTCAGCATCAGCATCTCTGTCATCACCACCACAGTTATCATCACCACCATCGTATTATTATATATTGATCACTCTATGCCAGGGATGTGGTGATTCTTCACATATGTTTTCTGTATGTGTTACAGCAGAAGAAAATGTTGAAAACCACTGAGCTACACTATTCCAGAGGCATACTTATAAGACTTTTCTCATAATTCTACCATATACCACTGACCTGAAGAGGGAAAGAAGAGTACAATAATATTACTGGTATTTATTTTGTGTTAATCACTGGAATAGGCATTTTAAATATATAATCTTATTTAATCCTCAAAATAGGCCTAAAATATAGACATTATAGTTATTTTAACCCCAGCTTTACAACAAAGGGAACCACTGCTCAGAATGGCTAAGCATCTTTCCCAAGGATTGCGGAATTTTGAAATTACAGCTTCAGGATTTGAACCAGACCTATAATGATTCTTTTGAGCAGTCCCTTTAAGATAGTTTTACTATTTTCTAAACTGGGGGTGTGTGTGTTTTTTCTCCTATGACACGAGCTGTCTCTTCTGTTATCTATTTATTAGAAAGCAGAAGCCCTCAACAAAGTTCTAGATTGGGAATCTGAAATCGCAAGCCATAGCCCTGGTTTTGCAGCTCATGTGTTGTGTGGGCAACTTATTTATCTATTAAAATGAGGAATTTCATCTCTAGCCTGCTACTTGCTATGATTTCCCTAGAAAAACATGACAAATACCCATTGTCATTCATATGATATCCAGTCATATGATATCTCCCAAGGGCATGTTCTCTGCCCTTGGGAAAGAAGATTGTAGAGAGAAGCCCACTGCACTGATGTGCTTGTTGACTGGAGCATCAGACAAGGGTGGTTAAAAAGAAGGTTGGCTGGGAAGTGTGAGAAAGTCATCCACCTTGCAGCTGTCTCTGCCCGAATAGTACCATGGCTAAATAAGAGTCTCTCTCTAGAGATCTCTGCTGGCACCTTGTCTTCATTCCTTTCTGGACAAAAAAAAAAAAAAAAAAAAAAAAAAAAAAAATCCTCATGAAGAATGTATTGCTTTCTACATGCAACTGCCAAAAACCCAACTGTAGGCAAAATCCATCTTACAGAATCTCTTAACTGCTTTGATTCAGTTCTTAAAGGAGATTAGTTGTTGGAAGGTCACAGAGAAGCCATCCTACTGCACACTGCAGCTTGGAGTTTCAAAGCTTTCACTACTAAGGGGATCTCCGTGCTTGATGCCCCTTCTCTCCATGCTGTTTAATCAATGAATCAACAAATAGTTACTGAGCAAGGCTTCCCTAGGGTCTGCAGGTCACTTCAAATGTGGCTCTCCTGTTCAATAGCAGGAGAAAGAAAAACGGATTTTTCTGACTCCTCTTAAAGTTTCCATTTATAAAACCAGGGCTGGCATCAAAAGACTGTGGGTCTCCTGTCCCTCTTTTTTCATCCCCTGAACCCTCTGATTCACAAGTAAAAATGAAATGTTATGTAGCTGGGACAATATATAAGAGCTGGAAGGGAGGAAGGAAAGAAGGAAGAAAGAAAAGGAGGGAGAAAACAAGGAAGAAAGGAGGAAGAGAGAAAGAGAAGTAAAGAAAAGAGCGAAGGAAAAAAGGGGAGAGAAGAGAAGAAGGGAGGGACACGAGAGAAGAATGAAAGAATGAGACCCTTAGATTTCAAGAAGGGCAAAAGACACAGTGAACATGTAGACAATACTCCCAAGAAATATATCTTTGGTAGCATATACACTCCATACTTACTAGTCTGTTCATTATTACTGCTTTTTAGTATATATGATTATCTTTGTGAACCCCTACTTTAAAGCTTTTAGGATTAGTGTAATTATGAATGCTTTTTTTTTTTTTTTTTGAGACAGAGTCTCACACTGTCGCCCGGGCTGGTGTGCAATGGCACAATCTCGGCTCACTGCAACCTCCACCTCCCAGGTTCAAGCAATTCTCCTGCCTCAGCCTCCCCAGTAGCTGAGATTACAGGTGCCCACCACCGTGCCTGGCTAATTTTTTGTATTTTTAGTAGAGACAGGGTTTCACCATATTGGCCCGGCCAGTCTCAAACTCCTGACCTCAGATGATCCACCCACTTTGGCCTCCCAGAGTGCTGGGATTACAGGCATGAACCACCGCGCCCAGCCATGAATCCCTTTAAATGTCCCTCTGCCTTGACCCTACCAATAGAATTACACATAAAATGTGCATTTAGCCTCAATACCCACAGTATCAGAAATCCACCCCCCCCAAAAAAAAAAAAACTCAACTAGTTTTTCTAAGTAATTTGTATGAAAATTTAAAAAATAATGAATATAAATATTACTTTTGGTTTTTAATAACAGTGTTATATAGGGTAGGTGCAGTGGCTCATGCCTGTAATCCTAGCACTTTGGGAGGCCAAGGTGGGAGGACAGCTTGAGCCTAGGAACTCGAGAACAACCTGGGCAACAAAGCAAGACGCCATGTCTACAAAACATTTAAAAAATTGAGCCCAGGAGTTTAAGGCAGCAATAAGCTATGATTGTGCCACTGCACTCCAGCCCGAGCAACAGAGAAAGACCCCATCTCAAAAAACATACTTTTTAAAAGTAAAACACTATACTATGTTACAAAATGAATCACCATCTCCCAAGTGATGAAAGCTACTGTGATGTACAGTTGTCACTATGACAGGACCAAACAATGGTGTGAATAGTGTCCTCCTCTGTGAAGCACACAGAGCAGGATTCTACTTGATGATATTTTTCCTCAATCAAAAATACAGTCATCTCTCAGTATCCTTGGGGATTGGTTCTGGGACTCCTGCATATACCGAAGCCTAAACATACTCAAGTCCTGCAATCAGCCCTGCTGAACCCACGTACACGAAAAGTCAGCCCTCTGGACATGGGTTTCACAGCCCACAAACACTGTAGTTTTGATCGGTGTTAGGTTGTAAAAAAATCTACCCACAAGTGGACTTGCATGGTTCAAACCCATGTTGTTCGAGGGTCAAGATAATAATGAAACCAGCAACAGTTTACTGGACACTTACTCTGCCAGACACACTGCTGAATACTTTCCATATGTTATCTCATGTAACTCTTTCAGCCAACATTGGTATACATTATTACCCTCACTCTACAGATGAGAATGTGGAAGGTCAGGTAGGTGAAGTCACTTGGCCTAAAAATATTAAACATGGTTAGGTCCAGAGCAAAACCCCAACCCATGTCTGACTCTGAATATTATGCTTCATAATCACCCTGTACCTAACACTTTTAGTCCTATCTTTCAGCTTGGAGAATCAAGGTGAGGAAAAGTAAAAACAGCATATTTTTATTATATTTTACCCCAAACTCCACTTATACTTGGTGTTCCCACACTCGCTTCAAATTGCTCCTTTCCCCCCCCCAACATTAATTACTAGAGTCTATTCTTTTATATCTTTTTGATAAACATAGCTGGTATTAGAATAGAAAACACACCATGAGATCACAGTATTAACCATGATATTCTGAAACATTTTTCAGTCTAAGCATGCAATAAGGCTCTCCAACATCTTAAAAAGATTGATTTTAAAAAAAGCTTAAATATAAGCACTATGTTAACACTTAGCACTTACAGTTCTAAACAAAGAGTTTGCCAGATAAAATCTGGAGTGTATGTAGAGGGGGTTGATGCTTTTACATTTTATTGAGCTTCTAAATTATAACCCTCATGCTTTTTCATGTGCTGATTGGTTCTATTACAGTAGAGGTATTAATAGAAAAATACACACCTGAAATTCTATCATTCAGTATGACACCTGTATATGTACAATGATGCATCTATTCAGAAGAATCTATATGTTAAAAGGAGTTAAAAGAGCCATTATCTTTTGTTCCAGGATGATGCAATTATTTATACCATCTGTATGTGGAAGGAAGTATGGCTCAAGAAACCAGTTCAGGTCTGTTTCACCTTGAAGCTCAGCACACCTAGACAGAGTCCTTTGCTTAAAGTGCCTGTGGTTCCTTGAGACTGTGACTCTGAGCATCTTCATTCCTGCATGCATGCTGTGTACTGACTAGATCCACCTCCAAATCTGGATAAAGACACGGCTATGCTTCCAAATGTCCCCTTTCCCCCCAGATTTGGCTACTAGACATTCCTCACTTAGTTTTTAAAATAAGCATAGCAGATAACAGCACACCAAACAAACCACGAGGTTAGCACTTAACACAGGTACAATTTGCTCATTTTTCTCGGTTGAAGGCAAATTTATGAATACAATCATTTTCACACACTGAAACCACCTCTACCAGAGAAATGCAAATATTATTGTGATATCTGGTCCTCGTAGAACTCAGAAAATATCTGGGTAGATGAAAACTCTGAAGTTAGGACACAGCACTTCTCACAGTATCTGCATGTGCTTATTACCATATGGCAGAAGTTGTTTCTAAAGCAAATAACAGTTTTCAGAAAGACTGAGTTTACGAATTAATCTGGAGACAGGGAGAGAGAGAGAAAAGACAGTTGTACCATTTAAAAGCTAAGGAACGAAATGACCTATTCCTCTTATGTCAAGACTTGAGAACTTCTAGTACGCAATTAGCTTGACCTTCCATAAAGGAAGCCCTGAAATACAGACTTCCTTTTTGTTTCTAAAATAAAGGTACTTACCAGTGAAAATCCACAAGTCACCACACTTTGCCCAGAATCACATTGGCCGCCCTTCTCCATGGAAGCACAGAGTGGGACCTGCCAAGTTTGTGGAGATACCTACTTGGGTTGGTTGGAAATAGGTAAGGGGGGAAGAAGGGGGAGAAAATAAAGACTTTCCCTTTAAAACTGAACAGAAGCTGATACCAAATCACATGACCTTTTACCGTAATTTCTATTAAAATCATTTCATGTCTGGTTGCCTCTGCTCTCCTGGCTCATTTGTATTGTTTACAACAAGTCATTGCACTGGCAGTTAGTGGTGGCTGAATCCATGGTTACCCGTTTTTACATTCACTAGTTAAATGGAATGCAGCTCTGCTGTGGGTTTCAGGGAGCAAGCTCTTAAGAAACCACAATCCAGCTATCAATCAGACTAATCTGAGAGAAATTAATCTCATAAACATAAGTATTGTTGCATATTAAAAATTGATAGAAAGGGGGCATGGGCTTTTATTGGTTGGAGTTAATTGGAGTTATGAAAGTGGACAAGCCGAGATTTGACTTAGAGCCTTAGAGTGTTCAGTCTGTGGTCTCCATCTGACAGCCATTCACATTGTGCACCTAAAAAGCTTTCAAGGGTAATACGACCACCCTTGAAAACAAATCCACCACTTTCCAAAATTCTGTGAGCATTTACTGACCTGAATGTTCTTAGAATCTAGGTAGTGGCTAAATACAGGTTTAACCAGACTGCAATCCTAGCGAAGTAACTTAAACAGATATATACAAGACAGTAAAACACCAAACAGACAGCACTGGGTAGGATTCAATTAAGACAAAACCTCAGTGGAATGCTCTTTACGAGTAAATTAAAACTGCAAACTAATATGTTTTGAGAGCAAGAACAGTACAAATTCATTCTTTTGTCCATGAATTTATGTGGTTAATTCTTTAAAAACATTCCCCAAAGCTAACTTGTTTCTCAAGATGGACATGACCAACAATTACAATTCCTAATAAAAATTTAGAAGTTTTATAGTTTAATGCCCACAGTAATTGTCCCACAAGTCACATCTAAATGCTAAATGAGAACAGCAAATAGTTAAAGCTAACATATTACAACCCCATCTACTGCAAAGTCACTGTATCAGAAGCTAGAATTGATTTGTTTCCTCAGAACAAATTGAAAATGAATGTAACATAACGTCGGAAAAATCCCTCCTGCACTGCTAATCGGATATTGTATAATGGTTGATTGCAGCTTTGCCCTGTACTATTGCTGCCTAAATCATACATACTTACACGTTCTGGGTTCTTCCAAGAGTTTGGTGCAGTTTCAAGGACAAATGTCTTAAGGAAGCCTCTCTACTGTGCAGCAGGGAGCCTGGCTCGGATCTGATGACAAGAGCACAGTGCTAAATCTGACAACAGAGAAGGAAACTTCCTGTGTGAAGAGGAGATCTTGGAAAGTCTCAGGGTTAAAAAGGCTGCTTTAAATGTGCTGGTTGATTTGCTCCCTGGTTGTGTATACACAGTAGCAGCTGATCTGTATTTGCAGCCCTGCAGAAAGGAACCTTTACTGAAAACCAATGGCATCACATTTCAGCAGAGCTGGTGCCAAGTGCTGGAGAGCAGAGCAACCTTTGACAACTTCACACAATTCACCCCAGCAGACTCACCACAGGTCAGAAAGGAATGTGGAAAGTATCTCCCCACCAGGTTTCATCTCAGGTATGTTAGCGCAGTCCCTGGGAAACCACACACTGTTACTGGCTGGATTCTGACAACAGTGTAAGGTATTCTCGGGACTTATACGTAGTTCCTGTCTCTGCTGTCCTGACCTACAGTGTACTATATTTTAACAGAAGCTTTAAAATGAATCAGGATTTTTTAAAATGCATTTCCCTCTGCTTCTTATAGAAACCTTTGTATGTAAGGTTCCTCTGTTTTTCCTCAGAAATAAACTGAGGACAAAATAATGTAAGATCGGGTAGTCTGGTATCAACCTCTGCATTCTGTCTCCCAATGCAGAGGCTGGAGTTTTAACATTACTGTGTTGTCAGGGGCCATTTTAGTATTGTTCTTTAGAAACTGGGGATGGCTGCAAAACTTCACTCCAACAGAACCAACTGTTGTAATGAGCTATAGAGATGTTAGGAACAGACAAGCAATGAAGAACATGAAATATTCCACTGTTTAGCAGTGGAATCACCTTCTTTATTATCATCCTTAACATAGAAGAGAGTGAAAATTCTAGACCTTACCAACTGTAGTAGTGAAAGTTAAGACAGAGTAAGAGACAGAGAAAAAGAGAGAGACAGAGACAGAAGGTAAGGGCGGCTGCTAGTGGCAGTAACAAATTTAATTCAAGTCATTGGTTAACCACTTCATTAACTGTGAGTTCCTCACTGTCCTTCCTTTCTCTTCTGTCTCTATGACAAGTCCAGGTTATGGTATATTATATGGTATTTTTCACTATTGTGCTTTTTATTTCAAAGGCCAGAAATCAGAACTGACAGTTTAACAAAAGACCATGTTAAATGTGTCAGGTAGCACGGGAGAATGTTCCCTTACTTATCTGAAAGCCAGCCCAGGAGCTGCCTGGGCAATTGGTGAATTATCCAAGGTGTTTGCTTTTCATTTTGGCCACACTATTGTTTAGGAATAATGATAATTCCCTTACATCTGAGAGTCCACATAATGTAATGAATAGACTCTGGGCTCTGGTGCCAAGTAGATCTAACTTCCTATCTCTACCACTTTCTACCTACATGAGGTTGGAGTTTGCTTAAAAATCTCCGAACTTCTGTTTCCTCATCTGTGAAATGGAGACACTATAACTACCATACACAATTTTTTGTGAAGTTTTAAAGAATAACACATGTCAAGGGCTTACCACAGCGCCTGGCACGCATGCATTTACAAACATTTACTGAGCCTCCTCTCAGAGCCAGGCACAGTGCCAGACACTGGGGGCACAAAGTCAATTAAGACATGGTCTCTACCCTCAAGTGCAGTTCCACAAGTGTTACATATTTCCTCCTTCCCTCCCATAATTTGTGCAGTCTCTGTTTAAATGCTCTGTTTCATTTGATCCTTCCAACAGTCCTATGAGATAGATGAAGCTACACCCAGTTTACTAATGGGAAAACTTTGGCTTGAAAGTGAGGGTCACACAGCTGGTAAATTGCAGCCTAAACATCAATCCAAGCTTTCTGATTCTGTCAAGTTCTCTTTAAGATATATATAAATATATATGAATTGACCACATAGCATTCATATTTTGCATTATTAGATATTATACTTGCTATCTTCACAGTGTCACGTATACATATAATGCACTTCCCTGCAGGTAGCATACGTCCCTTAAAGAGAGGTACTATATGTTAAAATTACTTTATATTCTCAAACAGGCTTAGCATGATGTTAAAGATATTACCTGTTTAATAAATTTTCCTAAATTGAAAAAAACTCAAGTTGGGTCAATTTTACTACCCAAAATCGTCCTCACAGAAAGCTGGAATCCTTCAATAAATGATGGTTTGGAGGTTATATGTGGCCTTCCAGTGCTCATGCTGTCTATGTCATTACTTCCAACTCATTATATACATGTCAAAGTTCTTAACACTGACTCATCATCAAACTCCCTGAAGATTGTTTTCTTCATTTGTTTAGCACGTATCCCGTACACTGTAGCCCTGATGAATTCTGGTAAAAGTGATTAAATATTTACTTTTTAATTCAAGCCTGACCCGAAGACATCTCTTGATTTCTGGGTCCACTCCAGTTTCTAGTGTTTTTTTGTTTGTTTGTTTGTTTGTTTGTTTTGTTTTTTTGGTTTTTTTTTTTTTTTTTTTTTTTTGAGACAGAGTCTCGCTCTGTTGCCCAGGCTGGAGTGCAGTGGCGCCATCTTGGCTCACTGCAAGCTTCGCCTCCCGGGTTCACACCATTCTCCTGCCTCAGCCTCCCTAGTAGCTGGGACTACAGGCGCCCGCCATCATGACCAGTTAATTTTTTGTATTTTTAGTGGAGACGGGGTTTCACCGTGTTAGCCAGGATGGTCTCAATCTCCTGACCTCGTGATCCGCCCGCCTCGGCCTGCCAAAGTGTTGGGATTACAGGCGTGAGCCACCGCGCCTGACCCCAGTTTCTAGGTTTAACAGTTCACAAAAGTGTAGAGTTTTGTTGATCATTATCTTATAAATCAGAGCACAGTATCCAGCAATCTTGGGTAGAGTTTGCTTTTTATACATATATAATCTGTACAACAGCTCAAATTTCTTAAATAATTATTGATCTACTGCTTCATTTTATGCATTAAAATGTAACCCATTTCTGATGGAAGGGTTGATTAGATATTTATCAGTGAATTATAGATAAAAATATTCTTTTTTTTTTTTTTTTTTTTTTTGAGACAGAGTTTTGCTCTTGTTGCCCAGGCTGGAGTGCAATGGCACAATCTCGGCTCACCGCAACCTCCGACTCCTGGGTTCAAGTGATTCTCCTGCCTCAGCCTCCCGAGTAGCTGGGATTACAGGCATGAGCCACCACGCCCAGCTGATTTTGTATTTTTAGTAGAGATGGGGTTTCTCCACGTTGGTCAGGCTGGTCTCGAACTCCCGACCTCAGGTGATTTGCCCACCTCAGCCTCCCAAAGTGCTGGGATCACAGGTGTGAGCCGCCGTGCCAGGCCAAAAATATTCCTAAAAGACATATGTATGGTATCTAGAACTTGGATTTCAACGAATGTATTACATTCATTAGTTCTTTTTGTTTGGTTGGTTGGCATTTTTTAGAGATGGAGCCTTGCTATGTTGCCCAGGCAGATCCCACCTCCAGGCCTCAAATAATCATCAAGCCTTACCCTCCCAAGTAGCTGGGATTACAGGTGTAAGCCACAGCACCCAGCACTTACTATGTGCATTAGTTCTAATCTTGTACCCTGGGCATATTTTAAAATAGAATTTATAATACTATTTCTAAGTATTTACTACCAAACATTGATTCCTCCAGCCTTAACAAAAATCCAGGAAATTTTGATTAATAGCAACGTCATGGCAAAAGTGCCAATGACAGGCGATATTTGAGATAAAGAACACAATTACTGAATACATTTTTTTTGTTTCCAAAGTCAGTCACTTGTTTGTTTAGACAAGCTGTGGCCATCTGTAAGGGAAAGTAAATATGCTCAAGCACTGGCACTGCATACGTGAGAATTGTCAGTCTCACTACCATCTTCTATGTCCAGCTGCCCAGCTGCCCTGCAACTACTTCAGGGAGAAACTAGCAGGTGCCCAGCAACTACTTCCTGCTTCCTCCCTGAAGTAATATGTAAAGTACCAACCACAATGCTTGTTCTACAGTAGACAAGAAATGTACCAACCGAAGACCACTCTGGAGCTGAGCAAATTCACCTCAGAATGGCCAGATCTGTTCAGCACAGAGAACTGGTGGACCCAGTGACTCTTCTTCACCACCTGAAACCAAGTAACTTTACCATTTATAAGCACTTTTATAGCCAAGAGTCTGACTCAACTCTCATATCCATCTTGAGAAGCAGATGCTTTTATTATTCACATTTTTATAATTATAAAGGTTCAAAGAGTTAAAATTAAATAATTTCTCAAAATCATACGGCAATAAGTGATCCAGTAGAGATTTTGAAATGAGAGCTCTAATTCCAAAGCCTTTTCTCATAACACACTGTCCTTTCCCTTCAGGGGATACGTGCACACACTAGTTTGCCTCTTTTTCCTTTTGGCTTCACATCTCACAGCTCAGTTAAGTACAGACAAGGCTATTCCCCACCCTTATCCCCATCCCTCACCCCCACCCCACACACACACACCTCACCCTCTTCTTCATCCAACTGCTTCCGTTTTTCCTTCTCTCACAACTTGGCCAACTACTTCAGAGAATAGCTTTTTTTCTATCTCCATTTTTCCTCACTCCCCCTGTTCAATGAATTTAGGTGTTAAAAGCCATATCTTATCACAAGTGATAAACTTAGAAGTACTGCTAATATTTCAGTATATCAGGGAAAGAAAAGCCATATACTTTGCAACCAGCCTCAAAGAGTCCCGAAAGTTTCTAAGAATCCCTTTCAGATACTCTGCAATCATTTCTGTCTCTTTTAAACTTCCTGTTATATGTGCTTTCTTTTAAACACCAACCATCGCAAGTCTAGATAAATGATAAACTCTCATTCTGTTTTACTGCCTTTGTATTATGCTTATCACTTGTATCATAATAGAACTGTTCTTTACATTTTGTTCATCACTGATAATACACTATTTCACTCCAATAAGCAACAAAGGGCTTGTATGGTCTAGCGTAGGAAACTAATCAGAATTTAAGATTGTTTTCTGCAAGACCAAAAAAACAAAGTGTTTTAAATATCTACTAATTGGTTTACAATGGAAAAATTTTAATGCAAACCAGACTCTAAATTTCATGAGGCTTTCATTCGAAACCACAGATACTGAGCTCATTTACTACTCGGTATACTAATATTTCTAGTCATGGCGTAGGGCCATACTTAAGTAAATAGTTAGTTTATAGAAAGGAAATAAATAGGCTTATGATTAATTGATTGATCATTATCAATCATGCACTAAACTCAGAATCGCAGGGGTGAAGTAAGTTGGAGACCATGGAGTCAAACCCCTTCATTTTAGAAATGAAGAAACAAAGGTTCACTACTGCCCTCTGATGAAGTGGGTAACTAGCTCATACTACAAACCCAGCTTAGCACCATTTCGAGTGACCTTTAGCTGAGGACTGACATCTGCTAGTATGCACATTAGCTACAAAGAGCACAGTTCTAACTTTGAAGGTGATTGGGCCAAAGCATCATCAGGTATTATATCCCAATTCTGCAACCTTAGGAAAATAAATGTTCATACTAAATAGAAAATGAATTTCTAATAACTGAATTAAACTGTTCATCTAAATAGCCAACTTCAGATTTCTCTCCACACATAATAACTTGGAAAAATATATAGCCCATGTTTACTATAGTACTATAGCTACAGTCTCTAAGAAAAGCTATAACTTGCTAACAATTTTCCTGATTTATGTTTGAAAACATACAGGGCATGAAATGATTTCTGCAACCTTACATTTTCCTCAAGAACACTGGTGAGCAGAAGATATATTCCAAAAATCACGTGGGATTGCTTGCTACATCTACTTCTTTCATAGAAATGTATGATAAGCAATTATACATGCTCCACCAAAAAAAGTCATTAGGTTTTTTTCCCCATTAAGGGAGGAAAGAAGAAAAATGGAAGAATGGATTAAAAAAAAAAAAAACGAGAAACAGGAAAGAAAGAGGAAGGAAGGGAGGGAACTCTGACAATAGGATCTATTTTCAAATAATGTTTACAATGTAAAAACTGATTGCCTCCTTAAGGAAGAAAGTGCAATAAATATTCTTCTAAAGAACAGCTTGTAGATAATGTATGGTTATAAACTGTAACTCACTATACAAATGTTAGTTATTCTTGTTGTGAGTATTTTACATATATGGAAATTTGCTTACAACCTATAAGTGTGCTAATAAAAATAGGTATTTGTGAATATAAATTACACTGGTCATAAAATCAGACTTATTAATCTAATATATCTTAGAATGAGACCAAACTTAAATGAGCCACTCTATAACGTAGATATCTGGAAATATGGTTTATCCTATTCCATTAGTATCTATCAGAATAGGAATGCAAAAGTTTTGCTATACTTCACATAATGTTGGCAACCTGAATTTAAATCTTCAAACTAGTAAACAATCACTGTCAGGCATGCATATTGTCCAAGTTAAAAAAAATTTGTTTGTATAGGGAAAGTAAAATGAGCAAATTCATTTGTTAACATCCTTTTAAGTGTCCAGGTTATTTATTTTAGCAGATACACCATAAGAAACAGCCATATAAATAAATAAAATATCTTTGACTCCCCAGTATCTTGCATGTTACCACAGGTACTCCAAACACACTCAACCTTTTTTGTGTGTGTGATAACTATGATCATTACCTTGTTTAAATGAACAAAGTATCCTTCATAATAAAAATGTAAATAAAGGCCTGATTTAAAACTATAAATGATTATTCTTCACAACTATAGGTATTATCAAGCATAATATTATAAATATACTAATAAACATCTGTATATGGTATACATGTCCAAGAGGAACGGGAGATGAGATTTATCCCCAATACAGTGCAGGGGGCAAGCTAAGGAGAGAGTGGCCTTTCACAATGGGTTGTGAATCAAGGATGAGTAAATGAATGGTATCTAACCTCCAAGAAAAAGAAAACTTCCTTCTCTGTGTGAGAGACATAAAGAGTTGCAATAATTTCACAGAAATTTTTATCAGGAACATACTACCAAGAATTTTTGCTTCAAGGTTTGCAATAATTTTTCTAGTTCTCTGAACCATAAGGCTGTGTGTATTGACCTTCTATTTCAAAAAGCTGTGTTACTTTCTGCAATCATCTCTTAAAAGAAGGCCCCGTGGGGCTCTGGCTCTCCCTTTTGGCACCACCACTAATTCCAATACAAACGTCGTATTATAGATTAGGTTCAAAATTATCTAAAGATTGTTCTGGAGAAAGATTTTTTTTTTCTTTCTTTTTCTTTTCTTTTCATTTTTTTTTTTTTTTTTTTTTTTTTTTTTAGACGAAGTCTCACTCTGTCCCCAGGCTGAAGTGCAGTGGCGCCATCTCGGCTGACTGCTATCTCTACCTCCCGGGTGCAAGCCATTCTCCTGCCTCAGCCTCCTGAGTAGCTGGGATTACAGGTGCGCACCACCACACCCAGCTAATTTTTGTATTTTTGGTAGAGACAGGGTTTCATCATGTTGGCCAGGATGGTCTCAATCTCCTGACCTCGTGATCCACCCACCTCAGCCTCCCAAAGTGCTGGGATTACAGGCATGAGTGAGCCACTGTGCCCAGCCGAGAAAGATCTTTAAACTCTCCTACAGCACCACACGCTCATCCACTAGCATGAGAGGGTGAGAACACATAGAACTTACTTATAATTCTTTGCTCTGATTCCTAAAGCCTACTTACTCTACTGGGATGGCAGTGCCAACCTAAAAACTGAATTGCAAAGCCGTATGATTTCACAGCTTTAACAAACTGACAACAAAGTGACAAGAGAAAACTTCTTCCTTTGCACAAGAAGTCCCGGTACATTATTTTGACTTTATGAAGATATTTTAAATGAATTTTTAAAAATCACAATATTATGAAACTTGATAATCATTACTTCAAAACGACAGACTCTATTGTTCATGGAAAAATTTTCAGTTGGTTTTATCATACCCGTGGTTCAATTGAAAGATTCACCAACTGCTCCCTGGAGAAAAGAGAAGATCTGCATTTAAATGGATATATAGTATTTCCAAAAGCACAGTACCTAGAAGGCAGATACCATCAAGGTTTCTTAGTGAGAATAACTCAAATTGTATTAGGTACATTTCAATGCTGTAGCTATCCCCATTTCATAGGGCTCAAATTATATCCATAACATGCTTTTTCCTCTGTGCATTCTTCATAATATTGTCTTGAAAAGTTTAAATTAAAGCTTGCTCCATCACAAAGTCCTCGCACTAACAACAAACAACTACTACTGTACGCATCATTTCTGATGTGTACAGAAAAAGACCACAGAAGATAGCTTGGCCAGAAATGTTAAATAATTGAAAAGTATAATGACTTAATAGAGTAGTAAGCTTAGTTTACAATGCAGCCAATTTAAAGCCATAAAAATACCGTGTAAAAATTTTATCTTGTGGTTGACCATTACATAACCTATCTATTATTCAAAAGTATCTCAACAGTGTTTTTCTTCATTAATGTGGCTTTTGGCATTTCCCTCAAAATCTTTCTATTCCCACATTTTTCCAACAATTTTGAAACAAATACAGAATTTCTATATTATATCACAAATCCCCTTTACTAGGATAATGACACCTTCGGTGTCTAATTGAAACCAATTTCATAGATCAATCTGTAAGGCATACTTTAACCTCCTTGGATATGATTTGTTTTGCATCTAACAGAGTCAAACACACAAGACATTTTTTTTTTAAAAGACTAAAGCTACTTGTATTGACACATCTGTAAACAAAAGGAGAACTTCATAAATAACCCCCTTTCCAATGACACACTCATCCAAGGATTTGTCTGCATTAGAAAATGTCATAGGGCATCAGAAAAGTTTTCTCTTGAGTATTCAGGTAAGGTGCATAGCATGTCTGTGCAGAAGAAAAAAGAGACACTTAGGATCCATTTCAAACATAAGCCCATTACCTCTGGCGGGCTTTCGCTAAAATTCTAGCTGCAACTGAAATGTCCCTGTAAACAAGGTTACTGAGAACAGCCCCAGATATTCCTCTCAGCAACACTTTCCTAGGAGCCCTTCAGCTGTCTGCCGGGTTAGTTATACCTTATCTTGCTGCACTGCCATTCTCATGCTGATTCACATTCAGAACTCAAAATGAAAGCTGAAATATCTTGAAGATCACTTAATATTGAAATACTGTTGCGGTAATAAGTGGTGCTCAGTCAGAGATGGGAACATGGTACTCTCTTGGTAACCTTTTAATTTCTGGAAAAATTGTACAGAATAAATTGAGCAGCACACACGGAAACCTAATCGATTGATCTGCTCTATTTTGTTAAAGCAACACCCATCACAAACTCCCCTGGCTCCCCAGGCAATTCCCGGTAAAGAAGACCAGCAGGTTTCAGTATATACCATGCACGAGGACTTTGATGCTATTTTGATTTATTAAAGAAAGGGAACAATCTTCTATCTCCATTCATCACCCCAGTCAATGGACAGTTTTATGTGCTATGTGATACCATTCTCGATATACACACGTTTAATTCTACTTAATGCGAGTTTAAAGAGTTATGAGAATTGCTTTAGTAAGAATAACAAAGCCATGCGTAACAGACAAATGTACGCTTAAATGATCATCCAGGCCTGCTTCCTTATATACTTGATTCTTTTTCTATTTGAAGGAGATGAAACCTCATCAATGTCACTTCGTCTCCATCAGTGTTTTCATGTCTCTTCTTCCTGTCAGGCATTCCTCAGCTCGGGATTTGAGAAATGTTCAAATTTCCCTCTATTTCCCACAATGACAGAACTGTTTCTCAGGTTGGTTAACTCATTTTGACAACATCAAATCTGCTGGACAGGAAAAAAAAAAAAGAGAGAGAACCCTGAAACCACTCCTCAATCCCATTTTTCTGTCTTTTTCTCTAAGACATTTCCGACTCTTTTTCTCTCGCCTGCTGCTTCTGAATTTGGGCATTTTCCAAACACACTCCCCTATTTGGTCTTTGGGCAGTGTGAGAAACAAATGAGAGTTTCTCTTCAAAACTAGACCAAGTCATTCAGCTGCTCTGAAACATACTTCACAACATCCGCAGGTCTCTTGATCTTGACTTAAAGTATTAGGCAGGAGTGTTTTGAAAGTAGTAGGAGGTCATATGGACCTAACAGCTTCTCTTAACCCACATGCTGAGAATTTCTTTTTTTCCTGTCTTTTTTTTTTTTTTTTTTTTTTTTTTTTGAGAGAGAGAGAGAGAGTGCTATTTTCAACATTGCCCTCTGGTTTATGTTAGTGAAATCATTTGCTTTCTGTGTGTGTCTGTGTCTTATTGCATGGCCACTGGTTCTGGTACTACAACACAAACATAGCAAACGTGCTTCCCTAACATAAGCAGACCCATGTGGCAATTCACAACATAACCGAGACAAGCACAATAAATAAACACATACATAATCATTCCACAGCACTGAGGCAGGCGGGGGTTTCTACAGGCCCTTCCGGACTCTTCCAGAATTGCTCATTAAGATTCTGAAAGGGGGAGAGGGTGCAGCTTGGAAAAGGTTGCCGGAAGGGAAAAGAAAGGGAGGAGGGGAGCTTTGCCCTCTGTGTCTTTCTGTCTCTGAGACTCTCCCATCACCAAACAAGGGGTGCAGGGGTCTATCCTGCAGAGGCTCTAACAGACTTGAGGGGTAGAAGGAGGTAGATGGTTTAAAATAGTTAAATGATGATCGGGTGACCTCCGTGCAACTTCAGCGACTCCCTCGGGAAGGTGAAAGGGTTGGGGAGAGAGAAGGGAGGGAAAGCAGCGTAGAGGACAGGAGGGAGACACCTAGGACTACAGCAGCAGCAATCACCAGAAGGATTTTCCAGCCCATGACAGCAGTCCTCAACTCCTGGCACCACCCTCTCCCCCAACGACCCCTGCTCCATATCCCCTCACCCTAACCCCTCCCCTCCCAGCGCCCTAACTCTGCCCTCACTCTTTGCCACTTTACCAAGCACTGAAGTCTCTATCCAGGAAGGGGGATGGGAGGGGTGTTTAAAGAACAAATCTAATTGCAATTAGAATTCATCTGTGTCTCCAGCACACACGCTCACAGTTTTGCAGTCATGGTAAGGCAAGTCTACAAGAGGTGGGCAGTACTTATGGTTGTGTTATTCAGGGAGGGGTTGCTTTTTTTTTTTTTTTCCAAGAGACTATAAGCAAGTGAAGGGGGAAGGGGGTAGCAATCTAGATTTCAACCAGGACTGCAAATAAAGAATGCCCCAGATGCAAATGTCTGTCTCCAGATGTTGATGATAAGGATTTGGACCAGTTACCTTGGCAGGGTCAGAACTGCAGCAGGTTAATCAGGTGAGTCGTCGGGGATTTTAAAGAAGCCGAAGCCGGTTTCTTTGGCTATGAAAGTCTACAAAACCCCCATGCAGGAACATTGCACATCTTACACACGCCTCCTTTAACTGGGCTCCCGCGACCTCGGCAGGCGAGGGGGTGCTGGCCGGCCCTCCGGTGGCAAGGGCACGGCCCCCCGCTCTGCCCCCGCGGGCGCGGGGCCGGCCTGGCACCCGGGGTCCGCGTCCCGAGCGGCTGTGCACTCACCGAGCCGGGCTGCGAGGGGCAGAGGGGCGCCCACGGCTAGCCGGAGCGCCAAGGCGCCTCCCTTTTCTCTTGGTAGCGTCGGTCCGCACTCCCTGTGACCCAGGACGTCATGATGCCTGTCTGTTTTCTCAATGATAACTTGGCAGAAGAAGAGAGAGGCTGCCAGGTTCTCCTCGGGTGGTTACGTGGTATGTGCACGATTCTGTTTGCATGCGTTTCTCTTTTTAAAAATAAATATCTATATTTTTCTAAAAAAAATTCCCGGCACTGTCATGATTTGATTGCATTATTGCGTTTGCATAATTGACGCCTCTGGGTGTGTATATATGTGTGCATATGCGTGTGATTTTTTTCCCCTTTAAATCCTGCTGCTCCTGCCGCCGCCGCAGCCGCTGCAAACGGAAAGCAAGCATGCGTTCATCTTTTGTCTTTCATTTTACCTTCAGGGTGACATTCAGTGCCAACTGCTCCCTTTTGACCGTCACCAATCCCCGCCTGGGCAAAATAAATTTGAAAAACGTGGGGGGAGGGGAAGGAAGAGCCCCCTCAGCCCGAATGCTGGGGTTTCCATTCCTACGGCTAGGGATCCCAAACCTACCCAACCCACCTCCCAACCCTGAAAAACCATTTTCCCTTCTACCCACCGGGCCCAGGCAGAGAATCGGCACCAAGACAGCGAGGAGCATCCACCCAGGGCCAGACACTCATGTTCGCGGCTCGCACTTGCTGACTTGCATCTCTCAGTTGCATTCCCGGTGTGTAGGCCTCTCACAACTGGAGCTATTTTTGTCTCCCAGAGATGTTCTTTAAAGCCTTTTAAAAATGGGGAGGGGTCAGGGAAGAAAGAGCGAGAGACAAATAGAGAGAAAGGGACCCAGAGAGAAGCCCAAACCCCTAGTTGAGAAACTCGACTGACACATCATAAAATTTGGGGGGCTCCGGGCATCTGGCCCACCAGGGGAGTCTGGAAGGGCAAGAAGGATAACTAGATTTTATTTAACTCATTCTACAACAGCAGGAAAACTTTTTTTTAATACAAAGATGTTATTGCTAATTATGCACTGTATCTGTTATTTTTATAATTATGCTCAGAATCAGTAGGAGTGGTCTCAAGAACAATCCTTAACGTTTACTTCTGCAAATATGAGAATGCATTTTTAGCCGGTGTGGCCACATGGCAGGTAAAGCACAGATTACTTCTTTTTCTAATATTTGTGTTATTTGTACATTGTCTGGTACCTTTTATGTAGCTTCTCTTAATCATAATGTTGTGTATATTACCCAACATGTGGCATATTCCTGATAAATAAGTATCTAGCACCAGGTTTGGCAAATGCTTTGCTCTGCTTTATCAATAATTATCCATTTGGAGTAACAACATTTGTTTAGGAATTTTTATTTTCACCGAGCCTGTAGTTGGCCTTTGTCACCATCATGTATTGGTGGAGTCACTGTTCCTACTAATTCCAAATTCCTAAAAGATGACAGCAGAGGCCGAGGTTGCAAAAAATTAAGCACAAGGAGAGTTTTGAATCTGAAAAGCACAGCCGATTGAGAGAAAAACTTTTGAATTCATCCATAATAATCTGCAGCTGCTCGAAGGTTTAAAAATAGTTTACCTATTTGAGAGGTCGGATAAGTTTAATGAAAACAGCAAGTAACTTACTAGATCTTTTCCCTTTAGAGTCACAGTCCAAGAATCATTCGCAAATTCCACAGGGAAGATATTGTAATTATGCAGAGACCAGATGATCTGAATTGGAGAAACTAGACTAAGAGGGTCTGAGGACTATTGACTGATGGCCAGATCCCAAAACTTGGCCTATGTCTCTCCACCTTGAAAATTGGACATAGCTTCTCTGGCTCACTTTGCTTATCTGTCCCTTTGGCATGCCAGAAGGATGAATTGGTGCAGTCTTGTCGGGTGCTTAGATGTTACCAGAGGCATAGATGTTTCCAAAGAGGGCAAAGGCCTATTGAGAACTCAAGGAGGGATTACTATAGGCGTTATTGGTAACTTTCCAGTAACTATCCAAGAGGTACTCGTTAATATTCAATCTACCATCCTGGTTCTCCAGCTTTTTTACTTATTAACCTTGGAATTGGACCTTTAAAGACTCACCACAAAGCGAAAGAACCATAACAATTTGACTAACTTTAATCCTCTGAAATCCAATTTTGTTTTGTTCTTTTCAGACAAATGTCTTCCATGCTGTTTGTCACCACTCCACATGCCAGTTCAGGCAGCTGAGTGGTTTCTTACCCCAGGAGTGAGATGTTTGAGCAACTAGCAAAGAGTAGAGGCAGCGTACCCAAGAACTCTGGAGTTTGAATAGATCCTTTCTAAGCCTAGATTCTCTAAATCCAACTCTGCCTAGGAACCGCTCTCTGTTGCTTATTCAAGTTCAAACTCTGCAGACTACTTTCAAGTCTTTATTTTCCGGCTTCATCCAAAATATAATAGTTAATATTGTTGGAGCATGTTCAGTTTCACTTCCCAACCAAACCAAAGGGCATAAAAATGCTTACTAAGGTAGACGGAAGATATAGAAGGCAATGCCCTAAACTTTACTCATGCTTAGACCTTGTAAATCTAATTAAACCTCCTCAACAATATGGGAATGGAAGTATTATTATCCCCATTTCTGTGCCAAGGAAACTGAGGCACAGAGAAGTTGAGTAATTTGCTCAAAATTACACAGATGGGGTTCAAATTAAAGTGTCCTGAGTGTTCGCCATCAAGCTCTCTGCTTACCTACCTACCTACCTATTCAAACTTATTTCCAACTACTGGCATCACTGAGCCATGGTTCAGTCAGGCTGGTCACCCACTGTTCATCTCATACACTCTGTTGACTCACACTGCGATCCCAGTGTCGAAGCTTTCAACTCCCTCTTCACTTCCCAATTCCTTTCTGAACAAATATGCATTTTTCCGCTTTCTCTTCGGGTTTACCTAACATAGTGCTAAGTACAACACTGGCTCTCATTAAATACCTTCTGATGCATTAATTGACATAAAATTGCCTTATGGAGACCTAGAATGCCACTTTTCAATTTGACAGAAATTAAAAGTTTTATGTAGCAAAAGTGTTATCCTTTCAGCTGAAGAAATGACAAGCTAATTTCTCCATATTTTAGACAGTCCCTAGAAAACAATTTAGGGAAGCATTCTATGATAAGGTAGAACTTCATATGGGGAGTGAGGTGGGTGAGCAGGTATATAATTGTAGTACTTGAAAAGCTACTGTAAACTTAATTATTATGACTTTATAGCTCTTATGAGTCTTTCTCTGCTATATTTTGAATTTTTGATGTCAAGATATTAAAATTTCCATTTAAAAGGAAAGGAAAACAAATAAGAACCCGTAGGCAGGAGATATGTGATCTCATCTTGGAGCTGCTGCTAGTGCTCGCTGTGTGACCTCTGGCAAATTATTTAACCATTCTGGGCCTCAGTTCCCTAATTGCACAAGGAAGGGTTGAACCAGTCTCCAAGGTCCCTCCAGCTCCAAGCTTACAAGTATGACACAGGATGTGAGAGAGGAGAAAAAGCAAGAACACTCAGCCTGGAGTGAGACTTGTTTTTTTGAAGGATGCGAAAAAAATGCTGGAGAGCTCAGGTAAAGTTAGACAAGTTTATGTCTCTAATTCCTGTGTAGAGTTAAAGGCAGCTCAGGAAAAAAAAAATCCATGCAAAAATATGTTCAAACCTACGGTTTCCGGTGGCTCACACCTGTAATCCCAGCACTTCAGGAGGCCAAGGCGGGAGGATCGCTTCAACCCAGGATTTTGAGACCAGCCTAGGCAATGTAATGAGACCCCTTCTCTGCAAGAAATAGAAAAAATCAGCAGGGCATGGTGGCATGTGCCTGTTGTCCCAGCTACTCAGAAGGCTGAGGCAAGAGGATTGCTTGAGCCCCGAAGTCAAGGCTACAGTAAGCGGTGATCGCACCACTGCACTCCAGCTGAGGTGACAGAGTGAGACCCCTGTCTCAAAAAAAAAAACACACACACACATATAAAAACCCTACACTTTACAAAACTGCCCTTTTTTAATGAGATAAAATTATTTATTATTATATTTTTTATTAATAATAAAATATTATTATCTGAGACAGGATCTGGCTCTGTATTCCAGGCTGGAGTGCAGTGGCCTGACCATAGCTCACTGTAACCTCAAACTCCTGGGCTCAAGCAATCCTCCTGCCTCAGACTCTGGAGCAGCTAGGACTACAGGTACGTGCCACCATGCCCAGCTATTTTTTTAAACTTTTTTGTAGAGATGAGGCCTCGCTATGTTGTCCAGGCTGGTCTCAAACTCCTGGCCTCAGGCAATCCTCCTGTCTTCACCTCCAGAGTTGCTGGGATTACAGGCATGAGCCACTGCACCCAGACCCCAAGATGAAATTATCAACAACCATGTTTACCAGTAGCCTACCATATCAGCCAAAATGTTATTAGTCATTATTCATGTGTGCCTAAAACTTTCTTTCTAACACTATCAAATCGTATAGACCTAATTTGATATGAATGGATCCAACCTATTTTGCCTTGATGTCTTCAACTCACGTGTAGCTTGAATTAAATCATGAAGAACAGAGGTCTACAGAGACTTGGGGTATAGAATCAGAATGAGACTTTTTGCATGTTTCCTGTTTAACTGAGTAAGCCTGTGTTCTTTTCCTTATTTGTCCTCATGTGTTGAATAATTACAACTCATTGACTTTCTCATCAGGTTTTTGTTGGGATAAAATGAAGTAGTGGAAATGAGACAGACTCTACCAATACAACAAAATATTATCATGTCAGATGTGCCTTATCTTACATCTGAGTTGTATTTCTAAAAAGTTTACCAAGTTAGCAGAGCATGTGGAGACAAGATGTCAGGTCCCCTGGCTGAGAATCTGAGCTGATTTCTGCACATCTTGCTAGTTATAGGATTTCACAAGGTCCTGTAGCTAGTGAAGAGCAGAATTGAGTTGGCTATACAAATAAACTGCCCTCTCCACAGACCATTCTCAAAAGACATGGTACAAACTCTGGGAAAGTAGGCAGCCAATCACATCTCACCAAAGACCAAATTCATTCAAACATTTATTTAAAATAGAAATGTATATCAAGCCTCTGACATGAAAACAGTTTTATATAAGGCAAATTCCTTAACCAGGTTTCATTATAGCTCTAGGGATCCATGGATGAATTAAGAAACTCTTGAAGTTGTAGGCAAAGTGTGTGTCTGTGAGTGTGTGTGTGTATGTGTGTGTATTGTTCTCAAGAAAAGATCCATAACTTTTGTCACATTCTCAGAAGGGTGCATGACTCCAGAAAGGTTAAGAACCACTGATGTAAGAATCATTTATTTAAAAACTGAACTTATAAAGAATAACACATTCATTTAAGCCAAATGTCATGATGGCCACAACACAGATAGTGTATAATAATCACCAGTATTCAGAATGATGGCCTTGAGACACAATAAAAGCCTCAGTCATCAAAGACATTTATTTTCAAGGTATTTTACTTAACTGACATGGGAAAATGAACCAGCCTTTTAGAAAGATTTGAATATTGATTTAAAATGAGGTTTCTGCTTTTGTTTAAGCCAGTTGGGCAAGTCTCTGTGTGCTAAGCAAGGTGGATTAGTGTAGAAAAATATGCATTGTTTCAGAAAGCGCAGTTAGGAGTCCACTGCACTTGTTGAGGTGGCAAAGAATGGGGGACTGAGGCCGGACCTTGGCAGTGGGGAGGGAGGAGGAACTGGAGGGATATTTGGCAGGAAACTGAAATCAACAGACTTAAATGTCTGGCTTGGGCAACTGAATTAAAATGGTAGGATATTAAACAGGTACAAATAAAGGTTTTGGTAAGAAAATAATGAATTTGGTTTAAAATGTTAGATTTAAAGGCCTCTGGAACATCCAGATTCCACAGGTCTTGGGAAAGATTTAGAAGAGATTTATGAAGCATGGTGGCACATGCCTGTAGTCCCAGCTACTTGGGAGGAAGGTTGGGGCCCAGGAGTTTGAAGCTACAGTGCACCTTGATCACACCTGTAAATAGCCAGTGCATGCCAGCCTGGGCAACATTGCAAGACTCTGTGTCCACATTTTAAAACACATTTTTTTAAAGAAGACATTTATGGCTGAAGAAATTTATTTGGGAATCATCAGTAAATTAGTGATGGCTTAAGCTGGTAATAAAAGTGTGAAAAATTATAAATGTAAATGACTTAGGAGAGTCTTAAATAAAGCTGCATTTATTTGAATAAGTTCTTACTTTTAAAACATGAAATTATATAACACCCAAGGAAAAATAGTGTTGGTGACTTTAAATATTTATACAACTGTATTTGTACCATACATTTCTGAAAAAACCTATCCACCTCAGAATTTTATTTTACATTGTGGGTTTTCTGGAGTTCTTGCATTTCAAGACTCAATTTTCCATTTGAGATAGCGCATTCACTGCCTGGTTTTAGAAGGGAGAAAGAGTTTTCCTTGGCAACCAGGTTCAACTGGAAAAAATAATCAAGATGTCACCTGATGCCACAAGCTACCAACTACGTTCTCAGCTATGTGGACCTGCCAGTTGCTGAACCAGCAGAGGAAACTCAGCGTCATGGAAAGAACACTAAACTTAGAACAGTTGAGTGTGAGTCTCATTTCTGCCTCTTACTGCTTTTGCGACCCTGGGCAAGTCATTCAACTTCCCAGAACCTGGATTTCCTCTTAGTAACTGCCCTATCATCCTCCAACAATCCTCAGGTAACGATCCTTAGAGCACTGGTGTTTACGAGTCGCCAAAGGGGTGGATTGACTGAACCCAATCACATGTTTAAAAAGCCATTTCCTTGATTAACTTCCTCCAGGATGACTCCTCCCACTGTCCTCCCCATGACAGCCCACTGAGGTTAATCTCTCCTTTGTCTCTACTTCCATCCACAAACTGATATCATTGTATTTATGCTTTAATTATTATTAATATGACTGTCTTTGCTGCCTTTTGTGTAAAAGATGTTTTAGTTATTTTTTTATTCCTAGTGCCTAGCACACAGTAGATGCTCCATAAATACTAAATGAATAAACAATGATCAAGGAGAACATTTGCCTGCATCTGTTCCAATTCTCTGAAAATGCTTAAGATGAATTGGAAAATGGAAAAAAGCTGGGCTAGCCTTACTGCTAGGCTGTAGGCTACATACAGATGCTTTGCTTAGAAGGCACCTCTCCAGCCTGGGCAACATGGCAAAACCCCATCTCTACAAAAATTTTAAAAATTAGCTGGGTGTCGTGATGTGCACCTGTAGTCCCAGCTACTCAGGAGGCTGAGGTGGGAGGATCAGGATTGCGAATAGGGCTGAAGTTTTGGATTCCTATCCAGAACATGACAGTTCTTTACACTTTCACAGACCCATGAAGCTTATCCCTTCTCCTTCAACCCATGAGGATGAGGCTGCAGTGAGCTGTGATCTCACCACTGCACTCCACCCCCTCTAAAAATTAAAAAAAAGGCACCTCTCTATTATAAAACTCCTAAATTTACTGTTTACTCTTATGTGTACAGTTCTTGTAGGGAATAAAGTCTGTCATTTCCCAATCAGACTTAAAACTCAAAGGCTGACTTTCCGGGCAAGAAAATAACACTGACTTCATTTGACACTGATATGTAAATGCTCAATACCAGGCTTTGCCAGAAAGCTAAGAAAAAGAAAATGACAGCAGGAGAAGCCACTGTAAATGTAAAGGAGGGCTGCACAACCGAATGTCCTGTTTTCAAATTCCTGAGGAATTTTCCTAAGCTCTCATTGATTGTGTATTTCACTTTCAAAATGGAAATTTTATAATATTTAAGTATCGGGGTTATTGGGAAAGTTAAATGAGATAATGCATGTGATGGCATAATCCCTTGTCAAAGTAGGCAGCTGATAAAAGCAATTCTCCTCCCTCTCTTCCTTTCTTTCTTCCTAACTGCTTACCTTCCCATAAGAAAAGAATCAAGTTCATCGATTTGCAACCATGATCAATTTGTAAGTATTTCTTTTGGCCAGGCTGCTTAAAAAAAAAAAAAAAAAGATGATCTCAGGGATTAGTTTATGACCATGGTTCCTAAACTTTGCCACACATTGGAATCACTTGGAAAGCTTTTTAAAATCCTAATGCCCCAGTCACACCCCATAGCAATTAGTCAAACATCTGAGGGTGGGAACCAGGCAATAGTATTGCTTTACAATCCCCAAGTGATTCTAGTGTGCTTCAAAGTTTGAGAGTCACTGGCAAATGTAGGGAAATGGGCCTGTGGCCAGTTAATTTCATGGACTGGAGCCTGATGCAAATAAGGCTGAAGTGTTGGATTCTTGTCCAGAACATGAAAGTTCTTTACACTTTCACAGACCCATAAAGCTTATCCCTTCTCCTTCAACCCTCCATCAGCAAGCTCTTTATAAATGAACCCTAGACAGAGTCATCACAGTGAATTGACTCTCTGAGTACCAAAAAGCAAGTGAAAAAGTACATCATAAAACACTCATATTTATGGTATTTTACCATTTAGAAAGTGCTTTAACACCTGATTTTATTTACTCTTTACAACAAGCCTGCATAGCTGGCATTATTATTATGCCCAATTTATAGATGATAAAGCCAAAAAGAAAGCTTAGCTTGCTCAGGGACAAAGTGGCACATTCCAGTCTCATACTGAGATCCGGGATTCCAGAATCGATGCTCTTTTCCTGGAGCCCCTCAGAAGCTCCACTGATGATGGGCAAGTAGGAGTGTATCCACATTTGAAGGTTGCTACAGAGAAACGGTCTAGCTGCTCTATCAGATTAGGAAGGAAAACAGGAAGAAAAGGAGGGTGGAAGGGAGGGAGGGAAATACTGCTCATTATGTTTTGAGTTAAACAGGTTCCTTTCCAGCAGGCTTTTTCAAATTATTTAATGTGCCTACAATCATTCTAAGTTTCCAAAACTTATTATTTCCAAAGCGATTGAACAGTGAAACCACTTTTAACTCAGCATTTCTCAGGACTAACATCCCATGGAATGTGATTTGATATATGTTGCCATGGTTTTCCTCAGCTCCCTCAAGACTTTGTTAAAGTAGCACCCTCTTAGGGAGGACTACCTATGTCACCTGATTTAAAACAGAAACATCACCTTGCCCGCAGCCCAGTCCTCACCTACTTTCCTGCTTTATTCTTTTCCCCCATAGCCCTTAACACCTTCTAATACACTTCATAATTTACTCATTTATTTTGTTTACTGTCTCGTCTTCTATGTCTGTAAGCTCTATGAGGGCAGGGCATTCTTCAGCTATTTGTTTTTACATGGTGATATTTCCAGAACAGAGAAAAGTGCCTGGCACAGAGTAGGTGTTCAATAAACATGGAGTCCTAATGAATGACTGGATAACAAGAAATGTGCCAAGAAAGAAATGCAAATGAAGGCATCTTCTTCACAGTTAGGTGCCCTTTGAAAGTATCTTTTCCAATCCTACTTATCCCTCATGATGAGCTAATGAAGTGGATATTATTCCTACCTTATAGAAAAATAAAGTGAGAATAACAACAATTAGACCTGTGAGCAGAGCAAAAAAAAAAAAAAAGTCAAGTAAAAAGATGGTTACATTAGAATTAATTCTTTTTAATTTTCTATGTAATTATTGTGGGATAAAGCACATGTGCTAGATATTTCCAACAGTATCTATGAAATCTAATATAATGTGGATAGCCATGAATTGTACCAAGGACCAATACATCAGCCCAGGATGCTATTTTCTAGCCACCAACACCAGACCAGGCTGAGATATAAAAATTCAGAAGATCTCTGGTGCAAAAATGGTCATCATTGTCTGGATTCAGATTCTCCATCAGTGAAACCATGATTCTGAGAAACATTCTCTAGAGTTCTAACGGCAGCCAGACTGTAACACAGGTGTTAGTTGGATCCTCCCCACAATTGTACAAGGGCTCCACTACACAATAACAATGCTTTGCATCCAGGTGGAGCTTTTCTCTGTAAAGGTCAAAGTGCTGTGAGCAATTCAAACATAAGCAGGGGTGATGATGGCCCATCAAGCTCAGAAAATGACCCAGTTGACCAGTTCCTCTCCAAACACGGAGAATAACAATGAAGTGGAGAATCCGTAGTAATAATGTTGGATGAATGCTCCGTTCCGTTACATTTTCTTTTTATCCAGAAAAAAAAAAAAACGCATTTGTGAAGTGAATTATTTTGGTAATGAAAGTGGTATTTATTAAACACACTAGAAACTGCAAATCCAAATAAGTATTTCCCTTCAAAATAGTCACTTGGGGAAGCTATGTAATTACTTTAGTGATCCTGAGATTGCTCTAGACATTCTGGGAATTCCTCTTTTAAAATCACCTTCATAGATGGTTTAGGACTCATACAGAAAACCAGTATCATTTCTCTAAGGCTGTACTTTATATGACAAAAATACATTTCATTCCCAAGCCAACTTGGGTGGTCAATATAGTCAAGATATCTTGTTAAAAGCACAGCATGCCAGGCTGACCCCAACACTCTATAATAGGTCAGGGCTGGAAATGGGAGTTTGTCTTTGAATGATGGATCACCCCAGGTGATTCTGTTAGGTGCCCTTTGACAGTATCTTTTCCAATCCTACTTATCCCTCATCTAGTTTTCTTCACAAACTGTGGGTTAGAGTGCCTTGCTGGAGGACAGGGTTGGAGGCTAAACCTTATCCTGAGCCAGTTAGTTGTATTAGCCCATTTCTGCATTGCTGTAAATACCTGTCACTGGGTAATTTGTAAAGAAAAGAGGTTTAATTTTGGCTCACATTTCTGCAGACTATACATGAAGCATAGTGCTGGCACCTGCTTCTGGTGAGGCCTCAGGAAGCTTACAATCATGGCAGAAGGTGAAGGGTGAGCCAGCACATCACATGGCGAGAGTGGGAGCAAGAGCGAGAAGTAAGAGGTGCCACTCTCTTTTAAACAACCAGATCTTGGATGAACTCAGAGTGAGAACTTACTTATTACCCCAAGGATGGCACAAAGCCACTCTCAAAGAATCGGCCCCCATGATCCAAACACCTCCCACCTTGGGGATTACATTTCAACAGGAGATTTGGAGGGGACAGACATCCAAACTATATCATTAGTCTTCCTCTACTTTATGGCCACAAAGCCTGAACCTCTAACATCTAATCATTCATTCACTGACATAGCATCTTTGGAACCCTTACCATTTGTTTTACAAAGAGTAACCTATTGGTAATGAGAAAGTCAAGCAAAAAGTGTTGACG
The DNA here is from genome assembly GCF_000001405.40 of Homo sapiens. NCBI lineage: Eukaryota > Metazoa > Chordata > Mammalia > Primates > Hominidae > Homo > Homo sapiens. Next base: position 217,101,078 of record NC_000001.11, read on the forward strand.
GTTAGCCTAAAACATGCCTCTATGAGACACATCCTCTTTCTTGCCAGGTTCTTTTGGCCAACCTCATGACTTCAACTTTTTCTTTGGAGACAGAACAAAAAAGAATAAGGAGCACATGCTCCAGAATAAAACTGCCTGCAGTCAAACCCTTCCTGACCACCTAATCAGGTAACCTAAGGCAAGTTACTTAATCGGTCTGTGCCTCAGTTTTCCCCATCTGTGAAATGTAGCTAATACCTCCTAGGGATGCTGACAGGATTCAGTGAGACAATGTATATGCAATGTTTAGCACAGTGATCATAGCTTTCAACTAATATCAGTTATTATTTTTGACACATGTGTTAATGATCCTTAAATCATTAATTCTAGGTCAGAAATCTCAACCTCTTTCCTTACCATTAGTACATAGATGCCCATCAGCATTTCAAACTGATAAGATAGAAAATTGAATTAATTATTGGCCCAACTTCCTAAATGGTTCTAGCTCCTTGGCTCCTAGTCTTGGTTCAAAGTATCATCATCTGTAGGATCATTTAGTTTCCAAACCAAATCTATCTCAAATGCTTTCTCCTACCTCACTCCACCTCCCACATCAGCAAACACACACACCCACATGCATATTCATTTAGTTTATAAAGTCATGTTGATTCTACCTCAACAAGTTTTCTTTCCATTCTTGTGTGTGTATGTGTTTGTGGTTTAAAACAACATTTTATTTTTTTTTTTATTTTATTTGTTTATTTATTGAGACAGAGTTTCACTCTTGTTGCCCAGGCTGAAGGGCAATGATGCGATCTTGGCTCACCGCAACCTCTGCCTCCCAGGTTCAAGTGATTCTCCTGCCTCAGCCTCCCAAGTAGCTGGGAGTACAGGCATGCGCCACCACGCCTGGCTAATTTTGTATTTTTAGTAGAGATGGGGTGTCTCCATGTTAGTCAGACTGGTCTCGAATTCCCGACCTCAGGTGATCCCCCCGCTTCGGCCTCCCAAAGTGCTGGGACTACAGGTGTGAGCCACCGCACCCTGCCTAAACCAACTTTTTAAAATAAATTACTACATTCCAGATTTAAACACTGCACATGCATCAATTCATAGAAATCTTTTAACAACCTTATGCAATAGGTGTTGTTACATCCATTTTTAAATCTGTAAAAACGGAGGCACAAAGTGGTTAGGAAACTTGCTGGGGTTCAATCAGCAAGTAAGTGTGGGATCTGGGAGTCAATCCCAGCAGCATGGCCCAGAGCTATGCCTCTCACCACCATACAGCATTGCTGCTATTATTTTTAAAATAATAATAATTAATATGTGTTATCAATACAACATATTCTCATGATAATCTTATGATGTACATGCTGTTAAAACTCCTCTTTTACAGATGAGGGAGTTGAAACCTGTAGTGTATGAGTTGCCACTTCTCTAGTTTGGGTCTCCATTGCGTACTGCCTGGGCTAATGAAATTACCCTCCCACGTCTTCTCTGAACCTTTCTCTGCACACTTTTAAAAAGTTAAAATTTTTCAAATTACTTTACACTCAGACTTCTGAATAACCTTCCCCAAAGCATGGTTTTTGTCCTTCATTTATTCTTTAACACATATTTATTAAAAACTACATTCCAAGCAATGTTTTTCTAATCCATCATTCACAGGTAAATCTGGTATGTCCCTAGCCTACAACAAGCTCTTACTCTTTGGGAGACACTGGCACATAAACATCATTTCTACACATTGTAAAATGTGTCCTGTAGAGGTACACAGAAAAAGGCCTCTAAGGTGGCATGTAGGGGCGGGTGGGAAGAATGGGTCAAAGAAGGCTAAGCACAAGCTGAGAGGCTTATACAGTCAGCGAGGCAGCTGATGGGGGAGAGAGAAGGGGAATAAAGAAGAGAGGGCCTGCTTGGCAGAGGGGAAATATGAACAAATGCAGAGAGACTCCTGTGAGCAGGAGACTGCAAATCATACTGTCAAATAATTCTGTCATTCTGTGTCAAAGGGGTTTAGGTACCCAGTCTGGAAGGCTTGGATTGGAGATTTGTCTTGAAGCTTGGTTTATAGAAAGCACAGAGTTTTTACATGTTTATTCTGTTCATTTGAGCTTGCTTGCAGGGAGTGGAAGTTGATCGAGAGTAGAGGAATGGAAGCCTCCTCCGTCAGTCAACCTTGGTACTACCACTGGTACTGCTGGAAGATGAAGTGTGAGGCAGAGAGTGAGGAGAAAGAGGGTTTCCCAGACAGCTCAGGGAGTCTAGACTTCCTGCTCAATGAGCAACAGTTAAAAGATTTTAGGCCGGGCACCATGGCTCACACCTGTAATCCCAGCACTTTGGGAGGCCAAGGTAGGAGGATCACTTGAGGTCAGGGGTTTGAGACCAGCCTGAGCAACACAGCGATACCTCATCTCTACAAAAAAAAAAAAAATCAAAAAAAGGTCAGCCAAGCATGGTGGCATGTGCTTGTGGTCCCAGCTACTTGAGGAGGCTGAGGAGGGAGGATCACTTCAGCCCAGGCGTTTGAGGCTGCAGTGAGCTAGGACTGTGCCACTGTATTCCAGCCTTGGTGACAGAGCAAGACTCTGCCTCCAAAAAATAATTAATTAATTAATTAATTAATTAAAAGAATTTTTTAAAGGGAATGACATGATTGTACTTATGTTAATGAATAGAATATTCAGATGACGAATGCCCCTCCAAGCCTCACAATTCTAAAGTGCCTTCCTCATGCACAAAGAAGGAACCAAGCATTAAGGCCCTGAGGTGTCAGCATATTTTTTCTGTTTGAGAAACAGCAAGCAGACTCAAGTGGCTGAAGTAGAATCCAAGGTGAGACAGCGTGGGGCACTGGAAATAGTAGGGGAAAATATCAGAGAGATGGGAGTCACTGGAAGGTCCTGATGGCAGGATCAACCTCACTTGGCTTATTATGAAAAGAAGCACTGTTTGCTCTGATCCTTGATAACACATAAAGATACGTAACTATTCCTAGAACAGAGCTTGGCACCCAAAACATCCTCTAATGTTGCTCTTCCCTCAGCACCTATTCCTTGTTAAGCTTCACAGATTCATACTTCTGTTCTTCCACCTTTTACTAAAGAAGAAAATGATCTAAGTCAAAGATGGGACTGTCTTTGTGTCTCTTGTAGCCCCTGTGAACAGCATGGGTGTGGACAGCACCTTGAGCTACTCAAGGACAGCGCTGGTACCTACTGAGTTCTTAATTGTGGAAGATGCTGGAAGCTACTGTTTAAAACATAGATGAAATGGGAAAGGAGCAAATAGTAAGCCACCATCAACTTGCAGTCAACATGGTAAAGTGGAAAAACCCATGAAGCCTGGATTCAGAAAGCCTGGCTTCTAGACATGGCTCTATCACTCACCAGCCGAGTGGCCTTGGGTAATTCAACTATCTGAGCTTCATTTCTTCAACTGTTCAGTGAAGGTAATTCCTGCCTCAGTATTGAGGTGGGCAATACAAATGAAATCAAGTGAGTGAGAGCAATTTTTAAAGGATGATGGGGTAAATGAGAGTGAGATATCCTCATCTTATCAGTTGACTGGTCCCCAAGCAAGGTCTTGAAGTCACAGAACTGGAATGTAGGTAGGAAAGGGTCTAGAGAATCAAGCATTTGGTGGCACAGGGCATTGGGCTTTAAGTAAAAAGAGGGGGAAAGAAACAGTGGCTTTATCATGTGATCAGCAGCCACAGTTTTTCCATTCATAATAGATTTTGTATCCAATATTTTTTAATTGACAATAAAAAATTTGATAAACTCTATGGTTTCAGATGTATCATAACTCTCTTCCTTAGGGATGCAGCTTCCATTGTGAGTAACAAATCTTGGGGAAAGTTCACATGACAGTTCATCTCTAGGAAAGAGCATTTGAATGATCATGGCTAATCATGTTCTGTGTGAATTCAGTTGGACAGTTAAGGGCAAGATTCCATCTATTACCTATACTCTGTGACCCTCTCTTTCCCAAAGAGGACTCCACCAAAACCACATGCAAATTTAGCTCAATTTGAGGCATGACATCTATCTGGACCCCTAGTCAGGGACAATCCAAGAAGGCTAATATTATGTCATGATCACCCTTCCTTTGGCCTTGTGGTGACTGGTATCCTAACTTCAATAACTAAACTCCTTACTTCTGTATCAAATCCCCATTTAGCTCTAGGCATAATCCTAATAATCAATTTTAAAAAGCAGTTATATGTTACACTGTTAGTGTGATTCAGGCATGTGCTAAGTCCTTCATTATTTTTAACATCACAATAATCCTACAAGGTAGTCACTGTCTTCTAATAGACTTTGTAGAGGTTGGAGTTCAGAGAGATGAAATACTTGCTCAGGGGCATGTGTTAGTAATTGGGGAAATCAGGATTTGGATCGAGCTGTTCATCTCCCCAGCCTTAGTCAGAATGGTCCGAGTGCTCAAACCTGGCTCCTGAATGCTGACCCTGTGCCTGGGTCCTCTCTAAAGTCTTCCTGTCTTTGTGGCCTCCCCTGGACTCCCTGGCTGGCTGGAATTGCCACCACTTACCACTTGCTGGATTTCCCCGATGCTGATGCTGACTCCTGTAGGAGCGCCTGCCTGTCTCCATGGTAACAGATCCTGCATACTATTCTCCTAGTTAGATTTTCTTCCCCCATTCTGCACCTGGACAATCAGCCTAGCACCTGCCCCATTCTAGTAGCCATCCCTGTGTCTCAAGTCTCAGTGTTTTCCAGCCTGTGATTTCCAAGCATGCGAAGTTGGCTATGTGACCTTGGAGTCTCCTAGGTGAAAACGTTGGAGGCCATGACATAGATGCCAACAAAAATACTCACTTTCACCCTATTTCACTTTCTAGGTAAACAGCATAAACCTTGAAACTGTGTAATTATCACTTTAAAAACTAAATGAGAGTGACCAAATTCAGACTGTGATGAATTCAGTTGTTTGTATAGAAGTTAAACATTAATGCAACATCCCAAAATTGGCAGCCACAATGATACACTTAATTGCCATAAATAAAGAAGTTCTTTCTTCCAAAAATGAAAAAGAATAAAGTGCTGAGATAAGGTTGATGTCTTTAAATGCAGTAGTCTCTAAGTGATAGATTTCAAATAGTGTTTAAGGAAGGGAAACATTGTTTTTGTAAGTAATGGTAGTTAAATTCTCAATACATAATCCAGAGAAAAGAGCGGCATCTCTGACTAAATGGCAACATGAATGAAGGTCAGACCTCTTCTAGGTTGTCCTTCTCTGTTCAGCCACCATTCGGGAAGCCCCTCGTTTATACCACACACATACATCTATTCACACACTCACATATGCACACACACACACACACACACACACACGACCTGGTCTCAGCCTTTTTATTTTTTAAGCGATTCTATGACTCATTCCTGAAAGTATTTAGTTCAGTGTGAATTGAGATGACAGGGTTGTAAAAGACATTGATGGTTTTACTTTAGGAACTGGATATTAAGGAAGAAGAAAAGCTCTGAGTTGTTTTGCATAAAGAACCACATGGATCAGGAGGGATTTTCTGAAACAGAAATTCCCTTAGCAGTCTTCTTCCCTATCCTGTTACAAGCTGCTTGACCAACCTGAAGTTCTGCTGACACGGGGATCCTTAGCTTTGAATTTTGCCTCCTTCCCACTGTGACCAACCCTCAACCCTATCTCCAGCCTCTCTGCCTGTAACCTTGACAACCTCCTTTGCCTGACTTTGAATTGTGACAGACTCACTCCTGTCACTCTAAAGTGAGCATCGCCGTAAAAATTCTTCATGGCAAACAATAGATTCTGCCTCTTTTTATACTTTCACCAAGCTCTGCGTGTCCATGATGATTTAAAAGTCAGTCTCCGGTCTCTCCCTTTCAGTTCGTCACCTACCTGGAACAAAACAACCTTTAAACCAGAACAACTAAGACAGTTTTCATAGATCTGGATGTATGGATTAGATTGATCATTGTTCATATATTCATCTGTTTTTCAAGCCCAGCAGAGATATTACAGCAGAACTAAAACTGATTAATCTGAATATCCTCTGACTGATATTAATAGTCTGGCTTAATCTTAAAATTTGAAAGAAAAAAAGTGAAATTTGCCAATCTGATATGTTACATCAGAAAAATTAAAGATAAGCAAATAAGAGTACGTCAAATCTCCTGTTCCTTCGGACGCTTGGATAAGATTCCCTTTCTAATGTTCACTAGATTCTGCATGATTCCAACTTTTCTGCTTTGGATTAACAGTGTAGCTCACATTAATTTTTATTACTGATGACTTTACCCAGCATTCAGGTGACAACAATAATTTATTCATGGGTGAATCAAATGTCAGTGCTTCCCTGATAGAGTCCTGTGTGATTTCTAGTTATGTCTTTTTACTTGGAAGCTAAAACTTATATATTGCACTTTTTCCCCCCTGGGGTTAGTTTGTGAAGTTTGTTTTATTAGGCAACAGACATAGGAAAAGGTATCAGTTCTTCTTAATAGTTGCATTTAAATGCATATATGAACATTTCATTGTGGGTAGTTGGGACTGAAAGTTCACAAGGAAGTTACCTATTAGATATATGGTCTGTTTCAGTGCCCAAACTTAATGCTGAAATGTATGAAAAACTCTTCTAAAATTCAGTCTGAGCTACTTATGCACAAGGGCCATAGGATTGGCCTCCATACAATTATTTAAGATGTTATAAAGAGTATTTTCCATCTTTCTTATGCTTGGAAATAGTTAGGTTTTATGACTGCTGAGTCAGAGCCAAAAAATATAATTTTATGCCATAAAATACAACCTTTTCCTTTGGCTGTGAAAATTTATATGTACATATTTATGTGCATATATAGATAAAAATCTTCATAAACAGACTAGCCCATTTGAGATGAACTCTATTTAAAGCATGTCATTCCTGACTCTGATGATATTACTGCTATGTTTAAAAAAAAAACAGTGCCTCCCCATAACCTACCAAATTAAAAACAAATACTCTAAACTGGTATTAAAGTCTCTACCCAGTTTTCCAAAAATTCTTCCTGCTTTTTCTCCTAATTCTTGACAACACAAACTCTTAACTTGCCAAAAGAGACCAAATACAGTTGCCACTTGCTGAAACATTTGATTCTGTCTCAAACTCCACCATTATTTCCATTTGTCAAAATGTTAGTCATCCTTCAAATCTCTTCTTAATGCTACCTCCTTTAGTTATTCCCCATCTCCTCCTAAAATTTTTTCTCTACAACTTGGATTCCCATCATTCTTTGCAGCTCTCCGATGGTATTTGCCACAATTCTGCTTTGCTGCATACTTGTGGGTATCATTTTCTTGTTATTCTTCCCTTGCCCCCATTAGTCCATACAATCTTCGAGGATGGGAATGTGATATAGTTTGGATGCTTGTCCCCACCCAAATGTCATGTTGAATCATAATCTCCAGTGTTGGAGGTGAAGCTTGGTGTGAGGTGATTGGATCATGGAGGCAGAATTCTCATGAATGGTTTAGCACTATCCCCTTGGTGCTGTCTTGGTGATAGTTCTCACAAGACTGGGTCGTTTAAAAGTGTGTGGCGCCTTCCCTCCCTCCCTCTCCCTCTCTCTTGCTTCTGCTTCACCATGTGATGTGCCTACTCCCTCTTCTCCTTCTGCCATGATTGTAAGTTTCCTGAGACCTCCCCAGAAGCCAAGCAGATAGCCAGCACCAGGCTTCCTGCAAAGCCTGGAGAACCATGAGCCAATTAAACCATTTTTCTTTATAAATTACCCAGTATCAGGCATTTCTTTACAGCAATGCAAGAACGGCCTAACACAGGATATGTTCTGCTCATCTTTGCAGAATTCAGCATCTAACCCAACCTCACATGAAACAGCTGCACCAGAGAGAAATAAAACAAAACTGTTACATTAAATGGATCTTTAAAAAATCATTACAACAACATCTTTACAACAGATCGCATGGGCACATGTGTTGAAACTGTGGTATCTGATAGCCCATCCACAAAAATGTAATGGGACAGCCTAAAAGCTAAGGGCTTTACCCATCTGAGGGATTTTGAACAACACCAAATGTATGAGAGCAAAGTATCAGCTGGTTTTCCCACCAAGATGCTCAGGTATAAACCAATGAAGAAAATATTTAAATCTGTATAAACCAGTGAAGAGAATATTCTAAGGGAACTCCATAGAATGGAATGGGAATAGAAGCTTCCTTCCATTTAAACACTATGCAAGCCCACTTTACATGGACATTGAGCAAAAACACAAAAGAGATGGACTACAAACTCTTTTCTATATACTTTTTCACAACACCCACAGACCCAGATCCAGAAAGCATCTTTAGCCCAAGCAAGCAGTAAAAGGCAAAGTCCCTTTTCTAATGACCAAATGCATTCCCATGTGTTTGCCTGCTTATGTTCTGGGCTGAACTAAATGAAGCACCCAGTAGTTCCGCAGATACCATTAAAGGAGCCCAGGAGATAGCAAACATTCTCCACTTTTAAAGGTAGTGGAGGGGACTATTCTCACCTAAGTACTTTCTTAAACCATACATTTCCCCCTACCATAAAATGCACTCCTGCCATGGGGGCTAGTGGGAGGTTGCCTTCACCTGCCCCACCTGCTCTCCTCACCAAGGGAGCTAAGTACTCCAGATGGAAGGAAATCTCAAGGCATCCAATAGTCAAGAAAAAATCTGGGGAATGACATAGGTGAATGTGGCAAAGTTACAAAACATGAGTGGAAAAGAAAGCAAAAAACCCTAAGAGGCTAGGGGCAAAATGGCCACAGTTCATATTTAGCTCTGGTGTTAGTGAATTCTAAAAGGTTTTAATTTCTGGCTTCCAGAGCACACCATATCCTTAAAGGGTCTTTAAGTTGGAGTAGGTGAGCCCTAGCCTCCTTAAGGGGTAAATCATCCCTGTTTATTTAGCTTCTAATTCTAAGCCCATCTGCCTTGATTTGTTACTAAGGAGAATGCTTTCCTAAAGTCCATGTGTCAGCCTTCTTTTCATCATCTGGAACACAGTCACCAAACACATGGCACCCAGGCTGCCAGCCCCACCCAGGTTTGGAACCCATGGAAAACATTGCTCATCAATCACAACATCCTTTCATGCACACGCCAAATATGGCCTCAAAATTGTTGTCAGTGCAGCACACTGAAAAGCAACTACTAGTTAATCAGAGTGATATGAAACCATTATACCATTCCTGTGCTATGGCAATCCCTTTAAATCACCTAAAGTTGCTTTTTGGGCTTCCAAAATTGGACTACTTCTCATCACTTTATCTTCCTGAAACCCAGACCTTCAGCTTGCTCACAACCATAGCAAACCATTGCCTGTTTGCCTCTTTCTTGATGTGTAAGGCCATTCTTGCATTCCTATAAGGAAATACCTGAGACTGGATAGTTTATAAAGAAAAGACGTTTACTTGGCTCACAGTTCTGAAAGCTTTCCTGGAAGCATGTTGGCATCTTCTTGGCTTCTAGGGAAGCCTTAAGAAGCTTACAATCATGGTGGAAGGCAAAGGGGGAGCAGGCACATCATATGGTGAAAACAGGAACAGGCAAGAGAGAATGGAGGATGAGGTGCCACACACTTGAAACAACCAGATCTCACGAGAACTCACTCACTATCATAGGATAGCACCAACGCATGAGGGATCTGCCCCCAGGATCCAAACACATCCCACCTCCAGCACTGGGTATTACATTTCAACATGAGATTTGGGCAGGGACAAATATTGAAACTATATTGCTCGATATCATCCTCCCAACCTGGCTTATTATATTGCTGACCATAGGGAATCACTGACTCTAATTTTTGCTGTGTCTTTTCGGTTTCCAAGCCATTGCATGTATCTGACCTTGAATTTTACCTACCTCGACTCTTGACTTTAATTTCGTACTGGTCAGCCCTGCTTCTACCAAAGTTTTATCATGAATGCAACTCAGTGTTAGTGAGTGTTCCAGAAGAGTCTTCATGTTTTTAATTGTTTGCTCCAAGGGTGCAGCCATACAAGAAAATGTCCTAGGGCAAGGCCCTCAGTTAAGAAATAGAATACAGGTCAGACACTGGGGACCAGGAGCCCAGGATACCATCAGAGGTTCACTGAAATTCCCCCAGGGCCCCCCTTATCACTTCTTCCAACACATAACTTTGGAGCCAGTAAGTCCCCAGGGCAGGTATGAGCTTAGGAGCTCACCACACCTCTCTCACACATGGGATGTGACTGCACTATTTCATCACCCCAATCCTCTCAGCACCCAGCTCACCCAAACAAAAGGTCAGCATTTTGATGCGCCATTGTTAAAAGGTCACTGAGTCCTGCAGGAGACTATAAAATAGGGTGGACTATCCAGCTGTAAGTTAACAAATGGGCCATTCTGACAGGGGTTCACATGATTTCAAAATTTATTTACAGATTAGTCCATGGCATTCAAAACTATGGGAACAATATGAGTGAACCAAAGAAGAAAGTCATCTTCACAAAGTTGGCAAGACTTCATAAACTTCAGAAACTTTTCAAGGCAGAAGTTTTTTTTCAAGATTTCTCTGGATTAAAATTTCTTATGTCTCCCCCACCCCACTGTGAAACCACAGAGGCTCCTGAAACATCTCCCAAATTTTCAGCTGCTGGCTGTCAGTAAGCATTCATGCCACCAATATCTCCCTGGGAGAGTGGTAGTTGGGAGGGCTCTGATAGTCACTGTGAAAAATTAAAGATGGCCACAAACTGTGTGCTCTTCCTCTCATTGAGAAGACTACAGACTCACTCATTGAATATGAGCTATGAGAATTCAGCAGAATGACATCTGGGACTTCCAAGGCTCACTCTTAAGAAACATTGCCACTTGCATCCAGATCTCTTGAAACGTTCTCTCTCAGGACATTCCCTCTTATAATGCAGCCAATGCCACAGAGAGAAGCCATATGGAGGTACTCAGGTTGATAGCCCCACCTGAGCTCCAAGATAACGGCCAGCCCTGTGAGTGATCCATTTGCACATACAACCCATTCAAGTCTTCAGATAAGTATAGCCCTGCACCTGCCTGGAACTGCAGAAGAGAACCCAGGCAAGAACTATCCAGCCAAACACTTCCCAAATTTCTGATCCACAAAACCACACAAGCAAAATAAAATGTTTGAGCCACAAAGTTTTGGGGTGAGTTTTCACATAGCCATGTATAACTACAGCAGAATTTGTTATCAGAAAGGGATTCTGTCATAAAAATCTACAACAATGGCTTTGGGACCAAGTAGCAAGCACTAGATCTTAGGACCTTGAGGAGATAGATATGAAAGCTGCAAGGCCTTCAAGGAGATAAGAACTTGAAAGAGAGAGGGAACTATATTTGGGTCCTGGAGAAAGGGCACCTGAATTAAATACTGGCCAACAGTTAGCAATACTGTTGCCTACAGTAACGTGGAAAATAGAAGAGACAGTGTACCTAAAGGTCTTCAGGATCTGACTAAGATTTCCAGGCAGAATGTTGAAAGTGCTTTTTGTAGTTGCCTATAATAAATTCAGGAAGAGAGGGATGGATTAAAGAAAAGACTTCAAAACAATTTAACAGAATTTAAAGGAATTACAAAGGATCTAGGATTTGCTAGGTTTCAAAATAAATTGCTTCTCATCTCCAGTCTCTCTCTAAAAGGGTTTTCAATGTAAGAAATGGTTAATTACTTCAGGATAAAGATCAAATCCAGTCTTTCTTAAGACCTCAAGAAGGTTTAAAGGGATGCCCCACAGAAACTTTCAGCCACATGAAGGGCTTTCTAAGGATCTAAGAGAAAGCTTTGTAGACCCTCTCTGTGAATCAAGAGAATGTGTAAGCATCTGAACTGTGTTAATCTATAGGAGCCTCATATAGGACTCAAGACAGATAAGGATGTATCTTAAAGATATGTAGGTGAGGCTTTTTATTAATAGAATAAGTGCCAATAAGTCATGGGAAACCCATAGACTTTTTTAAGAGAATCGTATTGATAGAAGAGCTGCCCACTTAGACTAAAAGAGACAGAGAAAATACAAAATGAAAAGAGGGCAGACTGTTTCCTGGCCTTTCTACCAGCAGGAAACAGTCTGAGAAAGTAGCTCAGTTGCAGACATGGGCTTTTTTCTGTTTCTTAGGAAGGCTGATTAAAGGTGGAACTAATATATGAGACAGTAGAGACAAGAGCCTCAGAGAGTAGTTCCAAGACAGTTAAGACTGGACCCTAATCAAGGAACTGGCAACATGTGACTGGCTTGATTTCAGAATTGCTGTGGATCAGTAACTGCTGTGTGTCTCCCATCCCACCTCCCCTGTTTCTGAATAGGAGTGTTCATAGGAGTTATCTTATCTCTGTACCACCAACATATATTGAGTAGGAGTGGGGCAGGTAACTTATCTTCAGATTAAGAGAAATCATTTTCAAGGAACTACTCCTCTCCCCAGGAGCCCATCCACATATGGACATGATTTAGATGACAAAATCCTGAACCTTAAACCAATGCTACAATAGAAAGAGACTTTTGGGGGCTTGGGAGGGACCATTTTTCACTTGGGAAGAATCGAAATAGTTTGTTCTCAGAAGGAAAACCTTACTTGATTAAAGGTGTCTACAAACATTTTGTTACTCCTCCCTTTAAGAATCTGGGCCAGGCACAGTGGCTTACACCTGTAATCCCAGCACTTTGGGAGGCTGAGACAGGAGGATCACTAGAGGCCAGGAGTTCAAGACCAGCTTGGGCAACATAGTGAGACTTCATCTCTACAAAAAATTTAAAAATAATTAGCTGGGTGTAGCGGTGCATGCCTGTAGTCCCAGCTACTCCAGAGGCTGAGGCAGGAGGATTGCCTAAGCTCAGGAGTTAGTGGCTTCAGTGAGCTATGAACACACACCACTGCAAACACTCTAGCCTGGGAAACAGAGTTAGACCATGTTTCTAAAAGAAAAAAAAAAGGAAATTGGACTGGGAGAGAGTAGGACACCTAATACTGTTTATAGATAAAACTCATCAAAGAGATTTGGGATCTTTCCTTATACTGTACCACAAAAAGTAAAAACTATTAAGATTTAAAGATTACTGTTAGTTTGATATATGAAACTTTAAATAAGTATTAGGTAGAAGAAAATAACCAACACAAAAAAAAATTCTGGTGAGTGATAAATAAACCTTGTTGTGGGCCTTAGAGGTTTCAGGAAGCCTCATGCACTTTCTGAGTTATGTTATCCCCTCACACCTGTGGTCTCTGTACAGAGGGCAGTACCAGCAACACCTTACATTCCTTACACTACCTCTCAGCCAGCAAGATCTTGCATTCTTGCTGCACAGCAATTTGGACACGGCTGAAAAAAATTAGTTTTCCCAGATCAAGGTGTCTAATTGCAGCTGTAGTCTAACTTCAGGATAAAACAGAATGGGAGCATTTAGGCTTACCGAATCAATTTGAGGTGCTTCTTCATTCCAATTGTACATTTATTGGTGTTACTAATGTCTCAGAGTTGACTCTGAAAATAATTAACTGAACCTAAATTCAGTTTATCTGCAGAACATTTTTACTGTCCTGAATGGGGTACACCTGTCATTTGTGCATGGAGGTCCAAAAGATTTCTTTTTTTTTTTTTTTTTTTTTGAGACGGAGTCTTGCTCTGTCATCAGGCTGGAGTGCTGGCTCACTGCAATCTCTGCCCCCTGGGTTCAAGCAATTCTCCTGCCTCAGCCTCCCGAGTAGCTGGGATTACAGGCGCCCGCCACCACACGCAGCTAATTTTTGTATTTTTAGTAGAGATGATTTTTAGGGGTTTCACCATGTCGACCAGGATGGTCTCGATCTCCTGACCTCGTGATCCACCCTCCTCAGCCTCCCAAAGTGCTGGGATTACAGCTGTGAACCACCACGCCCAGGCAAGGTTTTTCTAGTTAACAGTGTCTTCTCTCTGGAGGGATCTGCTTTGTGTAGGGAAGAGGGCGGCACTCCGTGCTGCTGAGGGAAAGAGGTTTCCATGTGTCACTGTGTGCCTTCACAATGCTACTCCTCCCTTTAAAAATTCCTTCTCTCATCTTTTAGGGAAAATATGACTAGGCATTTATTCTTACCTGTATTAAAATTCTCCACCTGGGGAAAAGTAAGTTTAGAATGCAGCATTTTAAGTCTCCTCTCCCAGACTGAATAACTTGGGGAAAATATATTTATCTTTCTTCTTTGGATCTTCAGAGCACAACAGAGGACATGCCATGTGGCTCCTATGCGATAAATGTCAGCTGACATGAAAAGAGTCTCATCCATGCATGATCCAGAACAGCCCCTTCCTGTCTGCCCCAACCAGCCTGGCTTTAGCATGATAGGAGGTCAAATTTTGCAAGCTGCACCCTACAGGGCCCTATATGATCCGTAAACATTTCCCCTACCCACCCAACAACCTCTCTACTGCATATCCTATGCTCATCCCCTTATTCACACTTCTCCAGCTTCACTCTCCTGCTTGCTCGAACATACCAGGCATGCTCCTCCATTAGTAACCCTGTACTTGCTGTCCTCTCTATCTGAAATGCTCCTCCCTGAAACTTCTGTAAGGTTAGCTTCCTCATTTCCTTCAGGTCTGCACTCAAAAGTCACTGTCTCGTGCATGCCTTCTTTGTCTGCCTGATCCAGATTTCACCCTCCCATGTTGTCTTCCCTTCCTGTTTCTTTTCTTCATAGCAGGTTTCATTATCTGAGGATATATGAAACAGTTTCTTCTTGTCGATCTACCTACTCATATTGCTCACTAAGTATCTCTTCACTAGAACATAAGCCACAAGAGCCCTGGGGCTTTTGTCTGTTTCATGACTACTCAGCCCCCAGAACAGTTCCTGATACGTAATAGCTGCTCAATATAAAGTTGATAAGTAAAAGAATAAATTCATGAGTGAGTTTACAGCAGGCTAACTTCCAATCCAAAGACTAGCAGTTTTGAGGATATTTCACAAGGGTAATTTTTATCATAAGTAGATGAAGAAAGGAGGGAAAACAATAAAAGATTTATTAGTGTGTGTTTTTTCCCAAGATCCTGATCTCATGCTCAGCCTGTTAACATGTCTGGATTCTACAGAGGCATTATAGATAAAATAGATTAAGATAGGCACTTTTCCATTTTATGGATATAAATATCTTAATTATCTTGAGAGGAATGTATAAAGCCATCACCAGGAATAACAGTGATTGCTGACAGGTCCTAACTCTGGTTGTCATCTCACTGGCAAGTTCCCAAACAGAGTAAAAAGGTTTGCTGCTAATTCAAACCAAACTATTAACAATCCCTGAGTTTCCTGATGTGTTTTAAGAAGAGAGCTCCTGTAGCATCTATTAGACTTATGGGCGACGTTTGACCAAAAAGCTGAGTGTTTTGACTGTAAAGATGCCTACTTGAAATACAACATGATAATAGAACAAATATTATGTCTTACAATCTTATAGGGAAAGCAGTTTCCCATAATCCTTCAGTATTTCAAGACCCATACTGTCAGAATATTCTTACTTAAGTGTAACTTTGATATTTCCTGTTATAATTTTGACATTACTGATGGGACAGAAAATGAAAAGAGTCAGTCATCCTGTTACTGAGACTGTAGCAACCAAGATGCTTCCTACTTACAAAGACAGTGTGGGCAAAGTTTGGGCTCTGCTTTTCTCCCACATTTGGCTGCTTTCCCTCCTCTTTGAATACCTTCCTCATTGATGACTCTGCTGACTCTCTCTCTCCCTACATCAGCCCATTGGGATGGTGGTAGGCATGGAGTTGGCAAGAATCTCTACTATTAAAGGATTGAGGATAAATTTAAACATTTAGAACCTTAAGAATGGGCATGCAGTAACTGAAGACTCCTGGACAAATCAGTCAGCCTCATTAAGCCTTAATTTCCTTATCTGTAAAATTGGGATGTAAAAAATGCTTACCTTATAGGACTGTTAAAAGTGTTTCATAAACCCCAAAATGCCACATTGATGATAGTTATTAATATAAATAATAACAGCATATGGAGAAAATATAGCATAGAGGTTAAAAAGACTAACTTTGCAGTTTGTCATAATTGGGTTCAAATCCTGAATTGCATACTAAACAACTATGGAACCTTGAAAAGCCACATCCCTTCTCTAAGCCCCAGCTTAGTTATATGTAAGATGAAGATAACAATACTTTATGGAGTTTTGTATGGATTAAGTAAAATGATTAAATAATTAAATGAAATTTTAAAATGAAATAAAGTTGGCCAGCCATGGTGGTTCATACCTATAAACCCAGTGATTTGGGAGGCTGAGGCAGCCTCACTTGAGGCTAGGAGTTTGTGACCAGCCTGGCCAACACAGTAAGACCCCATCTCTACAAAAACCAAAAAAACCTAGCTAAGGGTAGTGGTGCATGCCTGTAGTCCCAGGTACTCTGGAGGCTGAGATGGATTGATCACTTGAGCCTAGGAGTTCCAAGCTGTAGTGAGCCATGATCACACCACTGCATTCCAGCCTGGATGACAGAGCGAGACCCTGTCTCCAAAAATAAATAAATAAATAAACAATAAAAATTAATTTAAAAATTAGATGACATCAAATAAAGTTATTATGGAATAATAAGCACTCAACAAATACTTGATATTATTATATATGTTATTAAACCCATTTCCAAGTTCAACCTGGTAATTTTCTTTGGCTTTCTCTTTACCAAACTGAGGTCCTTAATCTTCACTAAATGACATCATATCTTCAGCTTCTCTGGAATATTTTTCGATACTGTCATTACTTTTAGAGCATATTTATAGAAAGCACTCTAAAATAATTCAGTTTAAAGAGGTCAAGCAGATGATGTGTATTTAATGCTTCATCAAAAAGTTCAAAATTCTTTACATTTCACCAAAAGTTGCACTGACCTTGCTTTCAAAAATTCATCTTTGTCACCATAAAGTCCATATCTGAATCATCTTCCTAATCTAATAATAATAGCTAGAAATTATTTAGTACTTACTATGAGCCAGAGCCTGTTCTAAGCATTTTACTGATAATAACACTTAAAATTCTCTCAACAACCCTATGCAATAAGTATACTACTCACCCCTTCATCCATGTGGGGAAACTCAGAAACCATGAGTAACATAATTTGCCCAGGGCTATACCACTAGTAAATAGCTAAGGAAAGAAATTAACCCAAACAGTCTGATTCTGAATCCTGGGCTCTTAACCACTCTACTAAACATCTTAATGCAAACACTAGCAGATCCAAGACCTACATTCAGCTTGGCTGTCTTTGTGGCCTGCAGTTACTGAATAACTGTCACATCTATACTTTGCACTGTGTAGGTCTGGCCTCAAAGTCTGTAGCTCTATCTAGTCCTGCTTGCCACAGCCAGTCATTAAAATCAATATGATTGGGCCATCAGTCACATGATGCTCAATTCTGATTCTCATCAAGATCGACAAGAAGAAACTGTGGGTTCATTCAAGTAAGCCACTGTTCCCTCTGCTCACATTAGAAAGGGATTATACAATCTTACCAAGGAAGAAAATAAATCACACATGCAAAAAGAATGCATACAAAGGGGAAAAATACATTTTTTGGCCTCAGTTATCTGCACAGTTAATGTGGGGTTAAGATAGGTATGGAGCCTTTAAAATGTAGATTTCAGGCTGGATGTGGTAGCTCTCGCCTGTAATCTCAGCACTGTGAGAGGCCAAGGCCGGAGGATCACTTGAGGCCAGGAGCTTAAGACCAGCCTGGGCAACATAATGAGACCCCATCTCTAGAAAAAAAAATAAAAAAGTAGCCAAGCATGGTGGCTTATTCCTGTAGCCCCAGCTACTCCAGAGGCTGAGGCTAGAGGATCACTTGAGCCCAGCATTAGAGACTGAAGTGAGCCATGATCATGCCACTGCACTCCAGCCTGGGTGACAGAGTGAGACCCTATCTCTAGAAACTAGATGGATAGATAGATAGATAGATAGATAGATAGATAGATAGATAGATAGAGACACAGATACAGATACAGATAGATATATTTCAAGAAAACAATAAAGAATGATGTATCCAATTTCAGGAGTAGAATAAAAAGAATTCTTATGCCAATTTGGGTTAATGCAATTAAAATAGCACCATTCATTACTGTGCACAAAGAAGGTCTTGCACAAGTCAATTTTAAGGTGTCCACATCCCTAACACTTCACAGACCATTTATTGAATTAGCTTTGTTTCACCACAGATAGAGGCTGTTTGTGTCGTTATGACTAAATCTAATAGATTTAAAATATTGTTCTGCCATTCTGACTCCAAGAAACAGTGGTAGCTCTTCAACATTAATCCCTTCAGGTACATGATGTGAAAATAATCCAACAATGGACCATGTAAATCTGAATCCCTCTCTACATCTGCCCTAACGACTGAATCCTAACATCCTATACAAATGAAAAGAAAAAGAGCTAAAAAATAAATAGTCCTGATTACATTTCTTTTGTATCCACAATCCCTTTTCCTGTGAATTCATTCTAATTTCATTTTGTCCTGCAGCATAAGGGCATAGTTTGTTTTTCTAGCATGATCTCTGTATTTTTCTTGTAGCTCAGTTGGCTTTGATTTACTTAGGAGAGAACATCCTTTGAGTAAACATTATATGATTTTAAAAATAACAGAGGCATTATTTGAAACAAAGGTTGGATTGGAAAGTAAATGTAAACTTAAGGTTTAATTACATTTTGTGTCATAATGTAACTTCTTAGCCAGGGATTTAAAACACTCTACAATTGAGCCCCAACTTGCCTTTCCAGTTTGTTTTCCTTCCTATTACTGGTGTGGCAGAAATTGGGTGGGCCTTGGGGCCAGTTAGATAATTTATTCACAAACATTGCTGGGCAAATATTGTGTACAAGTTAGTGTAATAAGTACTTGGGATACAAAAATGGAAAAGATTAACAGTAATAATAAGTAGATGTTGCTCCATTCCTTTGAGGAGCTCACAGTCTAATAAAAAGAAACATATACAAAAGTGATCACAAAGTATATGAAGTAATAGAAATATGATTAATGTACAGTGAGATGCCTCCTCTTAGATTTCTCCAAGGCACCCCACATTTAAACTCTCTCCAAACTAATTTTCTTCCAGGTTCCATGCCTCCATGACCACCTTTGCCATACATCCAGGAATACTGGAACCATTCTTGACACCTCCCTCTCCCTCATCCTAGAAATATTTTATTTTATTTCATTTCATACCTAATCCTAGAAATATTTTATTTCATACCTAATCCTAGAAATACTTTATTTAATCTCCACTATCACAACATTAATTCAATATATCAGAATCTCTTCCCTGAACTAACAAGTCTAGTATCATCCAATCAGCTAATACTCAAATTCATTCTTCACACAGTAGCCAAAATGAACTCTTCCAAAAAAAAAAAAAAATCTGATCATGTCTTCTCTATCTCATTTAAAATGGCATCTCATTCCCCTTAGAACAAAGAGAAATCTCCTTAACATGACTTATGACGTTCTTCAGCGTCTAGCCCCTACCTCTCCTGCCTTATCCTGTACCTCACTCTGCCATCCACAGCCCCATTGAACTAGGTTTTTATTCAACCCTTTCATACATCCCAAATTCCCTCTTAATATATGATTTTTGAACCACTGTTCCCTCTGCCTACAATTCATCTTTCTCATGTGGTTAATTCATCTTTTACATTTTCGCTCATACGTACCAACTTGGTGAAGTCTCCCTTAGTAGGCCTCCTATAATGGACTCAAAATTGTACCATTTTTTTCATCTTCATAGTATTTATCACAGTTGCAATTTCACATTTGTCTGTGGGAATCTTTGACTGATGTCTGTCTCTGCCATTAGACTATAAGCTCCACATGGGCAAGGACCATATCTACTTCTGTTCATTGTGTCCAAGGCATGGCACAGTGCCTACAGACACACAAACAATCCATTACATTTGTGGAATAAATGAAACAGAGCAAGGAAAGAGTGATGGACTTTGCCTGGGGGAAGGGAGGGATAATGTTACAGCAGAGGTGTCAGCTGTGTCGGGTCTTGAAGAATACACACACACACACACACACACACACACACACTCATTTATCAGGCAGAAGGAACACATGAGCAGATACAAAAAGAAATGCAACATTCTGAAATCGCTCAGTATAACCAAAGCTGTAGGTGTGATCCATTTTGGGGAGGGGAATAGTAAAGTGTCAGAAATGAGGCTGGAGAGATTCCGGGACTAAACCACAGAGGAACTTTTGTGCTCTGCAAAGCAATTTGGACTTTTGCCATGGGAAATCACTGAAGGGTTGTAAAAAGGGAGTAAAATGATGATCAGATTTGCATTTTAGAAAAATCACTCTCCTGGTAGTGTGAAGGATGTCCTTGATAGGTTGATACTGGAGACAGGGTGACCAGTTAGGTGGCCATCCTACAAGTCTACGTGAGAGATGATGAGGCATGAACTGAGATAAAAACAGAGGATTAAGTGAAGCGGGCAGTTTCAATAGACATTTAGGAGATGAAAATGACTGGAGATAGAAAGGAAGGAAAAAGAAAAAGTCAAAGCACACCACCCTGTTCTCTGGACATCTGGGAGGGTGGTGTGGCCATTAACCAAGTCAGGAATGCAAGTTGAGAAGTTAACCTGGGAAGATGGCTGAGTATGGTTTTAAATCCACTGGGATTTAACATCGGAGAGCCAGATTCTTGTGCCAGAAAGAAAACTATCTTCTGAAATGATTTTTCCTCCTATTTCATCTAATAATGTTTCAGCCAAGAACATAACCACCTACTAGTGACCACATTATAAAGCCTCCCTTGCAGCTAGATGTGGCCATATGACTAAGTTCTTGATGGTGTAATAGGAGCAGAAGAAGGCAACCTCTGTGCCATTTGCTTAAAAGGAAATTGCTTGTCCTGAATTTCTGTTCAGATAACCACGAGTTAGGTTAACTATGCAAATGACACAACACCTTAGAGGAAGGCAGGGAAGCAATATGGAGATAAAGCAGATGGGCCAGATCAATCATTCCTCTTTTTGGACCACTTATTCTGTGAGAAAGAAACTGCTTATTTAATCCATTATATATTGGAGTTCCATTTTTAAGGGATCTTCTTTTATATGCTAAATAATATAGACTTTCAAGTAGAGATATCCAAGAGACAACTGCCAACACTGGTCTGGTTCTCCAGAGGCCTAGGCTGACAAGGGAGCACTAATATAAATTAGCATGTAGACAGTAGTAGTTTAAACCATGGGAATAGACCAGAAAAAGAAAAGCAATCTGAAGACATACCTGGATTTGCATCCTGGCCCCACCTCCTATTAGTTATGTGATTTTGACTAAGTTACCTCTAAAAGCCTATATTCTATAGGCCTGTAATGATACCTGTATTAAGGTATCTAACTGCTACAAAATATCAATCATCACATCTCAGTAGCTTAATACATTGAAGATTTCTTACTCAGATGAAGCCCAGGTGTATATACAGGAGGACCCAGGCTTCTTCATCCGGTGGTTCTTCCTCCCCTAGGATCTTAAATTCCTTCATTTACAACGACTTTCCTTCCCTAGTCCATGGCGGGAAAGACACACACACTTTTTTTTTTTTTTTTTTTTTTTGAGACAGAGTTTCACTTTTGTTGCCCAGGCTGGAGTACAATGGCTCGATCTCAGCTCACTGCAACCTCCGCCTCCTGAGTTCAAGTGATTCTCCCACCTCAGCCTCCCGAGTAGCTGGGATTACAAGCATGGGCTGCCATGACCAGCTAATTTTCTTTTTTCTTTTTTTTTATTTTTAGTACAGACGGGGTTTCTCCATGTTGGTCAGGCTGGTCTCGAACTCCCGACCTCAGACCTCAGGTTATCCGCCTGCCTCGGCCTCCCAAAGTGCTGAGATTATAGGCGTGAGCCACCGCGCCCAGCCAGCACACACACTTCTTAACCACTTTAGCCCAGAAGTGACATATATATTTCGTTGTTGAGAGCAACTATTTGATCCCAACTTGATGCAAAACAGCCTAGGAAATGTTATCCGCCTAGCAGTCACTTCCCAGCAGAAATGCTAACCAATGGAAATGGTGCATGAATCTTTAGTGAAGCAGTGGCTTCAATAATATTCTGCTCTGTTTCTCGTGGAAATGAAAAGGAATAGATGATATACCTAACAGTATATCATGCCTAAGGGGTCCTACATAATGTTAGCACTCATCTTCTGCCTTGTCATTCTCCTCCCTCCTCCATCCTTTACACACTTGTATTATGTCCCAAATAGGCCTTCAATTTTCCCATTTCAGTGTATTAATTACATTCTTGCCTTTGTATACAAAATTTTAAGCACAATTCTTCCTTTTTCTGCTCCACCAGTTCCACCTCTTTACATGCACATGTATGTTCATTGCAGCACTATTCACAATAACAAAGACATGGAACCAACCCAAATGCTGATCAATGATAGACTGGTTAAAGAAAATATGGTACATATACACCATGGAATGCTATACAACCATAAAAAAGAATGAGATCATGTCCTTCGCAGGGGCATGGATGAAGCTGGAAGCCATTATCCTCAGCAAACTAATGCAGGAAAAGAAAAACAAACACCACATGTTCTCACTTATAAGTGGGAGCTGAACAATGATAACACATGGACACAGGGAGGGGAAAAACACACACTGGAGCCTGTTAGGGGAGAGTAGGGGGGCAGCAAGAGCATTAGGGAAAAGAGCTAATGCATGCTGGGCTTAATATCTGGATGATGGGTTGATAGGTGCAACTAACCACTATGGCACACGCTCACCTACGTAACAAACCTGCACATCTCGCACATGTACCCCAGAGCTTAAAAAAGTAAAGTAATAATTTTTAAAAATACCCATTTTAAAAGACTAGTCTCAAAGCAATCTCCTGGAATAAGCTTTCTCTAATTCTTCATGAGCAGATGAAACACCTTTGAGCCACTATCACACCACATATAACCTTTACATTTAGCACTTTCCAGATGTTGGTTTGATATAACAATATGTGCACTCACCTTCCCTGACTACCTCTGAGCCTAAGATGTAAGCTCCCTGAAGGCAGCAATTGCATTTAACTCCTCTTTGTTCAAAGTGATTAAAAGAGTAAACTGAATCTAGACTTTGAACGGAAGACACCAACACTTAGAGATTTGAGGTCTCCTAGCAATGAATGAAGAAATAAACATTTATTCCACAACTCTGGAAAGGAGGAAAAAAGCAGTTTGTCTCAAGTATTTACTCAGGTGATGACTACCTAAATTACTGGGATAGTACTATATTTCTTGATTTTACCTTGTAAATCCATGAGGAAGCATGTGTGGCAAGACCTGCTCATGAATAAAGCATGTACTTAACGAACAATAAAGCAACATATCTTTAAATATTATGATCCCTAAGAAAAACAAACAGTTCTGAAGAGGCTTCCTTAAGAACTCTCCACGTGCATGAATCAAGGTGGTGATGTGGCAGTTTTCTGGGTAATTTGATAAATGTCAACAACCAAACTATTTAAATCCATCCATCAGATGAATACACCACTCTTGAGTTATCTGAACACTTGCCAGGTCACTTTGTTCTACTTAGATATAGCCACTGCCTGAGGAAAAGAAAAAGAAAGAAAAAAACCAAGGTAATCGGGCTTAGGTAGCTCACTGAAAATGCCTGTATTTTCCTTTATCCACCAATGGTCCTCATAAAAGTAGGCAATACATAGAAAGGAGGTATGTTTCAGCAAAGAAACTCATTCTATGCCCCTAGCCAAAGGTTGAGTATCCCTCAAATAATACACAGCTTCTGTGTAAAGAGATGGTATATGATCCCTTCTCATGCTGCCCTTCTCACACCAAATGGTCTAAAATGGCCTCAGAATTCCTGAAGGATGCTAAAACAACCCTTCTGTCTTAACCATCACCCAGCTGAAGAGACCAGAGACATATCCAGGGATCCACTCCATTTCTAAATTCTCACTCCAGGGCCTCTGAAGACAGCTCAGGGCTGATCTGTATCAAGTCTGCCCATTCCCTATCCTAGATCCCAGTGCTTGCTAGGTTATCAGAACAATACTACACTGGGGAGGGAGGGCAGTGGGACTCCATTTTTATAATATACTCTATATCCATACCAGTACCACAAGTGTACTGGGCCTTCCAGGGGTCACAGGATTTCACTGGAGTATCCTGTACAGCACTAGACCTAGCAGTTGTTGTCTGTACGAAGGATGCTGTGATAAATCTGGAAAACATTACATACCATAGTCCTCTCTCAGATATTTGCAGTACAT
The DNA here is from genome assembly GCF_000001405.40 of Homo sapiens. Classification (NCBI taxonomy): domain Eukaryota; kingdom Metazoa; phylum Chordata; class Mammalia; order Primates; family Hominidae; genus Homo; species Homo sapiens. The sequence continues at coordinate 217,125,364 of NC_000001.11, forward strand.
AATAGTACATACTAGACTCTGAAACATCCTATAGTGAAGAAATCTGTTGAATCCATTGTTTCACAAATGTATTTGTCTACAAGAAAAATCTTCAGACAAAACACTTGTTGACATCTTCCCTCCATAGATTGTGAGTTGGTTCCATGAGGTCAGGAACCATGCCATTTTGGTCATTTCTTTTCCTCAAGTGCTTAACATAGTATTTGATACTTTAATAAATATTTGACAAATTAATGAATATTGTATGGAAGTAGGGTCCCAAAGAACCAGCTTTGTAAAACTATATGATAAAAACATGGCATATCTATGGAACACCTCAAGTAAGAACAACCTCACTGAACTGGAAGATCACTTTGAATCTATTTAAATCCCAACATGTAAGGCAACATTAAAAATATGTTGGTATTTATTATTATCATATGTGGTCAGACAACTTCTTCTTTCCTCTCAAACTATCTTTTCTTAGTATCAAATAAATCTAACTAAATATTTCAAGATGTTTGGTGTCTAGATCCCTGATGCTTGAATTTGCTGTGTATGAGAACCTCTTGTGGGTATTATTGAAATTTCTGAGGCCCAGGGATTCAGTATTTCTAGAGCAGGGCCCAGGGCTCTACATTTTACACAAATAACCCAGGTCACTCTGTCATAGGGTTTTGGATGGAATGCACTCTCAGAAAAGCTGATCAAGAGATATTGTGGTAGAGGAGGCCTGAACTTGTTATCAGAGGCCTAGCTTTGAGTCTCAGCTCTGCATCCAGACTAGTTGTGCGGTCATGGGCAGTAATCTCTAAGCCTCACTTTCCTCTCTGTGGGATTCAAAATATGTTTCTTTACCTACCTACCTAGCTACCTACCTAGCTACCTACCCACCCACCCCGTAGCACCATGTAGGAAAAAAGTATCTATAAAACCCTGCCTTGAAGCCTAACAGATACTTAACACATGTTGTTCAATAAATCAATAAATTTGCAGTTATTTCAACATTCTATAATATTAAACAAATTATATCACGCCAAGTGGTACAGTGCAGAAAGGTTTTCTGCTGGTTATTTAGACATAGATAAAATGCCTGAACCAACTGTGCTGTATACACCCATGCCATAAGCCTGGCAAATCCCATAGTACACTTGGCCCATGTTTATGGAAATATTGTTGGCCAAATCATGGTGAGGGTCAAGCTATATGACATTGGTCACAACACATAGAATATTAAAATATTTCTTCTGCTTGGTACCAGATCTTCAAAAAGCAGACTCTTTAATCTTAAGTAGGCAAACAGCAGGAATTAACTTGGCTTGGTATAGACACACCTACAAAGGGAAGGTTCCTGCTAATCGAGTATCCTCATCAATAATAATTAACAATTGTTAAAAAATTAGAGTGCATTGGAATACATGTAATGATAATATGGTACTCTGCATATCCAATTATCTCTCCATTCAAGAGACCTTTCTGGAGCCCACAGTACTCAGGCTAATTGCTATGAACACTGCCCAACTGCATTGCATGAATACTTTGAAAGCATTAGACATTGGATTGATTGTTTCCCAAATTTGTGGCATATTCTGAAGCCTGCCTTTTGAAATAGATGTGATATTACTTATTATTTACCTTTTGTGCATAAAATAAGGAAATAAATTCTATAACTGAAAAATCTCTGCCTAAAAGATTAATTATTAGAGATTTCCAATTACGGGGTGTCAACTATACTCACGGTATATTGATTTATATCCATTTGCTTTTTGTGTTGGTGTTTCTTACTCTTCTGATTTTAAACACTTAATTGTAACTGCTTGTTCGAAGTCTCATTGCTCTGTGATTAATGCTAACAGCAAGAGAACTTTGCAAAGCTAAACTTGTGCCACAATGTTCATTTTCTATGTTTATTATTGCCTTTTGCTTATATGTTTTGGTTATAAGCTATTTTTCATGCCTGTGTCTTATGTTAGCAGTAACAAACGTGATTAATGACAGGACTTATGCAGGTAAACAGGTGAATAAATCATGCCAAGTTTGGTGACCCCATCAAAAGATGGCCTTGAAAACTCACCTCCAGCTGATGGTTGCCATAAGAGAATGCAGGAGAGCAGCCACAGCATTGCTAGACCTTCCAGTGTTTCAAGAGAAGTCTAATGCATAATAGGTACTCGATAAGTATTTGTTGATTCAATACAGAGATTCAGATTTTCATCTGAAATCCCTGGATTATTTTATTCTAAGCAACATAATGTGGTAAGTAACTGAGAACATGGACTCTTGAATCAGACTGCCTGACTTAAAAACCCAGCTCTGCCACTCATCAGCTGTATGACCTCGGGCAAGTTATAGAAAAACTCCCTGCCTCAGTTTTCTAACTTGTAAAATGGGGGAAAATAATAGTACCTACTTTGTGGAACTGTTTCAGTTAATTTTAAAATATTTTTAAAATCTTGGGAGAATATCTGGTAGAATGTAAGAGCTACGTTAAAAAGGAAACACACTAAAGCTTCCATTTTTTTAAATAAATATGTCTCATATGTAGAAAACATTTTCACATATGTTATTCCTTTTTGTCCCCACAATAATTATCAGATAAAGGTGTTATTCTGCAGATAAGGAAAGAGAATTTCCCTTGGGATCCCTCAGATGTTTTCAGGTGACAGCCACACATGTGCTCGCTGGCCACGCAAGAGCACTGTGCACAGGTACTTAGGCAGTATCCAGGGGTTTGCCCATTAGCACACTCCATAAAATGACAAATGCAGAAATTTGATCCAAGACCACTAGTGGACAAAATCGGAGGTCTCCAAACCAGTGTCCACCATAAGTCTTCTTACTCAATAACTAACTAATTAAAATAAAATGAAGATCTCATCCAAACCACTGCATTCGTTGTTTTCAATCAATAAATTAATTACCTAAAAGCAACCAATTTAAAACAATAAGCAAAGCCTTTACATTTAATAATGTCCATTGATATCCTTACTCTTTTATTAAGTTTTGTCTTAAAAATGTTTTGCAATGATTTAGTTTCTCTGCTCTCTGACTCCAAGAACTTTCTCTCAGTAACTTTACAAGCATGTCATCTGACTACTGTGGCCTATGTGTTAGAAACTGCTAAATTAGAAACACCCTGTCAACCTTTTGATTTTCCTGGTTATTGTTGGTTTAAGGCAGCTCCTTAATGTTATTTAAACAGAGGAGACTATTTGAAATTTCTTGGTAGATGAATTTGATAATGATAATTTAAAAAAAAATAACTACTGTCATCCTGAGATAAAAGATCTCATTCATAGGCTAGACACCTTATCTGAATAACTCAGGACTTCTTCGAAGAAAAAGGTCAGTGTAGCCCCACCTGTTTCCTTTTCTTGAACAGCAATAACTTTACATACTCCCTGATAATCTGCATTTGGTAAAGTTGATTGGGCATTAAAGAAGTGTCTTCTCTTTACTTGGGTTTTAAATTTTTGTTTTGTGTTATGTTTAATCTGAGTCTTTTCATGGATGTGTAATGTCTTTATTGTTAAAAATAACTACTGCTATCTCCTCAGGCGGAGGTAGGAGGATCACTTAAGCCCAGAAGTTGGAGACCAGCCTGGGCAACATAATGAGACCCCAGTCTCAAAAACATACTACTGGGAATTCATCAAAATTAAAAACTTCTATGAATAACAGAGCACTATCAACAAAGTGTTAAAAAAACCCACAGAATAAGAGAAAATACAAATATTTGCAAATCCTATATCTTAGGATTTAATATTCGGAATATATAAAGAACTCTTACAACTCAACAACAAAGAGACAAAAGTCCCAATTTAAAAATCGTCAAGACTCTGAATAGACATTTCTCCAAAGAGAATATACAAATGGTCAATAAGCACATGAAAATATACTTGGCATCATTAGTTACTAGGAAAATACAAATCGAAACAACAGTGAATTACCACTTACACCCACTAGTATGGCTATCAGAAATAAAAGGAAAATAAATGTTGATGAGGAATGGAGAAATTAAATCCCACATACATTTTTAATGGGAATGTAAAATTATGTAGCTGCTGTGGAAAGAAGTATGGTTGGTTCCTAAACAAAGTTGGACCCAAGAGAGCAGAAAACATATGTTTAAACAAAACTTTGTACACAGGTGTTCACAGCAGCATTATTCATAATAACCAAAAAGTGGAAGCAACCCAAATGCCTATCAGCTGATGAATGTGTAAACAAAAGGTGATATATCCATAATATTGAATACTATTCAGCGATAAAGAGGGATGAAGAACTGACTCATGTTACAATATGGATGAACCTTCATAACAAATGAAGTTATATGAAGATAATAAGAGAAAGAAGCCAGATACAAAAGGCCAAATGTTAAATGATTCCAACTATAAAATGTCCAGAATAGGCAAACCCATAGAGACAGAAAGCAGATTAAGGCTTGACAGTGGCTGAAGGGGAGGGAAGAATGAGGAGTGACTGTTTACAGGATGAGGCTTCCCTTTGGAGTGATAAAAATGTTCTGGATTCAGATGGCGACGAAGGTTGCACATCATGGTGAATGTTAAAAAAAAAAGCCACTGAATTATATTGCTTAAAATAGTTATAATGATAAATGTGATGTTACGTGAAGTTTACCTCATTAAAAAGTAAATATTAACTTGAACCCCCAGCAGAAGAAGCAAAAAGCTTCTTCTTCCTATACAAAATAATTTCACACAATATATCACCCAAATGATTTTAAGGAGTGGAATACTACATCTAGAAGATAGCAGCTGACAAGTTGTCCTTATTCCCTTTATTTCATTGTGCCACTTATCATTTGCCCTTTGATCTTGAATATCATTTTTGGTTTGTCACATTGATAGCAGAAACTGCAACTTTACTTATTTACCTATTTATAGAGAGAGGGGGTCTCACTATGTTGTGCAGGCTGGAGTGCAGCAGTGGGATCCTAGCTCACTGCAGCCTTGAACTCTGGAGCTCAAGCTATCTTCCTGCCTCAGCCTCCTGAGTAGCTCGGACTACAGGCATGCACCACCATGCCTGGCTAATTTTTCTTTTTCTTTTTTTAGACAAGGGATCTTGCTATGTTGCTCAGGCTGGTCTTGAACTCCTAGCTTCAAGCAATTCTCTCTCCTGGGCCTCCCAAAGAGCTGGGACTGCAGGTGTGAGCCACTGCACTGGTCCCGAAATGTCACCCTTCCTGATGTTACATCTCCACTTCCAAATGTTCACTGTCAATAGTTTAGCTAATTTGGTAATCATCAATTAATGAATATGTGTAGGAGTTTTCTCTCTTCTAAATTACATTAAAATGTTTGATTAAAAATAATTGAATATTAATTATTTTGGTAAAAGGGGGATATAATTTTTCAGAAATCAGTAACTTGAATCTTCTTTTAACTTATATGGGATCAATGAATCAGAAGCAATGATGTATCTGACAGAAAAAATAAAGAACATAGGAGACAAACTAAGTATTCATCAAGCCTTCCTGAAAAAGAACACATACATTTTCTCCCACGAAGAAATGCCTTTTATTGTCTTTTTTTTAACTATTAAGACGTTAGCAATAAAATATAGCTTAAATAAATGGATCAGTAGAATATACTATATTGCCACGAATTTAATTTTTCTGAATTGTAAACTCCCGTCAAACAGGTTGTACAGGTGGATATGTTGAAAACAATCTCATTTAAACACATACTTGTTAAAGCAATTAAAGGCAGATTCAGTTGGATTAGAGAACATAATTCTGAAGAAGTATGCTAAAGTTAAATGAAAAGTTCTGAAAATAAGTTCAGTTGTCCATTAATTGCAAAGGTCCAATTTCCTGAAGCTATGTTAAATACCCAAGCTATGATTTTTAAACACCTCAAAGAAAATTTCTACATAAAAAGGCATGTTTATCTTTTATGACATGTCTATTTAAAGGTTAATATGACCATATTTATTAATGACCAGGTTTATTCCAAATAGCAAAGAAAAAAAAAAACAGTGAGCAAGTATTTGAATAATTCAAGTTAAAAAAATATCTTCACTTTGATCTCAAGCATGTATCTAACTCAGGTGAAAGCAAAGGCAGTTTTAGCTAGAACTACCTGGAGAATTGAAGAGGGAGTAATCCTGTCCCACAGAATCCAAACATATCTGGTTCATGTGCTGTTATTGTAAGGAAATTTGAGAAATACAGCAACTGAAACCAACCTGTTGAAGGTGACCAAGAACTGGATGAAAGTAAATGCTTTTATTTTATGTCAAAATGAAGTGAGATATTGGAGGGCGCAGAAGACTTTGGAGGTTGTATACGTATTCAGTGGTCAACTTCTAAAAATGCTCAGCCAGAATACAGCCCTGAACATATGGCTAATACATAATCGGAGAATTCTATTTCTTCACTTAAGGGGAAAAATTTGAGTTCAAATTGGTGAGACCTAATAGAAAAGTATCAAGTTAATTGAAATTCCTTGTCAAAGAGTCACTTAGTTCTCTGGGTTCTCCCTAATTCCTTCCCTCCTGACATCTGGGTTTCAGGCCTCAGCTCTTTGCCTTGAAATGTGTAAATTTGATGATCAAATAAAATCCTGGAAGGAGACTATACTCAGTTCCTCTAGACACTGACCTCTTAGAAAAAGAAATCCCAATAAGGGAGGGCACAAGATTAGGAAGACCCCATTGCTGGAGCTCTGGAGTTGCTGACCCAAGAAAGATGATGTTGGGGATCAGAGTGGAAAAGGAGGGAGGAAAGGAATTGTTCCAACTTTTAGGAAAAGCTTAGCCATTGCCTTCATCTGTCCATGCTCAGTAATTTTATTTTTTTAATTTTGTAGAGAGGGAGGTCTCACTGTGTTGCTCAGGCTGGTCTCAAACTCCCAGAGTCCAGTGATCCTCCTGCCTTGGCCTCCCAAAGTGCTGGGATTACAGGTGTGTGACACCTTGAGCTAGGCCAATTAATTCCGTATTCTAGTCAAAGGTCTAGCTGGGAAAAGGGAGAGGAACAACTGGGATTGGTTCTCAGGCCATTTTAGTACCCAGATGACACAGCCATGCTGGTAGAGAAGGAAGGACGGTGGCTGAGGAATTGCAAGTGGGATTGAGAAAGGTGGGGAATTTCAAGGCTCATAAAGTTATCTTGGTCTGGGATGGTTCAAGCTGATTATCGCATCCCTGGCAACTTAGCAGCCAGTGGCACCACGAAAAACACAATTTAGGAACTGTCAAGAGATTATGCTCTGATTATTGGTAAAATGGTGGCTGCCACTTATAACCATGATCTAAGGTCGGTCGTCTAAGAAAAGCAGGGCCTGTATGCAGATGGGCACAGGTACCCACTTCTGTCCAATTCCACGTGCATGGACACTCTCTTGTTGCTTCTTCTTGGGGGTTACAGGTGCATGGTTACCCCGTCCTTGCCTCGTTTTGGGGGTTACAGGTCACAGATCTGAAGTATTTCTAAGAGGACAATTCCTCTTTCTGCCATTTTCCAGAGTTGCTTGAAAACGAGCTAATTTGGAGGAAATGAAATTTCTTCTTTCTTCACTAACTGATTTGGAAACAAATGGGCCTCTCCGTTCTCTGTCACCACCTCCCTTCCATACCCCGAAAGTTTCTTGTCTAGTTTTGTCTACATGGTGGAAATGTCATCTTTACTCGCAAGGAGAAAGAGAACTTGGGGTCCTTCCTATCTAGAGCCCCAGACTGTGAGGAAAGACCCAGGGCTCTAGAGGTCAGGCCACAGAGGCCTAGCGCGGGAAGGACAGGCCAGAAAGAAGCCTGCTGTTGGGAGAGCGAACTAGAAAGCTATGGCCAGCATTGCCGCATAGAGAGCTGAGCGAGTGAGTCTCACAGCCAGAGCAAGTCACTTTCCTAAGCGACGGAAGCTCCCGAATTTTAAGATCCCGTCAAAGGCGGGAAAAGCCCTAATGCTTCACAAAATTCTTGAAAGCGGAATGAATGATTTAGACTACAAACACTATGCTCCCACCGCTACCCAGGAGCCTGGCGCCTAGCGCCCCATCTTCAGGACCCAGAGTTTATGCTAAAGTAAAATTGCCGGAGGTACTGGGAGCCCACGCTCGGGCCTTCTCCAACTTTGGCCAATACTTGAGCGACGCGTGTCATAGAAACATTTTGGGGATGGGGTATCTAAATGTGTCTGAGGGTCCTTGGCTAACTAACTCCTTCACTCTTGAAAGTCCTGGGCTTTTCAAACTGAACAAGGTGGAAAGAAAGACAGCTAGCAATGGTGTTTTCCTTTTTTCTTTCTTTCTTTCTTTCTTTCTTTCTCTCTCTCTCTCTCTTTCTTTCTTTCTTTCTTTCTTTCTTTCTTTCTTTCTAACTGTGCTTTTACTTTGAGTCTTTTCCTTCTCTCTTTTCCTCAGTACTTCTGCCTTTCTTACTTTGACCTGTTCTCTCCTTTCCTTCCCTTCCCATTAGGGCCTAGGGCAAAGATCAACAGCTAAGATAAACCCTCAACCAAAGAGCTGAGCGCATTTACAGTTGGGGAATGGGGCTGAGAGATACTGAGACATCGCACCTCCAGCACCTGAATTCCAACATTTAGAGGTCAGAGCCACCGGTTTCTGCCTATGAAGATGTACTAAGTTTCGCATCTACCCATATCCCCGAATGTGGCCCAGAGTTAGTGGCAGAAACTTGTTTCTGCTTTTAACTTTGCAGTTGAGTTTTGGAAAGCGGTTTTGGGAGGGCCAGGTTGAGAATCTGGGCAGCTCCGGGCCAGATGCGGGCGCCCCGGGTCCTGTCTGAACCAGACTGCTGCTGCAATGTGAGCTCGGGAGGGAACTGGGGATGCGAGCTGGGAACAGACCGCGCTCCAGCCCCCATGGTTTGTGACGGGGAACTTCGGGCGCACACACCCTGGGGAGTAGGTCTCCTCCAAATGGCACCGACACAGACTGGCGCTGGATCTTCTCTCCCTGCTAATCTATCCGCAAAGACCGCCTGGGCACTTTTGGGGGAATGTGGCCAAAAGGGGACTCTAACTGCGACATCTACAGAGGAAGGAGAAACTGGTGGTGCCTAAGAAGTTGATCTCGATGCGCGCAGTGAGGGCACAGGGCCCTGCGCGCCAGAGAAGCGAAGCCAGCGGTCTCCACTTACTTGTTCTTAATTCCTCCCTACCCCCGCTCTGGCCTCTCATTTTCGGCCTCATGGATCCAAGACCCGAGGTTATTTTCAGTCACAACTTTCTCCACACCCCGTACCCCCAAAAGTGTACCTCAGCTCAGGCGGGAAAGGGCACTTTGACCCGCCGTGCGCGAGTTTCCAGCCAGCCGCTGCGCGCCTGAGAGAAAGAGCGCCTGGCTGCGGCTCCGAGCGCACAGCTCTTCCCCGCGTGTTTGGCGCGGCTACGTTTCTCTTGCTCCGGGCTGAGGCTCGAGGAACCTCGCCAGCCTGCTGTGGTCCCGTCCCCTTGACGTTTGATTTCTAAAACCGCATAGTCTGCGGCTCTGGCATTTAGAAAAAGAGGACAAGGTCAAGGCCTGTGGACCGACCGCCGCGATCCGCTTGCACCTTTGCTCTCACAGCAAGCGAGTCCTGGCCGCAGCCGCTGGAAAAAGGTGCCGCAGCGCCCAGTTTACCTGGAATTCAGGGACCTGACCCTGACTCTATTTCCGGCTAGTCCCAGCCTCTCCTTCCTCTCCTTTCCCCGCTTTCCGCCCAGGGCGGTTCTGAGATTTTGATTAAGAGAGATCTGTCCCCGCACCGCAGAGGGATGGTGCCAAATGGCCAGGCTTCCTGGGCACTGCGTCCTCATTCCCAGGTCAGAGCTACTGCGAAAGGAAAGGTCTCCATCTGGACGCACCTCGTCCCCTCCCCCAGCGCGCGGGGCAGCCCTCTAGGGCCAGCTCGGGCACGCGCTTTTCCCCCTCCTCACCCCCTGCTCCGCCCAGCCCCGTACAGTTTTATTCTTTATGAAACACACACGCCCACCCCGCCTCCCACGTAAAGGCCAGTCTTGACTCATTTTGCGCCCAGATGCAAACTCAGCTGGAAGTTGAGGGTAGGGCCAAAGAGGTGAGGGGAGGGTAAGAGATACAGCGAAATAGAGAATGAGAAGGGAGAAATCAAAGGGGGAGGAGGGACAAGAGAAAGCGTGTGGAGCTGGAGGTTGAAGGGGCAGAGGCGGAGGCCAAGGACTGAGCAAGGGGCGCGCGCGCGGCGGCGGCGGCGGCGGTGTTGGCGGCGGCGGCGGCAGGGCGGCTGCACCTCCTCCCAGCCTTTTCGCCCGCGCGCGCGAAGCGGGGTCAGGCGCGGACCCACATTCACCGACTGCAGAACTGTTTTCTTTGCCACTACCAGAGGGTGTTTCGGGGCTCCCCACGGTCTTCTCCCTGGCTGCTTGCCGCGTGAGAGCAGAAATAAAACAAAACAAATCACGGGACACGACGGAGTCGGGCCGCTGGGCGCCTCCGGGATCGCTCTCACTTTGCACTCGGAAGCGGGCGCGGGGATTCGGGCTGCCGCGTGTAGCCTATAAATAGCAAACTTTTTGACCGAAGCAACTAACAAATAAGAGGAGCAGGCGTGCATTTTGCTCAAGATCCCCCCTTTTCTGGGGACGACCTTACTCCCACCCCCGCCCCCTTTGCAGTAGTTGTGAGGGGATAGATTGGGAGAGAGAGATGAAATTTAATTTTATTAGAATTTACAGTAGTGGTGTTAATTTTTGCGGAAGGGGGTAAGAATCTCGCCATTTATCTGACCTTCTCTACCCACCTACCTTTGCTACCCTTCTCCCCCACCCAACAACTGGCACTGGATGGGAAGGGCAAAGAGCGGAGCTCCCAGGGAGGGTGGCTGTTGAAGACAGGGGGCGGAGGGCGATCCGGAGCCGGGTTTCTCTCTGGGAGTACCGGAGTGAGTGGGAGGGAAAGGGAAAGCAACGCCAGGAGTTGGCGTTTTCCTGAGGTACTGGGACAGGAATTTAGGTAACCCAGAATTTTAGATGGAAGTGCGAAAGGTGAGTGCGGAAGGCACAAAGGAGTTCCTGCAGTGCAGATTTCCTTTCCCAGAAGCGACAATAACCCACTCAGCAACTTTACTTCAACCCTAGGCTCTGGCCTACCGGGAGGGCAAACGCGGGCACCCGGGTCACGTCATCGCTTGCTTGGGGGCGCCAGCTCTAGCGTAAGCCTGAGCTGCGAGATAGCTCCGTGGGGTTTTGCCATGGGGTCTTGCTTACTAATCACCCCGCACGCCCTCACCCCTGTCCCTGGACGCCCTTTTGCTGCACCCGCTCACATCTGCAGACCCAACGGATGGGATCTACTTGACTGAGATTCCTGAACACAACTTACTGCCCGCCCTTCCCCTTTCCTTTTGGCCAGGCCGGATTGTGGGTGGTGATTGGCTCAGTAGGATTTTCATTTTCATTCTAGGTGCTTCCTTAAAAATAAAGCCCCCCGAATATAACAGACACTCGCTCCATACACCAAACTTCCCAGTTCCTGAGGTTGCTACGCTAAATTTATCCTGAATGTCGCACAGAAACCAGGGTCAATAGGACGATCAGCACGGATGGGTGTGGGGATTGAGGAAATTGGAGATATTGCAGCTGACGCCAGGTACCGGGAGAGGAGAGTCCGCAGATGCAGGGACGTTGCTCTGCTCCTCTTTGGACGTTCTCTGCCTCAGTGTCAGGCCTGCGAAATGGGAGTCAAGCCCGTCCCGTGGGCCTAAAGCGACTAGTAGCTGGGGGGGAGGGAGCCGGAGGACAGTGGTGCTTTTTCTTTCCAGTGCCCCACCTCTGCCCAATGCCAGCAGCCAGTACACTACACAAGAGGTCAAACGCCTAACCTCTACTAGTACCCCAAAGGGCAAAAACCAAACAGGGTCCCCCATGCAGTTTATGTAGTGGCGTTGCTGACCCAATCGCGCCTTTCCTAACACCGCTGCCCACCAGTTACCTCCTCCTAAGACCGCTTCCCACTAGTTACCTCCTCTTAAACGCAAAAGTTACTCTGTCCCAGAATCCAGTTTGGAAAGAGTGGAAAAATGCAGAAATACTAAGGGGGCTCAGGCAGTAGCTCCCCCTGCGGGGTGTGCCCACCGCCCATGGCTCCACGCAGGCGTTTGCGCGCGTCTCCCTTTCCAGCCCCCGCGAAGACCGCGCCTGGGGCTCGAGAGCTGACGGACTGCCCTTTCCAGGCTGCCCCAAGGGCCTGGGAGGCTGCGGTACCGCCTGTCGGTCCCGGTCCCGAGCGCGCTTGCTTAAGAGTTCTCAAAGACGGGGTTGGAAGCAGTACAGACGTCCCCGGTTATCGCTGCCGGGCTTGTGCGCCCCACGCCACCTACCTGTCCGGCCTTCCCGCTCCAATTGCTGACCCGTTTAGGGAGCCCGGCCTGGAGCCCGCCGCCTCCAGAGGAGCCCGCCCTCGCCCTCCCCCGCGCGCCTCCGCTCTCTGGGACGCCTGGCCAAATGCGGGGCGGTCTCTCGCGGGCCATTGGCTTGGGCCACCGTTCCGAGTCAGCTCCTAGGATTTCCCCAGGCTTTGCGGCCCCTTTGTGGGTCTAGGCCAGCGCCTCACCTTGCACCCTATTCCACCTCCAGTCCCCTTAGGTGCCCCCGCATCCCTCCTCCAGAGTCCAGGCTTTGAAACTGCAGCAACTCCGCAAAGAAAGCCTTTGGGAAAACCTCCTAGAGGGCCGAATGTGGAGGTCGGGTGGGTGGGTGGGTGGGTACTCGCGGCATTTCTCAAGGTTCTGGGTGTTCGTAACTAGGGGAACAGGCCCTATGGGGGCAGAAATGACAGACGCACGAACAGCGTCTCTGTGGCTGTCTGCAGCGCGAGGTTCACGTCTATTGTTTTATGCCTCCGGGAGAGCTACCCCGCGTGATAGATCTTTTCAGATCCATCACTGGAAGAAAAACCCTGGTGATAACGATTATCTCCCGCTCGCGCTATCTCGCCATCGCCCCAATTCATCTCCCTCTGGCTCTAGCCCCTTGGGGAGACGAGGAGGGCGAGGCGCTGGCAGGAGGACCGGCCAAGCCGCTGTCCTCGGATGGAGAGGAGAGGGAGAGGCACGAGGCCACCTCATTCGTCCCTTTCCGCTTCGGGCTGGGGAGACAGGACACCGAGGGTTTCTTTCTGTCTCTGCCAAGCCTCACGCTTCTTTCAAATGATTTTAGCCTGGTGCTACGGTCTATCCATATACATTTCCAATCTCATGGCTCATAAACTATTAGCAAAATGGTTTCATTATTCACCTTCTGTATCCTACAAAAGGGAGAAAAGAAAGGAGCGGGAGGAAGGCACAGTGGGGGCGGGGGACAGTCGTCGGACACTAGTTAACAATGATGCCTCCGGTGTTTAAATCATAGCTCAGACTGCTTTCTTCAAGCCGACACTCAACAAATCTGGTCTGTTTCCAAGGATCTGTAGCCGACCCCTTCTCCCCCTCCCCCTCTCCTCTCTGTCTCTCTCTCCATCCATCATATCCATCTCTCCTTAATACTTGGTATTCTGGAAGGACCAGATGAATAGCGAGATACTGCAAATCCATTATTTGCTTCATTAGGTGTCATCAATAAGGCACGCCCTTTAGATACGACACACATAATTAATTGGTTAGATTTGCTATCCCTGGCCTCCTTTTGGGTGGTGTTGGTGATGGGATCATGTGGCATCCCTGAAACCATGTTAAGACAAAAGTCTAGGTTGATAACCAAGAAGTTGACTTAGAGATCGGTGTGGCCTTAAGGTGCCCAACTCGGCACCAAGTCCTCATCTGGCTTCTGCAAGTGGGGAAGTTGCAATGAACGATGTGTGGGAGTGTGGGTGAATGTGGGCGTGCATAGGAGCGCCTGCCCCTGTGAATGTGTATAGGCAGGAGAATGAGGCGGGTTGGGCCGGGGGGTGCTAACAGATTTCAGAGAGAGGGAAGATGCAGTCAACAGCTCTTACTCAAGGTCTTTGGTGGATTCTGAGAAGTGTAACACACACACATACATACACACAGTCAACCCAAATGAAAACACAAATAGAAGCAAAGTGACACATGGAGGCCTGAGAACCTAGGGCAAAGGGCTAAATAAGGCAGAAAACTGCGGGCAGGCGGGAGCTGGCAGATGCAGCCTTGGGCCAGTGGAACCTGGACCTGCTCCTCCGATGAGGTCGATGATGATATTAGGTGTCTCCGCGAATACTGTTACTTTTCATATAAATATTTTTAAATCTAGAATGACTATCACTCCCCCTCCAATACATACGTACTCTTCCCCTGAACTTTTTGAAAATATAAAGGACGCTAGGCAAGTGAGCTTGCGGTAATTATCCCTGGATAGAGAAACCAATCTGGCTGGGAGAGGCCCCTCTGCAATTGCCGGCGGCGGCGGCGGTGCGCGGGCCCGCGCAGAGGCCGGGGACTTCGGGCGCTTGCTAGGTCACCGCGCCGGGCGACCGCCGCTCGCCGGCTATTTAATATACATGGGGTGGGAACGGAGCGAAGCGGATCTCCGAGCCTGCCTGTCCTGCAGAAAAAAAAAATCAATTTGCTATTTATTTTTGAAATATATAGATTTAGGGAATGTTTTTTCCAGCTCGACCCCCTTCAAGAATGGCGGCCCACATTTAATTACGTCTTTTAATGACTTTTCCCTTATTTGCCATCGCTATTCCACGTTAAGGGCGGGGGCGGGGTGGAGTTTCTTTGGGGGGTTTTCAATTCTGGTATCTTCAAAAAGATTTGCCTTATGTGTTAATTGCATGCTGTTAAGCACATCTGGGACTGTGTGCTGACCAACTCAGACCAACTTTTAATTAACACATTGACCCGGAGAAGAAGCAGCCGCCCAGCCTCCCCCTCTAAATATGTATATTAGCCACGCGGAGGCGGCTCGGCCCGCGCCGCCAGATGCAAGCAAGGAATTGCCTGCGTCGAGGGGCGGGAGGGGGTGCAAATTGCAACGGTTCTCTCTCTTTCTGTGAGCGTTTTTTCTCGCCTCACCTCTAGGAAAACAACAAAGAAAAAGAGTAAATGACCGGCTCCTGAATCAGGCTTCTTACATCCTTTAGGCGTGACTTGACCCCAGGCAGGGGGCTTGGAGGAATGGGAGGGAAGGCCTGCTAGAGCTATTTTCTAACCAACCTGCCTTGGGCCTGAGTGACGACTCCAGCCTGGGCTCTTGGAGTGGACCGAATTCTACTAATGAATATGGGAATGCCCTAGGATCCTGGTGGAAGGAGAGAACGAGCCACTGATTGCCTTTTGCGGTTCTGCTCTTCCTCCTTCCAACCTCCTCGCCTTTGCCGGAGGCTCTCCGAGGCTAAGCCACAAACTCTAGGGCTCCGGGTCCCAGAAAAAGGAATACTTGTGTTCCCCCCTCCCCCACCCCTTCGCCGTATCCCTGCTTGGAGCACGCTGTAGTCAAGATAGGGTAACGGAAATGAGTGGCTATTTTTAGGACTCCAGGCCCTTTCCCAGAGGTCTAGGCTATTCAGGGGTGATATTTAGCAAAGGCCAGTCAAACTCATGTTGGAGGGATAAATAAACCTGGAGCACAGCAGAGATGATGCCGCCTGCAGATATGCAATTTCACCCTAAGTAATTTCATTCAGGATTGATGGCGTTTCACTGGAGTGATGCCTTCAAAGTGAGTGCCTAGCTTGCTTCCCTGTAGAGCACAAATGCGGGTTAATCCCCAAATACGTACTCATTTTCTCTTTTCGCATCTAATCTCAACTGCCTCGCTCTTCTAAGTGCTTAGCTTCTGCACACAAGCCTATATAAAAATGTCAGAGTGGTATTCCTTCTCCCAGCCATAAAGAAGTTGGAGTGAATCACTCCCAAGTCACCATTTAACGTCCCCTCCAGGTAACAGTTGAAGTTTCCTGTTTGACATTTTTCATTCCCCAATACAGAACTTTTCAATAAATAAGCAGTGCTAGCGTGAGGAGAAGCCTATGTCACAATAAATTCACAGCTATATGCTCTAACTATGTCGATGCTTTGGAAAATTTAATGTGACAAGATTGCGCCCCAAATTCCTTCCACCTCTTTTTTTCCTTATTCTTATTCTCCTTTTTTTGTCCTTCTCTTGAGTCTACTTTTCCTACCCACTTATCAGAGAATCTGCAAAATTTGAGACTAAAAGAATAGAAAAGATAAAGACAAGAAAACAAAGTTCTATTACTCAGTATTCCTCTCAGCTCCTCCACATCTTTTTATATTCAGATAAAGGTGTAATCAACCTATATCTTTAGACAGGGAAAAACCAATCAGCTGGTAAATTACAATGTCCCTTTGCAAAGATAAGGCCTTTGGAAAGTTAGCACAAGTATCACCCAAACCCAGCTTTATTTTGAGTTTTAGTGGGCCACAGCTACTTATTTCAGCTCACAAATTGATCTGCAAAATTGGAGCCCACACCTGATATCCAGGGGAAAACAAGAGTTGGTAACTCCAGTTGATTCTTCTTTTGATTTACTCTGCCTGGTAAGATGTATGCTGGAGTGTTCTGATAAGAAAAAGGAAAAAAAAAAAAGGAGTCAGCAGTTTGTTTCGGAAACTCTTATTGCTGAATATGGTTGCAGGTTTAAACTAAAGAATGTGTTTCTGCTGGGGACATTTGCATGACACATCCATATGCATTAGCAGCTGCACGGTGTTATATCATCAGTTCCTGTGAGCATTTATCTTTTTTTCTCCCTTCTGTCTTTCTCAAAGGAAGTAGGTAAGTGGCTTATAGGAAAACCATATAGACTTTAAAGATGTGTAAATCTTCCTGTTTCCTTCAGGCCCTCAGCACCTAAGTGGCCTGTAACAACCTATTTCTTTGGAAGATTTTGGAATATTTGAAGTAAGTAGCCTCCCTGGTTACTTTTTAAAATCAAAATAATGAATTAACAGTGTATGAAATATAATAAAATAATTATCTAGAGAAAGAGGCCTTGATGATTCAACTCTGTAGTCAAAAAAAGGCACTGTCATCAATGTCCTTCTGATTTGCTTAGAGACATTCCAGAGGAACTTTTCATTAGATAATTCTTTATGCCATCAGTCTTCACTTTTTGATACTTGATGGAGGTAATACATTTGAAGGAAGGTAGCTAAGACCTTGGCATGTCGGCATGTAGTGATGATGTCAGAGAGCACAACAGCAGTTCTGGAAGATGTTTGCTTTCCCAGACATTGTATGATGGTACAGGGGCCATTGTCTAACATCCACAGCAATTGTCTGCCCTGAATCCTACCAATACTGTATTTCATGTGTCTGATTCTCTGAGAATTCCAGTGGTCTGTAAGCCACAGGAACTACAATGTCAAATTGGAATCAGAAAAAAAATTCAATTCTTATTTTGTCTGACTCAGTTCAGTCACTCAGGGCATTTTTTTTTAAAAAAAGAAAACTGTGCATTTTAACATTGGGGTAACTAGGAAGAATTTGGACTCAAAACCAAGAGATATAGCATAAGTACATTTTTTGAAATCACTTCTCATTTGTGGTCAATGTTTCATGGAATTATTTGCAAATAATCTGAATCATCCTCAGATGTTTCTAGTAAGTCAAATTCAAAGTGTGGGTATATTGCAAAGTGAAACAAAAACCTTACACACGCACACACACAAGCAAACAAAAAGATAACCCTTACCAGGAGTTATGATGACTAACAAGATATGCTAGTAAAGATATGGGTTTTCATCCATGTTGTAGTGTTTTGGGCACAAAAAAAGGTATTTAGAAAAAAATGAAATGACAATAATTAGTAAAATAGTGCCATCCATTTTTTTCTAACATACTTGGAACTAATAGGCACTATTGTACAAAGGTGCATGTGCAATGACACATAAATATGCGTGAGTCTAAATAATAATCTATTTTAATGTCTTGTTTCCAGATGTTTGCAAATACTACCAGTACATTGAATTGACCTAACCAAAAAGTAGCTAAGATCTCTGCCATTCAATTAAATCCTAGGTGTTTTACATATCACATGGAACAACTTTCTCTTGCCCTCCATTACACAAAAGGTTTTTGGCAAAAAACAACAAACAAACAAACAAAAAAACCTCTTTAACTTTAAAACAGTAATTCAGTATAATATGGGTGAAAGTAAAAACTGTTATTTGATATTATATAATGGAAAATATTACCAACTTCAGTATTTTACTCAACTATTTCAGTGATAATTAGAACATCCAATTGTTGGGGCTAGCTAGCTTAGCTGTTCAGATTAGAACATGGTACAGAATTGATCCTGTGGTTAATTGTGCCTGTACTTGAGAGTCACATACTGCATCCCTTAATCCAATCAGCCCTGGACACTTGTGTGCCAGAGGTGATTGGAGGGCCAACCAAGAATGTAGACGAATCTGCACGTATCAAAGAAAAACCTTATTTTAAAAAGAACATATGTTACTTGCAGCATTAAATACAGAAGAGAGGGAGTATATGTTTGCAATTCAAATGAAATCTTTTGGGCAAAATTTATGAGAGAGCAGAAAAAGGGAGCAAAGAATACCTAATTGAGGCTACAAAGAGAGCTTAGGCATGATGAAGAAAACTACTATACCTACTTTGATATTGGTATATAATTTAAAACTTTTATAGATAGGATGCTACTACTTCAAAGTATATCCATTTTATCTTTTTAAGGTAAAGAGAAGATTTGTTTGTTTGCATGCTTTGAGCTTGGATATTGATATTACACATTTCTGGAAGTACTAATGGTATCAGTAAACTTAGGATATGGGAGATCTGAAGGAGTTACATATTTGCTTATTCATTTATCTCTTGGTTATGCTTGCAGAATAATTCCATTTCTCCCTCAAAGACTTTCTTTGTTATGGGTCATAATATCATAGCCTCTTTGAAATATGATGGCTAACAAAGATAAAACATAGACCATTACAACTCGTCATCCTTGGTTCAGCAGATACAAATCAAAAACAGAGAGAAGCTTTGTTAAGTCAGTACTTAATTCTATGGCCATTTATTCATACTCATTTCCAAGAACTATGAGCTAGGTAATGTCTGTGCAAATGCCAATGATTGCAGTCTGGAAAGTAAGTAGCTTAGAAGTCACCACTCTTTCCTAACAACAAGTTAAAAAAAAAAAAAAACTGATCGGACTGAAAAATCTACAAATCTTCTTAGATCTGCCAGAGAAATGAAGTCATAGGGCAAACAACTGTCCCAAAAATTGGAGAGACAGGCAGTTAAGAGAATCATAACTTACTGGAGCAGGTACTTAGGAGTAGAAACCTCTGTAGGAACCAGTGCCAGGGTAGAAAAACCTAAACTGTAATTGACAAATTGCTGGAGGCTCAATGTGGACAAATCTGAGAGTTAAAGACTCCAAAAACCTCATTCATAGGTTGGCCCCTACACTTTTTTCTGTTCCTCCTCCTGGAACTCTACCAGGTTCTCACAGTGAATATCTGAGAAAAATCCCCTTGTATGTTCAGCAGGGAGAAAGGAAAAGGAACCATTTTGAAATACTTCAGAGCATTCTGTTTTTCTGAACAAGGCCTAACCTCAGGAGAAGCTATTTTTCCAGAGCCTTATTAGAGTTTTATCAGAGCCTAGTCTACTTGGAGGAAGGGCAACGCCCAACTCCAGTGATCACTAGCCATTGCGTCCAACATAGGGAGGGGTGACAGGGAGGCACTGGTGAAGCTCATAGCCCAGAGACACAGGTTGACCAAAAGACTAGGGCCTAATCATAGGACTATAGAACACTTCCCTTCCCCTACGCCTTGTCACCACATTACTAAAGGCCTATTTATTTTAGTTGCTTTTACCCAGTACATCATGTTCACCTTTTAATGAAAAAATTACAAGGTATACTAAAAGGCAAAAAAGTTTGAAGAGACTGAACGGGCGTGAGAAGGAGTCAGATATGACAGGAAGTTTGGGATTTTCAGACCAGGATTTTTTTTTTAATAAGATGAGTATGCTAAAGGCTTTAATAGAAAAAGTAGAAAATATGCAAGAACAGATGGACAATGCAAGCAGAAGTATGGAAATTTTAAGAAAGAAACAAAAAAATGCTAGAGATCAAAAACACTGTAAAAGAAATGAAGAATACCTTTGATGGGCTCATTAGTAAACTGGACACAGCTGAGAAAAAAAACCGTGAGCCTGAGGCTATGTCAATAGAAACTTCCAAAACTGAAAAGCAAAGAGTAAAAGTCTGAAATAAAAAACAGCATTTCTAAGAAATGTGGGAAAACTGCAGAAGATGTAACATACACACAGTGGGAATGCCTGAAGCACAAGAAAGGAACAGAAGCAACATTTGAAGCAATAATGACAGAATTTTTCCAAATTAGTATCAGACACCAAATCACAGATACAGGAAGCTTGGAGAACTCCAAACAGGATAAACGCCAAAAATCCCCCAAACTATGTGTAGCCATATCATATTAAAACTCTAGAAAATCAAAGATAAAGAAGAAATCTTTAAATATGGCAGAGAAGAAAAAGATGTTACCTATAGAGGAGCAAATATCTGAATTGCATCCAATTTCTCCTCAGAAATCACACAATCAAGAAAAGAATGGAGTAAAATTTTTAAAGTATTGAGAGAAAAAACTCTAAGACATGTAATTTTATACCCTGTGAAATTATTCTTCAAAAGTGAAGGAGAAATAGACAACTTCTCAAAAAAAAAAAATTAAGTGACTTTGTTACCAGTAGACGTGTCTTGCAATAAATCTTTTTAAAAGTTCATCAGAAAAAAATATGATATAGGTAAAAAATGTGGATCTACATAAAGAAAGACAGACCATCAGAGAAAAAATAAGGTAACACAAAAGCTTTTATTTTCTTACTTTTTAATTGATTAAAGAAATAACAGTTTGTGCAAAATAATAATAGCAACAATGTATTTTATCATTTATACATATATATATGGGCTTATGTATGTGTACGTATTTGGGAAATAAATGGCAGCAATAATACTAGACATGAGAAGGAGGAATAGAAATATTTTATTATAAAGTACTGATATTACCTGTGAAGTAGAAAACATTATTTAGAAGTAGGCTTGGATTACTTATAAATGTATATTGCAAATTCTAAGCCAACCACTAAAAAAAAAATGATAGAAAAAGTAGTTTAGCTGATATTCTAAGAGAGAAGAGAAATTATAATAATGTAAAATGCTCATTTAAAAATCTCAAAAGGCAAAATAGAGTGGAAGACAAAATTGGAACAAAGAACAAGTGTAACAAATAGAAAACAGTAACAAATATAGTAGATATTTTAGTCCAAGTATATCAATAATCACTTTGAACATCGATAGTCTAAATGCACCAATTTAATGACAGACATTGTCAGAAGTAATCAAAACAGAAGACCTGACTATATGTTGTCTATGAGATACTTACTTTAAATATAAAGAAACATATAGATCAAAAGTAAAGAGATCAAGAAAGATATATCCTGTTAACCCTAATCCAAAGAAGGTGAAAGGAGCTATATTAATTTCAGACAGAGCTGACTTCAGAGTAAGGAAATTTATCAGAGTTAAAGAGGGGCATTACATAATGATGTAATACTCCAAGAAGACATAGCATATTTGATGCATGCACCCAGCAACAGAGCATCAAATATGTAAAGCACAAACTGATAGAACTCCAAGGATAAATATATCAATCTATTATTAGATTGAGTTGGAGACTTAAAACATCCCTAGCAGAAATGGACAGATCCAGCAGGCACAAAATCAGTTAAGGACATAGATGAACTCAACAGCATCACCAATCAACTGAACATAATTGACATCTATACATGACATTGTCCGAGAACAGCAGTTTACACATTCTTCTCAAGCTCACATGGAACATTCACCAAGATAGAACACATTCTAAGCCATAAAACACACCTTAATAAATTTAAAAGAATAGAAATCATACAATGTCTGCTCTCAGATCACAGTGGAATTAAACTACCAATGATTAACAGCTGGAAAGTCCCCAGATACTTACAGATTAAAAGCACACTTTTAAGCATGGGTTGAAAAAAAGAGAACTCTCAAAAGAACTTAAAAAATATTTTGAATTAAATGAAAATGAAAATACAAAATATCAAAATGGAAACATTGAAATATTAATGTTTGTGAGATGCAGGGAAAATAGTGCTTAAAGGAAAATTCATAACATCCTTAGAGAAAAATTTATAGCATTGAATGCATATACTAGAAAAAAATAAAGATCTAAAGTAAACAATCTAAGCTTCTAACTTTGGAAAGTAGAATATGAAGAGTAAATTAAATTCAGTGTAAAGAGAAAAAAAGAAATAACTGAAATTAGAGCATAAAACAATGAAATTAAAAACAGGAAATCATAGAGAAAATCAAAACCATTAGCTATTTTTTAAAAGATCAATATAATTGATAAGACTTTAGTCAAGCAATCTATGAAAAAACATGGAAGACACAAGTTACTAATATCAGTAATGAAAGAGGGAGCATCACTATATATCTTATGAACATTAAAAGGATAATAGTGAAATATTATGAACAATTGTATTTCTGTAAATTTGATAACTTAGGTGAAATGGACCAATTCCTTGAAGGACACAAGCTGCCAAAACTCACATGAGAAGAAATAGACAACTTGAATAGGTCTATATTTATTAAAGAAATTTAATCAATAATTAATCTTCTCAACAGAATGAAATGTATTTGGTGGATTCTACCAAACATTTAAGGAAGAAATTATACCAATTTTCTACAATGTCTTCCAAAAAATAGTAACAAAGAGATTATTTTCTGATTCATTTTATTAGGCCAGCATTACTCTAATATCAAAAGTGGATAAAGACATAACAAGAAATGACAACTACAACCACATATCTCTCATGAACATATATGCAGAAATCCTAAACAAAATATTAGCAAATATAATTCAAAAATATATAAAAATAATTATCCACCACAACCAAGGGGATTTATCCCAGGTATACAAGGCCGGTTCAATATTCAAAAAAAACAATTAATGTAACTTATTATATCAACAGACTAAAAAAGAAAAATCACATCATCATATAAATAGATGCATTTGACAAACCCAACATTCATGTATGCTAAAATTCTCAGCAAACTGGGACTGGAGGGGAAATTTCTCCACTTGATAAAGAACATTTACAAAAAACCTACAGCTAAAATTATAATAATAATGAAAAACTTGAAGTTTTCCCAATAAGTTTAACAACAAGGGGAGGATGTCCCCTCTCACCACTGCCTTTCAACATTATCCTAGAAGTCCTAGCTAATGCAATAAGACAAGAAAAGGAAATAAGAAATAAACTGATTGGGGAGGAAAAAGTAAAACTGTCTTTGTTCTCAGACAGCACAATTGCTTATGTAGAAAATCTGAAAGAGTCAACAACAACAACGAAACCTCCTGGATCTAATAAGCAATTATAGCAAGGTTGCTAGATCCAAGGTTAATCTACAAAAGCCAAGCACATTCCTATATAGTAGCAATGAGCAAATGGAATTTGAAATTAAAAACATATTACCATTTATATTAGATAGAAAAACTGAAATGTTTACATATAAATCTAACAAAACATATACAAAATCTAAATGAGAAAAACTACAAGACTAAAGAAAGGTATCAAATAAATATATAAATGAAGAGACATGGATACAAAGACACAATATTGTCAGTATGTCAGTTTTTCCCAACTTGATCTATAGATTTATTGTAATCCCAGTAAGTTTTCTCAATAAAATCCCAGTAAGTTATTCTGTAGATATTGACAAACTGATTCTGAAGTTTATATGGAAGGCGAAAGACCCAGAATGGCCAACTCAATATTGAAGAAGAAGAACAAAGTCAGAGGGCTGACATTAGTCAAATTTGAGACTTACTATAAAGCTACAGTAATCAAGACAATGTGGCATTAGTGAAAGAACAGACAAATAAATCAGTGGAACAGAACGGAGAGCCAAGAAATAGGCTTACACAAATGGAGTCAAGTCATCTTTGAAAAAGGAGCAAGGCAGTAGAATGAAGCAAAGATAGTATTTTCAACAAATGATGCTAGAACAACTAGATATTCACGTGCAAAAAAAAAAAAAAAAGAATCTAGACACAGATTTCACACCCTTCACAGAAATTACCACAAAATAGATCATAGATCTAAATGAAAATCACAAAACTCTGAAACTCCTAAAAGATAACACAGGAGAAAACCTAGATGACATTTCATATGGTGGTGACTTTTCAGATACAGCCCCAAAGGCAGGATCCATGAGAGAAACAATTAATAAGCTGGACCTCATTAAAATTAAAAACTTCTGCTCTGTGAAAACAATATAAAGTGAAAGAGAAAAACAGCCACAGAATGGAAGAAAATATTTTCAAAAGACACATATGATGAAAGACTGTTATCAAAAATATACAAAGAATTCTTAAAACTCAAGAGTAAGAAAATGAGCAACCCAATTCAAAAGTGAGAAAAAGACCAGAACAGACACCTCATCAAAGAAGATGTACAGGTGATATGTAAGCATATGAAAAGATGGTCCACCTCATATGTCATTAGGGGACTGCATGTTAAAACAAAATTCAGATACCACTGCAGCCTTATTAGAATGGACAAAATCCAAAACACTGATGACATCGAATGCTGTCAAGGGTATAGAGCAAGACCAAACAAGCACTCTCATTCATTGCTCATGGGAATGCAAAGTGGTATAGCCACTTTTGAAAACAATCTAGCAGTTTCTTACAAAAGTAAACATGCTGTCTCTTACCATGTGATCTGGCTGTCACACTCCTTGTTATTACCCAAATGAATTGAAAATTTATGTCCACACGAAAACCTACACATAGATGTTTATAGGAGCTTTATTAATAATTGTCAAAAATTGAAAAAAAACAAAAGATATTTCAATAAGTGAATGGACAAATTGTAATACATCCATATTATTCAGTGTTAAAAAGAAATGTTATTAAATTATAAAAATACATAGAGGAAACTTAAATAGTTATTACTAAGTAAAAGAAGCCAATTTGAAAGACTCCATACTCTGATTCTAAGTACATGACATTCTGAAAAAGACAAAACTATGGAAACATTAAAAAGATAAATGGTTGCCAAGGGTTAAGGGAGAGGGGGGAATGAATAGGCAAAGCATGGAGGATTTTCAGGGAAGTGAAATGTTTCTGTATGATGAATGGTGGATATATGTCATTATAAATTTGTCATAATGCATAGAATGTACAACACAAGTTTACCCTAATGTAAACTATGGACATTGGTAATGATGTGTCAATTTGAGTTCCTCAGTTATAACAAACATACCACTGTTGACAGTGGGAAGGATTATGGGTGTGTGGGAACAGGGAGCACATGGAAACTTTCTGCTCATTTTTTGCTGGGAACTTAAAACTACTGTATAAAATAAAATTTATTAATTAGTTATTTTTAAAAGCCAATGATTTGTCATGATATTAATAAATTGTTATTAGCATATTTCAGCTCCTAGGCACTAGGTCCTGCTGCTTTGTAAAATCTTTCCATAAATATTTTTATTTCTATTCATTAACAATGAGGGAGAGTGAATACAATACTGAATGTGAAAATATCCTTGTAAATAGCATGAATTAATGCAACAAAATCAACTCCAAGAAATATTTCCAAGACAGAAAACAGGCATGTTTTGAAGGATTTTTAGTATTACATTAAGTGGAACAATACAATACAATACAACTGGGAAGCATAATTTACATTATATAACATTACATTTTCCAAATAATTCTTTCTGTAAAACCCTTTAAAGCAAGTTTTAATACCCATTTTGCAAGTGAGGAGGAAAAATAACTTGGGTAGGTAATAGAGCCAAGTATATAGCAGAGCCAGGATTCAAACTCTAGTTTGTTTTATCCTCACCCACACTCTGAAGCACTCTCCTAGTTTTATACATCAGTCTTTCATGAGCTCTGGTAACATGAGTCTAGTCCTCGGAAGTGGACAGCCTTGACATAGTGTCAAAATCAAGTTTCTGAAGCACCATATCCTGGACCTGGTAAATTCTCCAGGACTGTAAGATACTACCATGGAAAGTCTTGTGGCAGGCAGCAAACTGACCTTTTTCCTGATGCCTCTATCTTCCCGTGTGCTTTTATTGAAAGTGAAGTAGCCACTTCATAATGGCTACAAAAGAATTATTTGAGAATGTCTGAATCTGTACCATGGATAAGGATGATATAATATTAGCAAAAAGATAAAAGCAATTACAAATGGCATACAGGGGGGATATTAACTTCTATAGTTTTTATTTATAAATTTATTAAAGAAATTTGAAACTCTCATGCATGGATGGCTTTACTAAATGCTTTTATATTTTTTATCATCCTTCATCCTTTTTTTCCCTGTGCATCCAATTGTCTTGTCAGGATGGATTGAAATCATTTCCTTGTCTAACGGCTTTCAAAATAATTGCAAAGAATACCAAGGCTCTCAAATCCTAGTGTTAGTTCTCCAAAGTTTACACTCCACCTCTTGTCTTTATCATATTGCTAACCATATTGCTAAGCTGTAGCTACTCTCCAGATCTGTTCAAAGCCAGCATTTAAGAGGACTGCTTTCCTTCAATGGGCTCTCTGAAGTGACTGCTACCAGCTATTTATTACTTGGAAATAGTTTTGGTGTTTGTAATACTGCAGTTCTGTCTCTCCATCTCTGTCTCTCCTACCTATGTTCTGTGTTTTGTGGGGGCCGAGATTGGGCATTAGGAAGGCACAGTTTATAATCTGCTGGAAAGAATGCTTAACATATTGAGATTGAAACAAAAACAAACAAAAAAAATTTCTGTCCTGTGGAAACAGATTCCTTCTTATATCGAATGTAAACAGCAACCATCCCCTTTGCCTACAGCCACCTGGAAGCTCTCTGGTTAGCCATTTCCAACTCACTGGAATGTAAATCATACATGCATGCATACAGCTGTCTATATTTGGAAAGAATAACCATATTTCCTACAAAAATTTAATTGTTTGGGCAACTCAGTTGGTTAATGGGGCCAAAGGTGAAGTTGCAGCTCTTGTACAATCAGTCCTTCTCACTGTACACAGTCGCTGGTCACAGAGTGAACTCCCAGTCTCCACAGTCTCTTGAAAATGTGTTTATTGGGGGAGAAGGCAGGCAAATCACAAGTTATCGCCACTCTCACTAAAACAGCTCAGAGCTCATGCTTACTGATGATGCGTCTTCAAATGAGGAGAGTAAAACATTGATACCCCTGGTCTCATACACTTTGTTTTCATTTGCAGATTTAGGTAGCATTCAGTCAGCTTGGCCCCTTTGTGGGCAGGATATTTTTCTGTATCATCAGAGCCTGGTGTGGAGGCAGAGTCAGGCTGGTTGCACAGTAAATGTTTCTTCAGTGAGTTAAAGTTACAAAAGTAAATCCAGCTATAAAATACAAGCTAACAAGTCCCATTGCTGGACTTTAAATAAAAAAAAAAAAGAGGAGATGAAAAGAAAAGGATGCGTCGTGACTTTTAAACAGACTATTGACTTTCACTGGAGTGTACAGCTCACATAGTGATTAGGAATCTGCACCATAATTGTTCTTGTCATCCACACACTTGGCTACAGTCGATATCTTTTTATCATATACATTTTTTAATCATGTATTAATAAACAAGAAGTTTGTATTATATTGATGATTGGATTATAATATTGACTAACTCCACAATCTCACACATGGCTTCTGAAAATATAAACAAGGTCAAAATGTAAAGATCACAGAGAGTGCATCAAAGACATAAATTAGCCTCTTTTCCAACTCTCTGTATGACTTGTAGGAGAGCAGGAGAATTTTGAAGTTATTTGTTAATTAAATAAATGATTTGTTCTAGACCAAAGAGAATAACATAAATAAAGATTAAATTAAAATTATTTTATCCTACTGGAATACTGAGTGGTTTTACTTTTGATAAATTTTGGTTGTGACTAATTTGCTGAATAGAATTTGATTTGGGCTGCTTTTAGAATCTTCATTGAGGTTATACAAAAATAAGTCCTCTGGCGGTTGGCAAACAGAAAATGTTCTGTTCAGGAAAGTGGATTTTACTTCACCACCTGCCAAAAAAATTAGGGTTTTCTCCTTCAAAGGCTGGGTTCTTGGAAGAATTAGAATTTTTCCCTTCCGCTTCCTGATATATCTTCTTTCTCTGCAATGCCACCCTCCCCACGCATGGTGTCTACTCCTGGTGCAAGTTGCCCAGCATTCCAGAGATACTTCAGCTAGCTGGCTACACAGGGTGAAAGTACAAACTGTACAAAAGTAAGACAAATTATGCGTAGAAAAATCTCAGTATGATTCATTTCCAGTAGACAAACTCCCAAATACTGCAAACATTTTAACCATTCTTCTTTCCTCTTTTCTTGTCATTAAAACTTCTAGTGTAAACCTAAGGATGGTCCTCATATCATCCTTAGTTACTGGGAAACTGATGGAAACACTTCTCTGGACCCCATCTTGGCCACCTTCTTTACATATGTGGCCTGTGAACTCTGTCTTCTCTCTTGTAATAAACCATATTCCCATGCCTTCAACTTGATCAGGACACTCTGGAAACCACCACCTTGGGTTTTATATCTTTCTTTTTCTAAAGGTTTCCTTTGATTCCCGGTCACTCTTCAAACTGATGTCTTCAGCTCTCCTTCTGTAGTATGATTAATTGTGCCAATGTCAGTTTCTTGGTTTTGATAAGCTACCATAATTGTGTAAGATGTTACCATTGAGGGGAAGCTGGGTGATGGATACATGGGCTCTCCCTGCACTGTTTTGCAAATTCTTTTGTCTGCAATTATTTCTAAACAAAAAAAGTAAAAATCAGATGTATTCATACTAAAAGTTAATTTCACCTACAGCTCATAATTACATGTGAGTAAAAACGTTGCTGCACTCTCAAAATAATCATGCAACTCAGAATTACTGTTGGGGTGAGGTATTGGGGAGGGGAGATTTTTTTACTTATTACAGGAGTTATCTTCTATTTTGAAGTTTTAACTGCTTTTGGAGAGGGGCTTTTGGGAGCTGGATGGTAGAGCATGAGGGGACAGGAGGAGAAACAGATTTAAGCACAAGCATAAGAAAGAGATCGCTTTGTGATGTCTAAGAAGGAGGTAACCAAAAGCACAAATACTTTGCATGTTCACGTAAAGTTGTCTTTCTCACGATGAAATGTATTCAAATAGAATTAATACTTCTTTGGAGTTCTTCATTTGCATCTGTTAAATATGATAATAATACCTTATGTATACAGTAATTTACAATTTTCAAAATTCACATGTATTATCTCTTTGATCTTCATAAAAATTCTGTAACACAGGTAAAGCAGTGATTATTATTCCCATTTAAATATGAGAAAATTGTGGATCAGAGAAGATGAGTGTACTTTCTCAGGAGAAGCTAAGACTTGAACCTGTATTTTCTAATTCCTAGTCAGATGTTCTTCTTAATATACCATATCTTATTAAAATATCCAAGTTTGGAATTTATTTTTATCTGGCTTAAGGAGCAAAAACTACAAAAATTGTTTACTTTGCTTTATCCTTGCTGGTGGGGGATAGGGGAGAGAATTACTTTAAATAGTAGCAATATCCTAAGAAATCACAGGCTGTGAAATACTTAATGAACTTTTTTCCTCCATATATCACTCTGTGACTGTGTCTCCTATGAGAAACTCTCTGGGGCTGTCCCCCCAAGTCTCTCAGCTCTCTGTTTTTCTGGTAATACTTTGACCCTCTTCTCTTCCACCTTGGATATTCTTTTACTTTGCTTTAATTTAGAAACCAAGATTGTTTTTATATTTTATCTTACTTATGTAATAGAATTTTGTAGTCAAGCTTCTTAATTTAAAGAGAGAATTTAAATAATATTTTTCAGTTTCTCATTTATTAAACTACATTATTGATTTTTCCTAAGTGGCCCCTTTTAGTCTTACATGTGTGTTTGCTTTTGGTCCTAGATTCTACCGCCATTGACCTTCCCTAATCACTCAAGCCTATTTTTCACCAGAAAGTTCATTTTGAGCATTACAAGTGATATTCAATATATTAAAATTACACATATAAAATGTCAGGGTTTTTTTGTTTTTTTCTTGTTTGTTTGTTTTGAAACGGAGTCTCACTCTGTCACCCAGGCAGGAGTGCAGTGGTGTGATCTTGGTTCACTGCAACCTCCGTCTCCCGGGTTCAAGCAATTCTCCTGCCTCAGCCTCCCAAGTAACTGAGATTACAAGCATGTGCCACCATGCCTGGCTGATTTTTGTATTTTTAGTAGATATGGGGTTTCACAATGTTGGCCAGGCTGGTCTCAAACTCCTGGCCTCGAGCGATCCGCACGCCTCGACCTCCCAAAGTGCAGGGATTACAGGCGTGAGCCACCGCACTCGGCCAAATGTCAGTTTTTTCATGCCCTTTTAAGATCAGCTATACATATTATGTTATTTTTAAATCTGCAGATTTGATCAATAACTTCAAAGGAGCATTTCAAAAATGTTTATTCCCTTTTACAGACTTATTGAATACCTTTAAGCATTTGAAAAGATTTATAATTTTATTTATTCTAGATTTATTTTTAAATAATTCACTTATTTTTATCTGAATTAACAAATAAAACATTTGCAAGGAATAAATAACTTCTATACATCTAAGAGATTAAACATATGCATATATGTATGGTAAACCCAAAATTTTCTTAGATATTCCAAAAAAATACATACATGTAGTAAGCAATCACCTTATATTCACAAGTCTAAAGCAATTGCTCAATTTCACATCTTCAATAGGAGTTAGAAGGCTATCCCTCCATTAAAAGAGATTTTCTCGTAAAGATACATTAAATATCAAATATGCACATATTCCTTTTAGCATGAAATTTCAGCGCTATGGCTTTTTCACTTTTTATTTTTAAATGTATTAACATACAGTAAAAATGACCCTTTTTTGGTACAGTTCTATGAATTTTAACACATACATAGAT
Source organism: Homo sapiens (assembly GCF_000001405.40). NCBI lineage: Eukaryota > Metazoa > Chordata > Mammalia > Primates > Hominidae > Homo > Homo sapiens. The sequence goes on from NC_000001.11 coordinate 217,156,335, forward strand.
TTGTGTAATCACCAATAAAATCAGGATACAAGACACCAAAGTTCCCCTTTAATTCCTTAAAAGTTTCCTTTAATTCTTTATATGACTGCACTCTGCCAATCTTCAAACGTGTGTCTTATAGCTTTCCTTCTGTAGGCTAACCTGCTGTGCCAATGTCAATTTCCTGGTTTTAATAATCTACTGTAGTTATGTCAGCTGTTACCAGGGGGAAAGCTGAGTGATGGACACATGGGACTAGTCTGTACTATTTTTGCAACTAATTTTGGGTCTATAATTATTTTAAAATAAAAAATAAATGTTTCTGTGTTCTCTGTCTGGATGCGTTCCTGTACTCACAATTCATTTTCAGGAGAGAGGTTTATCTATTTTCCTACAGAACAGTTCCATTACTCCCAAAAGCCCCCATATGTAATCATTTTGTAACCACACCCTCTCTCTACCTACCTGAATTGCCAAAGAGTCACTGATCTGGTCCTTGTCATTATAGCTTCATTTTTTCAAGAATGTCATAAAAATGAAATTATACAGTATATACGATTTTGTGAGATGGGCTTCTTTCACTCAGCATGATGCCTCTGAGATTCTTCCAAGTTTTTGCATTATTGATACAGTTTGTTCCTTTTTCTTGCTGAGTAGTATTGCATTGTATGGATGTACTACAGTTTTTTAATCCATTCACTTGTAGAAGGACATTTAGGTTGTTTCCTGTCTTTTGCAGTTATGACTAAAGTTGCTATAAATGTTCGTGTACGGGTCTTTGGGTGCACAAGGTTTCATTTCTCTAGGGTAAATATGCAGGAGTGGGATTGCTGGAATGAATAACATATGCCTAACTTTGTAAGAAACTGCCAAGCTTTTTTCCAGAGTGGCTATACCTTTTCAATATCAATGTATAAGAATTCTAGTTACTCCACATCCTCACCAGCACAGTGTATTAACAATTTTTATTTTAGGAATTTCAGTAGATATGTAAGGGTATCTCATGGTGGTTTCTGCACTTCCCTAATGGCTAATGATGTTAACCATGCTTTCATATGTTTATTCTCCTTCTATATTCTTTTTGGTGAAGTATCCAAGTCTTTGCCTCCACACACCTCCTTTTTGTTTTTGAGACAGGATCTCACTCTCATCACCCAGATGAAGTTTCACTGCGGCTTCGACTTCCCAGGTAGGAACATGCCACACACCCAGCTTTTTTTTTTTTTTTTTTTTTTTTTTTTTTTTTTTTTTTTTTTTTTTAGTTGAGACAAGGTTTTGCCATGTTGCTGAAGCTGGTCTCAAACCTCTGGGTTCAAGTGATCCTTCTACCTCTGACTCCCAAAGTGCTGGGATTACAGGCGTAAGCCACCATGCCCTGCCAATTTTTAACAGGGAGTTTGTGTGTGTGTGTGTGTGTGTATTATTCAGTTCTGGCTATTCTTTATATATTCTGGAAACAAGTCTTTTGTTGGATATGTGATTTGCAAATATTTTCTCCCAGTCTAGCTTGTCTTTTTTCTTAATATTGTTTTTCTGCAAGGCAAAAGTTTTAAATTTTGCTTAAGTTCAATTTATCTTTCTTTTATTTTTTGACTTGTGTTTTTGATACCATCAATAAGAACTCTTTGCTGAATCCTAAGTTACCAAGACTTTTTCATATGTTTTCTTTTAGAAGTTTTTTTTTGGTTTTACATCTTACATTTAGACCTATGGTCCATTTTGAGTTAATTTCTGTATAAAGTATGAGATTTAGGTTTAGGCTTATTTTTTGCCCATAAATGTTCACTTGTTCTAATGCCATTTGTTGAAAATATTCTTTCTCCATAAAATTGATTAGCATCTTTGTCAATTGGCCCTATTTGTATGGGTCTATTTCTGGATTTTTAAATTTTCTTACATTGATCAACATATCTACCCCTTTGTCAATACTCCACTGTCTTGATTACTGGAGCTATATAGTAAGTCTAAAAATTGAGAGGTGCAATTCTTCCAACTTTATTCTTTTTTGAAATTCTTTTGGCTATTCTACTTCCTTTCCTTTACATATAATTTAGAACCATGTTGTCTATATCAACAAAGAATTATCCTTGTATTTTTGACAGGAATTATGTTGAACTTATACATCATTGGGGGGAATTAATATCTTTACTATATTGACTCTTCCAACCCATGAACATAGTATATATCTCCATTTATTTATTTACGTTTTCTTTTATTTATTTTATCAACTTTTTATAGTTTTCAGCTTATTGATCTCTTATGTGTTTCCTTAGATTTATATGTGAATACTTCATTTTTCAGTAGTATTGTAAATTTTACTATTTTCAATTTCAGTTTCCAGTTGTTCATTGCTACTATATAGAAATAAGATTAATTTTTTCATGTTAACTTTCTATGCTGCAACGTTGCTAGGCTCACTTATAAGTTCTAGATTTTTTTAAATAGATTTCTTGGTATTTTCAACATAGACAGTCATGTTGTCTGCAAGTAGTTTTATGTCTTCTTTTCCAATCTGTATGTCTTTTATTTCCTCTTCCTACTTTATCACACAGGTGAGGACTTTTGGTAGTCCCAGTCAAGTTTCAGTGTTCATATTTTTGGTCTAACATAGTGTATACTTTCTAATCTCATAAGTTTTAAAGCTGTTTCTTTTTCTTTTTTTTTTCAGACAGAGTTTCGCTCTTGCTGCCCAGGCTGGAAAGCAATGGCACGATCTTGGCTCACTGCAACCTCCACCTCCCGGGTTCAAGTGATTCTCCTGCCTCAGCCTCCCAAGTAGCTGGGATTACAGTCAGGTGCCATGCCCGGCTAATTTTGTATTTTTAGTAGAGATGAGGTTTCTGCCTGTTGGTCAGCCTGGTCTTGAACTCCCGACCTCAGGTGATCTGCCCACCTTGGCCTCCCAAGGTGCTGAGATTACAGGAATGAGCCAGCATGCCCAGCCTAAATCTGTTTCTTATAAGTATCATCATATGAGGTTTTATCTTTGCTCCTTACATAGTAGTGTTCACTTTTTTGTTTTCCACCAAAGGAGTCACCAAGGGAAACCAGATGAAACTGTGTTCATTCTTTATTAACTTTAAGCACTTTAAATGCCCCTACTTCCCATACATACTGAAGCATACTAAAATTCTTTAAATAAAGATAAACGATCCTAATAAATCAGCAAAGATTGTCAAGTTCCCATTAATTTGGCAACTTTCTAATGAAGAGTTTACTTTATCTTTTAAGAACACTAGGATATTATAGCTTTTCAAAAAATTATGAATGAGATACCTGTTATGTCACAGAATACAGCTGGACATGGTTAAATTAATTGAATCACCTTTCAAGTAAAGAATATGGGGGAAGCCACATTCAGATGACTGGTGCCCCAAGCATGCGGATGTCAGGAGCCTAGTTCAAATTAAGGCAACTAGAGTGAACTTCAGATATCAGATTTTAGTCTCTAATTTGCTGAAAAGCCCAAAGAAGCCAGTTCTTGAGACTGAAATAAAGGTGGGTTCCTGACACAAAGAATCAGGTACAGTGGCATAGTTGGAAGGTCAGTCTTGAGGAGTGCCAGCAGTAAGAGTGCCTCCAGTGATAATACTGGACTCCAACGTGTGGGGCTGAAATTCTTACTTAAGCTCAACAATGACATTCCAACAGTAAATAGGAATTAGAGGTGGGTTAGGGAGTAACCTCCATGTGGGGAGAGGAGGGATGAATAGGCAATAAACCACACAGATTTTGATAGTGTGAAACATACGTGGCAGGTTTTATTCATCTTTACCTTCCCACTTTCACCCACCCCCGACAATGCAGAGGGGTCTTTATTCTTATTTCCAAAATCAATTTTTAAATTAGAGATGTTTATATTTGAAATGTTTAATTCATTTCAACTATGTAGATTTATGGAATTCATTCTATTGATCAAATTGAGTAAATAACTTAAAAGTTCTGAAACTTCTACTTTGTTTCTAAATAGAAAATCTCTTTCATTTTAGCAAGTCTATAAATACCTTTTTTTTTTTTTTTTTTTTTTTTTTTTTTTTTTTTGAGACAGGGTCTCACTCTGTTGCCCAGGCTGGAGCACAGTGGCACAATCATAGCTGACTGCAACCTCCAACTCCTGGGCTTAAGCAATCCTCTTGCCTCAGCCTCCTCAGTAGCTGGGACCACAGGTGAGGGCCACCACACCTGGCTAATATTTGTTTCTTTAATTTTTTATAGAGGCAAGGTCTTGCCATGTTGTCCAGGCTGGCTTCAAACTCCTGGGCTCAAACAGTCATTCTGCCTCAGTCTGCCAAAGTACTGGGGTTACAGGTGTGAACCACTGTGCCTGGCCCCACCTTTTCTTGAAGAAGAAAATCATTTGACCACCTAGCAGTTATCTTAGAAACTTATAGGTGGTAAAGTTCAGGTATTTCATTTACCTAATTTCATTATTAGCAGCAGCCAAAGCATCGTTTTGGACAGATTCTTGGACAGAATCTCTGAAAAGAGCTCTCAGATCATGAAAAAACAATTTATTTCTGTCATATATCACTTCATATTAGGTCATGATTCACCCTCAATTATGTTCTCACTTGAGGTATAGGTCTAGACCTGCCAGGATAGAAAGCATTATGATAAAATGGGTTGAACAGTTAATCCCCACAAAGTCTGATCCATTCTAATGGTTCTATAATTCTGCTCAGGTTTCCTTTTACCTTATCACTCATCTAGTGTTATAGTATTGGAATATATGATCATTTACCTCAGAATAGCTCTCTATATGCTTCCAAAATGCCTACTGGGTAATTAAACACTTTTTTTTCCTCAAGAAAAAGATATTTGTAGAAATGCTAAAAATAGATCAAAATCTCTTTCTGAATTCAAGTCACTCATACAACTGCTTTGGCTCTCACAGCCTCCTAAAGGTCACCTGTGTGGTTATTTGCATTCCTTGTGCCATCAACAAATATAAATTAAGCCACCTGCAAGAAGAGGAACTTTAAATTTAGGCAATGGGCATAGACTGGGCCCAAAGGAACCATTTCCACTAAATGAGGCTATAAAAACTAAACATGACCTAAGCATTCTTCTGCCCTCCAAAACAAGGCTCAAGATGACAGTAAAGCCAAGAAAACATACTACCTAGAAGAAAGCAAAGGATGCGACAAATGCTCATCCCACCCTTTCTTGGTACAACAAAGCACAGATAAAATACAGCATTGGAAGAACCAATGGTCTGATGCAGTAGCTTTTCTTCTGTTTCTCAAATGGTATTACTATTAGAGATTTACACATACGCAAACACACACCATTCTCACAGTAAAATATCATCTCTAAGATGTATTAGCAGGAGGCACCACCTCAAAAGACACAAAATAAGAGCTCTCAGAGGGTCATTACTTAAATATAGAACAGCATGTATTTCTCATCAGTGCATAATCTTTGTGTGTAAATGTATACAGTGGAGCCTCTCCAGTATCTTACCCCAGTAAATTCATATGAAATAGCCTGCAGCGATCCTACTAGGTAAGTCTGTATAGCATGGGGCTGGAATCAGCTGGAAGGCAGCTTAATAACAGTGGGGAAAAAGTAAGGCTATACTAGACATTTGGCATTGTACTATGTATTTTCTGTCTTTTGGGGTATAGTGTGGGCTTTTTGTCATAATTGCTTTCCTTAGAAATTTTTGAAAAGCTTTTAGGTTTCTTTTATATTAATTAACCATGAAAAGGAAAGTGTCTTCTGTATCTCCCTGCCATTGAAAAGTTGCATCAGTTTGCTTATTCCAAGACCAAACTAAAATGTTCTACACCAACATTTCCCAAAGGAATGATATGAGAAAACAATTTTAATGTCCACTTATATTTAGAAATATTGCTTTAAACAAAGTTAAAAAGATTGCTTTTCTTTGGGGTTTTGCAGTGCCTGTAATAGGTTAAGGCACATTAAGAATCTCCTAAAGTAAGACATAGTAGTCAGGGTTTCCAAACTTGCTTGTCCACAGAATCCTTTCTTGTGGAGCATCTATTTGAAACATGTTTTTCATAAGACACTCGAATTAAACATTGCTTCAAACAGGTTTCAACAGAAATATCTTTAAAGCTAGAAGATCTTGTTCTTCCTTCTTGCTAGCTGGTCCCAGGTGATTGGTGGCAGGGGCCAATCCGAATGTAATTTTGCCCTATTGTTTTCTCTTCATTGAAAGGATCTGCTTGGTTTGGTTTTACAGAAGATGATACAAACATCCTCAACAAAACTGCACACTCAGCAGCAGAACACAATTTTGGAGGTACAAAGTAAGCAGCCAGCCTTTCCTTGGTTGATTATATATATAAAAAAGAAATAACAGTGACAATTGATTGCAATGTAAAATTTGAGTGTGGAAAAGTCCTGCAAATTTGAACTATGGTCTTCCTTTTCTGATTTGTGTGCTATCCGTATATTCATATACAAGGTTTTACTCTGCGTGTGTACATTTATGTGAATAAATCCTCTGTAGTAATGCCACTTAAGATATACTGATGATAAAACATATTCTGTACAGAAGAAATTCGAGTTCATTATACTAGACCAATATAAAATCTCATTATATACATATTTCCTCATATAGAAAGAGAAAATACAAATACCTATAAATATATATGTATATGTGCATATATAAATACACATGTATATATATATATAATATATAAGTATAACATATAAATATATATTTGATACATGAAATGTATAGGACATATGTACACACAAACACACATACAATGCAAGTATTGTGACATAAAAACAATTCTTTCTGTGTTCCCCTCCACCCAAATAATCAGATGGTCATTCCTTATAGTAATTCAATAAGGTTACAAATTCAGATCATTCTGTAGATAATTTTATTAACCTAAAATTTTACTTTAAGCCAGTTAGTTTTCCATGGAATAGATGTAACCTGTGTCAACATTCTTGGAGACAGCCTAATGAACATAGGTTGTCATAATGTGCTGTGTTGTAGGCAAATCCAAACAAGGTGGAAGAAGCAGAAGTCATTCTATCTTGTAGACAGGGGATTCAGCCAAGAGTCTGACTAATGTTTTTCCAACTCAGTTGATGAATTTTTTGGTATCTTCTAGCTTCAGTCTTAGTCCCTGTGTTTTGAGGAAGTACAAATAAGTATTTAAGAACACACAAATTGTACAAATCTAAGAAATGCCAATTAGTGGTGCCCACAAACTCCTGAATTGAAGGGAGACATTTCTAGGGGAAGGAGGCATAGTAGAAAAACTGACCCTGCCTTCCTTATCTCCTTCCTTCTGTCCTTTCCTTACACAAAGTACCTTTTAATTAGACTTTAGGAGAAAAGTGAGGATGAAGATTAGTGGAAAGTTGGATGGAGGGCATGTTTAGTCTGCCGAGTGAAAAACAAATGAATGCAAATGACAAGAAAGTAAGTTTGGCTAGAGTAGAGGGTAAGTCCAAGAAAACAACTATACTTTGGTAATTTGGGGATGGGACATTTTTGTCTTTCATTTGATGAATCATAGAAGCAACTTGAGGTTTCAGTATATAAGTACATACTATAGAGTTATCTATATTAGCTATCAATCTATATATATATACATTGTATATACATATAAAGATATGTTGCATCCATATGAATATAGATGTGTTATGGATACATAGATAAGTTTAGATAGATACATTATATATGTGTATTGCTCTATATATCTATATATCATATATAGATGTATTTTATATATAGGTATAAACAGACAGCTATAGATAGATGTACACAGTGCATATTTATATCTATATATAAAATTTACTAACAAAAGGATTCTAGGAAATTGACTAAATTACCATATAAGGGAGAAATAGAAACAAATTACATTTATAGAAATGAATCTTGTTACAGGAATTATTTTCCTATTTATATACAATGGTTTTGATTGAAATTTATAAATTAAAATTCTAATAATACCGCTTATGGGCTGAATTGTGCTTCCACAGAATTCATATATTGAAACCCTAACGCCTAGTGTGACTGTATTTGGAGATAGACCTTTAGTGGGATGATTAATACTGGCGCTCAATAAAAACTTTTTGAATTGAATCAATGACCTCTCAGGGTCCCTTTGTATCTTTCTATGAGATTGATCATCTTTGCGAAGTAAGTCAGCTTTTCCCTACTCTGCAAAATATCAATCCCACAACAGAGCACGACTTTAAGCTTCTCCCAGCCCATGGCTGGACAACGTACAAGTTTAGCTCATTCACTAATTTAGAAATTGCTTGTCTTAAAAGAGTAAAGAAAAATGCTGCTTCATCAGCACTTTCTTGTTCTACCTCCTCCTTTTAAGTTCTAATCTACATCAGAACATCCATATCATCTCCCTTCTATCTTCTAGCTAGAGCCACTTGCAGGAAAGAAACAGTCCTAATAGTAGTATCTGGAATCTCTACTTTCTCTCCACCTGGATCATTTACGCTTCAAGTCTGCCACCAAATCCCATGCAATGGCAAATAAGGAGGGAAATCTGCTTATCAAAGGGGGGGCCATAAACTGGGTTCTCATAGGATATTTGCTTTACATTATGTTTTTAACAACATTTAGCAGTTTTGTAAATCATCTTCCCCCAGAAATATACATTTCTGGTTCTTTGAAAATGTTGGAGCTAGGCACAGTGGCTCATGCCTGTAGTCCCAGCTACTCAAGAGGCTGTGGTGAGAGGATTGCTAGAAGCTAGGAGTTTGAGTCCAGCCTGGGCAACATAGCGAGATGCCATCTCTAAAAAAAACTGAAAAACATTGGCCTATTTACTTCCACTGTCCCATATCCGCCCACCCCAACAGCAGCCTACAGGTGTTGAGGGGTGACTGTTCTCCTTAGACTGGTCCTGCACTCTACAGCTAAGCCCAGGCCTGACTCATTTTAGGAATGCAAATATAGATACCGCCTGCTTCCCTTTCTCATGGACAAAATCCATCAGATCCCTGGAGGCACTGGGTCAATAATGGGCATTGGACTTGGGCGTTTTGTCACTGATAAATATGGGGGAGTAAATGCACAGAGGCAAGTTGGGAGTCATTTCTCCTGTGCTGTTGATTATGATGGACAGCTGTCCCATTCTCAGCACAGACATTAAGAAAAAAAAGGCTCAGAAACTTCCCTCCTACTTCATCCCTGGAGCCGACGCTCTAGGACCAGAAGGAAACCTCACTTTCTGAGGATACCTAGAAAGGAGAATACAAAAGCATAGACCTGCAAGAACTGTGCTGGCCTGACACCAGGCCCATGCTACTGACCAGTCCCACCTCTGACCATGCCCAGGCCAGGGATGTGTTGGGTCATTTTGTGAGCATGAGGAAGAGGTAGACATCCTCCAGACTGAGAAACACCAACTCTAGATCCCCCTGGCCTAGGATTTCTTCTTTTTTTGTTTTCTTTGCTAGAGAAAGCATCTAGAGGGGCCTAAGAAGCTATGAAAATCAGGCTGAATCTTAGAATGAGTTCCATTTACAAGCTTCAACAATAACTTCATGTGTAGGGAATAGGGAATTCAGTTAACCTCTCTGTTCCTTGGTATTTTAATTTGTCTGAAAGTGATAATCATCATATTTAGTGACCTCCCGGGTGCCCTGAGCATTAATGAGACAATGTGAGAAAATTATTAAGTTCTATGGTAATGTTAGTTCTAATTCTACTTTTTTTAAGCTTCTCATTTCTCTTTTAGGAAAAATTTGTTAAATAAAAATGCCTAGTACCACAAACAGTGTAGGAAAAAAACTAAAATCATTAGTGAAACAACTTTAGCAAAGAAAATAGCAAATTTACTCAGCCATAGAGGGGGACCTTTTTATACCCAAATCTAAAGTACCATCTCCTCTTTATCATTTCATCCCGGCCCTTTTGGGGAGCATAATTGTAACTTAATTTTGGAACTCTATGTCTATTACAAATCCTTCTCTTCTAAATGATTAAAGTTAACAAAATATCTGAAATGTCTATGGATTTTTATATAGTAAGTGCTAAAAGATATGCTTGAATGAATGAATGAAGGAATGAATGAAGGAATGAAAGAATTTTCATTTGTTTTGGTTTTAGAATAATAATAGAATAGAGGTAGAGGTAGAAAGGTCAGAAACAATGGAAGAGGATTAAGAATGTTGCCCTTAAGTGCTATGACACTCAAAATCAGTCCTCTCCTTTTGTCAACCAACAAGTCCTAATAAGTCCCCACCATGTTCAGCATTGGGAGAGTAAAAGACCTGTGAGACATTGCCTCTTGCTTGAAACAGTTTAAAACCTAGTTGGAGAATCACAGCAAACAAATATGCATAAACACATATGAAACAATGAGAAATGATGGAATATAAAACTCTGGATTGAGTATATGCTCAGCAGACATTTAGAAAAGGGAGAGGTCACTAGAGATTGATACAGTCAGAGAAGTCTTATGAAGGAGGTGGTACTGAAATTGATCTTTAAAACACTGTCTGGATATAGTTATAAAAGGAGATGAACTTGCTATATCCCCGTCTATTTCTCACATTAACCCTGTGAGGTTAATCTCTTTCCATAAATGAGGAAACAGCTCAGGCAGATTAAGTCACTTACCAAGGTCACACAATTGAGGACTATCTAACACAGGAGAGCTGTGTAGGTCTCTCCTCTACACAGCACATCTGTTCTGTAATGTCTGGATTGCTGCGTATCAGAATAATAGCCAAAGCTGGCCTTTTCTGGTCTGGTCCCTGCACCGTATTAGCCTCATCTCCCACCATCTCTCCATACGGCCTCAGCTTCAGCCACACCTTGTGTTTTAGAAAGATTCCTAGCGGGAAACACATGGCACACTTAAAAAGGTTTAACTGAAAATAATGAGGAATTATTCTTAGAAAAGTGGATATCTAGGGAAACCAACAAAGGCTGGCAAGGCACCTAGGGACTAGCAAGAACAAGAAGCCATTACTACCCCAGGACTGAAGAGGCAAGAGGAATAAATACTGATAACAAAGTCTGGAGTGCACTGACACAATGGAGTGGGGCCAGGCAACAGGAGCAATAGCTTTACACAGATACTGTCAAAATCAGTGAGAATAAGTACCCCAGCCTCTCCCCTGCCTGCCTTTGCATCTCCTACTGGTGTCTTCCATTGATCAAGTCTTTGGAAGACAGAGGTCAAGGGGATCTGAGAGATGCAGGCCAAAGAGGTCAGGTTCCTGGACACAGAGAAGGAAGGGCAGAGAACTGATCTTAGGGGCAAAAAGAGATACAAGTTCTCTCTGCCTTTGCTAACATAGCTGTCACCCAGAAGGCCCTCCATTGCCTGGGTACCTCTTCTTCCTCCTTTTAACTTAGCTTAAGGATCACCAACCCTGGGAAATCATTTGTTACCCACAGCTTAAGTTGGGAGCTGTCCTCTGTGCTTTTACAGCCTCTCTGCAGACCTTGATTATTGTGGTTATCATGCTGTTGGAATAGATCCCACGTGAGCCAGATGCATCAGGGGCTGAGGAAAATTGCTACCCTACTTCAACCTGATGAACACAAGGAAGCTGATCACATTGAGCACTCAATGCCAAGCACATATTTTCTAAATTTTAGATTTTGATTTAATTTTAAACTTAGAGAAAAGTTTTCCTTTTTCCTCAGATTCACCAGTTAACATTTGGCCCCATTTGTATTATAATTCTCTATCTATATAAACATTTCTACACACACATACATGTATGTAAATTTTTCTTTTTATTATTTGAAAGTTGGAACCATTGTATAGTTCTTTGCCCATAAATAATATTTCAGTGTGTATTCCCTAAAAACAATGACATTCTCTTACATACTTAGAATACGATACTCGAAATTATGAAAGCTAACATTGATACAGTAGTATTATCTAATCCATAGTCCATTTTTCAAATTTTGTTATATGTGCCAATAATGTCCTTAATAGCTATTCCTTCTCCCCTTCCCTGGTCCAAAATCCAATACAGGATCATGCATTGCAATTAGTTGTCACGTATCTTTAGTCTCCTTTCATCTGGAACACTTCCTCTGCCTTTCTGCATCTTGACCTTGACATTTTTGAAGAGGACAGGATGCTCATTTTGTAGACTGTCCTGCAATATGGTTTTGTCTGATGTTTCCATATGATTAGATTTAGCTTCTTCATTTTTGGCAGGAATACCAGAAATGATATTCTGTCCTTCTCAATGTCTTACATCAGCAGTCACATGATGCTGTCTGTCCAGATAGTCATGATGTTAACTCTGATGATTGGTTAAGGTGTGTCTGCCAGCTTTCTCTATTATAAAGTTACGATTTTAAATTTCTAAATAATTTGCGGAAGATATCTTGAGCCTATGTAAGTATGCTATTCCTCATCAAACTCCAGCCTCTTTTTTAAAAGGAAAAGAGGACAATTCATTGGGAATAGTGAGCAACAAAAGGAAATGGCATGAACATCCAGTCACTCCTAACTCCCTGTCCCTGGTACCGAGGCAGGTTGCTATGATTGTCCAGGGTTTTCTCTTTAAAATTAGGACTTGTCTCTGCTGGGTCCATACAAAGCTTCTTTTAGGGGAAAACTGAAGGAGTTAATTTGAGTCTCAGTAAAAATAACAAACCAACCCCAACAGCACTTTCTTGGTGTCAGGACTCAGTCCACTTGGAATTCTTCTCTCTCCTCCTATCATCAGAAGCAGGGATCCCTTCCTGCCTATTCCAACTTCACTAAATGTACATCAAAACCAGGCAGGCTTTCTACTGGTTTATTTACTTCTGAGGTCTGAGTGGTGGAAGGATAGCCTAATTATTATTGACCCAAGTCATTTTTCTTGCTTAGGAAACTATTTAATATTATTAGGAGCCAAAGTCTGGTAAAATTGGAAGCCAAAATAATCTTGTCCTCAGACCTTGAAGAGGTATACAATGTTAATGTCTCTGCCTTTTTAAAAAATGTAAGTATTTATAGAATTTTAAGCCGGTACTTGTTTCTTATTCCATATCTCCCATAATAAGATCATCACAATGAGAAATTGAAATCACCCGTAAAAGACTGCATTGTAGCTATGAGTTTTGTTGTGTGTCCCACACTAGACTGGGATCTCCCTGAGACCAGGACTGTGCACCATTTATTTACTTGTGCATCCCCCTTCTTCTGGCATATTGCACACCACATAACGAGTGATCAGGTTTAGTTTAATAAATAAATTGGGCCGAGGTGGGCGGATCACGACGTCAGGAGATCGAGACCATCTGGCTAACACAGTGAAACCCCATCTCTACTAAAAGTATAAAAAAAGTAGCTGGGCGTGGTGGCGGGTGCCTGTAGTCCCAGCTACTCGGGAGGCTGAGGCAGGAGAATGGCGTGAACCTGGGAGGCAGAGCTTGCAGTGAGCCGAGATTGCTCCACTGCACCCCAGCCTGGGCAACAAAGTGAGACTCCATCTCAAAAATAAATAAATAAATAAATACATAAATTAAATGGCCTCCAGCAGTTTAAGTTATTCTTCCCTGCACTCTATTTCTTTTATTAAAATATTTCAATCTAGAAGCAAAAAGAATTCATTTCAAATCTATACTTTTTAAATTCTTTTGACTGTAGAGAATTATAAAAGTTTCTTAAAAATATAAAAAGACATCTAAATAAATGTACAGATACCACTTTTGCAGACAAACTGTCTTTATATTTTTAAATAGTTTTTATTTTGAAATAGTTTAAGATTCACAAAAATTTGCCAGCATGGTACAGGGAGTTCCTGTGTACCCAGCACTTACATATAGAATACATTGTCCAAACCCAGAAATTGACTTTGCTGCAGTACAAACAATTATAAGAATACGGGCTGTACTTAAGTTTTTTGAGACGCTAATTTTTACAAACACTCTTTTTTTGTTTAGAATTCTAAAAACTTTTATCCCATCTATAGTTTTGTGCCACCATCGCCATAATCAGAATACAGAACTGTGTTCATCTCCTTCACGTTATCACTTTACAGTGACATTCCTCCGCCCACAAGACTAATTTCTGGCAACTTTTTTTTTTTTTTTTTTTTTTTTTTTGAGATGGTGTCTGGCTCTGTTGCCCAGGCTGGAGTGCAGTGGCGCTATCTCAGCTCACGGCAATCTCTGCCTACTGGGTTCAAGCGATTCTTCTGCCTCAGCCACCTGAGTAGCTGGGACTACAGACACACGCCACCACGCCTGGCTAATTTTTGTATTTTTAGTAGCGACGAGGTTTCATCATATTGGTCAGACTGGTCCTGAATTGGTGACGTCAGGTGATCCACCCACCTCGGCCTCCCAAAGTGCTGGGATTACACGAGTGAGCCACCGCGCCCGGCCAATTTATGTCAACTTTCTATCTATTCTCTATAATTTTGTCATTTTGACAATGTGACATGAATGGTATTATACAGCACGTATGTTTCGTGATCGACTTTTTCTCACTCAGCGCAATGCGCTTGAGGTTCCTCCAGGGCTTTGCCCTGAGCCTCCTTCTCTTCTCCTTTTTTTTCTTCTTAAGTATTCTAAGTAAGTTTTATTTTATTTTATTTTTGTATATATTTAAGATGTACAGCATGATGTTTTGACATACATATACATATGAAATGATTACTACGGTCAAGCAAATTAACATATCTATCATCTTACATAGTTACTGTTTTAGCCTGTGTGGTGAAAATACCTAAAATCTACTCTCTTAGCAAATTTCCGGTATGCTATACAATATTATTAATTATAGTCTTAATATTGTACATTAGACCCCTAGAATTTATTCATTCTACATAACTGTAACTATGTACCATTTGACCTTCATCTCCCCATCTTCTACTTCCTGTTTCTATGTATTCCAGTTTTGTTTTTTTAGATTCTGATGCAAAAAGATCATGCAATGTTTTTCTTTCTGAGTCTGGTTTATTCCCTCTTACATAATGTCCTCTAGGTTTATCCATGTTTTTAGACTGAATATTATTCCATTGTGTGTACATAGCACAATTTCTTTACCTATTCATCTGCCAATGGACAGACACTAAGGTTTTTTCCATACTTTGGCTACTGTGAGTAATGCTGCAATGAACATGGGGCACAGATACCTTTTTTTTTTTCTTTTTTTTTTTTTTTGAGACGGAGTCTTGCTCCGTCTCCCAGGCTGGAATGAAATGGCGCAATCTCGGCTCGCTGCAACCTCCACCTCCCGGGTTTGAGCAGTTCTCCTGCCTCAGCCTCCTGAGTAGCTGGGATTGCACGCTCCTGCCACCGTGCCTGGCTAATTTTTGTATTTTTTAGTAGAGATGGGGTTTCACCATGTTGGCCAGGCTGGTCTCGAACTCCTGACTTCAGGTGATCCACCCGCCTGGGCCTTCCAAAGTGCTGGGATTCTAGGCGTAAGCCACCACGCGTGGCCGGGCACAGATATCTTTAGAAGGCTGTGATTTCATTTCTTTTGGGTATATAACCAGAAGTGGAATTGCTGTGTCATATGGGAGTTCTATTTTTTGTTTCTTTAGGAGACACCGTATTGTTTTCTACAATAGCTGCACTACTTCACTTCTTTATCTCTATAATTCCTCTATTATAATTTCTTCTGGTCTTGTAGTTAAAAATATAAACTCTATGATAATGACTTCTAAATCTTTATTTCCAGGTTCCTAGAAATTCAGTCTTGGATATTCAGATATCTACTTTACAACTTTGTGAATGCTTAATACATTTCCCAAAATTAACCTGGCCGAAACAATTTCTTCTTAAAACTAAAAAGAATAGGAGAAAGCACCAATCTTTTTCATTTCAACACCCACTATTTGCCAAGATAGATATTGAGGCACTCTCCTTGATTTTTCTGTTTCTTTTACTTTTCTCATTAAATTATTTAATAATTCTCTTGATTGCACCTACAATCATATCCTGAGTTTGAATGTATTTATTCTCTCTAGAGGAGCAGAGCATGCAGAGCAGAGGTTAAACACCTGGGATCTGGGTTCTTCTTTAAGTATTCTAAGGAACTTTTATTTTATTTTATTTTTGTATATATTAAAATGTACAACATGATGTTTTGATATACATGTACATAGTAGAATGATTACTACTGCCAAGCAAATTAATATGTCTATCATCTTGCTTCTTGGTAGATGTGAAATCTCGGTTCAATTGCTTACATTTTCTATACTCCCACTTCTAAGTGAGGACAAAATAACACCTACCTCATAGAGTTTTTTGTGATAATTAGTCCAGTAAAAATGTGCACACTTTTAACAATCCCTAGTGCACAGTAAACATTCAAAAAGTATTAGCTGTTATTAGTCATTTGTTCATAAATGCTATAGAATGGCGGCAATCTTGTGAAAGGCACTGTTGTAGGCACTGTGGATATCCAGTGATATAAAGGAGTAATGTACATTAAGTGATGATAGTGTTTGTGATTACTATGGAGGTTGAGCTATGAGGAGTGAAGCTGGCTGATGGCCCCTACCTATAACATCTTTGGACCTCCTACTGTGTTCACACAGGCCTGGATTTCCCCAGGCTAATCCTAGACAGTACTGACCAGAAGGTGCTACAGCCAGGTCATTTCTGCTCAACATGAGACTCTTCTAACAGGCCATCTTTGCTCCAGGGCTTCCCACCAGCCTGTCCAAGGCTTTCTCAGAGCTGCATTGTAATCCGAGATCCTCCTACCCATTCTTCCCTTCTGATCCTCCTCTTACCTGTCTTCTTTTGCAGATATCAGACCTGTATTGCTGTCTGAAGGCTCTACCCACCCACTTCTCCTCCCTCTCCCCTTTATCCTTCTAAAGCATTTTCCCTTGTAAACCTCTTGCACATCTAAATCCATCTTGGCATCTGCTTTTTGGGAGACCCAAACTGACCCAGTGCTAAAAAGAAAAATAAAACAGGGTCAGGGAGCTAGAAAGTGACTCAGAGATACACAGGGCGTTTACTGAATGCCTATTTAATAAGATGAGAGAATTTGTTGATCTGTGGGTGGGTGAGGTATGCCAATATCCAGAAGGAGTGTATTTAAGACAAAAGCATTGGCAAGTGCAGAAACCCTGAGATGGGAACATTCTGGGTGTGTTTAAGGACCAAGAAGAAGCCAAGATATCTGGCATGACTTGAGCAAGGGGGTGAATGAACTGTAGGGGATAAGGGCAGATGAGCAGCGGAGAGCCACCTCTCTTAGGGCCTTATAGACCCAGATAAAGACTGCATTTTTTTCTATCACAGAGATGAAACACTATTGGAATGTTCTGAGCTGAAGATTGACATGATCTCACTTTTTAAAACACAAAAGCAGGATTGTTCTACCTGCTCTTTGGAGAACCCAGTTAAGTTGGTGAATTCACAATGGAAAAACAAAGTGAGTGTGGTAGACAAGATTCTAGGTGGTCCCCAAGAACCCTGCCCCCTGTATAATTCCCTCGCCTTGAGGGTGGGTAGAACCTGTGATCCAGTTATTAATTAGTTACCTTGGCCTAATCAGATAGGCCCTTTAAAAGAAAAGCAGCTGCAGCAGGTGCACCCCTGCTGGCCTGGAAGAAAGCAGAGCCATGTTGTGACATGTCTATGAGGCCCACATGGGAAAGAGCTGCAGGCAGCCTCTAGGAGCTGCGAGTAGTCCCTGGCCACTGACAGCTACTAAAAAACAAGGACCTTAGTCCCACAACTGTAAAGAACTGAATGCTGCCAACAACCTGTGTGCTTGAAAGAGTACTATGAGCCTCAGATGAGATTGCAGCTATACTGACACCTTGAAATCAGCCTGATGAAATACTGAGAAGACCAGCTAACTTGTACTCAGACTCCTGACCCATAGAAACTGTAAGAAAATAATTTGTTGTTTTAATAATAAATTATAAACAAATAAATATAATAAATAATAAATTTATGTTCTTTGAAGCCACTGTATATGTAACAATTTTTTACAGAGCAATAGAAAATGAATCCAGTTGGCAATGGTGGAAAACAAGCAGAGAGGCTATGTAGTTAAGAGGCTATACAGTTCTCCAGATGGGAGATGATGGTGGCTTGGGTCAGGGTAGTAATGCCATATCTTTTGGTGGTCAAGCCAATGAGATTTGTTGATGGATTGAATGTAGAGTGTGAGAGAAAGACATCAAGGATGACTGCAAGATGTTTGGCTTGAGCAACTGAACGTTTGGAATGTTCAGTGACTGAGAATGGAAAGACTATGGGAAGAACATACTTGATATCTTTTTGACAGACTGAATCAGTAAGAATCACAAATTCTGTTAAATTGGGAATTCCAAGTATACATCACAGTGAAGATGTCCAGAAGGAACACTTGAGTGTATGAATTAGGAATAATGGGTGAGGTCCAAGTTGGACATACGTTAATACATTTTGGAGTCATTGGCAAATGCATGATATTTAAAACCTTAAAAATGGATGAGATCACAGCAATTATTACTAATATTTCCAGACCTGTCCAAGCCCCCTCCATCTCCCACCTGGACTTCTTCATTAACTTTCCAGTGGTCTCCCTGATTCCACTGCCCTTTTACTATCCATTCTCCATGCTGCTGCTGGAGGGATTTTTTTTTAAACCCACATGCAAATCAGATAAGGTCACCACTCTGTTTAATATCTTCCAAAGGATTCCATCACACCAAATTAGTTAGCTTTTGTTGTATTACAAGCCACCTCAAAATTTAGTAGCTTGAAGTAACATTCATTTATTTTCATTCCTGATTCTGTGGGTCTATTGAATATTTATTCTGCTCTCCAGTGCTAAGCTGGGGCTGGATGATCCAGGATGGCCTCATTCCTATGTCTTGTGGTTGCTTAGTTGGCCAAGTCATAGAGGGTTTAGCTGAGATGTCTCTTCCCTTCTCCATGTGATCCCTCATTCTCCAGCAAGCTGTACCAGGTTTTTTCCAACAGCAGACTCAGAGTTCCAAAGAGCAGCCAGAGAGCAAACCCCAATGCACAAGAACCTTCCTAGGCCTTTGTTTACATCATGTTTGCTAATGTCCCACGGGCCAAAGTAAGTCACTGGGCCTACCCAGACTCTAGGAGGTGGAGAAATAGGCTGTATCTTTTGATGAGAGCCACTGCACTACAAAGGCCCACTGCAAAGAGGAATATGCAAAGAACAGCCAGGAAGAATTAAAATTGCACCTAGAAGACAATTCTGAATCCTTACTCTGGCTTTCAAAGTTTGGCATGATTTGACCCCTGCTCTCTTTTTAATATCATCTCATTCTATTCTCTGTCTTTCTTTTTAAGTAGGCTTATTTTTTATTTATTTATTTATTTATTTATTTATTTATTTATTTATTTATTTATTTTTGAGACGGAGTCTTACTCTGTCACCCAGGCTGGAGTGCAGTGGCGCGATCTCAGCTCACTGCAAGCTCGGCCTCCCAGGTTCACGCCATTCTCCTGCCTCAGCCTCCCGAGTAGCTGGGACTACAGGTGCCCACCACCACGCCCGGCTAATTTTTTGTTTTTTAGTAGAGACGGGGTTTTACGGTGTTAGCCAGGATGGTCTCGATCTCCTGACCTCGTGATCCACTCACCTCGGCCTCCCAAAGTGCTAGGATTACAGGCATGAGCCACCGTGCCCAGCCTAAGCAGGCTTATTTTTTTCTGCAGCAGTTTTAAGTTCACATCAAAACTGAGCAGAAGGTACAGAGATTTCCCATAAAACCCTGCTCCTATTCATGCATAGCCTCCCCTATTACCAACATCCCCCACCATCTGCTCTTTTATACCCTAGGTCTTGAGCCAAAATGCTTGTCTTTCCGTAAGTTAACAAACTTTTTCTTGGTTCAAAGAACCTGAAATGTTTCTTCTGTCTGGAATGTTTGTTTCCCCAGCTTTATTGAGGTATAACTGATAAATAAAATTGTACACATTTTAGATATACAATGTAATGATTTCGTGTATACATATACTGTGGAATGGTTACCACAATGAAGTTATCCATCACCTTACCTAGTTATCTTTTTGTGTGTGTAGGGTAAGAACATTTGAGATCTACTCTCAGGAAATTTTGAATATCCAATACAGTATTATTAACTATAGTCACTGTGCTGTACTTGAGCTCCCAGGAACTTATTCTGGAATGCACTTCCCCCAAATCTTGGTATGACAGGCTCCTCCTTTGCATTGAGGCCTCAGATTAAATGTATTCTTCTGAGACAGGCCTTCTCCTATATCCTGATCACTCTCTATCTCATATCTCATCCTCTGAGTAAATTCTGTTTATAATATTTATGATCACTTGATTTCTTCTAGTTTGTTTATTGCTTCATGTGCATGACCACCACCCCCTTCCAAAAAAAAAAAAAAAACAAACAAACAAAGTAAGCTCTGTGACTGTAGGGATTTCATTTTGTTTATTCCAAGAATGGCACCTTGCATGTAGTGGATATTTAAGCAACTGTTAAATAGCATTCTCAAACGCCAAATGAAGAGTATTTTTCTCTTATGGGAAACTGAGAGCTGACTATAATTGAACAACCTCAGTTCAGCTAAAATTTATATGAAATCTGTATAACTAAAATGATAAAAGAATAGAAAACTATTTTAAAGTAGGAAACAAATATGTCTTTTAGACACTCAGGTAATATTCACTGTCTTTTAAAGGAATTTACAATGTTAAATTTCTTTTTAAAGGAGTTCCCTTTTGGTGATGTGACTCAGATGTAACAGTGCCCAGGTCCCTGGATTAGTATCTTGCCAGCCACTCATTTTCAACTGTTCTCTTCTGATTCATAACAAGTCGTCAAATATCCTTTAATGAATAGGAAAGTCCTTGATACTTACTTCCTGTCCTTTCTGACATGTTTGCCAAAAAGCCACTCATTAACAAATTTTATTTCTCAACTGACCGGCTATTACGGGTTGAATATTTGTGTCCTTCCAAAATTTATATGTTGAAGCCCTAACCTCCAATATGATGGTATTAGGGGGTGGGATTTGGGAGGCAATTATATTTAGATGAGGTCATGAAGGTGGAGCCCTTGGGATGGGATTAATGTCCTTACAAGAAGAAGAAACACCAGAGCTTCCTCTCCCCTCCATGTGGGGACACAGCAAGGAAGCAGTCATCTGAAAGCCAGGAAGAGGGCCCTCACCAGGACAGGACCATGCTGATGCCCTGGTCTCAGACTTCTGGAACTGTGAGGAATAAATTCTGTTGCTTAAGTCACCCAGTCTATGGTATTATGTTATGGCAGCCTGAGCTAAGATATCTCCTTACCCTCCTTTCCCCCATTTTCTTTCTCTTTCTCATTAAGCCCATTTTTTCTGGTTCAACCAGTTTTAGTGATTCTGTTTTCCAGGGGACATCTGTAGCTTGTTTCATTTGTATTTTCTGATTAGTTCTTGCATCAGATTCATTTGTCTGCTCCAGTGCCATTCACTTTTCTCAAATGAAACAATTCTTGTCTCCTCTAGTCTACTCCAGCATTCATCAACTTCCTCTCATATACCCCAGGGAAATTTCCATTCTCCTGGCAATAGGCAGAGAACTTCCCAGGCACTGCACTGGATATCTTAAATCTGGTTCCTAAAAGTCAATGTGCAAATAGAGATGAGTGCAAATTGAATGTGGTGGGAGTAAGGTGGCAGAAGAGTAATATTCCTGGGATTCTAGAATACTGAAAGTGGCTATTGACCAAAGTCACTGCGAAAAGAATATACTATGTGTTTACTTGCTGTTTTGTTTTCCTTCTGGTCATAAGAAGCCCTCATTTCCCAGCCTCCTTTGCATCTAAGTGGGGCTATATGTCTAGCTCTGTTCAATGATATGTTTGTGGAAGTAATCCACCCCACCTTCAGGTTTGGCACCAAGGCTGGTGCAGCAAAGTGGGGAGGAGCTTGACACAATTAAAGAATGGAATTCTCTGAGAATTATCCATCAATATGAAGGTAATGGGAAAAGATGACTGTCTAAAAGGCAACTTAGCAGACTTTTCCTCCCATGGGGTAAGATTAAGAGATTAAGACTTGGGAAACATTCATATGATGCTCAGTAACTCCTGGTGACATCCACACAGAAGTTCATTTGAGATTCACAAGCACAGAGGAAGTTTCTTACTAAAAACTAACAGAACCACATAAAATAAGAAAGTGAAAATGTATAGAGAAAAAGTCTAGCTACTCAGAGACCTGCGCAAGAAAAGAGAAAATGGATAGCCAGGGAGCAGGAGCAATTACTATCAATAATAGTTACTTTCAGCAGTAGTCTACATTGGGCTCCTTAGGAAGGAAAGCTTCCATTCTTCTGGCAAGGGAAGGAGAAACTGCCTGATTGCTGGAGCTGGGGCAGGTGTGGTGGGGTTAATGAATGCTCCTTGTACAGGTTTCCAAGACATTCTTCTGTTATCAACTCCACATCACACTCCAGCCTTCAAAGGTGGTGGGGCTTGTGATAGGAGCTATCTTTGTTCTTACTAGCTTTGTCCGCTGCAGACAGTTGGAATCCTGGTTTCTCTATTCCCTGCCTGTAGCAACCACTTGTAAGGCACTGTGTGCCACAAACTGTCTGCCCAGCTGATTTCAGTGCAGTGGTAGACAGTCCCATGTGCATGATCTGTTTCCCACATCAAGCATGGACTTCAGCCTCTCTCTGCTTTGCCATCCCAAAGTTTTGTCTGAAGTCATCGCCTGAAAGCAACCCAGAGGTATAAAGATTTTAATCCTCCTGAAGGCAGCCCTTTAAAGGTAGGGGAGGGAGTCATGAACACATGCTCTAGCCTGCTCCAAGTTGCTTCAACACGGCTCCTCTGAAAGCCCCCAAGGGATCTGACACCCAGTTGTGCAATATAGGAGTCAGCTAGCTCATGAGCCCCCTTCCAGTTTCACATTCCCCACCTTCTCACTTCTGCAGTCCCGGTTCATTTTCCATATAAGGCTTTGTTTCATCTTCCGCTTTTAGGGAAACCCAATGTTCCAACTAGAATTTCCAGCTGCCAGTGTCTTGTCAATACATCTGCTGCAGTTTCTTCTCTAACTCTTTTTGTCCCTTATGGGTTTATAGTTGTACATTTCTATCATCAAGTCTGTGGGATTAGGAAAGAAGTGGAGGTAGCGTGTGTCTTCAAGCTGCTCTTCTCCCCCTGCTGAGTCGTACCCAATCCTGAGCTTGAATGAAACTTCCTGGATCTTCCCATCAAAAGGTCTCCTCTTTTGCTTTCTTGTAACATCATATATTAGTCTTCATAACCTGAACACAATTTGTAATTTTATCTTTATTTGTTGTTTTACCACTCAACCACTAGAATCTCGGCTCCATGAATCAGAGTCTACATCTTTTTTGTATATCTCTATGTGTTTTTGTTCAATAAACAAAGGATTTTCTACTGTCCTGTAGGTTCTAAACAGGTCCAATTCCTCTAGCCCTCCCTGTGGTAGTTAGGTGACTGCTCAGGTCACCCACACAGAGGCTCTTCTCTACACATCTCCTTGAAAAGGCTCAGCTTTGAGCAGATTCACAAATATGTCATCAAGAACTAGATGTCAGCTAGAGAAGGACAAAGTTCTGCAAGCGTGGACACAAGTGGGCAGCTGATTTGGGAGATGGAGGCGAAAAAAAGAAAAAGCAGAAGGGCACAGAGCTAGGCTTGGTTTACTTTACCCCCTGCTCTGGCTAATTCACTGCCTGACTCCCAGTACCTTATAACTGGTATTATTCCTTACTGCAGAATTGCCCATAGCTCCTGGTTCCTGGGGTCCTGATACTCCCTTGCTTATGAACAAGGATTCCCCTACCATGGTGAGGCACCCTATACCTGCCTGAAGCAGCCTTTGATACCATCGCCAAAGATAATACGCAGATACTCTGAAGACCACCTTCACAAGACCTTCAGCCACATGGCAAAATATAGCATGAAGATAGTGCCTGTAAAGTAATTTAATTGGTGATTCTTGTTTGAAAGACAAAAATAAATGATGTTTCAAATAATGGTATCTGAGATATTTTACAGATAGACCAAAGATTGTTTGATTTAAAGAACTATTAAAACACCACAAAAGGATTGAGAAGGTTCACCCTCCCCCTTTCTAGAAAGTCCTTCATGTGACATCCATCTTCACACTGCCCCTGATTTTAAAACTAGCACATGTATGACACATAATACAACATTTATAAATTAAGGAAGCCCACCTCTTTTAAGTAATATTCTTTAAATCTCCATTTCTGACAGTCCTACTATTTGCACAGTAACTGTAATAGGCGTATTTTTTGGAAAATAGTGAATAAAAACTGACAAGCTATCTGGGGAATCTGAATGTATAATTGATAGGGGCATAAATTAATATGATTAGGCCTTTATTGGGTGCAGTGTCTGCCAAACCTACAAAAGGGGCCTGGAATGAATCACGGCTGTGGTCTCGAAGCTGATAGACATCAATATGTAATGTGGATTATCTCAAGCTTTCTCATGTGGTCCACTTATGACAGCACTGAGCCTAATTGAAATTTTTATCTTTGTGTTGCATACAGACAGTTTTGGCTGGTCACTTCCTTTGGAAAGAGGAGCGAACCAGGTGATAAAAAAATCAAGGTTTTCAGTGAAGGTCTTAATAAAATCGTTTTATAAAGGTTTTAGAAATTAGTGCTCTGTAAAGCCACTTTGGAGAAACTGACTTCTGGAAATTCCTTTGCACTGTGATTTTCTGAATATTAAGCAGGCATGTCCAAACCAAAGTAACAAAGACACAGAAGATTCTGTCACTTCTGTGGAAATTGACACGTTCTTCATAAAATTGTGGTTAGTAGTTTAGCCTTTTTTTGACGTTGTGCAAAACCATTTCTTAATTACAATGATAAAATACATCTTTGTAGGGTAACATCTATATTTCCATAAGTAACAAAATTAAAATAATTTTTCCTTTGATTCTAAACAACAAGCATGTGCTTCAGTTAAATAATCATCCCTGCTTATCCGTATTCTTGCTGATACATGGCTTCCCACTGTATGTTTTAGGTTGTAATTCTATAATCAAAAACAGGAGGTCAAAGCTGTTATATTTACAGAAGGACATGTTAAGTTTCAGAGATCAAAGCACTTAACATCTGTAATTTTCCAGAACTTCATCCTTTTATAGCATATAAAATATTAGCTGCATTTTACATCTGCCCTTGGCAGTAATAAGTTTCAGATGTGAAACAAGTTCAATATGATTTTGGGGAACATTTGTGTATGGCAACCAGAAAGGTCAGTATGTTTTATGTACTTTGTGATAAAAGTAAGTGTTGATATCTTGGGACTGGAAAATGAAAACTAATGGGGCATTGGAACTTTCTTGGTGACCTCATGAAGCAATTTACGATCCTTTTATCACCCCTAATATGACGTTGTCATAAAAATGATCTTTTAATTAAATGTAACAGGAAAACTCTGCACCCTCATTGGGGTGTTTCTGGTCCTGGTGAGTTAACATTTTTAATAGCATACCTTCAGCAGTCAGCAATGTTGAATTTATAAAATATGGTTCCTCTCAAACACTTTGAAAGCTATAATCTCCATAGCTGTATCAACCTAAGGGACTGAAGAGCAAAAAGAAAGCAAGTGGAAGAGTTATTCTTGCAGAAAGGCAATGGAGTATAATGGAAAGACAATTGGCTTAGAACAGAAATGGCCTATCACATACTAAGCTCCTACAACATGCCAGGCATTCTGCCAAAAACTTTACCATAACTTTTATTTCATGTAGTTTAACTCTTGTTCTCTGGAGAACTGGGTTCTGTATCTGACTCTGCTACTATTTGCTTGTATGATTTTGGGCACAACATCCTACTTTCAGTTTTCTCTTCTGTAAATGGAGTGAGAGAGAAAAGAATTGGACCAGATGGTCTCTAATTCCAGCATTAAACTTCTATAGAGGCAAATGAATAAGGATAGAAAAGTGAGGAAGAATCAGAGCAAGGGACATTATTGAAGGTTAGCATGAACCACCCACAGTCCAGGGTTTTAGAGACACAGACGATCGAGATATGGTTCCTGACACTGAAGAACTTGTAGTCTTGTGGGGGAAATGCCGTGTTAATATAAAAGTTAAGTGTACTGGAAAAGGCAAGCCCAGAAGGCTATGAAAACAGAGGAGAAAGTGTAGGTCAAATGAAATGTTTAGGGACGGCCTCTGGAGGAGATGATGACTAGCTAAGCCTTAAGTAACGAGAAATGTTAAGTTGGGTGAAAAAAGGTAGGATTGTCCCAGGCAGAGGGACACAGAGGAATAAAATGCCCTGATAAATGCAAGGAACTGCAAGTGGTTTGCTATTACTAGGGCATGCCATACAAAATGGATAGTAGGGGGAGCAAAAATGGAAGAGAGAAGGGGGACACAGTCTAAGAACATTCTTGAAAGCTGGACTAAGAAGCATGGATTTTGCCCACAGGAAATGGGAAGCCACAGATGGTCAGGCTGACTTTTAGGAAAATGACTCTGCCTGCAAGATGAGGGAAATTTTAAAACAGAATAAAAATGGAGACAGGGAGATTAAAAGGCTACTGTAGCATTTGTTGAAAAGATAATGAGCTCTGAACTAGAGAAATGGAATGGGTGTTGAGAGGAGTAGACAGATATGAGAAACATTTAGAAAGTAAAATCAGCAGGGCTTGGGCTTAATTGGATATAGGATTAGTCCGGGAAGAAGGGACAGTTCAAATCAAAATGTCTGGCCAACTCCTTCAATTTAAAAAAACTGAAAGTCATTTAATCTAGTGGAAAAACTCAATTGACTCTTTGTTATGGTGGTCAAAAAAAAAAAAGATTAGTTAACTGGAATCTTCATATTTTACCAAGTAGTTGGCATGAGTCTAGCTATCACTTATCTACCCCAGAAGCCAGTGGTAAAGAAAGCCATTTTTACCATCACTTCGTAGTTGATAAACGGAAATCCTTGATATCAAGTGACGCACTCCAGTGATGGCCGGTGAAGGGAATCAAGCCAGCTCTCCCAGCTTCCAGTTCACACCCTTACTCTTTGCGTAGTACGCCTCTTCTGTGACAGAAGGACTTAAAGCAATTATTTTCAATTCATATTGTTATTAGCATTCATAATTCTAAAAATATTTTTTCTCTGCTAACTTAAAGATTTTCCTTAGTAAAATTCCTTAGTAAAACAGTTTTCCTTAGTAAAAATTGTCTTCAGTATTTAAAATTCAAGTGCCCAAATACTTGCCTAAAGAGCGCCGTGTTGTAGCTACAATACTACAGAAAAGTGGACACATTTAAAATATCAGCACGCTTCTATTTGAAAAGGTAGCCCCAAATAATTCCCTATTATAAAATACTCTTTTACATGAGACGTGTGCCATTCACAAGAGGATTCTTGACAATGTAACTGAGTCTTGATTTTCCATGGCCATTGGGTAAAGTGTAAGCATGGATAACTGGAAAAACAACAATAATCCCAAGTCTCACTCTAACTAACCTTTTCAATCTCCTCATGTACCAACTCTTTTACCAGAGCTTCCAGCATGCAATAAAATTGACCTACTTGAATTTTGTCTTTTTCTCCCTTCAAGAACTGTGGATGATTTCATCCTGGAACACTAGGGAAATATGAAACACAAAGACCTCACACATTAGCTGCAATAGTTAATTTTTTGTGTTAGCTTGACTGGATGTCCAGATAGCTGGTAAAGCATTATTTTGGAGTATGTCTGTGAGATTGTTTCTGGAAGAGATTAGCATTTGAATCAGTAGGCTGAATAAAACAGATGACCCTCTCTAATTTAGGTGGGCTTCATTTAATTCAATGAATTCCAGAATGGAATAGAAAGGCAGAGAGGATGAATTCTTCTCTCTCTCTGCTTGAGCTGGAACATCCACCTTCTCCTGTCCTTGGATCAGCACTTCTGGCACTTGGGACTTGGAACTCAGACCAAGACTTAACACAATTGGCTCTCTTGGTTCTCAGGCTCTTGAGCTTGGGCTGAAACTGTGTCACTCGCTTTCCTGGACCTCCAGCTTGCTGACAGCAGATTGTGGGACTTCTTAGCCTTCATAATTGTGCAAGCCAATTCCTATTATATATATCACATTGATTCTGTTTCTCTGGAGAATCTTGGCTAATACATTAGCAAACAAGGTGATATTTAGCAAAGGCCATACATTGTATTTAGAAAGTTGCTGAAAAATCCATTAACTCTGCACTGTATCTTTCAATCTTCTTCTGAGCTATGAAATCCTAACAACTCAAATCAACATTCTCTCAGCCCTGTGTTAACACAGGAATTTCTCAGGGACTGAGGTCAGTGGTCCAGGAATTAAAATCGAGTAGGAAATAGCAACATATGGCTGTGGCCACTGGGTTGGAATGTGAATGTTAATAACACAGTACATTTGGTGCCTCGACAGGTAAGTTTTGTTCAGCATGATTCTGTTACTTTTGTCTCAGAAGGATGGCAACAAATGGATTCGAGAGAACAGTTTTCATACTGACTATCTCTCTCTACTCTTACTGGTTCAAGCTCATTTTATGTATTGATTAGACTCTTTGAAACATCTTCCTAAATGATCTCTCTGCTTTCTTAATACCTTTAGAATAATTTGTACTCTATGCTACAAGAATTACGATATTTGACTTGACTTGTTCCCAGAGACATTTCAGTATCTTTGTATAGTTTATATGATAAAACCTAAATTCCTTTACTGGCTTATGACCCATTTATGGCTCAGCCAATGCCTCCGTGTTCAGCCTCATGTCCTGCCACTTTTCATTCCTGAGTTTCAGCCAAGTTAAACCACCAGTAGGTCTTCAAAGATACTACCTTCTTTTATGCCTCCCCACACTAGCATAGTGCCAGCTCACCAATTCATCAAGAGCCAGCTGGCCAGCAATATTGTACAAATCTTGGAAAAAGTCAGGGCATGAAGTCCAGACAGTCACGAGCTGGAATCCAGGCTCCACTACTGACTGGCTGCATGACCTGGAAGGAATTACTTAAGTCATTAACCAGCAGAATCCTCACCAGAAAGAATAACAATGGTATCTACATTATAAGAATTATGGAAGAATCAAAGAGTGAATGTATGTAAAACTCACAGTACAGTGCCTGGCACTTAGTAAGGACTCAAAGTATTAGATGTGACCATATTATTAGTAATTTTTAATCATTCTTTTATGCCTCTCCTAGGTCCAGATAAGTGGTCTATCAGCCATATTCCCAGACACTTGCTGTAATTGTTTGAAAGTCTGTCTCCTCGTACAGGCTCTGCAGGATGTGTGCGTCTCACATGGAAGCCTCAGGACCTGTCTTTGAATGAATTCGTGAGGAAATGGAAAACTTCTCTCTACTGCTCCTGTAAATGCAGAATAAGCTACATTTTTTTTCACACCCATTGCAACTCGGTGAGAATTCCTTATGACAGTTTATAGCACATTATCAATCTCCTCTTTATTGGAAAATGGGCTTTAAATTTTTTTCAAGAATATGTGAAGGACAGCTAATGAGCCCATGTTTCACTGATTTGAATCACATACACTGCTTTCTATAAAATAATTATTTTTTACAGCGCATTTTAGCAAACTACATGGTATCTTTGTCTTGGAAATGATGGTGTTCTTTTGTTTTTATTTAGTCATTTTCTCGAATCTTCCTTCCTGTTACTTATTACTACATTCTATTTAACTCTACTGTTTGCTTTAGCTGTTGTTATATCTTTCTATCATGTGTTTCAATCAAGTGGGGTGAGGTTTGTAGAAAAATAAGGTTAAAGTGAGCCTTAGAAGACAAACACAGTAGCCATGGTTTGAGAATGGCTAATCCACCATCTTGAGACAAAAGTTGACTTTCTTTTTAATTTAATTCCATTAATATATAATAATACATGTAATAAAAATGTAATTTTTATTGTAAAAAGGAAACCACAGAGACACTGAAGCTCCCTAGAACTCTCAGATCCTTTTCTATGCTATGTTTGTACATGTATGCATATTGTATATGCATATTTATTTTTAATCATTTTTGACACTGAATTCATAATATGTTTTCTGAGTTTTTAATATGCAACACTATCATTTGGAAATCTTACCATGTTAGTAAGTATATAACTCTTAGTTTTTTAACTTTTGTATAGTATTCCATAATATGGCTACTCTGTGATTTATTGGCCATCTATTCTTGGTAGACATTTATGTTAGTTCCATTTTTTACACTGTTGCAAACAGGGCTGCAATAATAACATTTCTAATTTTGTCTCCTTTTATAAGGGATCTACATTTCTCTTGGAGTTCATGCTCAGAATTTGAGTTTCTATGTCTCATTGTTTGGATTTAAGAAAATGTAAATGTATTCAATTATTTTTTAATAAGAATACAATCATGTAGTACAAAACTCAGAAGTTATAAAAGGGTATTAAGAAATCTGCATTTTCTGCTTTCTCAAGCTTGGAACATTTACCCCTGTGGAGCTGAGACAACAAGGAGTCCAGCCCATAGGGAGAAGATATGTGGAGAACCAAGGTGTTCTAGTCAACAGTCCCAGATGAACTGCCAGGTGACAGTCAGAACCAGCCACCAGTCATATGAGTGGGCCATCATGAGTGCTCCAGCCTACTCAGATCCCCAGATGACTGTAGCCCAGCTCCCACCTCCAGATGAACCACCCTGCTGAGCCCCATCAACTCTCAGAATCATGAGAAATAATAAACCATTGTTATTTCAAGCTGCTAGGTTCTAGAGTGATTTTTTCCCCTGCAACCTAAGAGTATAGAGACTCAAGATGCCCTAAATATATGCTGTAAGAGTGATTTTTAATTGAATAATAAAAATGTTTAAAATATTATCTCAGCATAATTTTAATTCCCATTTTTATTATGAATGGAGTTGAGCATATTTTCATATTTCAGTGTTTTTAATGAAGTTGTATTAAAGTTGAGCCACCACTGGCTTAATTGTGACAAATATCTCTCCTCCTCACTCCCCATGAAATATACCTCAGTTATTTTTTTTTTTTAGTCCCCAGAAGATTACCTCCCACAAAAGCCTTCACCCCGCAGTCATCAAGCAGTATCTTCCCCAGGCTGGAGTGCAGTGACATGATCTTGGCTCACTGCAACCTCCACCTCCCAGCCTCAAGTGATTCTCCAGCCTCAGCCTCCTGAGTAGCTGGGACAACAGGCATGTACCACCACACTCAGCTGCTCTTTTCTGTTTTATGCCTTCCCTCTAACATGGCTTGTGAAATCCCAGGAAGAAGTCTAAGTATTGCTACTGCCATGCACTTTTTTTATCCTACCCAGGCCCAAAACTTTTCTACTGCTTATAAAATAAAATCTATGCTTATCAATAGTTGATAACATTACTGGGAAGGCTTGGAGGAGGGTTATTAGCACTAACAGCTTTAGGGCTCTAGCTCTGCCAGCCATGGAGTCCCTGTGAATTTAGAGAGCTCAAAGTGGATTAATTCAATGCTCTCATTTTAGATATAAGACAACTGCTCCTAGCCAGATTGAGATATTGATTCATTGTTACAAAATAAGTCAGTGGTAATTTTAGGATTAGGGTGAGGATCTTGACTTCAATATTCTATACATTGGCTACCTATAATTGTGAGTAAACTAGGCCAGGCATGGTGGCTCATGCCTGTAATCCCAGCACTTTGGGAGGCTGAGGCAGGTGGATTGGTTTGAGCTCCAGAGTTCAAGACCAGCCTGCAGAGGTGGGTGGATTGGTTCAAGCTCCAGAGTTCAAGACCAGCCTGGCCAAAGTGGCAAACCCCATCTCTATAAAAAATACAAAAATTAGCCAGGTGTGGTAGTGCACACTTGTGGTCCTAGCTACTCGGGAGGCTAAGGCTGGAGAATCACTTGAACCTGGGAGGTGGAGGTTGCAGTGAGCCAAGATCACGTCACTGCACTCAAGCCTGGGTGACAGAATGAGACACTGTCTCAAAAAAAAAGAAAGAGAAAGAAAGAAAGAAAGAAAGAAGGAAAGAAAGAAAGAAAGAAAGAAAGAAAGAAAGAAAGAAAGAGAATCTAAAAACAAATTAACTATAAAAAAATTTTTGAATAAACCTTTTTATATTTTACTTTTCGTTCTGTCATAGAAAGTCTCCAATAGCCTTTGTTCAGTATTATTTGGCACTCTTGGTTACACGTGACAGAAACTTAACTCAGACTAGCTTAAACATAAGATAAATATGTTGGCTCCAGTAACTGAAAAGTCCCTGCATGGTGGGATTCCAATGCCCAAAATGTATTGTCAGGGCTCTGTTTGTTTTCATCTCTCAGTTTTGCTTTTAGCTCTTGGCTACATTCCCAGGCTGGCTCTTTCTATGAGACATAAAGAAAGCTACCAAGAGCTTCAGTTTTATACAGTCTTTTTACCTCACAATCTCCTGATGGCCTTCTTGGGTCACATGACCTTCCATGAATCAAATATCATAGCTAAGGAGATGAAATACTCTGCCTGGGCCTGGGTTATAAGCCCACCCTTGGGACCTGGAGCAAGGGCAGAGCAATATCACACCTAAGTTATGCTGAGTGAACTGGGTAATTGCAACATAGGGGAGACATGGTATCCATGTAAAAGGGTATGAAGCAGACAAACAAGGAGTTGTCTACTACCTGTATTAATATTTATCCAGTCCCCTTTCTACTAGATATGACATTAATAAAACCTGGTACTTCGTTGAAGTTTCTGAACTTTTGTGGATAAGATTTCTTAACTAAAACCTTATAAGGCAATTTAATTACCAATTCAGGTTTTGGATGGTCTCTGCCCCTTGTTCTGGGTGAGGCAAGAGTAGGAAAATGATTCATGCCGGTGGACAGCTGGTACTACTCGGATTCTTGAGTGAGCGTCTGCATTTAACTGAACAGTTACGTAAACACACAATTTACATAACCATATGCAGCAGTCCTGATCATCACTTTCCAGTATCCTGAGGGTTAAATAGTCTTAAAACCAAAATTGTCATTTTTACAGCATTTTTAAAAAATTAGCTTTATTGAAATATAATTTTGTAAAATACAATTTACTCACTTTAGACAGTATCAGTCTCATGAGATTTAACATGTAGCAACCCCCATCCTCAAAATATAGAACATTTCCATCAGCCTGAAAGTTTCCCTCGTGCTCAGTCAACCGTTTTTGCCCATGTTGGCTTTTAGCTATCTCTCACTTGTTTTCTGTCACTATAGTTTTACCTATTAGAGAATTTTATATACGAGAAAACATGTGGTCTTTCATAAAGGATTTCTTTCACTTAGTATGATACTTTTAAAATGCAAATATATTGTTGTGTGTACTTGTAGTCTGCACTGTATTATATGGATATACCACAATTTGGGTATTCACCAGTTGATAGTCATTTGGATTCTTTCCAGCTTTTGGCTATTATGAATAAAGCTGCTATGAACATTCACTTACAACTTTTTATGTGAGACATATGTTTTTATTCCTCTCAGGTAAGTATGTAGCAGTGGAATTGTTCAATTGTAAGGTAAATATATAATTAACTTTATAAGAAACTTCCAAACTCTTTTCCAAAGTGTCTGTGCCATTTTGCATCCAACCAGTAGCATATGAGATTTCCACATGCTGCACATGTCTATCAACACTGGGTGTTATCAGATTTTTAATCGCAGCTGCTCTAGGGAATGTATTGATATTTCATGGTGGTTTCAGTTTTCATTTCCTTAGTTAGACTAACGACATTAGTCCTCATAACTATTGATGTGAGCATATTTCAATGGCTTATTGGCCACTTACATATCTTCTTTGGTGAAATGTCTTCAAATCTTTTCCCTTTTTAAAATTAGATTGTTTGCTTTATTATTGAGTTGAAAATTTGCTTTATTAAAGACTTCTCTATTTAGCCTCACATATGTCTTCACTTGATGGGAGACGAAACAGAACAATGACTATTTATCCCCAGTTCTCTGTAGGGGGAGAAACATATTTTCCCTTGCCTTCATGGTGCCCTACATAGAGGCAGCTCACCTAGAGTTGCCTTTCTGCCTCTTTGCCTGTCCCTTCACCAAGAGGGTGAGTTTAAAGAGCTAGCTGATTGGTGAATTTGGGAAAGTTTGTGAGTGAGTTCAGTGAAGCTCTTGGCTCTGGGATTTGTTGTGTGCAGGGACTGTGTCATTTCTCCTCCTTTCCACTTTAATCATATCTTAGCCTGTGGTTTTCCAGCCACTGCATGTGCCTGGGAGGTTTCATTCAATTCAGAAGATCCTAAGAAGCCCATTTGGTCTTTACACTAAGCTTTACCAAAAATCAGCTTTTCCGGCAAATTCATTATGGGAGTGATTATTCCATTATCTTTGTCAAATAATGTTACGCAATCAAGGGAATGATTATCGTATCATATTCATACATCTCAACCATACTGATGGGAAGGGGATCACACAGGGCAGGTAGACCAGGAAATGGGGATATTGGAGGCCTACCCAGTACCTTATACCACAAGAATAAGAAACTATCTGTACTCAGGACAGAAAGATACATGTAAGAATCTGCTTTTTAAGGGGTTTTAGGTGCACACAAGCAAATTACAGATGGTGCATATCTTTAAGAACTCAAAGTGTGTTAGGCTGTTCTCTCATTGCTATAAAGAAATACCCAAGGCTGGGTAATTTATAAAGAAAAGAGGTTAAACTGACTCACGGTTCTGCAGGCTGTACAGGAAGTATGATGCTGGCATCTGCTCAGCTTCTGGGGAGGCCTCAGGAAACTTACAATCATGGTGGAAGGTGAAGGGGGAGCAGGCATGTCGCATGGTGAAAGAAGGAGCAAAAAAGTGCAAGGGGGGAGGTGTCACACAGTTTAAAATGACCAGATCTCACAAGAACTCACTCACTATTGCAGGGACAGTGCCAAGGGAGATGGTACTAAACCATTCATGAGAAATTCACCACCATCATCCAGTCACCTCCCAACAGGCCCTACCTCCAACATTGGAAATTACGTTTCAATATAAGATTTGGGCAGGAACACACATCCAAACTATATCTCCAAGGTAACATAGATCCCACTTCAACTCCTGGTTTTGGAAATGACCAAAAACCGAGATATTAAAACAGTGACAGAAGACTTCTTTTAGGGCCTAATTTTCCTATTTAATAAATATTCCATATTTATATTCATGTAATCATTATCTAACTGCACATTTTTGCCCTCTTTGCCAGTATTTCTAACATCCATTATCCTCCTTGCTTCACCATTCCTGTACGTTTATACTTCTATTCTTTATTTCTTTTTCATAGAAATCTTGTAATATCTGCCCTGGGACTTCTGAAATCTATTTTTATACCAAACGATTCAAGATGGATAATTTCTAAGGATCCATGTGTTCAACCTAGAGTTTGGCAGATCTCTAGGGAACAGATTACAACACACCACCAAAGTCCAAACTGAAAACTCAATTTCTCCCAGACTGATGACTCACAATCTGGCTACATATGGGGCACCTGCTGACCAGTTTCTCTGTTGCAGGTTCCCAGGCAGGTTACCTTCAGGAGTCTGTCAGTTCTGTTAAAATGAGCCCCAGTCACTTCTTTGAGGGTGACCAGACATCCTGGTTTTCTCAGAACCATCTCAATTTATGACTATTTTTCTGGTATAATTATTCCCTATGCACTTTTCACTCTCAAAAGTGTCGCAGTTTGGACAATATATGGTCACTCTATGATGCGTTGAACTATACATTCCAAATTAGAACAGTACTTCATGCACACACATGCACACACACACACACTAAAATAGTAAATGTAAGTATTTATTAAATTCAAACTCAGCTTATGTGCAAAATTCAAATTGTTTGACAAATTTGACTCTATGCTTTCTGAATTCCATTATGCATTTTATGGGCTTAGTTCTATAGTTAATAATAAAGTTTTTTAATTAAAAAATTTACAAGCCTACCAGTATTTCTGTCTACCCAAACTAAGATAATCAAGTAATGTATTCTGAAACTATGAATATATCAATAATAAATATTAATGGAGCCCCATTTTTCAATGCTATTATGTTGTAGAAGACCAGAAATGCTCTGCCATGATCTGTGATTCTAAAGACAATTATAGATCATAATAAGGTTGAGAAGGGAAAAGAGAACGAGAGGAGACACTGAAGAGGTAAGTTAAAATGGAAGACATAGGCATATCTAGGTCATAGAAAACTGTGGATGCAAATCCTGGCAGCAAATAATTAAGAGGTAATACCCTTCAAGTACCTACATGGATAAGTTCACCCAAGCAGCTGAGGTCAAACATCAGGTAAAGAATCCAGGACGAAGAATATAGAAATGCCACAGAAATCAAGTAAAATCCAATGATGATTCATTCATCTTTCCAAACTTAACTGATTATTTTCCTTCCCACTCTGGTAGAATAAAATTCCTGATTGTTATAGGACGAAATACTTGCTAAGGAAGGTAACTGAAGGCAGATGACCTGGTTTGAAGTGTAGGTCAGGGAGCAGGCACTATTTTTACTGGAGACAGTGTCTGGAGTGGCTTTATTTACAGAATGTACTTTTAACAAATATTAGAGTAATGTTATGCTTCAGGTTTTGTGCTATGTGGTGGATGCAAAATTGAGAGGAAAAGAAGAAAACTACCATAATGATAATAAACAATAAGATCACTTCTCTTAAGGAGCTTATTGTCTAGTCCTTTAACTATAGATTTCATTCTGTTGTTAAATATACATTTCAAATTGTACTATATTGATTGAATAATCATGATACTTTTTTATTACTTTTATGTCTAGTTAATTATTTAGAAAATCTTTAGAATTTTTGGGGGGCAACAGATCTGTTTTGGTCATTGTCCTTCGTGTTAGGACTAATGCCTGAGAATCTCTCATTGTGAGCTAAAGCTCTAAAATGATATTTAAGCACATTCTAAATATAAGCACAATGCTGTATTATTGGGTGAAAATGTTCATTTTCAAGAGACTTTTTTTTCCAAAAAGCACCAGACAATTACACATTCATTGCTTTCCTTAAGTGCTATCAGTTACATAGCCGCCACATAGTATTTCAACATGAGGTTAATTGCAGCTAAAGAAAAGTTTATGATTAGTCCAGACAGGTATTTTTCTTCATTGTCTAATACCATAAATCCATTAAATTCCTATCCATCTTGTCATCCTCTCCTTGAAGACTTGGTTATATGACCTGCAATACTAGTTCAGTTTCGTGATTATAATTGTGATTGGCAGAGAGCTTTCAGAGTTGCAATAAATTTTGCTACAGGCAGAGAGGGATTTGGTACCACCCCGATTCCACTGTGAAATCTGAATTTTCAACTATCTTATTACTGGTGAACAGTCTCATTTGCAGGAAAGAAACAAAGCAATGAATGTGAATTGTTTGGAACTTTTTGGGGAAAAAAAGAGCTCATAAAAATAAACATTTTCACCAAATAATACAACATTGTGTTTATCTTTATAATGTGCTTAAAATACTATTTTAGAGCTTTAACTTACAATGCCAGATTCTCAAGCATTAGTCCCAGCACCAAGGACAGTGACCAAAACATATTCATTACCCCCCAAATTTTTGCTAAATAATTAACTGGGCATATAAATCATAAGAAAGGTATCATGCTTATCCAATTCTTCCGGCTTTAATAATTCCAGAAATTTGCCTTGGAGGACAAGGTTTGAAGTAGCTTGTAGATATGTGGCTTGTCTTCTTATTATTTGTCACTAAAGCATACCACTGTCCTTAACCCTG
The DNA here is from genome assembly GCF_000001405.40 of Homo sapiens. Taxonomy (NCBI): domain Eukaryota; kingdom Metazoa; phylum Chordata; class Mammalia; order Primates; family Hominidae; genus Homo; species Homo sapiens. Next base: position 217,193,957 of record NC_000001.11, read on the forward strand.
TATTCTGGAATTATCCTGTGTCCTAGGATTGTTTTTCAGATTATTTTCACAGCCCACAGATAATCCTGGGATATAGGGGAGGCAGTAGGATGCTTGTCAGTAGAAGTGGTCAACACAGTTTCCTCTGCTCTATTTTTTTCTTTCATAAAGCATATTTCAGGGACTTTCTGGGGTATGTGCATTCATGTGTGTGCATATGTGTGTTTATAAACAAGTAGCCCACATGCCCATGATAGATGTATTCAAAAAGCATATTTCAAAAAGCATATCTCAGGGACTTTCTGGTGTATGTGTATCCATGTGTGTGCATGTGTGTGTTTATAAACAAGCATGCTCATGATACATGTATTCCTCCTTGAAATTTCAGTTGTTGACATGCTGGAAAAATTGGGTACATAAATTATTTCTGCCCCTAGGCACTTTAACTTGGACGGCCAGCACTTACTCCGCTGGTCACCATAGGTCTCCCTGTCCTTGGCAGCATTACAGGGGTAATATTTTTTAACATGGATGAACAGCTCTTGAAAATTTCTCCAATGTATTAAGCATGAACAAGCCTTTCTTCAACATCAGACTTGCATGTCTTCCCTTCACATTTATTTCTCTACAACAAACATATTTATTGGGGCCATTATGAGAAAAATCTCCCTCTCCATAAATGTTTGTCTTCCCCTTTGTCCCTTTTATAAGATCGTGAAGAAATGATGGAGGGTCTTGTTGGGTGGTTGTGTGTGTGCCTGTATGCTTTTTTTTTTTTTTTCCTCTGGGGAACTCCCTTTTATTGCACGATTGGCATAAAGTCTTTTTTTTTAAGCCAGACACTAGGTTTTGGTTGTTTGCTTTGGAGTGAGAAATGGGCTAAGTGACAAAATAGGAGATAAGCAGGACTTAAGAGGTAAATGAAAAATGGAGTATTCCCTGTAACAGCATTTGCCAAACATTTCTCCATTTACTGCACCCATTAGTGTCACTAAAGTGTACCTAGGTGATACTGTTGTCACTGATCATGCTCTAGCCAAGGAGCTGCCTAGGAGCAGTTTCAATTGTGGAAGCGAGCTAAATGAATACTGAGATATTAATTAATTTTTCAAAATTTTTATGGTTCTACATAAAGTCAATAGAAAAGTAATCAAATTTTCTGACAATCACCAAGAGCAGTTATTTCTGTGGTACGGGACAATACTGCTCAGATGGCCTGATGTGTGTTTCACAGTGTCTGGGTTCATAATTAAAATAAAATTTAGGGTACATTTGAATCTTGTTTGTGTGAATAATGATCGTTTAAGATTCTGTGGAATCTAGGATGCAGCTGGACAATATAAGGATGAGTTTTACACTGTGGCCTTAGGGAATAAAGAAAGCTATTACTATAATTACAGGCATACCTTGGAGATATTGTGGATTTGGTTCTAGACCACCACTAATATGGTTTGGCTGTGTCCCCACCCAAATCTCATCTTGAATATTAACTCCCATAATCCTCATGTGTCATGGGAAGGACCTGGTGGGAGGTAACTGAATTATGGGGGTGAGTTTTTCCCATGCTGTTCTCATGATAATGAATAAGTCTCAGGAGATCTGATGGTTTTATATAGACCAGTTCCCAGCAGGGCACGGTGGCTCACGCCTGTAATCCCAGCACTTTGGGAGGCCGAGGTGGGCAGGTCACCTGAGGTCAGAAGTTCGAGACCAGCCTGGCCACATGGTAAAACCTTGTCTGTACTAAAAATACAAAAATTAGCTGGACGTGGTGGCATCTGCCTGTAATCCCAGCTACTCGGGAGGCTGACGCAGCAGAACCCTGGAGGTGGAGGTTGCAGTGAACCAAGATCACACCACTGCACTCCAGCCTGGGCGACAAGGGTGAAACTCTGTCTCAAGAAAAAAAAAAAAAAAAAAAAAAAAAAAAAGGCAGTTCCCCTGCACACACATCCTTGCCTGCTGCCACGTAAGATGTGCTTTTGCTTGTCCTTCACCTTCCACCATGATTGTGAGGCCTCCCCAGCCATGTGGAACTGTGAATCTATTAAACCTCTTTTTCATTATAAATTACCCATGCTCAGGTATTTCTTCATAGCAGTATAAGAACAGATTAATACAACCACAATGAAGCAAATATCACAATAAAGCAGGTCATGTAAACTTTTTTGTTTCCCAGTGCGAATAAAGTTATATTTACACTATACTGTGGTCTATTAAGTATGCAATATCATCATGTCTAAAAAACGATGTACATACCTTAATTAAAAATACTTTATTGTTAAAAAAGGCAGACAGTCAATTGTTCCTTCGGCAAGTTGTGATCTTTCTGCTGATGGAAAGTCTTGCCTTGATGCTGATGACTTCTAACTGATCAGGGTGGTGGTTGTGGAAAGTTGGGGTGCCTGTGGCAATTTCTCAAAATAAGGCAAGAGTGAAGTTTACCTCATTGACTGACCCTTCTTTTAATGAAAGATTTCTCTGTTATATGCAATGATATTTGATAGCATTTTACCAACAGCAGAACTTTGTTCAAAATTAGAGTCAATTTTCTCAAGCTCTGCTGCTGCATTATCAACTAAGTTTATGTAATATTCCAAATTCTTTCTCGCCATTTTAACAACGTTCGCAGCATCTTCACCAGGAATACATTTCCATCTCAAGAAAACATCTTTGCTCATCAATAAGAAGCAACACCTCATCTATTCAAGTTTCATCATGAGACTGCAGCAATTCAGTCATATCTTCAGGCTCCATTTTTTTCTTCTTCTCTTGCTAGTTCCACCGCATCTGCATTTATTTTCTCTACTGAACTCTTGAACCTTTCAAAGGCACCCATGAGAGTTGGAATCAGCTTCTTCCAAACTTTTGTTGATGTTGATATTTTGACAAGTTCCCATGAATCACAAATGTTCTTAATGGCATCTAAAATAGTTAATCCTTTCCAGATGTTTTTCCACTTACTTTGACCACATCCATCAGAGGAATCACTATCTATGGCAGCTAAAGCCTTATGAAATATATTTCTTAAGTAATATGACTTGAAAGTTAAAATTACCCCTTGATCCATGGTCTGCAGGATGGATGTTGTGTTAATAGGCATAAAACAACATTAATCTCTTTGTACACATCTGTCAGAGCTGTTGGGTGACTAGGTGCATTGTCAAAACCAGTAATATTTAGAACAAAATATTTTCTTCTAAGCAAGAGATCTCAACTATGGACTTAAAAAATTCAGTAAACAATGTTGTAAGAAGATTTACTGTCGTCCAGGCTTTGTTGTTCCATTAATAAAGCACAGGCAGAGTAGATTTAGCATCATTCTTAAGAGCCCTAGGATTTTCAGAATGGTAAATGAACATTGATTTCACCTTAAAGTCACCAGCTGCATTCACCCCTAACAAGAGAGTCAGCCTGTCGTTTGAAGCCAGGCATCTACTTCTCCTCTCTAGCTATGAAAGTCCAGATGGCATCTCCTTCCAATAGAAGGCTGTTCCATTTATATTGAAAATCTGTTGTTTCATGTAGCCACCTTCATTAATGACCTTAGCTAGATCTTCTGGATAAGTTGGATAACTTTCTGCAGCCTCTACATCAGCACTTGCTGCGTCACCTTGCACTTTTATGTTATGGTGACGGCTTCTTTCCTTAAACCTCATGAACCAACCTGTGCTAGCTTCCAACTATTCTTCTGCAGCCTGTCAATCTCTCTTAGGCTTAATGGAGTTGAAGAGAGTTAGGGTCTTGGTCTGGATTAGGCTATAGCTTAAGGGAATGCGGGAGCTGGTTTGATGTTCTCTCTAGGCTACTCAAACTTTCTGTACATCAGCAATAAAGCTGTTTTACTTTTTTGTCATTTGTGTGTTCACTGGAGTAGCACTTTCAATTTCTTCAAGAACTTTTCCTTTGCATTCACCATTTGGCTATCTGTTTGGTGCAAGAAGTCTAACTGTTGGTTTATCTTGGCTTTCAACATGCCTTCCTCACTAAGCTTAATCTTTTCTAGCTTTTGATTTAAATAAACGTGCAACTCTTTCTTTCACTTGAACATTTAGAGGCAATTGTAGAATTATTAATTGGCCTAATTTTATGATTTTTGTGTCTCAGGAAATAAGAAAAGCCCAAGGAGAGAAAGAGAGATGGGGGAATAGCCTGACAGTGCAGCAGTCAGAACACACACATTATTAATTACGTTTGCTGCTTTATATGAGCACAGCTAGTGGCACCCCAAAACAATTACAATAGCAACACCAAAAATCACTGATCACAGATCATCACAACAGATATTATAATAACAAACAAGTTTTTAATATTGTGAGAATTACCAAAATGAGACACAGAAACATGAAGTGAGTACATGCTGTTGGAAACAATGGCACCTATATACTTGTTCAATGCAGAGTTGCCACAAACCTTCAATTTGTGGAAAAAAATGCAGTATTGCAATGTCTCTGAGGTATACCTATAATTATAATAATAGCTTTCTTTATTCCTTAAGGCCACAGTGTAAAACTCATGCTTATACTGTTCAGCTGTCATCCTAGATTCTACAGAATCTTAAATGATCATCATTCACACAAACAGGATCCAAATGTACCCTAAATTTTATTTTAATTGTGAACCAAGACACTGTGAAACAGGAATATCAGGCCATCTCAGTAATATTGTCCTGTCCCACAGAGAGATAACTGCTCTTGGTGATTGAGAAGCACAATAACGTGAAGTGCAGTGAAACGAGGTGTGCCTGTATAAGAACCAGTCCATGCTCCCTTCTGTCCATCTTCTAGAGGGCTCATTTACTATTTAAGGGTAGCCAGAGAAGTAAGGAAGAGAATAGGCTTCCTTGTACCAAGTTCTGTATCAAGACTTCACATAATTCCCTTTTAGTCTGTTGGAGAGCTGGGCAACTTGGGTCAGAGCAGGAAAATACATCATTATGGTAATTATTAACCAGGTGAATTTGGGGCATACATCCCCTCCAATATTTACGTTTGCAACTGCATTCCATCAGATTCACTTAGAAAACAGGCAATCTGAGTGTGCTTCTTGGAAGATGTTTCTCAGAAAGCCAATGACCTGACTAACCCTCTTATTAGAAGCCTCTGTGAAAACCACAGAGACCAAATGACCCACTTATGTCTGCAAAGCAAAGCTGAGCAAAGACAGCAACAGAGATCAACCTTGGACTCTAGTTCTGTTGTCATTGCTGCTGCTTCTGCTGCTACTCCTACATCAGCTAATCTGTTTCTGGGGAAATTTAGAAAGTTCTGTTTTTAATCTTCTCACCTTTAATGTATAACTATACTGTTGTACTTGAAGACATGAGATCAAATTCTGAGCCCTAAAGACAATTTTTAATGTTATATCTTAAAACATCTTGAACCCGGGCACATATCCTAAAGTATTCTCTTTTTTTTAGGACTACCAGCTACCACAAGAGTTATTTGTGTGGAAGATTTGTCTATGAATGTTTTTCATTTATCTTTTTACAAATTTAATTTTTTTGTAATGGAGGTAAAAATTTGTTGTGTGAAATGCACCAATCTTAAGTGTATAATTCAATGATTTATAACAAATATATGCACTTGTATAGCCAACAGCTTAATCAGGACATAGAGCATTTCCATCAACCCGGAAAGTCTCCATTTGCCTCCTTCCAATCTCTTCTCTGCTATCAACTGGAAATTTTATTTTTCTAGAGATAGAGTCTTGCTATGTTGTCCAGTCTGGCTTCAAACTCCTGGGATCAGGCAATTCTTCCACTTCAGCCTCCAGAGAGTACAGTTATGAGCCACTGCACTCAAAAGAATCACTATTTTAATTTCTATCATCATAGATAACTTTTGCCTATTTGTGAACTTCATGTAAATGTAATCATACAATATATATTCTTGTGTCTGGCTTTTTTAATTCAACACAGTGTTTTGGAGATTCCTATGGCTAAGCAGTATTCCATTATGTAACTATAATATAATTTACTTTTTAGTTCTTCTATTGATGGATATTTGGATTCTTTACTGTGTTTTTCTATTATAAAGAAAGTGACTAAGTATGTTCCTCTAGAAGCCTGTTTGTGAATACATATTTTGATTTATGCTTGGCATATATTTAGGAGTAGAAATTCTGGGGTCAGCAAACCTCTAAATCTATAAGAAAGAAACGAACAGTTTTCTGAAGTAGTTGTACCATTGGTTCTCATTTTTCACATCTTTGCCAACATTTGGTGTTTTCAATCTTTTTAATTCTACCTGTTCTTGTGGGTCTGAAGTGATAGGCCATTGTGATTTTTATTTTGGATTTCCCTAATAACTTATGACTTTGATCAACTTTTAATGTATTTTTTGACCATTCATGTAACTTTTTTTGCAAAGTGTCTGTTCCATATTTTGGCATATATTTTTATTGGATACTTGTCTTTTGTCTTCTAGCTTTAAATCTTTTGTCACATGTGTGTAATGCAAGTATTCTTCCAATCTAAGGCTTGCTTTTTCATTTACCTAATATGTCTGCTGATTAGCAGACTTTTTAATTTTGATGAAGAACACTATGACTTTTAAAATAATTAGTACATTTTTGTTCTCATTGAGAAATATTTGCCTATTCCAACGTCACAACTTTATTCTATTTTCTTCTAGAATTTTTATAATTACAGATTTTAATTTTAGGTGTACAGTCCATCTCAAAGTAATGTCTGTGTATATTTTAAGGGTTGATGTTGGGGTTCATTTATTTTTCTCACATTTTTCCGGTTGCTTTAGCACAATTGTCCTGTCCATATTGAATAGCCTTAACACATTTGTGGAAAATCAGTTGATAAGATATGTCTGGGTATATTTTTGGGCTCTATTATGTTCCAATTACCTATTTGTCTTTAGTTACATTAATACTACACTATCCTGATTACTGTTGCATTGTAGTAAGTTTTGAAATCAGGTAGAGTGAACCTTCCAAATTTGTTCTTTCTCAAGACGTTTTTAGCCATTCCAAGTCCTTTGAATTTTTATATAACTTTTAGAATCAACTTGTCAATTCTACCAAAAAAAGTCCATGAGATTTTGATTGGTATTGTGTTTATTCCATAGATCAATTTGGAATGAAATGATAATGACACTCTTCCAAATGGTAGATGTTTTATGTCTCTTTGTTTATTCAGGCCTTTTAAAATTTCTCTCAGTTATGTTTTGAAGACTCAAGTGGAGAGGTACTACAAGTCTTTTAAAAATGTTTATTTCTAAATACTGTATATAGTTTTAAAGTTTTTTAATTTTATGGGTACATAGTAGGTGTATATATTTTCAGGGCACATGAAATATTTTGATACAGGTATACAATGTGTAATAATCACATCAGGGTAAAAGAGGTATCCATCCTCTCAAGCATTTTTCCTTTCTTTATGTTTACAAACATGCTAATTGTACTCTTAGTTATTTATAAATGTATCATAAATTATTGTTAAATGTAGTCATCCTGTTGTGCTATCAAATACCAGAATTTATTCATTCTATCTAATATTTTTTTGTACCCATTTATCATAACCCTTTACCCCCTCTACTACACTTTCCAGCTTCTGGTAACTGTCATTCTACTCTCCATTTCCCTATGGATTAAATTGTTTTAACTTTTAGCTCCCACAAATAAATATCTTTCTGTGTCTAGCTTATTTCACTTAATATAATATTCTCCAGTTCCATCAATGTTGTTGCAACTGACAGGATCTCCTTCTATTTTATGGTTGAATGGTATTCCACTGTGTGTATGTACACGTTTTCTTTATCCATTCCTCTACTGATGGACACTTAGGTTGACTCCAAAATTGGCTATTGTCAATAATGCTGCAATAAACATGGGAGTGCTGAGATCTCTTTGATACACTGATTTGCTTTCTTTTGGGTATACAACTAGCAATGATATTGCTGGATCATATGGTAGTTTTGTTTTTAGTTTTTTTGAGAAACCCCCATACCATTCTCCATAGTGTTTGTACTAATGTACATTCCCACCCACAGCGTATGAGAGGTTCCCCTTTCACTACATCCTCACCAGCATTCATTATTGCCTGTCTTTTGGATAAAAGCCATTTGAACTGTGGTGAGATGATATCTCATTGCGGTTTCGATTTGCAACTCCCTGATGATCAATAATGTTGAGCACATTTTCACATACCTGACTGTCATTCATATTTGAGAAATAGCTATTCGGATCTTTTCACTATTTTTAATGGGATTATTAGATTGTTTTCCTATTGAGTTGTTTGAGCACCTTATGTATTCTGGTTATTAATTCCTTCTCAGATAGAAAACTTGAAAATATTTTTTCCTATTATGTGAGTTGTCTTATGGTTTTGATACTGTTATAAAAATCTTTTAATTTTATTGTCCAATTGTATAGAAATATAGATTTTTGTAGATTGACCTTATATACTAATACTTTGCTAAATTATTAGTTCAATAAAGTGTTTTAAAAATTTTTTGCAGATTCTTAGTACTTTCTACGTCTATGATCATATTTTCTGTAAATAAAGACTACTTTATTTCTTCTTCTATCTGTCCTTTTAACCTTGCTTTATTGCATGGGCTAGAATCTTCAATGCAATGGTGAAAAGTAGTGGTGATATACTTTCCTCATTTTTGTTTTTAAGGGGACAGTGTTTAATGTTTCACCATGGCAGGTTGCTGGCCAAAGGTTTTTCATAGATGCCTTTTATCATACTGATAAAATTTACTTTTATTCTTAGATTTCTCAGGATTTTGTTTTTTAAAAATTATGAATATGTGCTTAATTTTGTCAAATGCTTTTTCTGCACCTACTGAGGTGATCATATAGATCATATATTATCCTCCCTTTTTCTGTTAATTAGTTAAATTACATTGGTTGATTTACAATTATTAAACCATCTTTGCACCCCGGGAATAAATCCTAGCTGCTTATGATGTATAAACTTTTTATGTAATTCTAGATTTAATTTATTAACAACTTGCTAAAGATTTTTATTTCTATGTTCATGAGGGATAGAGGCCTAGAATTCTGTTTTCTTGTAATGCCTTTTCCAAATTTGGTTATGGTTATGCTTACCTATAAAATGTACTGTTTCATATTTTCCCCAAACATTTATGCATGAATACATTACTTCTTTCTTAAATGTTTCATAGAATTCATGTGAAACAAACTGGGTTTGGAGTTTTGTTCGTGTAAGGACCCCTATCATTTATTTAATTTCTTCAATAGTGCTGGTCTATTCAGAATTTGGTAAGTTGTATTTTCCCAAGGAATATACCCATTTCATCTAGTTGTTGAATTTATTGACATTATTTATAATATTCCCTCATTATAATATCTGTAGGACCTATAGATATATTATTAATTTTGTTTCTGGTAGTGGAATTAGTGTTTTTTTTCCATGATCAGTCTTGCTAGGGGTTAATTTAATTATTTTTCTAATAAACCAGTTTTTCATTTTCTTTTTTTTTTTTTTTAGTATTTCATCTCTTTCCACTTTTATGGTTGCTATTTACTTATTTACTTCATTCTACTTACTTTGACTTTAATTTGCTCTTCTTTTTCTGTTTTTGTAATGTGAAAGCTCAGGTCATTAATTATAAACTTTTCTTCTTGTGTATTAGAAGCATTTAAAGAGTACATTTTCTTCTAATCACCTTTTTAGCTGCATGCTATATGTTGTTTATTTCAATTTTAAAAAATTCTGGTAAAATACACATAACAAAAACTGACCATCTTAATCATTTTATAATGTACAGTTTGATAATGTTGAGTACATTCACATTCTTGTAAAACAAATCTCCAGAATTCTTCATCTCACAAAACTGAAACTCTATACTCATTAAATAAAAACTGCCCATCACCCCTACCCCCAGCCCTTGGAAAGCATCATTCTACTTTCTGTCTCTGATTTTGACTACTCTAGCTACCTCATATAAGTAGAATCATATAATATTTGTCTTTTTGTGACTGGCTTATTTCAGTTAGCATAATGTCCTCAATGTTAATTCATGTTGTAGCATATATCAGAATTTCCTGCCTTTTTAAGACTGAGTAATATTCCATTATAGGTGTATACCCCATTTTGTTTATCTTTTCATTTGTTGATGAGCAGATATTAGGGTGTTTTCACTCATTGCAGATAATGCTAATATGAACACGAGTATATAACTATTTCTTTGAGACTCTGCTTTCAATTCTTTTGAGTGTATACCCAGAAGTGGAATAGCTGGGTTATATAGTAATTGTATTTTTAGTTTTTTGAGGAACCACTATACTGTTTTCCACAGCTGCTCTACTATTTTCCATTCCTGTCAATGGTACACAAGGTTTCCAGTTTCTCCATATCCTTGTCAACCCTTTTTTTTTGACAGAAGCCATAATAATGGATGTGTGGTGATATGTCATTGTGCATTCAATTCGCATTTACCATATGATTAGTAATGCTGAGCACCTTTTTATGTGTTTATTGGACATTGATCTATCTTCTTTGAGAAATAGCTATTCTTTTGTCCATTTTTAAATTTTGACTGTTCATTTTTTATTGTTGAATTACAGTTCCTTTATATATTCTGTATATTAACCCCTTATCGGATATGACTTGCAAATATTTTCTTGCATTCCATGAGTTGCCTTTTACACTGTTAATTGTGTCTTCTGATGCATAGACATTTTAAATTTTGACATAGTCAAATTTATCTACATTACTGTTATTTCTTGTGCTTTTAGTGTCATATCCAAAAAATCACTGCTGAATCTAATAAAATGAAGCTTTTTTCCTTATGCTTTCTTAGAGGAATTTTATAGTTTTATCTCATATGTTTAGGTCTTTGATCCATTTTGAATTAATTTTTGTATATGACGCAAAGCAAAAGTCCAGCTTCATTCTTTTGTATGTGGATATCCAGTTTTCCCAGCACTATTAGAAAGACTGCCTTTCCCTGTTGAATGATATATTTTATATGTTTTAATGTGTCATATTTTTATTATTAGTTTCTTCTGGATATTTTCTAATTTCTTTCATGATGTTGTTTTTTAGGCAAAAGATATATTAATATATCACTATATTGTAAAGATATAATAAAGGTTAATAAAGATATAGTGAAATCACATTTTTTATACTTATTGTTTGCATGGTATAACTTTTCTCATTCTTTTATTCTTAATATATTTGTGTCTTTATATGAAAAGTGAGCTTCTTGTGCATAACCTGTAGCTGATTCTTACTGTTTTATCCAGTCTCACAGCCTCTGCCTTTTAATTAGAGTGCATAGTCTATTTATATTTAATATGATAATTGATATGATTGTGTTAAGTTTATCATCTTACTATTTGTTTTTAAGTTATCTCAGTTGATTTTTCATCCTCTGTTTAGCTTTTCCTATCTTCTTTTGTGTTAATTGAATCATTCTTTGTTTTCCATTTTAATTTCTTAACTGACTCTTTTTCTACATGCCATTGATATGGTTTGGCTATGTTCCCACCCAAATCTCATCTTGAATTGTAACTCCCACAATTCCCACGTGTCATCCGAGGAATCCATTGGGAGATGATTGAGTTATGGGGAGTGGGGAGTCTTTCCTGTGCTGTTTTCATAATAGTGAATAAGTCTCATGAGATCTGATGGTTTTAAAAAAGAGAAGTTCCCTGCACAATGTTTCTTTTTGCCTGCCACCATCCACATAAAATGTGACTTGCTCTTCCTTGCCTTTCACCATGATTGTGATGCTTCCCCAGCCACGTGGAACTGTAAGTCCAATTAAACTTCTTTCTTTTGTAAGTTGCCCAGTCTTGGGTATTTCTTTATCAGCAGCGTGAAAATGACTAATACAGTAAATTGGTACCAGGAGTTGGGTGCTGCTGAAAAGATACTCGAAAACGTGGAAGCAACTTTGGAACTGGGTAACAGGCAGAGGAGGGAACAGTTTGGAGGGCTCAGAAGAAGTCAGAAAAATGTGGGAACATTTGGAACTTCCTGGAGACTTCCAGAATGGCTTTGACCAGAAGCCTGATAGTGGTATGGACAATAAGGTCCAGGCTGAGGTGGTCTCAGATAGAGATGAGGAACTTGTTGGGAACTGGAACAAAGGTGACCCTTATTATGTTTTATCAAAGAGACTGGTGGCATTTTGCCCCCACCCTAGAGATTTGTGGAACTTTGAACTTGAGAGAGATGATTTATGGTTTCTGGTGGAAGAAATTTCTAAGCAGCAAAGCATTCAAGAAGTGACTTGGGTACTGTTAAAGGCATTCAGTTTTATAAGGGAAGCAGAGCATGAAAGTTTGGAAAGTTTGCAGCCTGACAAAGTGATAGAAAAAGAAATCCCATTTTTCTGAGGCGAAACTCAAGCTGACTGCAGAAATTTGCATAAGTAACAAGGAGCTGAATGTTAATCCCCAAGACAATGTCTCCAGGCCATGCCAGAGACATTGACGGCAGCCCCTCTCATCACAGTCCCAGAGGCTTAGGAGAAAAGATTGTTTCATGGGCCGGGTCCAGGGTCCCTCTGCTGTGTTCAGTCTAGGGATTTTGTGCACTGCACCCCAGCCGCTCCTGCCATGGACAAAAGGGGCCAACACAAAACTCGAGCTGTGGCTTCAGAGGGTGCAAACCCCAAGCCTTGGCAGTTTCCACGTGGTGTTGAGCCTGCGAGTGCACAGAAGTGAAGAAGTGGGGTTTGGGAACTTCTGTCTAGATTTCATAGGATGTATGGAAATGCCTGGATGCCCAGGCAGAAGTTTGCTGCAGGGGTGGTGCCCTCATAGAGAACCTCTGCTAGGGAAGTGCGGGAGGAAAATGTGGGGTTGGAGCCCCCACACAGAGTCCCTACTGGGGCACCACTTAGTGGAGCTGTGAGAAGAGGGCCATCATCCTCCAGACCCCAGAATGGTAGATCCACCAACGGCTCGCACCATGTGTCTGGAAAAGCCGCAGACGCTGATGCCAGCCTGTGAAAGCAACTGGGAGGAAGCCTGTACCCCACAAAGCAAGAGGGGCAGAGCTTCCCAAGACAGTGGAAATCCACCTCTTGCATCACCATAACCTGGATGTGAGACATAGAGTCAAAGGAGATCATTCTGGAGCTTTAATATTTGACTGCCTCACTGAATTTCTAACTTGCATGGGGCCCCTAGCCCCTTAGTTTTAGCCAATTTCTCCCATTTGAAATGGGTGCATTTACCCAATGCCTGTACCTCCATTGTATCTAGGAAGTAACTAACTTGCTTCTTAATTTTACAGGCTCATACATGGAAGGGACTTGCCTTGTGTCGAATGAGACTTTGGACTATGGACTTTTGAGTTGATGAAATGAGTTAAGATTTTGGGGGACTGTTGACAAGGCATGATTGGTTTTGAGATGTGAGGATATGAGATTTGGGAGGGGCTAGGGGTGGCATGATATAGTTTGGCTGTGTCCCCACCCAAACCTCATCTTGAATTGTAACTCCCGCAATTCCCATGTGTCATGGGAGGAACCTGGTGGGAGGTGATTGAATTATGGGGGCAGGTCTTTTCTGCACTGTTCTCATGATAGTGAATTAGTCTCATGAGATCTGATGGTTTTAAAAAAGAGGAGTTCCCCTGCACAATCTCTCTCTTTTTGCCTGCCACCATCCACATAAGATGTGACTTGCTCCTCCTTGCCTTCCACTGCCACATGGAACTGTAAGTCCAATTAAACCTCTTTCTTTTGTAAAATGCTCAGTCTCAGGTAGGTCTCTATCAGCAGCTTGAAAATGGTCTAATACAGCCGTTATATTTGCTTTTTAGTGGTTATGCTAGGGATTATAATATGCATTCTTAATAAAAGAATAATACATTAGCTCATGTAAAATGTAAAAAGCTAACAACAGTAAAATTGCATTTCCTCTTATCCTTTCTAATACTGTTTTAATATATTTAACTCTATAATACAATGTTATTTTCTTTGCTTTAAACCATCAACTGCCTTTCAAAGACATTAAGAGAAGAAAAGGCCGGGCGTGGTGGCTAACACCTGTAATCTCAGCACTATGGGAGGCCGAGGAGGGTGGATCATCTGAGGTCAGGAGTTCAAGACCATCCTGGCCAATGTGGCGAAACCCTGTCTCTACTAAGCAACAGAAAAATTAGCCAGGCATGGTGGCGGGTGCCTGTCATCCCAGCTACTTGAGAGACTTGAGGCAGGGAGAATTGCTTGAACCCAGGAGGCAGAGGTTGTAGTGAGCTGAGATTGTGCCACTGCACTCCAGCTTGTGCAACAGAATGAGACTCCATCAAAAAAAAAAAAAAAAAAAAAAAGAAGAGAAGAAAACAGAAAACAGTCTTTTATATTTACCCACATACTTATCATTTCTGGTGTCCTTCATTTCTTCTGGTATATCGAAGTTCTCATCTAGTGTTATTTCCATTCCTCTAAACAATTTTACCTGTTTACTTCTGTTAATGTACATCTGCTGGGGCTGAAGGTCCTCAACTTTTATTTCTTTGAAAATGTCTTTAGTTGACCTTTACTTTTTTTTTTTGAGACAGAGTCTTACTTGCTTTGTCCCCCAGGCTGGAGTGCAGTGGCACAATCTTGGCTCACTGCAACCTCTGCTTCCCCGGTTCAAGTGATTCTCATGCCTCAGCCTCCCAAGTAACTGGGATTAGAGGTGCACGCCTCCATGCCAAGCTAATTTTTGTATTTTTAGTAGAGACAGGGTTTCACCACGTTGGCCAGGCTGGTCTCGAACTCTTGGCCTCAAGTGATCCACCTGCCTCAGCTTCCTAAAATGCTAGGATTACAGGCATGAGCCAATGCACCCAGCCAACCCTTACTTTTAATGTGTAGTTTTCACTGGATATAAAATTTTGTGTTGACAGCTTTTTTTATTTAAGCATTTTAAAGGTGCCATTCAATTGTTTCTGATAAATAGCAGCCCTCAGTAATATTACTGCCTATTCTATGAGAAATGTCTTTGTCTGTCTTCTTTTAAGATTTTATCTTTTTCTTTGACTACCAGCATTCTGACTATGATGTATAAGTCAAGTGTGGTTCTCATTGTATTTACCCTGCTTAAGGTTTGCTGAGCAATGGGGTATGTGATTTAAAAAAAAAAGTTATTGTATATTTTTAAGGTATACAACATAAGGTTGTGAGATACATAAATACAGTATAAAATGGTTACTACAGTGAGGCAAATTGACATATCTATCATGTTATCTTACATAGTCACCTTTTAGTTTTGTGGTAAGAGCAGCTAAAATCTATTCATTTAGTAAGAATCGTGAATACAATATAATATCAGTAACTATAGTCCTCATGTTGCACGTTAAATATCTAGGCTTGTCCATCCTACATATCTACTACTTTGTATCCTTTGACCTACATCTCCCCATTCTCTCTCTCCTCCCACCTCTGCCCTTGGTGATCACTCTTTTTTCTTTTGAGACGGAGTCTCGCACTGTCACCCAGGCTGGAGTTAAATGGCGCGATTTCGGCTCACTGTAAGCTCCGCCTCCCGGGTTCACTCCATTCTCCTGCCTCAGCCTCCAGAGTAGAGGGGACTACAGGCGCCCGCCACCACGCCCAGCTAATTTTTTGTATTTTTTGTAGAGACGGAGTTTCACCGTGTCAGCCAGGATGGTCTCGATCTCCTGACCTCGTGATCCGCCCGCCTCGGCCTCCCAAAGTGCTGGGATTACAGGCAGCAGCCACCATGCCCAGCCTGACATAGATATCTTTATGAAGTGGTAATTTCACTCTCTTTGGGTATATACCCAGAAGAGGCATTGTTGGGTCATATGGCAGTCCTATTTTAAGTTTCTTTAGCAACCTCCACACTTTTTTGTAACAGGTGCACGAATCTACACAATCGAATTCCTACCAACAGTGTACAAGAATCCCTTTTTTAAATAAATAAATAAATAAAATTGAGTCTGGCTCTGTCACCCAGGCTAGAGTGCAGAGGTATGATCTCAGCTCAGTGCAACCTCCACCTCCCAGGCTCAAGCCATCCTCCCACTTCAGCCTCCCAAGCAGCTGGTACTACAGGCATCCACCACCAAACCAGGCTAATTCTTGTATTTTTTGTAGAGACAGTTTTCGCCATGTTGCCCAGGCTGGTCTTGAACTCCTGAACTCAAGTGATCCTCCCACCTTGGCCTCCCAAAGTGCTAGGATTACAGGCATGGGCCTCTGTGCCTGGCCAAGAATTCCCTTTTCTCTATACCTTTGTCAACATTTGTTATCTCTTATCTTTTTGATAATAGCTGTCCTAACCGGTGTGAAGTGATATCTCATATTGCTTTTTTTGTTGTTGTTTTCTTGAGACAGAATCTTGCTCTGTCACCCAGGCTGGAGTGCAGTGGCACTATCTCGGTTTATTGTAGCCTGTGCCTCCCGGATTCCAGAGATTGTCTTGCCTCAGCCTCCTGGGTAGCTGGGATTACAGGCCCACACCACCATGCCCAGCTAATCTTTGTATTTTTAGTAGAGGTGGGGTTTCACCATGTTGGCCAGGCTGGTCTCGGTCTCCAGACCTCAGGTGATCTGCCTGCCTCAGCCTCCCAAAGTGCTGGTATTACAGGCATGAGCCACAACACCCAGCCTCATATTGGCTTTTATTTGCATTTCCCTGATGATTGGTGATTTTGAGCACTTTTTCATATAACTGTTGGCCATTTTTATGTCTTTTTTTGGAGAAATGTCTATTCAGGTCCTTTGCAGTTTTTTTTTTAAATTGAATTATTTGTTTTTCTGCTATTGAGTTGTGTGTGTTTTTTAAATACAAATTTTGGATATTAACCCTTCATCAGACATGTAGTTTGCAAATATTTTCTTCCAATCTGTAGGTTGCCTTTTCATTTTAGTTGTTTCCTTTTCTGTGCAGAAGACTTTTAGTTTAATGTAGTCCCATTTATTTATTTTTGCTTTTGTAGCTTGAGTTTGGTTATGATAGCCAAAAAATTGTTGACAAGGCTTATTTCAAGATTTTATTGAAGCATATAATTTAATATTTTTATTGAATTGGGATGATTTCAGCCATTATTTCTTCATATTTCTTGTCCTATCCCATTCACTCTCTAGTCACTCTCTACTCTTCCACTGAGACTCCAAGTACTCAAAATGCCGGCCTGATTGACACAACCTCATGGGTACTGGGGGGTTTGTTCATTTATTTTTAATGTATTTTTCTTGTCTTCTTTAGATTACATCATTTTGTTGTTTTATCTTCAAGCTTAGTACTCCTTCATTTTGTAATTTTCTATTTGTTCTTCAGACCATACAGAAATGTTTTCTTTTAAATTATTGTTTCTTTCAATTCTAGAATTTCCATTTGGTTCTTCACGGATTCCGTTTCTTCTAGATTCCTCATCTGTTATTCATTATGACCACTTTTTCTTTGTTAGAACATGTCTTTGGTCATATTCTAACATTTTCTGTATATATCTTGTCTGCTAATTATAATATCTGGTTCATCTCAATATGAGGTTTTTGATTCCCTCTCAAACATGGCTTCATGTTTTTCTGCTTCTTTCCATATCTGGTAATTTTTATGGTATGCTGGACAGTGTAAATGATATGATTTACAGTCTAGATTATTTATTTTTCTTTAAAGAGATTGTATACTGTTCTGTGAGATCCTTTGTTCCTGTCAGGCTTTGTTACTTTTTGCGTGGGCAGGCCTCGTTCTGATGTGAACAAGTGCTATTCATGAGGCTCTCATTTCAGGCATGATCTTTACTACTAAACTGTGGTTTTTGGGGATTTCAATGGAAAGCCCAATGTGCTCGGTGAGGTCTTTTCACTCAGGCTTGATGAGCTGCTTAATGTTTTTTACACAGCATCATCTCTGGTATTACTCTTCAGCTCTCAGACCCATAGGAAAAAGTCCCTATTAGGTTTCACAAAGCCTCTCTCTGGGTGTATGTTTCTCAAAACTCACTCAGGAAGCTGCAGAGAATCCCTACCTAGACTTCTGGGATTCTCTCTGTGTGTAACTCTATTCTCTCTGGTACTTTGTCCTGAAAAATTCCAGCTTCTTTAAAAGCTTAGAATTCTAATGTCTGCCTCTTCTGCTCAGCTAGACCTCTGCTAATCTTGGGCTCTAACTCCCTTCACCATGACAGGTAAATGGTTCAGGCAGGAAGGCGAGAAAATCATGGGAATCATCTGGTGTGTTTTCATTCTCTTAAGGATCACAGTTCTGTTCTACTTATTGCTCAATGCCTGAAAATACATGTTTCATACATTTTGTCCAGTTTTACAGTTGTTTTTCAGTGGAAGGACAAGTCTAGTGTCAGTTATCATCCCATGGTGAAAAACAGAAGCCTCATTCTATTTTCCAAATAGATATCATACCATGATCTGGTTTTTATAGTTATTATGTAAAACCAATATGTATATTTGTAGGGAAAAACATCTTTTTCTTAATCAGTATTAATCAGTCTTCCCCAGACTCTGAAAAGTTTAGTCTGTTTGTGAGAGAACAGTGCCCAAAGAGTACAGTATTAGATTTTACAACTTCATCCAAAAGAAATAGTTCTTATTTAATTAGACATAAATCTAAGGTCTTACGTGGTAGGATGATATCACAATATAAATTGTTAATAAATTTCCTTGGATAAGGAGTTAGATAGAAAACAATGAATTGAGGGCAGAGGAGACAGGAAAAATGTCAGATTATTACGTTTTAGCTAGCTGTAATAAATGTGTCCTTTCATTCTCCTAATATAAGGACAAAGCCCCAAATAAGTGAAGCTCTAAATAAAATGACAGCTTTTCAGATGTCTTTGCATCCCACTAGTGAAGTGAGGAAATCCAGAAGTGAATCCTGTTGTTTTCCAAAGTGTAGCTGACATTCCTTTGATGTTAAAAAGTAAAATAAAAACAAAAACCCATTGTTAGGTATGCCATCCAGGATGAACTGGTGACTTATTTGGAATGCTAGTTAAATTATTTGAAATGCCACAATTTCTGTGGCTTTCTTTTAGGTTTACATTCTTTATAGTTACATTTTCATGGCTCAATTACCAGACCAATTATAGTTTTCTCTTTTTATTTGTTCTGTTTTATTGTCACTCAGGACAGGAAAAAAGAATGTTGGTGACAGTCATCTTATTTATGGAAGGCTTTCAACATTACTAATTAGAATGCTCTTCAGAAAGTTGACTTGCCAATGACATACTGTAAAAACTTTTCAGATTAGAATCTTCATAGCAATGGAAATATTTCCTACAAATGGAAATATACAAATGTGAGCTGACTTGCTGAAAAGAGATCGCCTTTAGGAATAGGTCTTAGATCCATTGATTCTTTTTTAAGATTTTCATCATTGACATGGAGAATGGAGCATACTTCTGGGTGTTACGAAAAAAGCAATTTAGGCCAGGCACGGTGGCTCACACCTGTAATCCCAGCACTTTGGGAGGCTGAGGCGGGTGGATCACGAGGTCAGGAGATCATGACCATCCTGGCTAACACGGTGAAACCCCGTCTGTACTAAAAAATATATACAAAAAATTAGCTGGGCATGGTGGCAGGTGCCTGTAGTCCCAGCTACTCGGCAGGAGAATGGTGTGAACCCAGGAGGCGGAGCTTGCAGTGAGCCGAGATTGGGCCACTGCACTCCAGCCTGGGCGACAGAGCAAGACTCCGTCTCAAAAAAAAAAAAAAAAAAAAAGCAATTTAAAAATCAAATTACATGGGTTCTTAACGCATAAAGTATGCCAATTCAAACACCAGGGTTTTAAAAATACTGTTTCAGGCTGGGCACGGTGGCTCACACTTGTAATCCCAGCACTTTGAAAGGCTGAGATGGGCGGATTACTTGAGGTCAGGAGTTCGAGACAAGCCTGGCCAACATGGTCAAACCCCATCTCTACTAAAAATACAGCAATTAGCTGGACATGGTGGCAAGGGCCTGTAATCCCAGCTACTCGGGAGGCTGAGGCAGGAGAATCACTTGAACCTGGGAGACGGGGGTTGCAGTGAGCAGAGATCGCACTATTGCACTCCAGCCTGAATGACAGAGAACGGCTCCATCTCAAATAATAATAATAATAGTAAAAATAAAAAATAAAAATACTGTTTCAATGTTTGAATTAGATTGCACTATGGTTAATCATCTTGAATTTGTTCTGAAAAAGATATAAAATGTAAAAGCATATATCATAGTCCATCCAGTGATCATGGGCAGGTATAGCATGAGAGAATTAAGAGCCAGGTGCCATAACATTGAGAACACGTGCAATAGTAGTGTAAAAAGAGGAAGGTATCCACACAGGGCTGGAAAGAGAATAATCATTCTCAATACCAAGCTAATTTTGAAACTATGACTTTTTATGAGGTGAGAAAAACAGGGAATAAATTCACATTTGAAAGTCTGCTCAGAATGTTGTCTTTATGTTTTTAGAGATACTGGGCATTGTCTGAGAAGTCATTTATATTTAAAAGTGTGTCTAGTAGTTGTCATCCTATTCATATTTTTTCCTAAAGCATGGACTACTTGAATTTTTCACCTGTAAATTTAGTCCTGCCTGTAGCTCTTAGGACAATATACTAATGTCTCAGTGTCCCATCCCTTAAAAGGGAGAAAAGTCAGATAAAGTTCCAGATTGAGGATTGCCTCATGATGGACTGGCCATGGCAAGAATATCAAGGTGATAAAGAAGTAAGGAGAGCCAAGGGGTAAGTCCTAGCCTGGGAAAGGAGGTTGAAATGTGGAGGGAGAGGAACAAGATCATAAAAAAAGTTGATATAAGAGATAGGCCCTGGGGAGATTAAATGCCAAGGAGATCTGAGGAGGTCTTTGACTATTGCCTCATCACGTTTATGGTTACACAGCAATCCGATGGGTATGTTGGGCTGGCTTAAAATCAAGAAGGATAGTGTCTGAGATTCACCATCATCAGTCTTGCTGCTAAGTCTAGCTCTGACCTCTGATTCTCCTGGTCAAATAATTGGGCAACTGTTTTCTTTCTGACTTCAGCGCTGCCTCTCAGTTTTAGTTTGGTATCTGGGAACTTACTACCACAGACTTCTCTCCTACCACTTACCATTCTTTTTTAAAAATATTTTATTTTATTTTAAGGTCTGGGATACATGTCCAGGATGTGCAGGTTAGAGAGGTAAAAGTGTGCCATGGTGGTTTGCTGCACATATCAACCCTAGGTATTAAGCCCCACATGTATTAGCTATTTATCTTGATGCTCTGTCTCCCCCTGACCCCCCAAAAGGCCCTAATGCATGTTGTTCCCCACCCCCCCCGCCCCGTGTCCATGTGTTCTCATTGTTCAGCTCCCACTTATGAGCGAGAACATGTGGTGTTTGGTTTTCTGTTCCTGTGTTAGTTTGCTGAGGATAATGGCTTCCAGCTTCATCCAAGGCCCTATAAAGGGCATAATCTCATTCCTCTTTATGGCTGCATAGTATTCCGTGGTGTATATATACCACATTTTCTTTATTCAGTCTATCATTGATGGGCATTTGGGTTGATTCCATGTCTTTGCTATTGTCAATAGTGCTGCAATAAACACACACGTGCATGTATCTTTATAATAGAATGATTTCTATTCCTTTGGGTATATACTCAGTAATGGGGATTGCTGGATCAAATGGTATTTCTGGTTCTAGATCCTTGAGAAAAGGCCACACTGTCTTCCACAACAGTTGTGTAGTACAGTTTGAAGTCAGGTAGCATGATGTATCCAGCTTTGTTCTTTTTGCTTAGGATTGTCTTGGCTATATGGGCTCTTTTTTGGTTCTACAAGAATTTTAAAGTAGTTTTTTTTCTAATTCTGTGAAGAATGTCAATGGTACTTTAATGGGAATACCATTGAATCTATAAATTACTTTGGGCAGTGTGGCCATTTTCACAATATTGATTCTTCCTATCCATGAGCATGGAATTTTTTCCATTTGTTTGTGTCCTCTCTTATTTCCTTGAACAGTGGTTTATAGTTCTCCTTGAAGAGGTCCTTCACATTCCTTGTTAGCTCTATTCCTAGGTATTTTATTCTCCTTGTAGCAATTGTGAATGGGAGTTCATTCATGATTTGGCTCTCTGTCTATTGTTGGTGTATAGGAATGCTTGTGATTTTCACACATTCATTTTGTATCCTGAGACTTTGCTGAAGTTGCTTATCAGCTTAAGGAGCTTTTGGGCTGAGATGATGGGGTTTTCTAAATATAGGATCATGTCGTTTACAAACAGAGACAATTTGACTTCCTTTCTTCTTATTTGAATGCCATTTATTCCTTTCTCTTTCCTGATTGCCCTGGCCAGAACGTCCAATACTAGGTCAAATAGGAGTGGTGAGAGAGGGCATCCTTGTCTTGTGCTGGTTTTCACAGGGAATGCTACCAGCTTTTGCTCATTCTGTATGATATTGGCTGTGGGTTTGTCATAAATGGCTGTTATTATTTTGAGGTATGTTCCATCAATACCCAGTTTACTGAGTTTACATGTTAAAATACCTATTTTTTTTTAACATGAAGGGATGTTGAATTTTATTTAAGGCCTTTTTTTGTTGTTGTTTGCATCTATTGAGATAATCACATGGTTTTTGTGTATGTTTCTACTCTCTTTAGTCCCGCCTAGTCTTCCCATTGCTATCTTTTATTTGTCTGATCTTCCTAGGTTAGATAGTTTCCTGAGCCTGGGTTTGTCATCCATATTCACACCCTTCAGACATAGTAGCCTTCCTGCCTAAAAAGGACACTTTTGGATGGTCTCTCTGAGGAATACAAATTAGAGCAGAGTAGGTGCCCACCTACTGATGTGGATTCTGGGTAGCAGGAAGGTGCTATTGCCTTCCTGAAATCTTTTTTACATAATCAGTAATTGAATGCCTAGAAACTCAGGAGCCAGGCACTTATCCATTAAATTATAAATTCCTGTGAGAACATTAATTATTATAAGGCCTTTGTTACCTTGGTTGGAATGCGGCACCTGAGAAAGAAATTTTCATAGAGGAGAGGAGGTAAGGAAATAACTACACTGGCTACCTAATGTCAATATTCTGAAGGAAATTATGAAAGCCCAGAAGACAATTTTATTATTTTGCCTATGCCTGGACTTGAGTGTTCTAGTTGATTTGTCTAAAGCAATTGACTACAGGCAATCAAGCAACAGACACAAAATTGAGCCTTATATTCTATAGGCATAATCTCATACAATGCTATGAATGATAACATAAATCCCTTATTCTCCATTAGCTAATTGTTCTGAAATCATTATTGAGGATCTTTCCTGGCCCACCACCCTCCACCATCATCGCCCTACTCCACCCCACCTCTGTGTTCATTTATTACACACCTATTGGGACTGTTGGCTGCTGTTGTGGTGCAGCAATGCAAGCTGTGCTTCAGTGTTTAATTTTAATTTCCACTTCTGCTTTCATCACAGCCCTTGAAGACTAGAAGGCAAAGAGACTAGGGAAGAATGAATTTTAAGATAATAGACTGAAAAATCAAAACAAATGATCATAGCGGAAGTCAGAGAGTTTTAGTCCATTCGCCAGATAAATATTTTGGGAAGCCTTTCATGGAAAAAATTGGAGGTAAATTTTGTGGATGGTGGGTATTTTAAATCAATAGAATAGCCTACTTCTAGGTTTTACATAACTATCTACTTCTAGCCATTACAATCCTGTGAGAATGAAATACTTCTGGTACTTCAAAAGCGTCATATACTCTCTCATCACCGTTATTTTGCATGCTTTATTTTCTGTAGCTCCCCTGTTTGTAACACTTTAGCCTCTCTCTACTTCTTCCCATTTTACCCATCAATCATCTTAATACTTCATATCAAATCATAGTTGTCACTGTCAATAAAGAGTTTTCCTTGTACTCTTAAGGCTGAATTAGGATTCCTTCATATGTCCCCATAACACCCTATTCTTGCACCTAAGATAGCATGTGCACAATGAAATGTTGCCACCTTTTCATTTGCTCAATTCTCCAACGAGACTATGAACATTTTTTATGGCTGTTTCTGTATCTGGTTTACCATAAGAGCCCTTCTGCCAAACACCATGCTTGCAACATAATAGGGGTCCAAAAATATTTGAACCACCTCTGCCATGTTGGATGTCTATAACCAAATCTCTTTTCTAGCCCTTGTGCCAATCTTAGAAATGAAAGAACAGCATTTACAAAATTTTGCTGTAATTTCCAAATAAATGCTTGTTATAACTTTCATTTTTCCCCCAGGATATTAAGAAACTATAGCAAGTCAACAGAAAGAAACATTATTGTGGGAATAGTGGACTTGGGGCTGGGGAGTGTTATTGTTTTCACCTCCAAAGGAGTGTAGCAAATTCAGTTCTTTCAGAGGGTCGTTATCCAAAGGATCAAATCTGGTGCAAGGGTTGGCATCAGGAGTCTGTAATGAGTATGGTTCCAAAATCATTGTTGTAGGGAATTCTATTAGATTCTTAGAAAGTAGCAAGGTCTACTTTCTAAGAGAGAATAATAAAGCAGAAACTAGTTAGAGGACCAGGTCTTTAGGCAAGTGTGCTGAGGTTCAGGGCAGGAATATTAAGAAACTTGAACACAACCCAAAAACTGATATAAATAAAAGTGGCATACGTCCACACAATGACTGTTAGGGGTGGAAGCTGCAGCTTTGTCAGCATGTGGACATTCAGGGTCTCCCCTGGGCACATTGGACACCATTCAAAATGCGGTGGCCAAATGTGAATCTCCATGCGTACACTCAGGAAAGGATGAACAGAACCTTATTTTGTAAGAACTATTATAGCAAGGCCTTTAGCAAAAAATTTTTTCTCATAAGTTCTAAGATTGCACCCAATTTGAATTCTAATTTTAATTACTTTGCAACAAGTAAGCTTTTACCAGTGTATACACCAAGGGAGGTTTGGGACACTTTCTGAACAGCACGGGGTATTAAATTAGAATGAAATAATTTTCGTAGCCATCTAAAAATCAGACCAGTTTTAAACCATCAACTCTTGGGTTGTTCATCATCCAGTGTGCTCCATAGATATAAAATGACACACTAAAATTGATGTAAAATCCTTGGCCAAGATGATTGGGCCAAGTTCACAAAATTGTTGAGCCATTTTGCTTTACAGAGTTCTTTTTAAAATCAGAGTTGGACAGCTAAATGCTTTCTATACTATCAACGGCAATAGAAGGCCTAGTGTGAGAGGGTTATAAATGCACATCCCTACCACTGGATCTTTATATTGTTTTATAATGATCTATTTCTGTGTCTGACTTCCTAGTGGCTTGTGAGTTCCTCGAGAAACCAACTTTGCATTTTCAGATCACACATGGTGGCCCACACTCATTGTGGTATAGACTAATAGCTGTCCTCCAAAATCTGTCTTCCTTTGATCACATAACTAGATTTTGGCTATCTGTGAGCAATTTGGTAGCATTCTTAGTCATGAGTGGATATGCCCTAACTTTGTGCTGTGGTCTCAAGACAGAAAATCCAAATTATATCCATTGTATTGTAAGCAAATGACTGCAACAAAATCTGGCAAATTCTCATTGACTTAGATAAATATGGTGTCACTATAAACCCAGTTGAGCTATAATCATGTATGAATGTATTTAAAGATGTTTTTCTCCAGCAGCTTACAAGAATAAATGTTGAAATACAGATTTTTAACACGTATTTTTCTGAGCTTATTTTCCTAATAGGAAACAATGTCTCCAGAAGGGTTACGATGTAAAAATATGTGGCCTTTAACAACAGACTTTTATGTGTAAAAAGTCTGCCTTTCTCTTATGAAAGATCTTAGTAGAGTGTGTTATCTCCAGGTAAATATGTTTTGTAGTCCTTTTCCCCATCTTGCTCTGCCCCTTTTCCTTATGTATGGTATGCCTCCTTCCAGAAATAAATTGCTGGTTCAGATTCTTTCTCTTAAAAATTCTACTCAATATTCATTTCTGGTAGTAAGGATAGTCTCGTCTAGGAAGAGCATATTCATCAGTATAAATCACGTTTGATCTTTCCAATCTTTCCATTTATTCTGAGAGTCTTCTAGACCTTGAGTGAATATAATGGTCCTTGTGACAAAATCAGTTTGTTTGAAAAGTGGACAAATATTGTGCAAACCAGCAGGAAGCATTCCCTGTGTGAAAAATATCTGATTCAAGGATTGAAACAAATGATGACATTAATGTAAAAGTCTATTTTTCTTCAGGCAAAACAATTAACTTCAGTAACAAACATTTATTGAGTTGACATGGGTTCAAAAATAATGACAATAATAAAAAAGCTTTTATTTAGTCTCAAATCAATGATATTAATTTAATTGTTTCTAAACCCATTATTGCTGAATTCAATACTTTTTAAAAATTAACTTCATCATTTTAAAGTCATAAATAAATTTTCTGTGTTTTAAGTAATAAATAAAGCTTCCGTACTTTGGTGGGTCATGCCTCTTAATTTGCAAATGATCCATTTTCTGCTTTTTGATTATAGCTTATATCCAGGGTTAAATTACATGCAACAAATTACATTGCAATGAAAGCTTTCTTTAGAGCCAGAGACTTTTAACTCTCATTGCCCCTACTTCAAATAATATTTGATGTAACAAAACCCTAATATAAGGAAAGTTTGATCCTTTGAGAGTTTTGTAAAAGTGGTTTACCTGAATTTATTTATAGTTTTTCTGAAAGCTATGATAAGAAGAGTTTTTGAGCTAAAACATGGTGCATATATGCAAAGGAATAAATTAAAGCCAAAGTCTGAAAATTATGAAACAGTTAGACTTGTGGTTTACATAGATTAAATATAGATAAAAGATCAAACATATTTAATCTCTTTATTTTCATCTGGATTTTTGTTTTGTGAATAAATAGGCATAAAGGGAATGTTTAGATATGTTACTGTTTGTGAGATCTACAATTATCTTCAACTACCATCCAATGTTTCTAGTGCCCCAGCCCTGATGAAAATTGCTTCTTATATTTAGTAACAAGAGTACTGTATGATTAAATATCTCCATGCCTCCTCTCTTATAGTTTTCCATAATGGGTTATGTGATCAGACATCCATGTGTACAGGCTATATGAATAATTTGTTGATAATAATAGTGAAAGATAACTTTTTGTTATTACAAGACAATTTAATAAAACAAAGAGTTATTAGCAGTAATACAAAATAATTTTTTCAATAGACCTATTTATATTACTTGTGCTTGTTAGAAAGCACAAAATTATAATCCTACTGTCAATCAGTAATCAAGTTGATGAAAATGCTGGTATTTAGCATGGATACCATTTCCTATTTATTTATTTATTTATTTGAGATGGATTTTCACTCTTGTTGCCCAGCTGGAGTGCAATGGCGCAGTCTCAGCTCACTCCAACCTCTGCCTCCCGGGTTCAAACGATTCTTCTGTCTCAGCCTCCCAGGTATCTGGGATTACAGGGGCCTGCCACCACACCCGGCTAACTTTTTTTTTTTTTTTTCAGTAGAGACAGGGTTTCACTATGTTAGTCGGGATGACCTCAAGCTCCTGAACTCAGGTGATCCACCAGCCTCGGCCTCCCAAAGTGCTGGGTTTACAGGCATGAGCCAACATACCCGGCCAAAATTCACCATTTCTAATGTAGACCATAGAGCCACTAGCAAATCATGGTGAAGGAGGTTGACAAAGTACATACTTGATAGTCCATTTTTTCCAAAGAAATAGGAAGCAGAGGAATTAGTTGGAGATGTGTTATAAGGCTTGAGGAGACTGAGAGCATTGTGGAATAATCTCTGAAGAAAATAGGAGAAAAGCCTGGTCAAGGACAAGAAACAAATTCAATTATGTTTTGAGCCCACCTAATGTTGGAAGAGCATATATTTAAATGGAATCTTGAAATGCCATAAATATTTAAATACCTAATATGTGCTTCATTGTTCTAGGCACAAGGGATACAGCCAATATTTTATATAGTTCATCTTCTGGAGGGATAGCAATCATGACATTTTCTCTGGTGTAAGAAATAAAGAAGGCCGGTTGTTTAATTGCTCCAGATTGAAAAAAAAACGAGAAGCAAATATGGAAGAAAGGCAAAGATTTCATTCATTTCATATCAAGAAATATTTACTGAGCACCATAAGATCCCAACTATTTTGACAGGAGTCAAGAATTGAACAAATAAAGTCTCTCTTCTAGGACAGCTTGTAGTTTACTGGGAAAGACAGAAATGATAGCAGATCTTGTCACAAGCATGTGGTCAGTACCATGATGGTTATAACAGCAGAGTGTGAGGGGCAGAGGCCCTTATCTGAGAATGGGAAAGTGCCAGGGGATGATGCCTAAGTATGGGGATGTCAATGCCAAATCTTCAGACAGTATGGCAACCTTCTGTAAGTTCCCAGGACATAAAACAGTTGAGTGGAATGCTTGCAGAGAACTCTACGAGAGTTGATCCTCTTTCTGCACAGAGGGTGAGGCAGGCCAGGCCTGGTGATGAGTCTGGGGGTTACTGAGGAGATCATATAAGGCCTTGGAGGTGAGCACAGGTAAAAAGTTAGACAAGGTGATCAATTACATGATCCAAGCTGGGAAGCAAAGGCCTTGAAGCTAGAAGAGCCCTGATAGACTGGAAAACATTTAGAGGATCAAAGACCTGGTCTCTCCATGGGGTAGAGAGAAAGAGCAGTGAGAGCTTCCCGGAGAGTATGGGATAGCCTGAGAGCGGAATGCCTGAATTTAAAGAGCCTGACAAGGACTTACACTATGGGAGGAGAAGGTCCAGAATGTCTCCAGGTTCAAGGGGCTTCAAGGGGCTGGAAGTGAGAATCATTGAAGCCAAGGAAGTCTAAGAACTTACGTATTGGCTGTATCATTAGCATGCATTTTGTAATTTCTTGGAATAGGTCAGGAAGTGGACTCAATAGGAAAATTGTAAGTTGGAGACTGGACTAGCCAATGACTATGAGGCAATTACCTGAAGCCAGTAGATTATAGTTATATGAGGGAAGGATGGTTGGCTTAGCTAGATGCCACGGACTTTAAAAGCAAAGGATTTTTCTGTGAAAGTTTCTGTGTGGCACACAGGACCCCAAAGCACCTCCAGGCCCTTGGGATTCTGCTGAGTACCTCCTGGTCCCCAGAGAAAGGTACACACCTGAAGTCCTAACAGATAACTCGGTTAAGGCCTTCATCCTCTTCAGTCTTATCTGGGGGTTTGGTGTGTCTTCATAAACATGAGAAGGACAAGTCAATGACTTAAGTGTGCACAGTAAACCAGTGCTTGATCTAGGACCAGAATGAAAAGATTTTTGCCTGAACTTTGTTACACTAGACTTCACTGTTTTTTTTTTTTTAAATAGATGTCTTGTTCAGACACTGTTTTTCAATAACAAATTGATTTCAATACAAAAGTACTGGTGAAAATTACTTTCTTAGAAATGTAATTATGCATCTTAATGAAGCCTTGCTGATAAGTGAAAGCATCCTCTTAGCCCTGGGATTTTCTCTAGGCTTCTCACACTAATGTCATGATGCTGAGATAGTTTATAACGCTGAACATTACTACGGATTCCTAAATTTGATAAAGTTTATTTCAATACCCAGAGATGGAATTTTGCTCACCGAAGAGTTGAGCCACGTGTCCAGGACAAATTCTTCAGGGCCAAACATGTGGATCAAACCCAATAAAAATGTTCAACCTGATGCAGGTTTCTAGATATTGACTGCTTGTCTTTGTATAGATAAAGCCTCTGGTTGATTGATTATTCATTTTAATTTGAATATTTTGATATCCTATAATTACAAGTTCTCTTTTCTCAACCTCCCCAAATTGAATCTAGTCCTGCAATGTTGAGTTTCTGAGAACCATCTTGACTTACATCTTTCAGATAGCTTTCCCAGAACTCCTTATGCTTACTGGTGTGAATGGAAGGGACGCAATCATTTACTTGGAGGTTTTTTCTGTTATAATGTTGTTTTCATGGAAAGCATTTTTTGGCTTTAATATTAGCTCTGAACAGTTGCTCTTCTAGCAATGTGATTTTTGCCTGACATGCATCATGTAACATCACTCATGCTATTAAACTTTATAGTTTTGCATGCTTTTATTTTTGCAAAAATATTACAGCCAACATTACCATATTTTATCTTCAATACACCCTTTTGAGGCAGAACAAATGCTTTTATTCTCAGTTACTGATGAGGAAGCTGTTACACATAGAGATGAAGTAATTTTCTTCAGGTCTACAGAAGACATTGGCAGAACAGAGGCTAAAACCTGAGTCTTCAAGGAATAGAATAGGCAAGGAAATTGCTCTCCTATTTTATACAACAAAGGTAAAGATTTAGTTTACATAATCTTCTAATTCAAAAATTGGTTTATTTAATTAATTAATTTATTTATTTATTTTATTTTTTGAGACAGGGTCTTGCTGTCACCCAGGCTGGAGTGCAGTGGCACAATCACTGCTCACTGCAGCCTGGACCTGCAGGGCTCAAGTGATCCTCCCACCTCAGCCTCTCAAGCGGCTGAAACTATAGGCATGTGCCACCACACATGGCTAATATGCATACATATTTTTATGTATTAGCTAATATATAATATATTCATTATTAAGTATCAATAATAAATTAGTATTTAATATTAATATATCATTATATTAATATATTATTAATACTGTTGCTATATTATTAATAATCAAGATATAACATATTAATTATTAAATAATAACAAATTAGTATTAATATTATATATCATATATTATGTATAATACATATTATAAAATACAATATGCTTTATAATATAATTATAAATATTTTTTATATAATTATATATTTTATAATATACAAATATATATTTTATATCTTTTATTTTATAATATATTATATTTCTCATATATTTATTACAAATATTATATTTTATATTATAAATCTTGAATTCAAGAGAGAAGATACATCTTCCTAAGCTATCTTTGTACTTAGAAGAGTAAAATTCTGTCCAAATGTATTTCTAAAATGAGACAATAAAAGAAGACTTTACAGCCTGATACAGACTGAGACTGCCTCCAGTTCCCGTGGTGACTGTGCTGTATCAGTGTGTGGTGAGGATTGTTTGGTAGTGGACATCTATCAAAGGACCGTAAAAAGTCAGCAATCTCCTCCATATTTATTTTTAAATGCCAATTTTTAGATTTTGCTTCAAGAAACATAAAGTATTCACATTTATACTCATTTTCCAGAAACTAGTATCTCCCTCTTTCGGTGATGCCTGAGAGAGTATTCACATAGATAGCTGTGATCACTGACAAATGGAACGTTCATATTTTTTCTTCATGACCTATTTAATACATTCTCTCAATGATTATGCAATGGAGTTACCACATATGTAGTTCGATCATCAGAGGTAAAGAAGAAGTAGTTTTTTGTTTGTTTGTTTTGTTATTGTTATTTTTTGAGACGGAGTCTCATTCTGTCCCCCAGGCTGGAATGTGTGGCCCAATCTCGGCTCACTGTAACCTCCGCCTCCAGGGTTCAAGCAATTATCCTGACTCGGCCTCCCGAGAAGCTGGGATTACAGGCATGCACCACCACGCTAGCTAATTTTTGTATTTTTAGTAGAGACGGGGTGTTACTATGTTGGCCAGGCTGTTCTCGAACTCCTGACCTCAGGTGATCGCCTGCCTCGGCTTCCCAAAGTGCTGGGATTACAGGCGTGAGCCACCGTGCCTGGCCAGGAAGAAGTAGTTTTTTAATAACACCCTCTCTTAACCCCTAGCCCATGGGCAAAAGGAGACCATCCAAATGCAACAAAATTCCATTATTTTATTTTCATTTTTTTCCCCAAGCTTTCCCCTAAATTGCCATTCCTTGCCAGCTGTGACACATTTGATATTCCTCATTAAGAATCAACTTTATTGAACTGGAAATATCATCCTCTTATTATTTATTAACATAGTTTTAGAGGAATCCTCCCGTTTTGGTTGGTAGCTGTTCAGTTGGGTTTAACTGTGATGCACTTGTTGGCTGTTGAGCCCCGTGGGGACTGTGCTGAGACAGACTTACTCAGGCTTCCTTTGAACACAGAAATGAAAATCAATAAACAATTTGAACTTCTTCGAGGAGAATTTTTCTCCTCTAATGAATATACAAGCTTGGTTACAGCTTAATTCAAAGACTGAATTTAGTGAGTGTTTTTGCCTGCACCATACGCATGACAAACAGAAGTCTCAAATGACATGACCCACAGGGAGACTTACATTTAAAAAAAATCATCATACTCTCCCACCTTAAGCCCACATAAAAACAAGACAAGTCAACTGTAATAATATTTACTCGAATCAGAGACTTGAAAAATGGCCCAGCAAGTGTCCAGTGATAAAATGTGTGCTGTCTATACACAAAACGTTTTAAAAGCAAGACATATACAGACAAACAAAAAGAGTTCAACAAGCTCAAACAAGTGCATATTTTATCAGTTATGATTTTTTTGTTTTCAAGTAACAGAAAACTCAAATCTAGCTTTGGTTGAGTCTCCATCCAGAGGCTCGTGTGATGTTACATACGCTCCCTCCTTTTCTTCCTTCCGTTCATTCCTTGTTGGTGTCAACTTCATCCTTATTCTCCAGGTGAAAGCAAGGCATTTCATGTGACAGCGAAATGGCTTCCAAGGAACAGAGTTGAGATTTTCCCATAATAGCTGAAAAAAACAAAGCCGAGTTCCTGCCTCTTGAAGAGGGTCCTGAATAGAATCACACGCTCATTCCTATCTCTGTGGCAGGAGGGGTAGGATGTGCTGATTCATTTAAGGCCACATCCTGACATCACATCCTGACATTAAGAGTGGGATTCATAGCAGGGCACGGTGGCTCACGCCTGTAATCCCAGCACTTTGAGAGGCCGAGGGGGGGCGTGGATCACAAGGTCAGGAGTTCGAGACCAGCCTGGCCAATATGGTAAAACCCCATCTGTACTAAATATACAAAAATTAGCCAGACGTGGTGGTGGGCACCTGTAGTCCCAGCTACTCAGGAGGCTGAGGCAGGAGAAAAGCTTGAACCCAGGAGGCAGAGGTTGCAGTGAGCTGAGATTGCGCCACTGTACTCCAGCCTGGGTGACAGAGCAAGACTCTGTCTCAAAAAAAAAAAAAAAAAAAAAAAAAGAATGGGATTCATACCATCTCAAGGCAAGTATTGAGGTGTCCATCAGAAGTGATTTTTCAGAAGGAATTCAAGGTACTATTTTACCAGAAGACTGGTGAGAAGATACTGTATGACCAAAACCACTGGTAGAGACAGGTAAAACATGTTTGAGGAATGTTCACTGAATTAGTTCATGCTACTGCTAGAATCATCTTTTAAAAGTGTGGTGATAAGTTGGCCTGTACCCATAATTTATCACCAGAAACTTATAATGTTAAGCACACAGGTTCATATCATTTTTAAAAACGTAAGAATAAAAATGCAACTGTATTAACACCAAGCCAATACTACAAATGAAATTAAATTAATGACTTCACTTACAAACAAGATCTATTACTAAATACCTATGAAAAACAAGATTTCATATGTCTTCTTATAAAGGATTCCAGAGCCATAGTTTCGTTTTTGTTTATAGCATCTTAACATGAAGTTTCTGATTTTTCTTCATGGTTTAGCAGTATACTCACTGGAGCCACGAAAGGGACAAGATGTTATATTTTGTACTCCACCTCCTTCCCCATATTTTCCCCTGGTAAAAGAGAAGGGGTATGTAGAGAGAGGAGCCTGTTGAACTGACCTCTCTTTGTCCTGTGTAAATCAAGACAAAACATCCTTCTGCTGTTTTATAGCAAGGCCAGTTGAAAAAACCCACAAACAAGATAATTCAGTTGATTAATGATGGATGATGGTTTTGGGGTTTTACAGGTGGAAACAAACCACATGTCTTCTTGACACTGGAGAAAATAGCAGTTCTTTATTCTAGTCCCGGATTCCTGCTTTGACTCTCATCTACTATCTGTAGCAATTTTAAAATATGTCCACAAATTCTTCAACACCCCTCCCTCTAAATTTTGGAACCTAATTCCCATCCCCTTGCATATGGGCTGGCCTTACTGACTCATCTTTAATAAGTAGACTATGACAAAAGTGATGGTCTGTCTGTCTTAGGTCATACAAAGGATTGCACCTTCCTTCTTACTCTCTGTCCTTTGGGTCCTTCACTCGGAAGGAAGCCACCCACGGTATCATGAGGAGACTTAAGCAGCCACAAGAAGAGGTTCTTTTGTTAAAGAACAAAGCTCTTCTGCCTACAGCCAGCAAGAGACTGCGGCTTCCACCCTCCAGCCCTGTCAGTGCGCCATTTTGGAAGTGGATATTCAGCCCCAGGCAATCTTTCATTTGACTACAACCTCAGCCTATTTCTGACTTCAACATTGTAAGAAACTTGTAACCAGAACCACTCAGCTAAGCTGCTGCCAGATTCATGGCTCTCGGAAAATGGGTGAGAAAATCAATGTTGTTTTAAGCCACTAAGTTTGGAGGTAATTTGTTACGTAGCAACAGACAACTAATTTAGTATTCAACCTCATTTCCCATTGCTCTTCAAGATGCAAACTCTCCTGACATGTATAAACCAATACATTAGTCAATCAGCCAACCAAGTATGTGTTTACTACTCACTCTTGCTATGCCCAGCATAGTCTCACATTTTAACATCAGATCCTTCCCTATCTTATCTTCCCAGACTAATCCTATCTGAACTCATGTCTTCCTTCTTAAAATTCCTGATTTTCTAGTCAGTAACATACAGTTTAGCCCAAAATATTGCTTTAATTGGCTTATTTATGTTATATTTGGCCATCTTCCCAAAGGACAGGGGTATTCAGATTTTAAAATATTCCTAAATGCATTTTTGGACTCTGTAACTCTTGATTAACTGAAGGAGAAAATTGGATCCTTGAAATTTCTAAATGTCTGTGTTTATTTTGGAGCAAGTGCTGTGTTGCAGCTCCAGGCAGGGAACAGTCTGTTTTGCCCACATTTACCTTCCTACTTTATCCTAGCCTAGAGCAGGGGTCAACAAACTTTTCCTGTAAAGAGCCAGAGAGTAAATATTTCAGCTTCGCCGTTCGTATGCAACTACTCGACTTTGCTATTATAACACAAAAGAGGTGACAGACAATGAGTAAATGAATGGATGTGGCTGCGTTCCAATAAAACTTTATATACAAATACAAGTGTCAGGCCAATTTTGGCCCACCTTCTATGATGGTATATCTCAACATTCCTGCATCAAAAGAATAATCTGCAAAGCTTTTAAAATAAACACACTCACCAGCAAATGTGTTTTAAAAAACACCTCTGAAAATCCTTATAATCTGACAAACTTGGAAAACCTGGGGAAAACAATGAACCCTACTGTGTCCTCGCACTAGGGGTACCTCACAGAGATGTGAGGCAGGAATCAAAAATCACATTTCTTGATAGCTAGGATTTCTGTGATTTCATAGGGCCACATGACTCATCTAAGGACTGACTATTAGGTTTCTCAAAATACACAGCTGTGTTTTTCTTATGTCAGGGAAGACCAACAATGGATAAAGTCATCACTTCCCCATTTCATTAAGGAAAAATTAATGAAGAGCCAAGAAAAGCCCAAGAAAAGTTTTGGATTTTCCACTTGGATCTGCTACTTTAAAGAATGCAGTCACACTAATTACTGTTCTTCATGATGTATAATTTTCTGAAAAAGATAATCTCTTTGAAAGATTAAGATTTTGAAAATTTAGAATTCAACTACATGACATGAAACCACGTGTAGAGCAGAAACACTTAAATCTGACCAAAGAGACAGCTGTTATCTGCAGTGATAGGCTAGGATTTCCAATGTGAGATTTATCTATTAAAAATAAAATTACAACTGTAATTTTTGAAGGGGTTTTCTATATGCATTCTAGGCCTGTCCTAGTCCAATTTAGCTAGTTATATAGTATTTTAGGTAAGACTGCCTCTCCTTTTCTTTTTGCATGAGTGATTTTGTTTAATAATTTCAGTAAACTCAATCAAAGAAGAAAACGTATCCTATTAATTGGCCATAATTCTCCCACACAAATCTTTGGGTATAACTATCATAGATGTAGATGTGTATAGAGCCTGGTTTAATTTCTTAACCTCAATGATATTAACATTTTCGACTAGAAAGTTTTTTGTTGCAGAGGGGGCTGTCCTGTGCATGGCAGGGTGCTTGGCAGCATCCCCTAGCCTCCACCTGCTAGATTCTTGTAGCACCCTCAAGTTGTGACAATCAGAAACACCTCCAGATACTGCCAAATATCTCTGGGGTGAAAGGTGGGTGGGGGAGGCATAATCACCCCAGTTAAAAAATCACTGATGTAGAGAGTGTATATATATATATATATATGCCCTAAGAAAAGCGGAGAATAGAGACCGTTTTCCAGTCATCTTATGTTAAGTTACTGCCCTCAAATATTTTCCTGAAATAGATAAGCAAAATAAGAGCTCGTTCAAGCTATAATTATTCAGGCAATTGACTCAATTCTCCTCTTTACTTTACATGTGAGAGCACCAACAGTGATACTTAGCTCTCCTGGGCAAACTGTGCAGGGTGTCAATGCTTCAGGAACACCTGAGAACCATCATTTGTGGGATCCCTCAGTAACGATTTTATAACACCTAGATGCTAGAAGAAACATTTGCACACGCTGACCCAGGCTCACTGCATTTTAACAAGTCTGCACCCAGAGAATTCAAGAGGGTATGAGCAAGAACTAGGCAGCATGCACCATCTGGTGTTTCAAAAAATGTATACCTTAAGCCCAATTAAGAACTTATATTTAGACTATTTATGAATTGGCTTATTTTGAATGAAATAGGAGAAGCCTAACCTAAAAATAAATGAGCTGGCTCAGAATTTTCTCTTAAATTGAATTCCCTAATATATTATTTCATGATAATGTGATTTTATAGAATTCAACCTAAGACATGTTATGGGCTGAATTGCATTTTCCCCAAATTTGTATGTTGAAGTCCTAAAGCTCAGTACCTCAGAATGTAATCATATTTGAAGATTATGTCTTTATTTATTTTTCTTTTCTTGTTTTTTTTTTGTTTGTTTGTTTGTTTGTTTTTGAGACAGAGTCTCATTCTGTTGCCCAGGCTGGAGTGCAATGGTGTGATCTCGGCTCACTACAACCTCCATCTCCCAGATTCAAACAATTCTCCTGCCTCAGCCTCCCAAGTAGCTGGGATTACAGGAGCCCACCACCACGCCCAGCTAATTTTTGTATTATTAGTAGAGACAGAGTTTCATCATGTTGGCCAGACTGGTCTCAAACTCCTGACCTCAGGTGATCCACCCGCCTTGGCCTCCCAAAGTCCTGGGATTATAGGCATGAGCTACCACACCTGGCCTGAAAATGATATCTTTTTTTTTTTTTTTTTTGAGACAGAGTCTTGCTCTGTCACCCAGGCTGGAGTGCAGTGGTGCAATCCCAGCTCACTGCAACCTCCATCTACCAGGTTCAAGCAATTCTCCTGCCTCAGCCTACTAAGTAGCTGGGATTACAGGCACCAACCACCACGCCCGGCTAATTTTTTTGTATTATTAGTAGAGACAGGGTTTCGCCATGTTGGCCAGGCAGGTCTCAAACTTCTGACCTCAGGTGATCTGCCCACCTCAGCCTCCCAAAGTGTTGGGATTACAGGCATGAGCCACCATGCCCAGCTGAAGATGATGTCTTTAAAGTCATAATTAACTTAAATGAAGTCTTTAGGATGGACTTTAATCCAGTGATACTGGTATCCTTGTAAGAAGAAGAGATTTGGGCACAGACAAACACAAACTCAGAGAAGAGACCATGTGAGAACACAATGAGAAGATGGTCATCTGCAACTAAAGAGAGAGACCTCAGAAGAAACCAAACCTGCTGACATCTTGATCTTAGACTTCTAGCTTCCAGAAGTGTGAGAAACAAACTTTTGTTGTTTAAACTCCCAAGTCTGTAGGATTTTGTTATGGCAGCCCTAGAAGACTAATACAGACAACATGTATAACGTTTATCATGTAATAAGATCACAATAAATGTTCATAGTTACTGATTTTTTATTATTTCATCAATATTATTTTCAATTAATTTCTAAAATCATTTACTGAGTGTCTACTCCCAGATTCTTCGCTATATGCTTGGGGATACCAATGTATGTAAGACAGTGTCTACCCTGCAGTAGGAGAGAAAGGGAAGCCAGTTTAGAATATAAGATATAAAATAGCTTACTTAAAAGACAAAATGAGGTATGTGCCATTAGAGAAATCTATCTTTACAACCTTTTAGTTGCAGTGTCAATGTCTAAAAATGGAAGGGTTTTTTTTTTCATAATTTCTTTGATAGCAAAACCTGACCTAAACTGAACTCATTCAATGGCAAGATTTGGCCTTAAGCTATTGTCTTACTTGATCCCATTTAGTGTGAATATTTTTGTTTCTGTTTGATTGGCTGTTTCTTTGCTGCCCCCATGATGTGGTGGCTCTGTAGTAATCCATCACTCTGTCTGGCTTCCCCCACTTCCCTGTCTCACTTCCTTCACTCTCAATGCACTGAAATTTCACCTCCACAGGAAAGCATCAAAGGTTAATTCCTGTCCCAGTTTCTGTTTTCTAAAGGACCAGGTCAAAGATAATTGCTACAGTGTTTTAAAAAGCACACCTACAGGATGGGATTTTGAAGTGGAGCTCCCAGTGTGTGTGAAAGCAAGAGGGAGGCCAGTGTAGTTGGCCAGTAGGATGGAGTAATTCATGGCAATCAACAGCATCACAATGAATACAATCATGGTTAACTGAGATGAGGTGGAAGCAAGGAGAGGACTTTGGGAAATCAATTAGCTGAGGCACTTAATGTAATGGGAGCAACTATAATTATGAGATTGGTGAGTGCAACATTTTGATGGAATTGGAAACTTGCAAAAAAATAAAATAACAGGCTGAAGGTAGTTAGCTGTTAACATAAGGCACACTCTAAAAGCCACAGAGTCTCTGTGGAAAATTCGAAAGAGACTCTCATCTTATGCAGCTGTGGGACAGATGATCTGAAAATCAGATCCATGGTTTGAGTTGTAAAGTGGTAGAATTGCAGAAGACTAAATGCAAAGAGCCTGGAGGTGTCCTATGACAGGGCATTTCCTCTGACAGGGGAAAAGTGGGACTCGGAAACCTAGTATGAAAACATTTAGGACAAGCCTGGGACTCTTGAACCCACAGATTCCTCTAACTGTCCTGACCAGCAGAAGCAGACTCTGTTTTACTGCTAAATAGCCTCCCCTTTCCTAAAGATCATGCGGCGACCACATAGGAAGTAGTTCCCTTGCAAGATGATGCCTGTTATCCTCAAGTTCCATCTGCCACACCCAATATTGCCTGTAGGTTGATAAATAGAGTCACCTCTCAGCATCCCAAGCAAGAAATTACAAGCCCTTCTCTTGGAAAAAACACTCTATATGCCAAAGGAATTAGAGAAACACTTGTGAGAAGTGGATAAATATATCTTGAAGGTGTTAGATAAGAGAGGGGAGGGAAGAATGGAGGCTGGAGAGGAAAGAATTCATTGACATGGGAGCCTTCAACCATGGTTCAGTTCAATGTCTTGACAGGGACAACTGGCACTGGACCTAATGGTTTATCAAGATACTTCTTTGAAGACTTAACTCAAAGATGGCTTTCAGTAAATGAAATGGAGATGCCAAAACTTTCTTTGTTAACATGGAAGTAAGGCTGGCGTATCAGGGAAGTGAGAATGCTGGATAATTAGGTATGGCCTGAGAGCTTACCATCTCTGTTCTCTGAGAGGTTATAAAGAACACACCAGTTGTGGGGGATGGAGAGCACCAGCATTTTGGAAAAGCTCAGTGGTGACTTTCCCCAGCAGGCAAAGTTTGACAGTGAGAAATACTACCATAAAACTGAGCCCACTAATATCAGTGGTGTTAAATAATATCCTAGAATGGCAGAGACCAAGTGGCAACTGTTAATCATCAGAGACTACACACAGTTATGTACCGTAAAGTTATCCAGGTCAGAGTGGCAATCAATGTGCCTGATCTGCAGGAACTATGGTAGTCCTAGGGGGAAAATGGGAAGGCAACCCACAAGGCTGTTGCTCAGTTATGTGACAACAAAATTGAGAGCTAAGAAAGCTGATGTCAGTCACGACAAAGGAAAATCCTGGTCTCTCACCAGTTTTCAAATCTAAGTCAGCTTCCTGATAGGGCTCATTGACTGAAGAGGAAGTCAGGTCTTCCAGGTGAAGGACCTTTTAGATGCCAGCACAAGTATATCCAGTAAATATTCTTTCAATCCTTTTTTCCCAGTGGGATCTGCAGCCTCCTATGGTATACTCTGGATTAAGGGGAATATCAGTATTTCTGAGGACTATTAGAAACAGTACTGAGCTGTCCTTAACCCCAGAGTAACTTCAGTGCCATTGCAGTTCTTTGGTTAGAGTGAGGACTCGATGGAAGCCAAGTGATAAATACAGATGTGGTCTGAGTTCCTTTCACAACTGGCACTTATAATCTCCCATTTTCATTTTGTGCTTTCCAAATGTTTAGTTGGGTTAATTATAATTAATAGGTATCAGAATTTTCATATTTATTCCCTGACATGGGAATAAGGGATATTATTATAGGAAAATGACCAAGTAGAAGTCCCTAAAAATGTCCTTCCCAACTCCCCACCCAAGTTAAGGTAGTAAATCAGAAGCAAAATAACATTCCTAAAGCAATGAAAAACATCAGTAATGTCATTAAGAATAGAAAGCATGGTGGTTTCTCATCTATCCATTTAATTCACCTGTTTAGACTTTGCAAAATCTAGCGGATCTTAACATATGACAGTGAACATTTTTTTTTTCTGAGACAGGATCTCACTTTGTTGCCCATGCTGGAGTGCTGTGGTGCTATCAAAGCTTACTGCAGCCTTGAACTCCTGGGCTCAAGTGATCCTCTTGCCTCAGCCTCCCAATGTGCTGGGATTACAGGCATGAGCTACTATGCCCAGCTGATAGTGAACTTTTATAAGTGTAGCTAGTTGGCTTGTAGACTCAGTTGCAACTGTTGTGGTGGATATAGTATTTTCTCTTAAGAAGATGAACACAACCTCTTGCACTTGGTATGTAGGTATTGATTGGACAAATCCTTTGTTCTCAAAACTCAGTAATACAGAAGATTAAAAAGCAATTTTCATTTACATGGCAAAGACAGGAATATACCTACATTATCTTATTCATGAGTCGTGTTAGTTCTCCTGCCCTTTGACATAATATAATCTACTGGGACCTCAATCATCTTGATTGATCGATCACCTGATATTGCAGAAAATATCACACCAGCCTACTGTAATGATGATATCACACTA
Source organism: Homo sapiens (assembly GCF_000001405.40). Classification (NCBI taxonomy): domain Eukaryota; kingdom Metazoa; phylum Chordata; class Mammalia; order Primates; family Hominidae; genus Homo; species Homo sapiens. The sequence continues at coordinate 217,235,253 of NC_000001.11, forward strand.
ACTGGCCTCGAGAAGCAGGAAATGGTAAGTATGCTATAGCCCCAGTAAAATAAATAGCTGCATGCCAGACTATGGGAGAAAATCATCAAGATTCATAGACCTTCATTTGTGAAGATTTTTAGTTTAGTTGGACATGCTGGGATATCTCCTCTGGGATAAAGAACAAATTGTTGTACTTTGTTTCTTAAGAAAGAAGCTCAATATTTGTTAGACCCCTTTGGGTTTTGGAAGCAATATTATATTGCATTTGGGAACACTAATGACCCACTTATGAAGTAACCCAGAAACTTTTTAGTTTTGAGTGAACTTCAGAACAAGAGGGATCTCTGTAGTGGGTCCCATGCTGTGGTGCAAGCTTTTCTGATACTTGGGCCATATCAGCAAATCCTATGATGCTAGAACTTTCTATGATTGATAAGATTGCAGTATGTCATCTCTAGCAAGCCCCTATAAAGCTCAGAACCTTAGGGTGCTGGCATAAGACTATACTGTAATTGGCAAAGGATCACTCTACATTTGTAAAATAGCTTCTGCTTTACTATTTGGCCATAGTAGACACTAAGCATCTCGCTACAGAGCCCAAATGACTCTACAACCTGAGTTATCCATCATGAACTCATTATTACTAGATTCACCTAGTTATAAATTTGGGCAGAAAGAGTGGTTATTGATTATAGAATGGGAGTGATATATTCAGGACAAAGCTCAAGCAGATCCAGAAAGCCACAAGTAAATTCTAAGAAGAGGAGCCCATACTACCTCATCACCTTCCTGGGCTGTTCCCCAATGGCACTTCCCTCAATTCACATCATGACCTCATTGCAGGTAAGTGTGTGTGTATGTGAGGTGGGAGGTGGTGATATTCCTAAGCTAAGCAAGAGAAGAGAATGAGCATAGGCCTCATTTATAGATGGGTTGGCACAATGTTGGCAATCACCAGAAATGGACCATTGCTGAATTACAGCCCCACCTAAGGATAGAAGCGAAAGGAAATCCTACCCATAGGCAGAACTTTGAGAAATACATTTGGTCCTATACTTTGTATGGAGGGAGATGACATGAAGTTTGAAATACAGATATGCATTTATTCCTAGGCAGAAGCAAACAGTTTGCCCAATTGATCAGAGCCCTGGAAAGCATAATACTGTAAGATTAGGGGATAAGGAGTGTGGGGAAGAAGTACATAATTTAACATATGAAACTGGGCCCCAAACATGAAGATCCTTGTGTCTCAGGTGCATGGCTGCCAAAGAACATTCACTGCAGTAGAGATTCTCATTAACCTGCCGGAAGGACAAAATAACATTCCCTAGGGATGTCAGATAGCCTTTCTCCACAGTCACCTTAGTGCAAGGGTCCTATGATCAGAATGGCTTGGTGGCAAGGATAGAGGCTATTCTGGGATCTGCATGGGCTTTCTTTCACCAAGATTGTTCTAGCTGCTGACACTGCTGAGTGCTGCTAGTGGCATACAGCACAATGGAGGCCCTTTTATGGTACCATTGGCTAACCAGCCACCGGTAGTAGGCCAATCAAGTAGATCTTTCTACCTTGAAAAGGCAGAGATTCATTGTTACTCAAATTGATACACAATATAATTATTGATTTTCCTTTCCTGCTGTTAGCTTTCTGCTAGCAAAACACTTGTAGAATCTGAGGGCTTACAGAATGCCTTAGCCATCAACATGATAACCCATATACCATAACCTCAGACTAGAGGGCTGCTTTTATAACAAAGAGATGATAGTGGGCTTATAACCATGAGAGCCACTGGTTTTACCAGGTACCCCCTTGTCCAAAAGCAGTCAGCTTCTGACAGCTTAGCTAAGATGCAAGATGGGGGACATTGTGCAGGATTGGGCTCTGTTTTTCAGCATGCAGAATATTCATTAAGCCAAAGGATGATATATGGAATTATTTCTCTAATATTAGAATACATGGATTTGGGAAACAATGAAAGTTGGAACAGCCGCTCTCACACCCAATGACTCACTTTTGGAATTTGTATTTCATGCACCTGCAGCCTAAGCCTCTACCAGGATAAAGTCCTGATTGTCAGAAATGGAACGCTTCCTCCAGAGGAAACAGCAAGAATTCATTTGAACTGGAAGCTTTGACTAACACTTGGCCACTCTGGGTGTCTCATGCCAGCACATCAGCAGGAGTTGCTGGAATAATTGTAGCTGATTATCATGAAGAGCAATTGACCCTGATTACCATAAGAAGTTGGGCCTGCTACTACACAATGCAATTAGACAGGGAGAAGTATGTCTGGATCCCAGGGGAATCTTTTTTTTTTTAATTTCCAGGCCTAGTAATACTGTTAATGGACAATTACAGCAATTGCAACCCAATAAAGAAGGGCAACCAATGTCTCAGACTCCTTGGGGACAAAGGTCCAGGTTATCCCATCAGGCCTTAGGTTTTTCAGGATTTTGAGAAGGATTATTGCCATGAGAGGACTAAGAAACTGTCTGGGTTTATGATTGTCCTCTCAGGAAGAAATAAGAACGTCTTATTCACACACACACACACACGCACACACACACACACACACACACACAAAGGAGACCTTATATTGAAGTATGCAAACTAGACATAAATTAGGAGGATGTGTGGTTCACAGCATAACTGTATTAAGCATTTCTTATCTGCTCAGATTTTCTCAGCCTCATCTGCCTTCTAGAACCTCTGCTACTCGTTCTGCCAAAACCAACACTTTGACCTAAATCTGTGGTTCTGCAGCCTGAGCCCCACCAACCTCGCATCCAAGTTTCTGACTTCTCCTTCTACTTACAGATCTGATGAAATACCACACCACAAAATGAGGAATCTAGCTTCTCAAGTAGTTGTCAAAGGGGCCCAATTATATGCCCAGAAGTGCAAGGTACTTATCTACTTACGCGGTGAAATTTGACCAATGGGGAAAGGACATGAAAAAAAGTCAAGTAGATAAATTTCTTCTCTCTCCAAGGAAATTCTTATATGCATGTTTTTTCAATAGCCTATGGGAATATACCTTGTGCAGTCATTTAGTGGTATAATGGAACTGACTTTTGTAGGTTTTTAAGAGCCAATTATATACACCCCTTTCCAATCCTGCATTCAGTGATGTCACATTGGTAGCTTAAAATCAGCCGTGGTTGGACTATTTACACCACGGAAATTGGCAAACACTGCACTCCATGGAGGGATGGTTGTTAAATATTTACTATACACACTACTGAGTCTAAATGACACACTCGCTGACTGACTGCCTATGTCTCTTCATGGCCTACCATGAAGCAGTGGCTCTAGCTGTAACATGTCTCCTTGCATTGCTACTCAGCCTTTCCTGCCTCATTTCCCGCCTCATTTCCCTTTTATTTTACTCTCACTGCCACTGTGTATCACTTCCTAAACAAATGATCAACATTTAATCTATGTTCAGTCTCTGTTTACTAGGAACCTCAGACTAAGACAGGAGTTAAACGGAGTTGAGTAAAAGGATTTCAGATCTTTGTTGAGACTAGGGAACTCAGGATACTGTGGAACCCATTACATACTACGGAAATGCCTTCTGGCAACCACACGTGAACTTGGTGGTAAGAGTAAAGAAGATGATCAAGCTTATTCATGCTTGAATAAGTGAGAGGGGTCCAGTATGAAACAGGATTCTGGTATTTCTCTAGTTGAGAATGTTGGTCTGGATTCAAGAGTGCCTAACAGAGGTAAATACAGGAGAAGGTAAAAGACTGGAAGATCAGAACCAAAACACATTGGAGGTATCAATGAGAACAAAAGGCATATATAATAAATACAAAAGAGTGAGAAACTTCTTGGAAAATAATGTTTATTATTTATTTATATTTATTAATTTATATTTATTAATAACTATAAATAAATAATGTTTATTATTTATTTATAGTTATTAATAAATATATATTAATATATATTAATAAATATAATATATAATATATATTATATATTTATAATATATAAAAACAAGTATTTTATTTCATATATATTAATCCACCATTTGCCTTCACATGTATTTTCCTCTAGCAATTGGGGTCTTCTTGCTGTTCCTTAAATAAACCAACATCAAGTGCCCAGAAAACTCAATGCCCAGATACTCATATGGCTTTTTCCCTCAATTATATTAGGCTGCAGCTCAAATATTACCTCCTCAGAGAAGTTGTCTGGGAGTGCCCTATCTAGAATAGCCCAATTCTCTCTATTCTCTCACTCGGCTTTATTTTTCTTCATAACCCTTATCACAATCTGGCATTATTTTGTTATTTCATTTTGTGTTTATTGCCTGTCTTCCTGAGTAGAATACAAACTCAATGAGGGCAGAGATATTATCCGTTTTAAATCCCTAGCACTTATAATAGTGCTGAGCACATAGTAGATCCTGTATAAATGTTTGTGGAGTAAATCAATAAGTATTAACTGTTAATTAATCCAATTGTTTATATTTAAATACATATTTTAAAGATGAATAATAGCGAATAAAGACCCTGTGTGTGTCTGGCTCTCTCCTAGGTAGGCAGATCATGAAGTTTAAGGCTTAATTCCAATCTTTGAGCAATTTGTAGTTTCACTGAGGTCATAAGGCATACACACACAAGCAACACATAAACAAACACACTGAAGATTAGTGTGTGATATATATCAAGTCTATTAGGAGAATTATATTTGACAATGTTATAAGATTTCAGAAGACAGAATGCTGTGCATTGGAGCAATCAGAGAGATTTTTGGAAGAAGTAGGGTTTAATCACAACCATTAGAATTGGCTTTATATAGGGGGTAAAGGATAGAAAGGAATATTGTTTTGGTACTCCTCTCAAGCTTTACCAGTACTGAATATGTTCAGTACAAGCAACCTATTAAGATCCCAAACAAGCAACCTATTAAGACACCAAAATTGTTATTGGCTATTTGTCCACTTATTTTGCCTACATCACACACACACACACACACACACACACATGCACATACGTAATCTAGGAGATTAGATGTGAGTTTAAGTTAATGATCAAGCAGCTGTGTGTTATGTTCTGAGCTCTGTTGTAAATGAGATGAATAAATATTGATTGGTTTAAGTGAAATAAGGAACACTAATTCAGGTGCTGAACTATGTCTGTATACCACTTTGGGAAGGGAAAAATAAGATAGATTCTGTTTGTCAGGGACTGACTGATGTCCAGCCCAATGTCCTCATTTGGTGTCAGCCTCTGATAAAAATGAAGCCAGTTGATTTATTTGAGTTTTTTTTCACTCTGACTATTTGACAAAAACCCATTTAAATTGCCTTCATCAATTCTACTCTTTTATCCTGGTTTCAACTCTTATTTGTGATGTCTTATCCTCTCCACACTGGTTTAAATTTTCCATGTTTTAACTTTAATTTTTTTGAGTCCAAGAAATTCATCCACTTTAAGATTATTTCTCTATCTTGGTTTTTAAAACTAATAACTTAAAAAAATCAAAACTTCGGTTACCAGCTCCTGAGGGTTTAAGTAAGAGTCAGTTCATAAATGAAATCTCTCTTAAAATACATTTTCCTTCTTGAGCTGATTTACAGATTTGTGTAAGGCCAGGAGCCTTTCTCCTTTCAGTTTCAGTGGTGGGATCATGTCTTTATCAGAAGCTCGTGAAGGAATGTTGCTTTTCTTAGTCATGTAGGAACAGAAAAAGCTAGAAAGGTCTTTTATTTCTAAACCTATTTATCTAGCCCATAAATATCTGACAGATTAGCAACACTACACTGGACATTAGAACAATATCAACTAATTAAGGGATTTGTGCTAGTTTTCTTCTCTTACAGAAAAGGAAGATGAATTCAATTCTTACTAATATTTACCAAAGCCACCCTAGAAATTATTCAAAGGTAAGATATTCTGAGAGGAAAATGCAAATTTCTCTTTTCAGTTTAGGAAAATATTTAAATGTATTCAATAAGCAGTTTCCAGGAGTTTGATGGTGAGAAGAGTAGTTCCAAGAGAAACAAAGAACCAAGTGAGACCAAACAGGCAAATCATGGTAAACTTAAATACTCACGGAAGACAAGCCAATTAGGTTATTACTATTAAAGATTTTAAGAAACTTGCGCTCAGCCATAAAGGAAGAAGAATAAGTACTTGGAGGAATAGATATGCATTGAGTGTTGAAGGAGAAAATATCTGAATGAACCAGCAAATCTTACAGAATTTTGTTACTTATTGGTTAAAATACAAGCATCTGTAAAAACCTAGATTTCTAGCAGCAAAATCTGTAGATTTATATTCCTGAGTGATGTAATCCCATTGCTATATTTGCTGAAAAATATTCCTACTTGAGGCCAGAAGGATTAATATTGCTTTTCTGGTAATATACCAAGAAACACTCTGATGCCTTTTAAAACAAAGCAATACAACACTGTAAATGTACAAGCAACATTGCTCCGGGAAACACATTTGCCTGTCAAAGCCAAATAGTAATCCTAATTTAATGAACATCGTCAGTTTGCTGAGCCCATTGGGGAATGAAAGCGTCTTTAGGGAAAGCCTGAAAATGAACCGTACCAATTTATTACACAGCTTTTTATTTAGGGTGAAATTGAAGTGCCTGAAATACTTGACCAAAAGATTCACGAGTTCCCTCAAAACTGAGTTTATTATCCAAGATTATGCCTTAGATGTTGAAGGAAGAGGAAATAGTTATCTATATATAAAGATACTTGCCCTGTTCCCAGACGAGTTACTTACATCTTTGTGTCGTAAGGTCTCTGCAAATATACTTGTTTTAAGGAACAAAAACTCTTGTGCACAATCATAAAAGAAACCATATTGGATTCATTCATTTATACATCATCCATCATTATTATCTATCTTGCCATCTGGATCCTCCAGAGACAGGTGTGTGTGCAATTTGCACAGGGAGATGAGGGCTATATTAGTGTTATGAAAAAAGGACTATGGTAGCATAGATGAAAAAAGTGCTTAAACCTCCCTGAGATATTGGCCCTTTTATAGAGAATTGCATTCCACAAGGCAAAATCCAGAACATTTAAAAAAAGTATTTTCTGGAATATCTTGTTTTTCATGGTGATGGCAGCTGTGGGGTTCACTGAGAAAGCCTTAGTCCGGAGCTTGTGTCAAGCTGTGCATGGGTCTTCACACAGGCCTTCTGACCTCTCAGATGTCAGCGGCCGTTTTCTCCTCCTGACATTCTTTCCCTGGCAGTCACTGTTGGTCTCAGGAAAGCAGGAGAGCAGACTCTTTCAAAACTGCGTTAAGCGGTACCAGCCCAGCTCAGGAAGACAGGTTTTGCAGTCAGCATGCCTTGACTATTCCCCACGCCTGCTCTCCCTGGACAATATCTTTTACTATTCTCTACAATTTAACATCTCACTTTATGTAGCGCTGTCTGGTGGTAGCTGGCATCCCCTTTTGTCTCAGAACTTTTAAAGCGCCCTTTCCTTTCCCCTTGGCCGTCATATGTGATTTCTGTATTTGTATTTCTGTCTTCTCTATTAATGAGGCTGGGCACTGCGGAGGACACATATACACCCCTGTGTCAAAATGTTGAAAGTGTCTGGGTCTACCCGGGGACTTCTCCAGTGTGTGCAAGCTGGTACATTTTTCACGTGATGCCAGGAGCTCATAAGCAGCAGCTGAGGCTACTGGGTGAGATCTCAAGTCATAATCTTCTCTGAATCAGAAGCTAAGATCGCGCCTGTGGGTTTATTTCTTCCAGATCGCCTGATAAATCATCTGTAGCCTATTGTGGGATGTGGATATTTATGGTAATTACAGTGTGGGGTGAATTAGGAAAAATTAGGTAACATGAACAAGGACAGAAGCCATATAAATCGTCATGAAAATTTCTTCCTGGAAACTAGACTTGTGATATTTTATTGCCTTCTCCCAAGATGCCAGTAGCATCCTGAGATGGATAAAATTTCCTAAGATTCAATGAGCCACACTGGTCTCTCTCTTTACTACATTACCCTGGATCCCAGGGAGGCTACGGTGCTGAGCGGAGGTCCTGGTAGCTCTAACTGCCACTTACTTAAAATAACAAGTGATCTGTGAACATCCTTATGCAGAGGCAAGAAGTGAGAAGCAGAATTAAGGAATAGGATTTACTTCTTTAATACCTACTGCATTAGGTTTCTGAGGCTGCTGTAACATATCATCATAAACTTCATGGCTAAAAGCAACAGAAATGTACTCTTTTGGTTCTGGAGTCCAGAAGCATGAAGAAAGCTCTAGGGGAGAGTCTGTTCTTTGGCTCTTTCAGCTTCTGGTGTTTGTTGGTATTTAATGTGGCTGCATCACTCTGATTTCTGCCTCTGTTCATGTTGCCTCCTCCTCTTTTGTCCACGTCTTCTCTCTTTCTGTCTCTTAGAAGAACACTTGTGGTTGGGTTTAGGGTCTGCCTGGATAGTCCAAAAGGCTCTCATCTCTAGATCCTTCACTTAATTATATCTGCAAAGACACTTTTTCCAAATAAGGTAACATTCACAAGTTCCAGGGATGTGGACATGGACCTGTCTTTGGGGTACAGGAATTATTAAATGTATGTGTCAAGTTCTCTTCTAGACACTCTCTATATATTATGTTAACTTTGAATTTCAGAAATCTGTATTCTAGGCATAGCTCTGCCACCAGCTAACTGTGTTACCTCAGAGTTATTTTCACCTGTCTGGGTTGCAGTTTCCTCGACTGTGAAATGAAGGAGTCAGATTAGATGACATCTATAGTTTCTTCCAGGCGTTAACTTTTAGTAATTCTAGACAAAGGGCAGGCCCCTGTCTAGAAGAGGGCTCAGATAAGACTCTATTCAATAATACACCATGTTAGTGGTGTCTCCTGGATGTGTGCAATGTGCTTCCCTCTCTGTGATCTCTGTTGACAAGATACTCTCATCCTCTCCCCAAGTCCAACATTGGTATACGTAAGATCTGAGTCCCCACTTCAAACATTCCCTCCACCACCTAAGTACGATCTAACCATTTATATTTTGATTCAAAGCTTTTATTCTCTTGTGTTTCTGTAACATAGACCCAGGGCAATGTTACCAATCCTGAGATTTAGTCCTACAGGAGCAAAACTACATTTGTAAAATGTTCTTTCTAGGATGACTACCAACATCCAAGAAAATGGTATCATCATAATGGTAATCCTTGGTATATAATTTTCTATTAAAGGAGTGGAAATAATACAGTAGGAAATTAATTTTAGAAGACTTGGAACAATTTGGTTCAATTCTGTGTATGCACTTATCACCCACAATTTTCCAGGTGCTGTATTACATGTTAGGAATACAGATGAAGGTAAGACCCAGTCCTTTCTTTTATGCAATCACCTACTAAAAGAAGCAAAAGCATTATTTTCATACCCAAGCATTGGCACTCACATAGGTGAAGCCAAAGAAAGTTCTCATGAAAAAAAAAAAATTAACAAATTGAATCAGGGCTAAAACTGTGGAAAGGGACCAAGATGCAGAGCCAAAAACTGTTGGCTCCATTGGGAAATCGTGAGAAAGCAGACGCCGGTTGCCCTGCCACTGAAACCCCAGAGGGTACAACTACTCGTGACCATCAAGGGATTAATGATGCATTTAAATTGTTCCCACCAGAGATTATATATGCATTGAGACACAGTGGAGGCCAGAGCTGCATGTGACCTAATGGCAAACTCCCAAATCCCCCTGCATTTTTCTGAAGGGAGGATTGATAACATCCAAAGATACCGTGGCAAATAGTCAGTTCAGGCACTTGAACTCCAAGAAGGCCTCGGGTCCCATAAGACCAACTGCCTGGGTTCTACAAATGTTGCACTGGGAAATCTGCCCTCTGGCCAGACGTAGGCTGTAAGCATGCACTTTGGTTCGGTGAACTCCACCCTGCAAGGAAGGAATTAATCATCATACTAACTAAGGCAAGGGGTGCTGGGATACTGTGTTAAGTGAACCAAATGTCTCCACTAAATGTCAGGTTGAGCCGTGAATTTGGCAAGCTTATACTCAGCTCCAGTTAGCATTTTCCTCAAATTCCCCAGCAGACAGTTTGGCCTGGTTGGCAGCTTGCTCATAAGAGACCCAGAAATATATAATCAGTTCAGCTAAGCAAGCCCCAGGAAAGAGATTCACAGTGGAAATAATGTCCAGGTTCGGTCTCAAGTAGATTGACAGCGACTTCTCATCTGGAAATGAAAAAAGTATTGTTACCCAGGAGCAGCTTGCATGGAAGAAAGCCAGCAAGGTTCAAGTCCATTTGCGTTGACCACAGTTTATCTGGCCTTCATAAAAAACAGGCTAAGGCAAAGCTCAGCATGGAGACACATGCTCATGGCAGCTCAGGTGCATGGCAAATTAAAGAGCTATAGCATACGATAAGAGAAAACTACAGTCACACTGGGTGCCAACCTCAAAAAGTGCCAGAGAATGCCAGGAGTCCTAATTATTTGGAATAAAAGCTTTCATGTGACACACAGGAGTTGTTCAGGGACTGGAGCCATCTCATATTTTCGTAATTCTTTGCCCCTAATGCCAATTTTTTTTCTTTCCTTAAGTGCTAAGATCTGGGAAATAGAAATTTGAAATAGAAAGAATAATAACAATCAATAATACGATTCTTACCCCAATTAAACTTACAGTCTAGTGGAGTTACAGATATTAAATTGTCATACACAAATTTGTGAAATTGTAGTTGTGCTCATTTTTAAATGGAAGAAATGTATGAGGCTCTAAGAGCACATAATAACCAGTGTAAAGCCAAAGATTCCCTGTAAGAAGGTGAGAGAACTAAGCTGAAATTTGAGAACAAGTAGGTGCTAACTTGTGGTATCAGACAGAGAGGACCAGTAACTACCAAGGGAAGGAGAGAGATAGGTAAGTAGCCAGAGGGACCTCTGGGCTCTAGGTGTGTGTTGCGTGTGTGTTGTATTTTAAAGAAGAGACTGAAATCCAACAGAATGATAAAGTTGGAGTTCATATGATCATATGATGAGTGTATCTTTCATGAGCTCTCTAATTCTTCACATATGAAGTTGAAAAGTTTTTTTCCTCATTCATAAGGAAATTATGAAAATATTCTTTCTCTACTTTTGTGAAGCCAGTCTTGTCACGGTCTTCATGTGTTGTACACCCAGGCCCATTCCTACCTGTGTGGCCTTTTCCAACATTTTTCTTTCCCACACCTTTTTCATTCCCCCTTTCCATATTGCTTGGCACACGTAGCTGACAACGGACTTCTCATTCATGTGGTAGAGCCCATGGTTTGGTCTCTACTTCTGAGTCCATCTGAATTACAGGTAGTTTAGGGCTTTTCTATTAAAAATGGTGTAGTGTTCACAGACAAATTACTAAATATTGAACAAATATTCCATTAGAAGATAAATTATCTCTTGGAAAAGGAACTTCTTGCAAATAACATCAATAAGTTGGTTATATATTTTTTGTATTTTGCTTTTTGAGAAACAGCCCAGAAGTAGTCATTGCTTAATATTTTTTATGGCCAAAATATACAATATATTCTTTAAGACATACAGACTTTTAATAAAAAGCCTCATTAGGTTGAAGGGAGTCTTACCAATTGATCTTCTAAGAATATTGCCATTTGATATTTTTTCATAGACATTTAGCCTTATAAAGTTGTTTTCTGAATGGATACCAACATGCTAGATACTGAGTGAGATAAATAAAATCAGTTGAAAAGTCATAAGGTGGAACCTGATTCATCTAAAGCTTATAGTCTAAGCAAAGAAAAAAATAAAAACTAATTTATTCATAAATACTATTGAACATTTATTATGTGCCAGTGATGCACTAGAAAAATATCATTCCTGCATTTGCAGATTTGAGTCTCCAGGCAAAGCTACACACTCAGAAAAAGAAAAAAACTCAGCCATAATTTTCAGCCAACTTAAACACTTTTTATTATCATAAAAATAAAAAAGTAGTATTCTAACTTTGACACTGTGAAAACCAATTACAAATTTAATCTATTTAAAACCTAATTCCCCACAATGTACTGATACCAAGCATTTAGATATAGTTTTATAACAAGAATATGATTTTCAGAATATCCAGTACAAATGACTCAACAAGTGTATACCAATGCTTAGGAAATGCAAGTGCTCTACTACCAGGAATCTTGCTATTTATTCTGTCTCTTCTTTACAACAATTATATATGAGGGACATGGACTGACAGATGAACAAGTTTTTTGTGAATTAAATTGTGTCCCCACCCCCCCACACACACCAAATTAATGTGTTGAAGCCTTAACTCTTAAATGCTCCTGTATTTGGAGACAGGGCCTTTAAGGTTATATAAGGTCATCAGGTTGGGGCCCTTATCTGATAGGAGTGATATCCTTATAAAAAGAAGAAAAGATACTAGGGCTTGCTGTCTTTCTGCATCTATATAGAGAAAAGTCTTTGTCGTCACACAGCCAGAAGGAGGCTGTCCACAAACCAGGAAGAGCCCTCACCAGGAACTGAATTTGCCAGCACCTTGATCTTAGACTTCCATCCTTCAGAACTATGAAAAAACAAATTTCTGTTGTTTAAGCCACCCAATCTGTGGTATTTTGTTATGGCATCCTGAAAATCTAATAGAAAAGTAAACTAATATTTATTATCTGCTATGTGCCAGCGTCTGTGCATCATAAAAACAGCCAATATTTATTGGACACTTACAAAGGAAAATATTCCTAGGTTGTTATCTTCTTTTGTATAGTCCAAGATGATTTACCGCTATGTCTACCTTCCAACTACAAGAACATGAAAGAAGGATAGGAACATCCCTTCCCTTGGAGTCCCTACCTAGAAATTGCAAGTTATATTTGATTGCATCCTGTTGGGTAGAACTTAATCGCATGGAGGCTCTTAACTGCAAGGGAAGCTGAGAAAAGTTGTTCAAATCAGAAGTTCTACCACTATCAAAGAAGGAAATAATTCATATTGAGGGACAACTGTCAATCTTTTCTACACCCACATCCTCAAATGGACTTAGACATTCCTGAATCAAATATTTAATGTTTATAACCCTGCTGCTATGCTGCACCCTGGATCCTCTGACTAAGCCATTGGATAATGTTGCCAGCTTTTTGGGGGCTCCTTCTGCAATGAAGCCAGTCTGTCCAATTGGGGATTAACCCCAGTTGTTTCTTGTCCTCAAAATAGAAAGAACACAAATTTTTCTCGTAGCCAGGAAAGTAAAATGATTTGTTTAAATCTTCAAAGATAGTAAATAGAATAACTGGGATATGAACTGAGGTTTTGGCATTTCAAGTACAATTTTGTTCCCCCTTAACTACCAGGTGACTTAAAAGTACCCTCTAAATCACTCTGAGATTCATGAATGAACTTATTTCCCCATATTAGAAGACATTTGTGAGGCAGGTTGGAAGGTGAAGACCAGTTGAAGAAAATGGGAATAATTTTTGTGTTAGGTCTACTTCTTGCTTCTTAATTGAATTTCAGTCTCTGACTAATATTCCATGATGTGAATGTATCACAGCTTACAAAATCTCCTATCACTGTATATTTAGACTGTTTTCATTCTATTTCATTGCTATTATAAACCACAATGCATTAAACCTAATTGTGCAAAAATATTTATATGGGAGGGATAGTGCAACTGTTATACACATTTTAAAGTCTGTTGATTGTTTTTGGCAATATTGTTAAACTGCTGTCCAAAAAGACTTACTAACATTTACTTCCATCAAAAATATATGAGACTAAAAGTTGACATCTTAGATTGAGTCTCTAGAAGCAAACCCTGTAAAAAAAAAATCTTGATGCAAGTGATATATTCAGGAAATACTTCCTGGGGAGATGAGTAAGGAAGTAAGGAACATAGCAGGGAAAGGAAGGAAGTCATGCAAAATTGTACTCTCAGGCAAGATGCCCCACAGAGGCAAGGGAGCTGGACCTCCATATTCTGATAGTCATTTGTCAGTTCCACCCTGGGGAAGAGATAAACCCCAAGCAAGCATGTGTAGCTCTCAGGTAAAGCAGTTCCAGTAATGCAAAGGCAGTTCTCCAAAGAAAAGCTTCAAGTTCCAGTCACTAAAAACACAGGGGGCCAGGCACAGTGGCTCACACCTATAATCCCAGCAATTTGGGAGGCCGAGGTGGGAGAATCACCTGAGATTGGGAGTTCTAGACCAGCCTGGCCAACATGGAGAAACCCCATCTCTGCTAAAAATACAAACTTAGCTGGGCATGGTGGCACATGCCTTTAATCCCAGCTACTCGGGAGGCTGAGGCAGGAGAATCACTTGAACCGAGGAGGTGGAGGTTGCAGTGAGCCGAGATCATGCCATGGCATTCCAGCCTGGGCAACAAGAGCAAAACTCTGTCAAAAAACAAAACAAAACAAAACAATAAAACGGAAAATTAGTATTGGGGGCAATGGAGGTTGTGCACAGAAGATATCATGAGAAACCTCAAAAGATCTGGGCAAAGCACAAACATTTTCTGTTACAGTCCACCCCTTACCTGCTCAAATTCTATTACATTTCAATTCTTCAAAGCAGTGGTTGCTCAAAATTTCGGGGTGAAATTTGTAAGTGGAAGATGAGTGGAACAAGCTACAGTCTCTACTGCCACAAACTGGTCGTGAAATAAGAACGTTTCATCATCCCCTCTTTTACCATCCATTCTAGATTCTTCTCAGCTCCTATTGAATTTAACAGTAATGCTGTGCCCTACTCACCAGCACATTCTTCATTGCTCCAATGAAGGAAGTTCCCTCTGCGCTTTCATGAAGAACATAGTCATGCATAACCTCTAAATCCTTTTATCCCTTTCTCAATAGTCTGCCAGGTCATTATTTGTTTCAAGCCTCAATGAGCTATTCTGGTGGCATACAAGGAACAGTTCCAGGTGCTGTTATGTTAAATACTGAGTCACAGGAGAGGGCCCTATATCAGTCAACTCTCTTTTATTCACCATCTTGAACTGGCATCCTCAAAATCTACTTCTAGTCATGCTCTGCTAGTATCTGAGAGTACATGTTACTCAAGTCCTACAGATTTTTTTTGGCAAATAATTCATTCCCTGCTTCATAAGGCCAAAATCTCCCCAGTTCAGTCATGCTGAAGCCTCACCTTAGTTGTCTGTCTAGTGAGGAGGGAAGGTGGGGGCAAATCAAGAGGAGGGCAAGTATTGCGTTTCAATGCATCTGCCTTAGTTGAGGCTTCTAAGTAATCCCTAAGCATCAAGGGGACTGCTATACTCTAGAAAAGGAGAGAGAGTGTGGCAATTTTGCAGGCTCAGAGGGTCCAGTAGAACCTAGGGATCCAACGTTCTATAGCACATCTACTCAGATATACCTGTCTTGAGTCTCAGGGTCCCCTTTATTTCTTGTTAGGGCCACAGTTTTGGTGTAGGGCATTTGGGTTGGTTGTTAAATTCAGTCTTCTCTGAAGTTTGGTTACTCTCACAATTGAGTCTTATGCCCTGTCTTAAGTATGTCCTTCCTCTGGCTGAAGGATGTGTTTAAAGTTTTGCTGGCTTTCATTTTATGCCTTAAGCTGACAACTGACTGACCTAAATCTGTATTTTTTTCTCTCTGATGCACCAGTGACACTCAGTAACACCCAATCAATGTCATTGTTCTTATAATTATGAATTTTCCATTTCTTTCAAATGCAAGCAATGTTGTATGAGTCAAAGAATCCTTCCCATCTTTACTCCAGCCCAACCTAACAGAGATGGAAGTCTTACTAACTATGCTACTGCCAGGGATAGTCACTCCCCAACTTAGTACTAATAAAGGGACCCTGTGTTTTCAGATGGTCATCAAATATCCAATTCCAGAATCTGGTCTGCATTTCCTACTTCCTAGGACCACTTCTGATATCAACTATCTCAGGGCCGTTCTGCAGAAGCACTCTCTGAAGTGGGGATTCATATGCAAACAATTTCAGAAAATATTCAGAAAATTCTTGGGAGAAGACTAGTAAAAGAATAGGAAATGCAGGATAGGGACAGAGAGGAAGTCTAGCATGGGTGTAATCTCAGGCAAAGGTCACTCTAAAGGTAGACTTCGGCCTGATCTCAGAGGGGAACTCTGGAGTGTGAAATCTCAGAGCTGTCCCAGCCTGAAGTAAAGGAGCTGGACTTTCCTACCTTTATATCTGTCTTTGGACAACAGCCACCCAGTTGGATTGCAAATGCCTAGATATTTCCAAACCTCTGTGTAGTGTGGGCACAATGGCTCCAATGACCCAAGGGGCATCTTCCAGAGAAAAGCTGCAGGTGCTGGTCCACAGAAAGGCAGGCATGGAGAAGTGGGTGTGGTGGGGTGAGAGTGCACAGAGAGGGAAAGAAGGGATCCTAGGCATCTGGGCAGACCACTAATATTGCCTGCTACAGTTCTATTTCTCTCTTTGTTCATGTGCTTCCTTTTTTTGTTTTATTTATAGGAATTCTACTTTTATCTTTTTCTGTTTAAGATTCAAGTTTAATTTACCTTTGGAATGGGTATAGTTTGCATGCAGAATAAAATTAAAAATGTCAAAAATCGTGTAGTGTAAAAAATCTCCCTCCTATATATCCTTTCAGAAATATCCCGTGAGACAGATTTTGCATGGTGCAAAAATCACCAAGTCTCTTGCTTCATGTACATGTAATCCCTTTTTACAATTCTGTCTTCTAATTTAAAGGAATCAATTCTTTTCTGCATGGGAACCCAGAACAAAGATGACATCCCATAAGCAAAAGTGAAACAAACTAAAAATTGTTAAGTTATTGAGTACTACATGACACGCAGAAGAAAAGAGCAACAATGAGGTTGAATTTCCCATATGTTAATTAGCAAATCACCATTGTACTAGGAAGCAATAGTGACAAAAATGTTTCTCTCAACATAAACCATCTACTGTGAATAAAGAAAAATCATGACAGTGGGCTGGTAAAACACTGGCTTATAGTGAAAGACAATGGATGGGTTTTAGGGCCATTCATCCGACTAGACCTTTAATGGACAATGAGGATTTTACTGATTTTGGAAAAAAATCAAAGTGTCAAAGTAAAGAGAACAATAAGTAGAAATAAAAAAACAGAGAAGAACAAAAGTAGTAATAAAAAACTAAGACCTTTGTACCAGCCTTGGTTTTGCCAGGAACTTGCTGTGTTATCTCTGTCAGTCCACTTATCTTTGTGCTTCCTTGGTCATCCGTAATCTACAGATATAAGGATGAAATGAAATAAGTATCCCTAAAGAAAATCATGTAGATAATTGGTATAATTAGTAATAATAATACTAGAGTGAGGGATACGGCTAGTAGGCAAGTTTTTTAAAATTTGATTTACTATTAGACTGTCACTACTGTTTAGCTATCTGATTGAACAAGATACCTACTGGTTTAGTTTGTTCTCTGAGGCCAAGTCCACTCATCTTAGAGATAGAAATGTGAGTTTCACTATTAAGAATGCTGTTGTGGAAATCCAGGATATCAAGTGAAGACAGAAGACACATTCAGCTCCTAGTTCTTACATTTTTTTGACTAACAGAGCTTACCCCCATGACCCAGTTCGTATGATCTCAAGTAGGTAAGGAGGGAGTGTTGAAAGTTATATTGTGAATTTAAAATTTATACAAACTAGAAAAACCAAGCCTACAGCTGATTTGGATATTTCAATTATCAAATGAATGGGTAAAATTACCAATTTCTGTTCATTTATTTTGTTTCCTAATAGCACAGAAATATTAATAACTGAAAGTATTAGATCTTCCAGTCATACTAACCTGGTGATTGCTGCAGGTGCCTATTAGATGTCCGCATTTCACAGACTGGGCTACACAGATCTTGAGGATAGCCACTGTAGACTACCAGGTTCCAAAGTGGGTTGTGCTGTTGCCTGAATTAGCCGTGTATTTTTTATTGCTGCTGTAAGAAATTACCACAAACTTAAGTGGCTTAAAATAGCACAAATTTATTATCTCAAATTGAGTAAGTCAGAAGTCCAGGTACAGTGAGCTGATATTCTGCTTAGAATATCACAAGGTGGAAATGAAGGTGTTGGCAGGGCTACATTCCTTTCTGAAGTCTCTAAGCATCTACTTCCAGCCTCCTTTTGATTGTTGGCATAGTTTGGTTCATGCGGCTGTAGGACTGAGGTCCTGTTTTCTTGATGGCTGTCTGATGAGGACTGCCATTAGTTCCAGAGGTCTCTCTCCCATCCTTGCATGTTAGTTCCCTGCATCCAGAGCCAGCAACAGTGCATTGAATCCTTCTCCCTCCTCCCCTAATGCTGCATCTCTGCGACTGGCTGTTCTGCCTTCCTCTTTCAAAAGCTTGAATGATTAGATTGGGTCCACCAGATAATCCAGGATAATCTCCCTATTTAAAGCTCTGTTACTTAATCATATCTGCAAAGAACCTTTTGTCATGTAGCATAACATATTCATATGTTCTGGAGATTAAGGTATTATCCTGCCTACCACAATACCAAATGCCAAAAGATAGGTAATTATGGGGTAATGTGTCCTCATGTCATTACATCCCTTCTAGAATTATTTCTTGTGACTATTAGGTCCTGTTGTGTTTACCTGGGAAGTATTACAGAACTATTTGAAGCAGGTGAGATACTGGGATGGAGATTGGGGGGCACATGTTTCCTTTTCCTGATGTTTCTTTCGATATGGAGAAAGATTCTCTAGTAAAACACTCCTGGCCTCTCTTATACTCTCCCTTCATTCTTCCCCACCACTATGTGACTTTGGGAGGAGGAACAAGGACTGCATGGTTCAGCTCTTGTTGAGGGTCACATTTGGGATCTGTCTGCCAGCAGGGAGCATGAGCACTGGTCCACTCTTGGCCACAGCCTAAGCTCAGGGGGTAAATGCCCTGCCTCTATAGAGGAAGGCCTGTAATTTTTGTTTAGTGCTGCATATAACTGAGTGGATATATTCAAATGGATGAGATCACTCTTCCAGGCCAGCTCAACCATGAACAGGTCAAGCTTAGTATTTTAGATTGTTGTGTAATTACTACATGCAGAGTAATGTTCTTGGTACTGGGGAGTAGACAAAGATGGATTAGAACTTCTAAGACAGCAGAGTAAAGAAGGCTTTTCTTTTTCTTCTCTCTAATATCACTTCAATAGAAACAACATAATACAATAAATAATAGTGAAGTAGAAGAGGGATGAAAAAGAGGAAAGCCATATATGTAGGCTGATTTCCTCAACCTTTATAGTGGAGGAGAAAAGGTGAGTGTCAAAAGACATCAACCAAACAAATAAAGTAGTATATGTTTAAATATATTTAAAGAAACATAGGAAAGCTCTATGAAACAATAATATAATTAGCTAAAATCAAGTGAGGAATAATGGGAGTTAGGAAGAAATACAAATATAGGAATTTTGCCATCGTTTGATGTAGGGAGATAGATGTTGCCTAAAGAAACAATGTTTATAATATTTTTAAAAATTTGTTCTAAATTTATAATTTCTAAGATTATATCACTAGACAGAATGCAAGCTTTCAGAAGGAACCTTTATTTAAAAAGCACAAAGAAAATCCGAATCATAGAATAAAAGATTGAATAAAAGCACAAAAATAAGAATAACATTAAAAGGTAACAGTTCCATAACTGAAAGGTATATTTTATATCAGTAAATATAAATGGGATATACTTTTCTATTAAAACATAAAGCCTCTCAAATTGGATCAAAATATAAAATCCAACCATATGATATATACAATAAACACATATTTAAAATACATTGATAAGGCCAGGCGCAGTGGCTCATGCCTGTAATCCTAGCACTTTGAGAGGCCAAGGTGGGCAGATCACTTGAGCTCAGGAGTTCAAAACTAGCCTGGGCAACATGGCAAAACCCCATCTCTACTAAAAATATGAAAATTTGCCAGGTGTGGTGGCGCATGCCTGTAGTCCCAGCTACTCGATGAGGCTGAGGTGGGAGGATCGCTGGAGCCCAGCAGGTCAAGGCTGCAGTGAGCCAAGATCACACCATTGCACTCCAGCCTGGGTGACAAAGTGAGACCCTGCCTAAAAAAAAAAAAAAACCATCAAAACACATTGACAAAGAAAGGTTGAAAATAAAATGTACAAAAGTTTGTTATACAAAAAAAAGACAGTTAACTACAAAGGACATAAACTGCTTTTTAAACATATGAAAAAGAACTCTTCTTCATAAAGTAGTTAAAAGTAAAATTACCATAGAAGGGGCTTTTCACTTATCAAATTACTAAAGATCAAAAAGTTTGATAACACATTGGTTGTCTGGAGGTGTGAGTAAACAGGCACTCTCATATGTTGCTTGTGGGGCTGTAAATTAACCCATTTATGGAATGCAACTTGATAATACCTATAGAAATTACAAATACATCTGCTCTTTGATGCAACAATCCCAGTTTAAGAAATTTATTCTAGAGTAATATTCATATACATGTACAAAGATGTTCAATGGAGTATTGTCTATAAGAGCAAATGTTTGAAAGCAACTCAATATGTCCATCAGTCAGACTTTTAAAACTACTAAAACTAAAACTGTGTTAGTACGTAATGACCTCCAAGATTAAGAGGAGAAAAAAGGTCACTATCAAGGACCATTGCTTCCCCACATGGTGTTTTTGTAAAAATTAGAAAAAGATGCCCTCTTCTTTTGCATAGACACAGTTGTTGTCTGGACCCATTGTTTGTGAATGAGGCAGGAAAAGATTTTAGCCTCACTCACCTCCTCAATCTCACACCCTTGTGGAGGGCAGAGCCATATGTGGTCACCTTGGCTCCAGATCAAACACTTACATTACTTTTAAAGATGGCATTTAAGAAACAAAAACATCTGTTCTTTTGGCACATAAGCATACTATCAAACAATTATCTCTCTTCTCTGAACAGAAATAATGGATTGATGATATCTTAATATAACCCACAAGGAAAATAATAGTTGGTGGACCTTTAAGCTTTAATCATCTAGTGGAAAGAGTTGTCTTTTATTTACCAGACCATCTCAATTTACTTTCTGAATTGAATTAATTGATTAGTTAATTTAGTGCTTAATACCACTTGTTGCCTTTGAATAGCATCACTAAACTTCAAATTATTAAAGTTTGTAAACAACGAATTGGACCATGGACCACATTATCTCAGATTTCCATCAAATAAATGTTGTCTCCTACATTTATATGATGCCAACACATCCTTATATTTAATACATTTAAGCTATAAGTCAGTTATCTAAAATTTTGGTCCATATCATGCTTAGATATGGTTTGTATTAAAGCTGATAAAACAAATAAGTACTAAGATTTTGGTAATATAACACAGATGTTCCTAGCTGGCTGGTGGCTTTCCTCTTGAATGATCAGGATTCACAGACTCCTTCCACCCTGTGCTTTGCTATGACCTTGAGTCTTGAACTTGGTTGCATATAACTGATAGAAAAGGAAAGAGTGGGAGCTAAGTACAGTGGCACCTACCTATAATCCCAGGAACTCAAGAGGCTAAGGCAGAAGAATCTCTTGAGGACAGAAGTTTGAGACGAACCTGGGCAATATAGCAAGATTCTGTTTCCAAAAAAAAAATTAAAAATTAGGAAAAGAGGAAGTCAAATTGTCCCTGTTTGCAGATGACATGATTGTATATCTAGAAAACCCCATCGTCTCAGCCCAAAATCTCCTTAAGGTGATAAGCAACTTCAGCAAAGTCTCAGGATACAAAATCAATGTGCAAAAATCACAAGCATTCTTATACACCAATAACAGACAAACAGACCCAAATCATGAGTGAACTCCCATTCACAATTGCTTCAAAGAGAATAAAATACCTCAGAATCCAACTTACAAGGGATGAGAAGGACCTATTCAAGAACTACAAACCACTGCTCAATGAAATAAAAGAGAATACAAACAAATG
Organism: Homo sapiens; assembly: GCF_000001405.40. NCBI lineage: Eukaryota > Metazoa > Chordata > Mammalia > Primates > Hominidae > Homo > Homo sapiens. The sequence goes on from NC_000001.11 coordinate 217,257,133, forward strand.
GAAGAACATTCCATGCTCATGGGTAGGAAGAATCAATATCATGAAAATGGCCATACTGCCCAAGGTAATTTATAGCTTCAATGCCATCCCTATCAAGCTACCAATGACTTTCTTCACAGAATTGGAAAAAACTACTTTAAAGTTCATATGGAAGCAAAAAAGAGCCCGCATTGCCAAGTCAATCCTAAGCAAAAAGAACAAAGCTGGAGGCATCACACTACCTGACTTCAAACTATACTACAAGGCTACAGTAACCAAAACAGCATGGTGCTGGTACCAAAACAGAGATATAGACCAATGGAACAGAACAGAGCCCTCAGAAATAATGCCACATATCTACAACTATCTGATCTTTGACAAACCTGACAAAAACAAGCAATGGGGAAAGGAGTCCCTATTTAATAAATGGTGCTGGGAAAACTGGCTAGCCATATGTAGAAAGCTGAAACTGGATCCCTTCCTTGCACTTTATACAAAAATTAATTCAAGATGGATTAAAGACTTACATGTTAGACCTAAAACCATAAAAACCCTAGAAGAAAACCTAGGCAATACCATTCAGGACATAGGCATGGGCAAGGACTTCATGTCTAAAACACCAAAAGCAATGGCAACAAAAGCCAAAATTGACAAATGGGATCTAATTAAACTAAAGAGCTTCTGCACAGCAAAAGAAACCACCATCAGAGTGAACTGGCAACCTACAGAATGGGAGAAAATTTTTGCAACCTACTCATCTGACAAAGGGCTAATATCCAGAATCTACAATGAACTCAAACAAATTTACAAGAAAAAAACAAACAACCCCATCAAAAAGTGGGCGAAGGATATGAACAGACACTTCTCAAAAGAAGACATTTATGCAGCCAAAAAACACAGGAAAAAATGTTCATCACCACTGGCCATCAGAGAAATGCAAATCAAAACCACAATGAGATACCATCTCACACCAGTTAGAATGGTGATCATTAAAAAGGCAGGAAACAACAGGTGCTGGAGAGGATGTGGAGAAATAGGAACACTTTTACACTGTTGGTGGGAATGTAAACTAGTTCAACCATTATGGAATTTGGTGTGGCGATTCCTCAGGGATGTAGAACTAGAAATACCATTTGACCCAGCCATCCCATTACTGGGTATATACCCAAAGGATTATAAATCATGCTGCTATAAAGACACATGCACACGTATGCTTATTGTGGCACTATTCACAATAGCAAAGACTTGGAACCAACCCAAATGTCCAACAATGATAGACTGGATTAAGAAAATGTGGCACATATATACAATGGAATACTATGCAGCCATAAAAAATGATGAGTTCATGTCCTTTGTAGGGACATGGATGAAGCTAGAAACCATCATTCTCAGCAAACTATCACAAGGACAAAAAACCAAACACCGCATGTTCTAACTCGTAGGTGGGAATTGAACAATGAGAACATATGGACACAGGAAGGGGAACATCATACACTGGGGACTGTTGTGGGGTGGGGGCAGGGGGGAGGGATAACATTAGGAGATATACCTAATGCTAAATGACGAGTTAATGGGTGCAGCACACCAACATGGCACATGTATACATATGTAACAAACCTGCACATTGTGCACATGTACCCTAAAACTTAAAATATAATAATAAAAAAACAATTAGTCAGGTGTGGTGGTGCACACCTATGGTCCTAGCTACTCAGGAGGCCAAGGCAAGAGGATCACTGGAGCCCAGGAGTTTGAGGCTGAAGTGATCTATGATCACTCCACTGCACTCCAGCCTGGACAACAGAGCAAAACCCCAACTCTAAAAAGAAAAGAAAAGGAAAGAGTGGAGAATCCTGCCTCTTAAAACCTTAGACAGGAAGTGCTAACTATTGCTTCTATTATATTACATTGAGAATTAGTCACATAGCCACACTTAAATACAAAGGCTTCTGAAAATATCTATGGCTGCACAGTTATCAATCAGAAACAACTCTACACCATGAAAGAGGGAGCGTAAATTTTTGGTGACCATCTCTACCTTTGAGTTGAACACACCATGGTAGTATCTCATGGCATAGTTATCCTGAATTCAGATGCTTGAACTTTTGTGAACGCAGAATTGGCCTATACATGGGACAGAAGATCTGAAATGAATAAAAAACATGACGATTCTTAAAAGAATTGCCTACATGTATAGTTATATTGATTCCTTAACCCATTTCTACCCAAAGTCTGCTCTCAAAATTTCACCTGACAATCTTGGTAAAAAATATATGGAGGTCTTCTACAGACTTAACCTGTACTTTTCAGTCTTTATGCTCATGAACCTTCACTGTATCTGACAATGTAACTGCTTCCTATTTCATAGTACTCTCTTCTCCTTTGTCCATACTCACCTCTTCCTCCCAGGTTCCTTTCCTAATGCTCTTTAAATGTTAGTAATCCTGATTCTGGCTCAGCACGCTTGCCTTCCCACACCTTCCTTGAATGATCTTATCCTTCGTATGATTAGAACTACCTGTATGCAGTCAGTACTCAAATTTATATCCTTAGACATTATCTTTAACCTGATCTTTGGACCTTACATTCATGCTGAACATTTTTCCTGGTTATCACACAAAAACTTTTACCTCATTAAGTTCAAACACACCTCTTCCTAAATCTTTTTCCCTTATTTGTTGCCTTAGCAATGGAACCACCATTTACCCAACTGAACAATCTAAAAACCTAGAATTCAAGATTAACCATATTTATTTCAACTCCATTAAATTAATCATAAGCATGACTGGCTTATGTTACCTCCTAAATAAATTTCAAATTCATTCCTTCCTATTCATTTCCCATTATTAATGCTTTAATTTGTAACATCAAATTTTCTCCTTTGAATCACTGAATTCATCTTGTTTTTGAATCACCTCTACTACAGTCTTCCTCTCTTGGAGTGCAAGCATTTGCTAATATTGATCCCACCCCAGATCTAGTTACTCAGAACACCCGAGATGGGGCCAGCATACACAATTTGCATTTGCACAGAAGATCTTAAGTAATTTTTATTACCAGTCAAATTAGGAAATCACTATATTTGGAAGGCCCAAATAACAGATTATATAGCAACCAACGCCTTTGTATTTTTTCTATGTTTTTATGGATCCTCTCTTGGTTTCCTACGCCCTGAAAACAACAAATGAGTGACACTGAGGCTCTGACAGGATATGTCTAATTACTTAAACACCTTCAAGTTCAATTCAATTACCATCACTACAAAGTGATTGTGAACTGGAGAAAACCCTGGATCACACTGTGAATTTTATATGCTCTTGTATTTAGTACATTAGTCAGGTCACAGAAATCTTTCTTGAGACCATATCAGGCAAATTTTAGGGGATAGATCAATGTATTGGCAATCTGAGATCTAACTATTGTATAACTCCAATGACTGAGCTATGAATGCATCACTTAAAAGAAAGAGAACAGAGTAGGGAATAGATGAGTTTGTGTCAGCATTTCTTAGATTTTGGCTACTTTATGCTGCAAGGAATTTGTTGGAAGGATATTAGGGATTCACTAAATTGGCTGGAGGTAGGAAAAAAGGGCTGGTCAATGGGCAGAAATTAAGGAAGTTTGGTGGTCTAGGAAGCAAGAAATAGAGCAACCAACTCATTAGCAGGAACAGGCTGGTCAAGATGCTGCCACCATAGCTCTTGGATAGAAGACCAGCAAGAGCTCATTCTGGCCATGCCTACCTTGTTTATCATCCAAAGTTCTCAGGAAGAATATCTAATTGATCAAAGTTAGGTCATTGCCAGCTCCCTTGATTACGCCAGTAGCAGGGAGACAGTAGATTCAACAGCCCAGATTTCCTAGTAGGAGGCAGGACTGATCACAATAAGGAAGAGCTCATTGTTCAAAAGGAAGTCAGGTCCTACTAAGAAGAGAGAGTAAATGCTAAGCAGCCAACAAAAAATAAATACCAGATGGGTGCAGTGGCTCATGCCTGTAATCCCAGCACTTTGAGAGGCCAGGAGTTCAAGACCAGCCTGGCTAACATAGTGAAACCGTGTCTCTACTAAAAATACAAAAATTGGCCTGGTGTGGTGGTGCACACCTGTAATCTCAGCCACTTGGGAGGCCAAGGCACAAGAATCGCTTCAACCCAGGAGGCAGAGGTTGCAGTGAGCCAATATGGCACCACTGCATTCCAGCCTGGGTGACAGAGCAAGATCCGGTCTCAAAAAAAAAACCAAACCAAATATATATTGCAGTGCACGTAAGGAATAATGAAGAGGAGAAGAAAAAGAAGGGAGAAAAAAAGATTGAGGAAATGAGGAAAATATTGGATTCAAACTTCACACAAACCACCACAGAGGAATTTTATTTTGCTTTGCTTTTTTGCTTTGCTTTTATTACTTTTTAAATTAATTGAAAGAAAATCTCTTATGAACTTGATAACAATACATCTGGTTCTAATAATCCTAGAAATCTCTATTTATAGACATTGAATATGTTGTTGAAATTAAATAAAATGCATGAACAAAATTTCAAGATACATTGAGGCTTTGCTTTCTCAATAAAGTATACTACAAAGGGAATAAAGAAATTCTTTACTCAAATTAACGGTGAATTCTTTTGTCATGAGAATAGGAGTTTATATTCATTTCAGTGAAAGCACATAAATTGTTCTAGACAAGAAAAACAAAACTAGCCCAAGGCAATATTTTCATTATAGAAAAAGGCACATGTCCATGAATATCTAGTTTAATATTAACAAAAGTCACTCAATTAGCTATGCATGTGCCATTGTTATAAATATTTATTCACATCTCAGCTAAGTAACACTTATATCTTGTAGTCACTGGTTCAGAGATTCAGATGTTATAAACATTACCCTTCTTGCCCTGGTGTGACATAGCGGATTTGAGTCCAAAAAAGGCCTGACACTTCTCAACAATGGAAATGCAAATTTCTTTAAAACTTTCATCTTTATGTTAAGGAAATTGCCTTTGTTGTTTGCTGGTTTTATTTCCTCTCTAAAATCATTAAAGGAAAAAAAAACCCTGATGAGCTAATATTGCTTGTGTAATAATGACAGTTATTAAAGATGTTAAAAATGGTTTCCTCTTTTCTGTCTCTTGGAATAGCTCTAGGTGGCCAAAAAAAAAAAGGTAAAACATGTAAAATTCAGGTGAATGAGACTATATAGAGCAAGGATGACAAAAGTTCTCATAGACAAGCAATTCTCTTGTCTGTGATAGGCATTGCTAATCAGTGTGCTGTTTCCTACTAAGCCTAGACGTGGTTTCCGTAGCCTGTATTCAATGCTCTTAGGTATTGGTCTTCCATCTATAGGACCTGGCACGTAAGACGAGACATTGTTGCTATACATAATTTAAACCAATTCAATTCATTTATGAAAAAAGATAAGTCTTTGCATGTGTCCCTTTTCAAAAGATGCATGGCAGCACCAATGACTCAATAGCCTCAATTTCTACTCTTTGAACAGCGTCAATCTGTCCAACCATTAGTTGTTAGAATGTCATATTTTTCCTTTTCCCCAGAAACTTGACTTTTCCTACCACCATGGCGAATAAATTTTCTAAACCCTTATATCCTTTCTCTTCTAGCTTTTTGTCTTTTCTTTTATCCTTCCCCCGATGACCAGTTGTTTCTTATTTTAGCAGCCTCTGTGCTAGAAATTGAACACACAAACACACACACACTTGCCACAGACATGCACACATGCACTTATTATTTTTATATACTCCAGAAAAATTCTGGTTCAAAGAAGGAAGCAAAGTGTTTTCTAAAATAAATATACATATTACCTGTAGATTTTAATTGTCTGAGCTTTACTCTCTGCCCCCTTAAATACATTCTACTTACTATTTACGGTTAAATTAATGTTTTATAAATATGTAAAATTTTATTTCACAAATACTCGAGAAATAACCTGTCAAAGATATTTTTCATGTTTCAGCAGATTTACCATTCTCCTTGATGTGTTAATAGTAAAACCTATTAAAACCTGTCTTTTAGAGGGCTGAAACTATCCCAGTTAGGCTCAAGCACTGCCCTCCTTCTTTATCTAGTCAATTTCTACTTATATTTATGCTTATTTCAGATATATTTTCTTTCATTTTTTTTTGTTTGTTTTTTGTTTTTTGTTTTTTTTTTTTGAGACAGAGTCTTGCTCTGTCACCCAGGCTGGAGTGCAGTGGTGCGATCTCGGCTCACTGCAACCTCGGCTTCCTGGGTTCAAGCGATTCTCCTGCCTCAGCCTCTTGACTAGCTAGGACTACAGACGCGCGCCACCATGCCAGGCAAATTTTTGTATTTTTAGTAGAGACGGGGTTTCACCATGTTGGCCAAGCTGGTCTTGAACTCCTTAACTCAAGCGATCTGCCCACGTCAGTCTCCGAAAGTGCTGGCATTACAGGCATGAGCCGCCGAGCCCAGCCTTCAGATGTATTTCAATGGTCACTTCCTCAAAGAAGCTTTCCTTCCTTTTTTCTTGGTTTAGTTTTAAGTTCACTTGTTACCGGTTATTAGTGACTAACACATAAGCTGATGCTCTTTTATTTACCTCAGTTTATGATCAGCCATTTATTGCTGCAATTTTTTTCTGTCGGTACCTGTTTCTACTACTAGACTGTGACCTCATGAGATCAGAAGCTGTATCTACTTTTCCTTCGCGTTATATTCCCAGTGCCTCACACAGTATGTGACCCATCTTGTGGTTCAATAAATAATTGTTTAGTGGATTAGTAAGTATTTAAGTTCAAGGTATGGATAACTAATGATAGTTTAATATGTCCCATATACTAAGTGCATTTTCAGGCAAGGGGAGAAAATATCTTAAAGGAATCTCCAATAGAAAATTTCAAGCATCTTCAACATGACGAAGAGAAAACTCTCCGTGGGAAGGGTTAGTGCTCCTTCCTATCACTCTTCAATGGATGCCACATAAGTGGCCTTCTAGTCCCTGCAATAAGATACAATAAGATATTGAGGATAGTTGCCTGCATTCTCAGAGTGTGTCACATTCCAGCTCCCTTTCTGTGACTGTGAACTCTCATCTTCCTCCAAACGGCCCTGCAGGGTTGATGGCTCTACATCAAGCAGCTAGGTTAGAGTTAGGAGATAACTTAAGCAATGGGATAGTAATGTTGTCCTTGCCCTGGGCTTAAAGTGACCTGGATAACACAAGATCCTTAGTACCGTCAGGCTTTTTCCTCTTTTTTTGTACCTTTGCATCAACATTATAAAAGTGATTGAAATTGCTATCCTCGGTTGGTGTGGAATTAAGGGGAGTCTTTGGTCCTTATAACCATTAAAGTCTTAATTAAGTCAAAAATGGGAACTCATTACCTCCTGTGCTGCTCCTGTGATCTAGCTTTCAGATTACATCACTGCCATAAGTGTGGGCCTGCAGTCTCTGCTTCTAACCAAAAGGCACCTTTTGCTCCAGAATGGTCATCATACAATCTTGTCTCTTCACAAAGGTTGTAGTCAACTTCTCATTGAACAATGCTTCTTTTTTTATTATCTAGAATAGCAGAAGGGATATAACATTTGAGCTTCAGGACAATGTTGGAACTTAAAAAAATTCCAGTGCAATGTAAAAGGCAAGTTATACATTTCTTGAGGAAAAAAAAAGACTATCTTACCCATTTTTAATGGCTTTCTCAGTAACTAGCAATTGCTGGTACTAGGCAAAAATTGTTCATTGGTTAACTGATTGTTTTTTAGTTGGACTGAATTGACACCATTGGTCAGGGTACCCACACTGTGTTAAATAAGAGTTGAGATCAGTGGTTCTTGAAATGCTGGTCCTAGGGCTACAGCAGGATCACTTTGACAGTGCTTAACAAAAGCAAACTACCATGCCGCACCATCCAAATAGTATGGTTCCTTGTGCATAGGATGATACCCTGAAAGCTGTGTTTTATAAATGTTCTCTACATGATTTACCAGATTTCAACAAATCTAAAATGCAATCAGCTATAGATGGGAGCATTATTTTACCTAGTTCTAGGAAAGAAAAAATGTTGTCAATTACACTGTAACACAGTGCTCATGATGTCATTGATGATAAGTTGCTTCCCAATGTCAGAGTTGTTAAAATCTGAAAACCCTGATTTAGATCATTTGGAGTGAAACAGGGTGCAGTGATGTTGAGGATAATCATGAAGAAACAACATTGGGTCACAGGAGGAGGAGGAGGAGGAAGACGACGACAGCAAGTAGGTAAGTAAATACTATTAACGGGGAAAAACCTACAGCCGCTTTCTATTTATCAATGAATAAGGTTGCAAATTGCTTCATGTGAATCTCCTTCTTTATGTCACAAAACTCAGAACACTAGGTCAAACAAAGCTTTTGGTTCAGTTTATAAATTCATTTTTGTAAGAAGCATAAAAAAATGAAATATTTAACCACATGAGCTATTTATTTAGATGCCTTTTTTGAAGGAAAAAATACAAAAAATATGATCTTATAATTATAGCAAAGAGAAACAGGAAATGATATTTATGTCAATGGTCAAGTAGATCTGATGTGGCAATTTGGATCTGTCAACCTGTGTTAACCTGGATAAGTCACACTTTATCAAATCTGCCCAATAGAAATATAATAAGAACCACTAATGAAACTTTAAATTTTCTAGTAGCCATATTTCAAAAAGTTAAAAGAAACACATGAAATTAGTTTTATTAGTCTATTTTATTAAATATAACATAAATAAGTATTATCACTTAAATATCTTATCAATAAAATAATGATGAATGAGATATTTAACATATTTTTCACATTGAGTTTTCAACTCTGGTGTGTATTTTACACTTATATCACATATCAGTTTTGACTAGCTACATTTCAAGTGCTCAATTGCCAAGTGAATATTGGAAAGTGAAGCTTTATATTCTCTCTAGCAATTTATATATCTAAAAATTATAAGAGTATTTGTCTCTCTACAATTACTTCATGTTGATGTAGCAGGGAAACTTACTGGAATGGGTGTTAAACTCCCTTAGAGAAGACTTCTATCCCATTTTTTATTATCATAGTTATTTAAAAACATAAATACAAAATGAATATGGTAATATGTTCTTGAAAATGAAGCTTGTATATATAGCTTTATCTAACTCAAAAACAAATTATGTTACATTGACAGGCATAGCCTTATGTAACTCATATACATATTTTACATATACACATAGTAGATAAATTTGTATATATGTCAGCCTCAAAATCAGATTCAGATTTTGCTCATAAAAGACTCTGAATAGATAGCTGAAATATATGGAATATAAAAAATGTAAGACAGTCCCTGCTCTCGAGGAATTTACACTCCAGTTGAGGAAAAATGTCTATACTCTGTCTAAATGCAGGAGCTCCAGTGTGCTCTAAAATACTGCTCAAATTACCTTCACACACTGGAATTCTGTAATGTTAAATATAACATGAAATACACAAGATATTAGATAGATGTTACATATCCTTTTGGCAGGCAGGAATTTTCATTGTAATGAATTCATGTAATAGATGACCAGTAATCTTACTGAGCATCAATTCTGATGCCATAGAAATTTGAATTCTCAGAGGATTTCAAAGTAACCCATAGTACACTTAAAACAGCTCTTGCTGGGCATGGTGGCTTGTACCTGCAATCCCTTTGGAATTACAGAACTTTGGGATGCCAAAGTGGGAGGATCACTTAAGCTCAGCCTTTCAAGAGCAGTCTAAGCAACATAGAGAGACCACATCTGTAGAAAGAATTAAAAAATTAGCCAGCTGTTCTGGCCAGTGCCTGTAGTCCTAGCTACTTGGAGGCTGAGGCAAGAGTATCCCTTGAGCCTAAGAGGTTAAGGCTGCAGTAAGCCATGATAGCACCACTGTACTCCAGCCTGGGTGACAGTGACAGGGTGAGACCTTGTCTCAAAAGCATACATACATACATACATACAAGCAGTTCTTGTGGTATCATCTTAGTTTTTGTAATGGTTCTTAATAAACCATGTATGTCTGCCCTTGGAATGACATGACTACAAAAATAAATACTGATTATGATTGTAAAATATAATCAAAATCAAATTTACCACTAAGAACCACAGAAACCATTGAAGTCAAGCTGTATTCTACATAAACATGTCCTAAATTTAATTTTTCCTTGAGAATTTCCAAGTCAAAATAGGAGACTCCCATGCCACATGAAACCACATGCTCAGACACTGCCAATGGGCAGCCACATGGCTGTTAGTCAGCTCTTTCTTCCTTTGACACCCCTGCCTGATAAATGCTAGATATGTTGATTCATGGTCTTTTGCAGATGCCTTAAAATCTCCTGAATAAGAAATGGGAAAGAAAATCCCCTGTTCACTTATTGTATCAATTTAATACCAAGTTAAGAAATCCTACTTGTGAATGAAATCCTGTTTTCTGAGTTGAACATTCAAACAAATTGCAGTACAAGAAGCCAAATAGAGAAGTGCAGTGATAAAATATCAAAGATTAAAAGCCTATTTTATTTTAGTTCTTTTGAATCTTTCTCTCATTAGCCTTTTATTTTACATCCTTCTCCAAAATTGCCTGATGTCTGATGGTTCTGAAGAGAAAATGGAAAAGGATCTTGGCATCTTATCAGAAGCCGAATTATTGAGTAGATTTACATCCCTCCATAAGGTTGGCTTAGAGATATGTATGTCTCCCATCAAGCTCATATAACCTTCCCTCTGACTTAAACCACAGGTAATCAATTCCATGGCAATAGAAAGAGACTTACCTATTTCTTGGAAAAGAATAGAACAAACAAATGGTTGGACAACTGCAGCTGTATTAATATACATGAGAAAGAAACACCTAGTGTTATTCTACAAAAACGAATGAATGAATAAATAAATAGACTCTAAGCACTTTATTCTTCTCACATAATTTCTTCCCAGTGACATTATTGAACAGGCTGTTGAAAACAAACATCGTTAAATGAGAAAAGAAGAACAGCAGCCTTTCTTATTCTCCGCTGCAACATTTTCCAATGACGAATGCTCCCTAAATGGATTTAGCTTTTTGAAAAGAAGTCAGAGAGAAATCTGATGTGGCTCCCTGACCCCTGGTAAGCACATGTATCTTCACCTGTCACATAACACACTGGCACTTGCTTACTTTTCAGCAAAGACTATTGATTTTGCTTATTGGCTGCAGGCGAGTCCATAAAGAACAAATTACAAAGTCAGAGGTCCACAGTTAGCAATTGCTTGCGTGATAACAGGGACTTCACTTCACCCCACACCATTCACCATTAACATTCTCACAACCCCAGCCAAAGGAGAAACCTGGGTAAGAAAACTAGGATGTGTTTTAAACTGTTGTAAAGTCAGTGTTGTATACAAAGGTTTCTGTAAAGGATAAAACCACAGGAAATGGGCTACAATTGTAGGGTATAGTACACGGGAGTGTGTGTGTGTACATTTGTCAGTAATGAAGGGAAAGCAGAACCCTTAGAGAAGAGAAGACACACCATTCTAGATATAGAAAAGGGAACAGGAATGGGCATCACATGTAGCTGTGAAATTATTTTTGAGGCTTAAAATATAATCACATAGACTGATTTAGGTATATTTTTGCCTAAAGGCAATTTATGGACTGGGCGATTTCTCAAGATAGCTTCTAGGCTGAAGAATGTATGATTTTCTTCTGAGAGATTTAAGGATGGCAGAACATGTTTGCTCTATAATTAAACAAAGTCTATAGGTCAAACTCCAACAAATAAACCAAAATAAGATGGAAAGCAATGTGACTCAGCTCAACTTGATGACACGAAGTTGACCACTCTTTCATTAATTCATTACTATCAGCACCTTAAATAGTTTAATCAACTAGATCAAGCATACAGTGAGCTGAATCTATTGTATAAACTCCTGAAAACCATTTTTCCATGTGACAATTTTCAATAGGGCTACAGTCCAAAATATGTTGATCACTATAGCCAATAGCCTGAAAATCTGGGGAAATTAGTGGATGTATTTATAATAATTATTATAGATTATCTGACATTTTTTGGACCTAAGATTATAGTCTAAATCTAAACATGACGACAGTCATAATTAAAGTGAAGAGACATAGGATTAAAAAAAATACAGGTCATAAAATTCCTATATCATTCACATAAATGAATCTTCTAGCATTTCTAATTCTTCAGAGGGCAGATATTAGAGTCATGTATTGGAGGTATGAAATTACGGATGGACGTGGAGATGGAGAGGGGCTCCACTCTAAGGTTTCATGGAGCTTGATCAGGAAAATAAATACTTGAGAAATATATGCAAAAATTATCATCAGGTCATGTTGGCCACATAGAATAGATACCCAATAATCAAGATTATCACAGAGCCCTGAGGTTCAGGCATGTGCTTTAACCCTAGCATTTAAAAAAAACTGAAGATTTAGTCTGACTTTTGCACTTATTTGCTGAAAGTCACTTACTATATTTGAGGGATGCCATGATAAAGAGACCAATCCACAGGCCTTAAATAGCTGCACGGAAAGAAAAACTTCTAAATATATCTCCCCACAAGGCATGGACCCTTATGAATATTAGTATGCATTAACATCATTCTGACAGAACTGCTGAACTAGATTGCAGTTTTAAGTGAAAATTAGAATCCTGGTCACTTTATTTCAGATGACACCTCAGAGATTCCCAGGTAAATTCACCCCAGAGAGAGTTTTCAAGAAATGTTTGGCTATGCAAATTACCTGCTAAAATGGATCTGGTTGCAATGGCTTGCAGGAGGATTATGTGAGCTTGGAATGAAAATGACAAGTCCGGCTTGGGGCTCAGGGTATGAAACACAGTTGAGAGTTATTGGCTGCCCCCTTAGGCCTTATAAAATACACAGAATGTCGAGCAAGGAAAAGTCTCAGACTAAAGCCAAACTTTTTGCATTCCCATGATGCTCCCCTAACATCCCTCCTATCTCCCTTGGAGTCCCACAGCCCTCAAGCACGTGGACTTTTTGCATTGTCAGGTGGATGGAATAAGTTTGTCATCATCTTCGGCTAGTAGTAGCTGTGAACTGGTTTGGGGATTGAGAGAGGAGTTGGGACATTTATGATCTTCCACAATGATTGCTATTGCTAATTCTGCTGTGAAATATGCAGAGCATCTGGAGAGGGAATTCAATAAAGTGTGGCCAAAATAGCACTCACTTTATGCCCTAGCTTCTGGCAACCGTTTAAGACAGCACTGAGACAGATCATATGACTTCAGCCCTTGCAAGACCTCATCACTTTTCATGGGAGAACTGAAAAGTGCTGATCCTGGAGCGTTTATGCTGATGGAACACAGATAAAAATCTGCAGGTGTAACTTTTTTAAAATTTAGTACATGAAGCATAAAAAAATATATCAGTCCCACTATACATCATTGAGACCCAACTGCACACCATCTTGTAGACAGAAAAATACCATCAGACTCTTTCAATGTGTAAGAAAGCATATACAGACCTATGCCATAACAAACAAAAAGTTTATAAATGCCCCCTCTGTAATGTGTAAAATATATCAAGTAGGGTATTCACTTATTATAACCCTAAGGGTACCTATCTTTTCCATGTAAATATATCAAATATTACTGACACATATTTTCATCACCTAATTTGTCATAGAATGAAAGCTTGTTCTGTGGAATGCTTGAAGAAATATTGAGAGGAAAAAAAAAGATAAAGAAGATGGGTAGTTCCGTAAGAACCAGAGGTGTAAATAGCTAGGCTGTAGATGAAGGGAGAAAAGAAGAAAATAATGGAACCCTAGTAGAAGGATGACCTTCTGAAGGTACACTGAAGTTAGGTCCTAATTTCCTCATGAAAAGGTGAATTAAACTAGATTTGGAATCTAATTCAAAACTCAGTCCTAAGAACTCAATCAAGAAAATCAGCTTTGGTCATGCAAAGACAGTTTGTATGCTTCGAAGATACACAAATCCACTTTTTCCTAACGTAGGGGAGCTTATAGTAAATCACAGAATATAATGAAGTTGTTTTGGAAAATGGTTTTAATTGCCTGGTTCCTGTGGCCTGAAGAAATTAAAAGTGCTTTACCAAATTTACCAAATCCTCACCTCCTTCCAAATGCTTCCTCAAACATAAGATGTCTGAAATTCACACCATCTTCAAACCCACTTCACCCTGCCATCTTCTTTTTCTGAGCTCAGTTTCGTAGCTCCATGAATGACGCAACCAGTACTTGAGATGGAAATGTTGATGTCTTTTCTAAAAAAATAGAGACAGGGTCTTTCTCTGTTGCCTAGGCTGGAGTGCAGTGTCATGATCATAGCTCACTGTAATCTCAAGCTCCTGGGCTCAAGCGATCCTCCTGCCTCCCCCGCCTGAGTAGCTGGGACTGCAGGCATGCTCCACCATGTCCAGGTAATTTTTAAAAAATGTTTATAGAGACAGGGGTCTCATGATGTTGCCAGGCTGGTTTTGAACTCCTGGCCTTAAGTGATTCTCCTGCCCTAGCCTCCCAAAGCGCTGGGATTACTTACAGGCATGAGCCACCATGCCTGGCCCTGAAGCCTTTCTATGAACCTCTTTTTCCTTTTTTCCCCTACATCCTCAGTCACCAGGTTTCACATATTTTATGCCTAAATAATCTGACCTATAATTTTCTCCCTCCAATTCTTAATTGAGACCCTTTTAATGCTTTCTCTTAATTATTATACTTCCTAACTTTGTAATGATGTAACTCAGATGTCACTCACCTATCTTAATAAGTCCTCCTCACTGCTACCAGAGAAGTCCTGCCAGAGGAAAACCTGCTTATGTTACTCTCCTGTACTAAACCTTTCAATGGCTCCCTCTTGCCCTCTAGAATCAAATCTGAATACCTCAGGGTGGCATGAAGGACATTTCCTCTTCTGACCTCTGGCTTTCTATTCAGCCTCATCTTCCAAAACCCTACATTCACCCATATTCACAGTCCACTTCTAGCTAAAAGAAGCCATTCCTCTGCCCCCCTGCACCTGCTTCCCTCAGCCCATTCACTGAACTAGACTTCAACAATGAATAAAGAAGAAAATGTAAAGCCCATAGACCAAAGATTCCTAGACTGTGTTTTAAGATATATCCAAGCAAACCATATTTTTACATTTCCTCAAAATGTGTCTCTTTCATCAGCTTGGTTCCTACACACCAAAAGAACCCTTTGAGGTTTCAGACCATTATCTTTGTTATGAGCTCTGAAAAACTCATTTGGAAACTCTGAGCTGGGTAAAAGCCTGAATCTGCCTTCTCTTCAAAAATATGAATGCTATTATATGAGTGGAAAGTTATGTGTATGTAGGCAACCAGGAGACTCTAGGAGCGACTGGAAATTTTAAAAAGACACCAGGTGGTATTTTAAGAATATTTTTTCTACTATAAGACCTTATCAGCAAAATAACAGGCTGTAGTCTAGGACATCTGATCCCCTTGGAAACCACTGAATCATTTCAAAACAATGAAAAACAGTCGCCAAAAATCCCAGTAACTGAGTGTCTATGAAGAAACTTCTCTAGTAAGCACCAACTTGTACTCCACATAGATATAATGTTTATGAGGATTTTGAATTTATAAAAGATAATGTTCTAGCCTAACATGGAATTTAATAGCACACATCCATTTGTATATTGACACTTAAAGAATTAAAAGAGCAGATCTATCCACATGGCACTTGGTAGAGACTGGTGTTTGAAGGTCCCTGAAGGGCAGCACTGCCAAGTGTACAGAGGAGAGAATCTTTCTTTTCTTTGCAAGAGCAGCGGTGAGAATACCTTCGCATCTCTGGCTCCAGAAGAAGCTTTATTATTCTTGCAGGAGGCAGAAGAGAGAATCAGGTTGATGGTCTTGAAACAGTCAAAGCCAAATATGACCGAGCAATAAAGTGTTGTGGATGCCTTTAAACTGAGGCCTCTTGCAGTTGCCTAGTTCAATACTGAGAAAAAAATTCAGAAAAATTTTTTTACAAGTAACCCAATTAGCACCTAAGGGAACCATGTAATTTGAGTTTTAAATAAGTCACTTCAAGAAACAACTCTCTCATCTTCAAATTCAGTTTGAGCTGATTCAAATTCAGTTATTTCTTCAATCATTACTGTACATGTATACTCAATTGAGATTTTATTAATGCTTTTCGGTTGTTTGATCCTGCATTCAGACTGTGAATAATGGCTTTATCTCTGTTATTAACAAACAGACATGAAATTTTTGAACTACATAGTTGTCTAAGAAGCAAACATCCTACAAACATACTTTTCCAGTTCTCAGAGAGATGAAAATCAAATGTTTTTATCATGACGCTTGAAAATTTTCTAACAGATTGTTATTTTTACCTGCATTTCCAGAAGCAAATCCTGAGAGATGAATTAACTGTCCAGAAGTCTTATCTAAGAAGAAAATATATACTTCCATTACATCAATCTCTGCTGTAACTGGTGATATTCCCCATCACTGAAGCAGGCAAAGAATCTTTCCCTTTTTTTTTTTTTTTTTTTTTTGATACGGAGTCTCGCTCTGTCGCCCAGGCTGGAGTGCAGTGGCGCTATCTCGGCTCACTGCAAGTTCTCCCTCCCGGGTTCATGCCATTCTCCTTCCTCAGCCTCCCGAGTAGCTGGGACTACAGGCACCCGCCACCACGCCCGGCTAATTTTTTGTATATTTAGTAGAGACGGGGTTTCACCGTGTTAGCCAGGATGGCCTCCGTCTCCTGACCTCGTGATCCGCCCACCTCAGCCTCCCAACGTGCTGGGATTACAGGCGTGAGCCACTGTGCCCGGCTCCTCTCCCCTTCTTTAGACAATTGTCTCATTATGGTTTGGCTTGGCTCTGTGTCCTAGACTCAGGATGGCCAATCGGGAGTCATTACTGCTCTTTCCTGCATTACAATTCACGCAGTGGATCCTAAGAGATTTGTGCACGTTACTCATTTCTCCAACAGTTCCACGTACCACAATCTGCCCTTATTCCAGCCCTTTCCAATCTATGAGTTCTCAAAAAAGGAAATGCCAGAGCTTACATTCCATTGAGAATGCTCTTAACTCTAAAGTACACACAGAATATTCTCATGGTACAGACTGCTTTATCGCTTTAGTTTAGTATCTACGAAAAAAAAACCACTAATACGGTTGAAGATATCATATTTAAACTGGATGTGAGATCTTTTGGCAACTTCGATTTCTAGGACACTTCCAAGTACTCCTTGGTAGTATGTTATAATTACTACTAATAATAACTTACATTTATTGAGTACTTACTATATGCAAAACTATATCTTTTTTAATCCTCATAGCAATCCTATAAAATAGATACTCTTACTACCTTTTATTTTACAGATAAAAGTAGGCTTCCCATGTGCCACTACACACATTATTACCAAGACTGTAAGTACCCATTAGCAAGTCATCACCTCCCCAGAATGCTGAAACTGAAATAGGTCCTCCAATTTCTCAGGAAACTAAAGTCTACCACCCACACAGCTTTTAAATAGTGCAGCATTTTCCCTCATGGTTCCCAACATTGTGTAATCTAATGTTTCAGAAAATGTGATCCCTCTTAAAGGCAAAGTCTTCACTCAGTGGAAATCAATGTTCACTTTTTGTGTGAAATGCTTTACCTTAAAGAATAAACACTGTGTTTTGTGTATATGTCAGTCATAGAATATACTGAATATTGAATACAGTTGATGCTATCAAATATCTATGATTTACCTATTTATTATATCGATTTATTATAAAGACCTATTATAATGGTAATATGATAGCATCCTACTGTTAGCATTAATTTGTAGCATTTCATGTTAATATCATCAAACTTTTGTCACAAAGATCTATTAGCCATCATTATAAATAATTTCAATTTCATTTTGTCTACAAAAGAACTTGTTTTCTTTTTCAACATATCTAGGAGATTCTCTACACTGATAGGAAGTCACAATTAAATCTGACATAATTTTCTCTTTGACCACTCACTTATACCCTTCTTGTGGGCCTGGACTGCATGTCACTAGATAAGTTTCTTTCTGACTATGAGATTCTTTCATCAAATAGGCCTGGTTCACAAACTAGAAAATAACCAGCTTATATTATTATTTAAAGGAAATATCAGGGACCCAAAGTATCTTTGATCTGGTTTTGTCTGTCTTGAGAGTTCAAATCATAATATTATAGCAAGTCAGAGCTGGGAGGAAACTTAAGAATGAATTTCAATTCCCACATACTGTAGAGAAAATGGGATTCCAGAGAGATCAAATGACTGATTTCTGAACATACAGGATTAGTAGTTTCTGACTCATAGTTTATGGCCTGTGCCACTTTTTCACACAGTTTCATGACGGATATTCTGAAAAGGGAAACAGATTGTTGATTGAATTGAATAATCACGACACATGAAGAGAGGCATCCTGCTCATGTATCTATACAAGGCAGGGTAGCAAGAAACCAGTACCAGGGTAGCCCCCACTAATTCATTGACTCCACAAACATTATGCTAGGCATTTTGTTTCTGTTACATCTTTCAAAACACATGATAACTCCAAAAAGTTTTCCATATGAGATAGAGAAGCTGGGGGAACTCAACTAACTTGGCTGAAGTCACGGATTTAGTAAATGGCTCGTCTAGGTTTCAAAACTTAAGTTTTTCTGACTCTAAGCCAGGTTCTTGTCAGTATGATATGCTGTTTAGCATTTGAGCAAAGGGAGGTGATTTATTGTTTTAAAATAGAGTGATATATTGGAAGAGAGTGTTAGGAACTGAAAACTTGGCTTTCCTTTTCAGCTCATTGGAGAGACTGCAGAGTAAAAAGTATACAGGATGAGAACTGTTTGCTCGCTTACAGTGTGAACATTCTGTACTTTTCATCATAGCTGTTTGATATTTTAGGACTATTGATTAGGTGATTTTTCTGACGAGGTACTTTATTTTGTGGGTTGTTTCAATGTCCGGCTGCAACTCATTTTAGCAAAATGACACGCCTCTTCCCTGCCAAAGAGTATGTAATGTAACATGACTCATCAGAAAAGTAACATGACACATCAAAAATAAATGCTCATGACTACTGATTTAGGTAGCTAATAAAGGCAAGAACATTGTATTATTTATGTCTAGATAATATTCATGGATAATTCATTTTGCTCAAATCCCTAGAGATGAAGCTGCTAAGGCAAATGCACTGTTTCTGTGGACTTTGCTAAATCAAACCAGATGTGCTGCAAGATACATTTTTATCAAAAGTTCTACTTTATAAATAGGCCCACCAGCCAGACTCATTTTCAGATACCTTGTCTTGGGTATTATGAGAAACAATCTGTTTCAGAGAACTAAAGTTTCCCATCAGGTTTCTCACTATGAACTAATATTTGTTTTAATCCTTTACCCTCATTGTACTCCTCAAACCAGGGTGGGAAGATCTTGCTAAAAAGTAGAAAGGAATCACTGGTCTAACTCCTGCTTTATTGGGCTAGAGATTAAGGTGTATTTCAGTAAAACAACAATCAGTAACACAGAGATACATATTAATGAAGACTCCCTTATTTGGATATTTTTTATAGTTCCCTACAATTTAAATAGCTTCTAACTTTCTAAATTGTCAATATAACCTATGTACTTCATTCCTTTTATTTGGATTATTGCCATCATTCCTTGGAAATGTAGAAGAGCACATGGAAGATTCTATACAAAATGGGAGGCAATTGAGCTGATGGGAAAGAACAGAGACTGGAGACTAAGATAGACCTTAGTTCAAATACTCATGTCACCATTTACTTTTTGTGCAGTCCTGGGAAAGTCAGTCTCTTCATGCCTCAGACATCTTCTCTATAATATCCTACTTTTTAGGATGGCTATGAGGCTTAAATAAGATAATGTGTGCATATGCATGTTTATAATAGCACAATTTGTAATTGCAAATATATGGAACCAGCCCAAATACCCATGAATCAATGAGTGGATAAAGAAAATGTGATATATATATATATATACACATATACATATACATACGCACACACCATGGAACACTACTCAGCCACAGAACAGAATGAAATAATGGCATTCACAGCAACCTAGATAGAATTGGAAACCATTATTCTAAGTGAAGTAACTCAGGAATGGAAAATCAAATATCATATGTCCTCACTCACAAGTGGGGGGTAAGCTAAGAGGATGCAAAAGCATAAGAATGATACAATGGACTTTGGGGACTTGGAGGAAAGGGTGGGGGGCTGAGGGATAAAAGACGACACATTGGGTACTGTGTACACTGACTGCTTGGGTAACGGGTACACCAAAATCTCAGAAATCATCACTAAAGAACTTATTCATGTAACCAAACCACCTGTTCCTCAAAAACCTGTTGAAATAAAAATTGTTTTAAGATAATGTGTGTATAGAGCCTTGCACATAATAGTTGCTTGATATGGTTAGGCTTTGTGTCCCCAGCCAAATCTTATCTTAAATTGTAATCCCCATAATCCCTGTGTGTCAACAGAGAGACAAGGTGGAGGTAATTGAATAACGGGGGCAGTTTCCCCTATGCTGTTCTGGTGATAGTAAGTTCTCACGAGATCTGATGGTTTTATAAGGGGCTCTTCCCCCTTCACACTGCACTTCTCATTCCTGCTGCCTTGTGAAGAAGGTGCCTTGCTTGCCCTTTGCCATCTCTCATGACTGTAAGTTTCCTGAGGCCTTCCCAAGCATGCTGAACTGTGAGTCAATTAAACCTCTTTCCTCTATAAAGTACCTAGTCTCAGGCAGTTCTTAATAGCAGTGTGAAAATTGACTAATACCTTGCTCAATAAATGGAGACTATTTTTAGTGGTAAAAATAATAGTGTAAAATAAACTTGGAATTTTCTACAAAGCCACAACTCCTCACAGATCTCATACACAGGAGTGCAAATAAAATATTCATATATTTTCAACCATTTTAGGGAACCTTGAAAGACACCAAACTAAAGAGAAACAATTGCCCCTTGGAAAAGATGCTGCTAAAATTAAGAAAATTCCTAATGATTACTTTCTCCTGACTGGTTTTTGATTCATCATTTTTATTATTTTAAGGCAAAATATACAATGTATTGAATTTAAACTGCCATTAGTAACCATATATAGCACAAATTGTATAAAACACTTTTGTGAGTTTATATGTAAGTCTTTCCAAACAGGCTATTATCCTCCAAGGCTAGAAACCTGATTTTACTTTGTATTTGCAGCACATTTCATGGAATCTGACACATAGATGTTAAATAAATGTTGAGAAACTCATGGATAAATTATTTCTCCTGTTTCTAGAAAAGAATGAAAAAGTGACAGTGCTTGTTAGATAATGAGTAATGCGCTTTACATTTTTATCAGATGATTATGTTGTGTTTGAACACAGACATTTGAAAAGTTTATGGTAGTTAGAGAGATAGAGTATTTTAAAAGCAATATTTATTGACCTTTCTCCTCGTATTCCTTTTTTACCTTTGTTATAATTTTTTTCATACTTATACTATAGTGTGTGTGTGCATGTGTGTGTATGAGACACAAAAGTGGAAGGGTTTGAATTTGCCTCCCTCCTGTTTTTTTAATGTCAGTATCCAGCTGCATTAGACAAAGTATTTAGCCCAGACTGAATATATGTACACACTTCTTGCTATATTTACACGTAGTTCTACTTCACAGACTGGAAACCCAATTGGAAATAAAACACGATCAGAGAAATCTATATCTTATGTCAGTAGCTCCTGTTTGAAATAAATAAAATATGAATTTAAAACGATTCTATCATTTACTAAAACTTTTAATCCCCAAATTGCCCATTCGTGAATATTCCTTGTCATCAACCCTCTTGGCAGCCCTAGAAACTGATCTCCACTAAGTGAATGAAAGAAATTCTTCAAATTTGTAACAAGCAACATGACAGTTGGTTGTAGTTTGCATAGAGTAGAAAACAAAAACCTAAAAAGATGAAAATATTTTTAGAATGTCAACAAATCAAATTGATTTAAAAGTAACCATTTACTTGATTGGCAAAAAGGCAAATATGCATTTGTTCCTGGCCTAGCACTGTGTATGGCACATAGTAAGCGCTCAGTGAATATTTGTTGAACTGAACTGTTAAACTGAATAGACACAGCCCAGGAGTCAGTTTCATCACTGGCAATATGGTGGGTATTCAGTCATCCCCATGAACAAATAGGAGCAACTGTAAAGTAATCCCTTTCAGAAATTGATATTTAAAAAGCAGCTAGTTGAATCAGTAGCTTGAATAAAACATTCATTGGAACCCACTTATGATGATTAGCAAGCCAAAGGAAGCTTTTCTGCCACAGTCGACAGAAACATGGCATTGTGTTAGAGCAATCCAAGGAAGGTAGCAGAGGGCAAAACAGAGCTGAAGGTGACATCACCTCAATGCATGGAAACAGATTCACAGCACTGGTTTAAGGAACACCAGCATTGGCATTCAGAATAAATGGGAAAAGGGTTTCTGTCACTGCACGTAGCTCTTTGCGGAGATGAAATGGGACAAAACACACTGAGCAGTGAACTAAATGTTCTCATGGTCTGATTATCTATATACCTTTTCCTACATTCATTATTTTAAAAATTACGATTTTGCTCTGTTCTTCTCTCAATCCTGACTTAGCATGTAAATGAATTCATTAAACTATCTCAAATTACTGATAATAGAAATGATAAATGCAGCCTCTCTCTGCACATTCTTTCTGGCAATCACTACTGCTAGAGATGCAACAAGAAGAGCTCTTGCTGCAAAGTGAATTTGAAAGACAAACTTAAAATCTGTCCTACAGGATTGTAATGCATCAAATGTGACATATCGAAGCAACACCATGGATAACATTGAGGCAATGCATTGAGGAAGAGCTGAATTAAGAAGTATGTGTTTAAAATTTACAAGAAAAAAACATTAAGGAATGGGCAAAGGACATGAACAGACACTTCTCAAAAGAAGACATTTATGCAGCCAACAAACATGAAAAAGAGCTCAACATCACTAACCATTAGAGAAATGCAAATTAAAACTGCAATGAGTGGTGAAACCCTGTGTCTACTAAAAATACAAAAAATTAGCCAGGCGCAGTGGCGGACACCTGTAGTCCCAGCTACTCAGGAGGCTGAGGCGGGAGAATGGCATGAACCCGGGAGGCAGAACTTGCAATGAGCAGAGATTGCGCCACTGCACTCTAGCCTGGGTGACAGAGCGAGACTCCATCTCAAAAAAAAAAAAAGAAAGAAAGAAAAAAAACACAATGAGATACATCTTTGCCAGTCAGAATGGCGATTATTAAAAAATCAAGAAACAACAAATGCTGGCAAGGTTGTGGAGAAATAGGAATGTTTTTATACTATTGGTGGGGATGTAAATTAGTTCAACTATTGTGGAAGATGGTGTGGCGATTCCTCAAAGATCTAGAACCAGAAATACCATTTGACCCAGCAATCCTATTACTGGGTATATACCCAAAGGAATATAAATCTTTCTATTACAAAGATAAATGCATGCATATGTTCATCGCAGCACTATCCACAATAGCAAAGACATGGAATCAATCCAAATGCCCATCAGTGACAGGCTAGATATACACCATGGAATACTATGCATCCATAAAGAGGAACGGGATCAGGTCCTTTGCAGGGACATAGATGGAGCTGGAAGCCATTATCCTCAGCAAACTATCGCAGGAAAAGAAAACCAAACACCGCATGTTCTCATTTATAAATGGGAGCTGAACAATGTGAACACATGGACACAGGGAGGGGAACAACGCACACTGAGACTGAGGAAAAATAGCTAATGCATGCTGGGCTTAATACCGAGGTGATGGGTTGACAGGTGCAGCAAACCACCATGGCACCCGTTTACATATGTAACAAACCTGTACATTGTGCACATGTACCCTGGAACTTAAAATTAAAATTAAAATTAAAAAAATAAGTATGTGTTTACTACCTTGTACAAAGCATGATAAAAATTGGTTCAAATATGAGAATTGGGCTCTGTGGGTGTGGTGATACTATAGGACATTTCTTGCATAGTACATTTCTTAAAGTATTTTACAAGAGGTATTTGGGTTTCTAATCCCACCAGAGGAACACAACAAACAAAACAAAACAAAAAGAATGCTTAAGCTGTTCTGCCACTGATGAAAGAATAATATAATAAATAGCATGTATCTTGCCATTGTGAATTCTGTGCCAATTGAAGAATAAGACAAAAGTCAGCAGGTGAAACCAAAATGTCACTTTTGCTACTGTTAAAGAATAATTTGAACAATACAGTATACATGGTATTTTGAGACAAATCAACCTGTTACCTGAACAAGAGGATCTGGCAGACTTACCTGCCCAATCTCAGGTAGGGCTGGTGGATGACAGCCCCATCCTTTCACCACTACCCATCACGTGACAAGAAAAGAACCTGTCCTGGTGGAGGCAGGTGGAAGAATGACTGTTTGCTGTGAACAGCTTGGCTTCAGTAAGGAAGGTAGCAATAGACTGAGCATTCCCAGTTCATTCTTTCCTATTTTACCAGCAATATTTTCTATGTCAATGACAATGAATGCAACATTAGGAGTGGAAAGCAGTGTTCTCTTCTTCACAGAATAAATTGGCACAAAATTATTGATATTTTCTTGTCAACCTAGCTCAACTTAGATTTCCAATTATTATAATTTGATTTTATTCCCAAAATGAGTATTCTCTTCTATCTACTTCCAAAATACATACATTGTTAATCATAGATACTATAAACACCTTACTCTTGAATGAATTTATATTTTTACTCTGCTCTCAGTAGTTCTTTCACACACAGTCATGCTTTGCTTAATGATGGAGATACTTCATTAGGTAATTTCATCATTGTGTGAACATCATGAAGCATACTTACACAAACCTAGATGCTATAACCTACTACACACCTAGGATATATGGCATAGCCTATTGCTCCTAGGCTACAGACCTGTACAGCATGTTACTGTACTGAATACTACAGGTAATTGTAACACAATGATAAGTATTGGTGTATCTAAACATAGAAAAAGTACAGTAAAAATATGGTATTGTAACCTTATAGGACCATAGCCATATGCTTGGTTCATCATTGGCCAGAATGCTGTTATATGGAACCTGATTGTACTCTATAAATGCTGATTTATACTGCATACTTCTAGTTTCCAGGAGCACACCTATATGGTTATGTAATACAGTACTTAGCAGAGTACTACATGCAATTAGATGTTAAACATGTGCTCTGACAAAAACTTACGTTGAACAATATAGCATATTTCCTGTACTTATCTTTTTTCCCCAGGAGCTGCAATTTCTCCATCTATTCTC
This sequence comes from Homo sapiens, assembly GCF_000001405.40. Classification (NCBI taxonomy): domain Eukaryota; kingdom Metazoa; phylum Chordata; class Mammalia; order Primates; family Hominidae; genus Homo; species Homo sapiens. Next base: position 217,282,478 of record NC_000001.11, read on the forward strand.
CATCTATACTAACTATTAAAAGATTTAGTTTTGCCTCTAAGGGAATTAAAGAGATTTGTAGCTAGAACAAAGCTATGGCCAGAACAAGAGAACATTACCTTTACTGTCAGCACAGTGTTAGCAAACATAGACCATTGTTTTAGTTTCAGTCTACAGTATATCACTGTTTTTCTACTTATTTGAGGTTATTCGCTGTAATACAAGTGTAAAAAATGTGACAATGTTGAGTAGGTTGGAAGAGGTAAACGATAATGATAGACCTAGAAGTGAACCTCAACTTTACCAAGATACCATGCCCTCATCAATTGAAATATGTCACATTGGATTTGCTAACAAATGGAACTGGGAAAAGCCTTTTGAAATCTAAACTATTTGTAAGTAGAGGTACTTCTTTATCACAGGGAGTAAGTTTTATGTTTTCATTCAGGCAGAGTTAAATGATTTGTTACTGTGTTTCAACATATGTTGCATCAGGCAGAACTGGATCTTATTTGCATTTCACACAATAACAACTAGAATTTTATTCTTATTTTTATATTCAATGAGTATAATTTTCCTGCTAAGATTTAAAGAGAGGTCTTCCCTTTTCAGAAGTTTGGTATACCAGATAAACTGAGGGAACTTCCTTCTGCAAAACATACTTGTGAATGTACTCCTCTACCTAGTGGAAGAAAGGAAATCTCCAAGTATCTCTCCCCTACCCCACTTCAAAAGGGGGAGAACCAACCATAGAGATGAATGACTGCTGGGAGCAGTGAGTTATGAACAGGCCAGAGGACCCACACTATCCTGACAGCAATGCCAGTGGCAGCCCTCCATCCTACAAGTAAGATGCAAGGCTTTGGCCAGTGGTAATGAGTGGGAGCTGAGCTAGACAACTCCTCATTAAGACATAACCCTGGAAGGGAGCAAAACCCCCTTCCAGGGGAGTGTAGATTGGTGGCACCATCTGCTCCTAGCAGAGGCAAGCATAAATTGTATCTGGAGGAAAGCACCTCCAATTTAATCCTGCAGAATCTCCACAGATAAAGATGGTGCAATTTGGAGTTCACAAAGATCATCAAGCTCAAAAGTGAGCAAGTTTCCATTGGGGGGCATTTTTTAAAAAGGAAAATTAAAAATCAACAGATATAGACTCCCATGGACTTCATATATTTGATTCATCACAAACAGAATTGAATAGTCATATATGAAATACATGAAGAACTGAAGGATGGAATCACATGAAAGTAAGCAGCTACAGGAGATTGTCAGGAATGATTATATAGATCTGAGTGAGACAAAATGGAGTTCCAGAAGTGGGAATATAATTGTTGAGCAAAGCCATCAGTGAATGGATTAAACAGCAGATTGAATACAGAGATAATTTCCTGAAAGATATAACTGAAAAATTAGTATGCAGCACAAATTAACAAGAAGATATAAAACATGAAATTAAAATTAAGAGAGGTAAATGATAACATAAGGCTTAATATACAAGTAATCAGAGTCCCAAAAGAAGATCATAAGGTAATTTGAAGTCATAATTGCTGAGAATTTTCTAAGTGATGAAAAATATAAACCCACCTTCAGGAAGTTTAACATTTCTCAAGCAGAATGAATAAAAACAAATCCATGCCCAGACACAGCACAGTGACACTGCAGAAAACCAAAGTCTGTGTTTTAAAAAGTTTAGATTTAATTGGCATATAATAATTGTACATATTTATCGGGCACATAGTGATATTTCAATACATGTATACAATGTATAATCATCAATTCAGAGTAAGTAGCTTATCCATCATCTCAAACAGTTTCTTTGTATTGGGAACATTCAAAATGCTATAATCTAACTGTTCGAAAATATACAATAAATTATTCTTTTTTTTTTTTTTTTTTTTTGAGATGGAGTCTCGCTCTGTCACCAGGCTGTAGTGCAGTGGTGCAATCTCGGCTCACTGCAAACTCTGCTTCCCGGGTTCAAGTGATTCTCCTGCCTCAGCCTCCCGAGTAGCTGAGACTACAATAAATTATTCTTAATCATAGTCTTCTTAAAGTGTTATAGAACACTAGGCCTTATTACTCTTATCTAGCAGTAATTTTGCATCAGTTAACCATCCTCTCCCTATCCCCCCTCTCCTTTGCAGCTTCTAGTAGCCAGTACTCTACTTTCTACTTCTTTGAGTACAACTTTTTTAGTTCCCACATATGAGTGAGAATATGCAGTATCTGTCTTTCTATGCCTAACCTATTTCACCTAACGTAACATCCTTCAAGCTTATCCATGTTCCCAGGAATGACGAGATTTCATTCTTTTTTATGGATGAATTTTATTGTATTGTGCATATTGTGTACATATACCAACTTGTATTTATCCATTCATCTGTTGATGAACACTTAGATTGATTCCGTATCTTAACTATATTGAATAGTGCTGCAATAAAAATGGGGGTGCAGATAACTGTTCAACACACTGATTTCCTTTCCTTTGGATAAATACCCGGTAGTAGTGGAATTGCTGTATCATATGGTTGTTCTGTTTTTATTTTTATTTTTTCAGGAAGCTTCATACTGTTTTTCATAATGGCAGTACTAATTAACATTCCCACCAAGAGTATATAAGTTAGCTTTTCTCTGCATCCTCACTAGTATTTGTTATTTTTGGTCTTTTTTTTTTAAATTTTTTTTTGAGATGGAGTTTCACTCTTGTCACCTAGGCTGGAGTGCAGTGGCAAGTGGCGAGATTTCAGCTCACTGCAACCTCTGCCTCCCGGGTGCAAGGGATTCTCCTGCCTCAGCCTTCTGAGTAGCTGGGATTACAGGCACTTGCCACCATGCCCAGCTAATTTTTGTATTTTTAGTAGAGACGGGGTTTTGCCATGTAAGCCAAGCTGGTCTCAAACTCCTGACATCAGGAGATTCACCCCCACCTGGCCTCCCAAAGCTCATTACAGGCATGAGCCACCATGCTGGCCTATTTTTGGTCTTTTTGATAATAGCCATTCTAACTGGGGTGAGATGATATCTCGTGGTTTTGATTTGCATTTCCTGGATCATTAATGATATTGAGCATTTTTAAATATACCTGTTGGTCATTCGTATGTCTTCTTCTGAGAAATGTCTATTCAGACACTTTGTCCATTTTTCATCAAATTATTTGATTTTTGTTTTGTTCTCTGTTTTGTCTTTTGCTGTTGAGTTGTTTGAGTTTCTTGTATATCCTTCATATTAATTCCTTGTTGGATAAATAGCTTGAAAATATTTTCTCCTATTCTGCAGGTTTTCTCTTCACTCTGAAGATTATTCCTTTGCCGTACAGAAGCTTCTTAGTTTGGTATGATCCCATTTATCTATTTTTGCTTTTGGTGCCTATGCTTTTAAAGTCTTACTCATAAACTCTTTGCCCAGACTAATGTCCTGAAGCATTTCCCTTCCTTCTAGTAATTTTATTGTTTTGAGTCTTACATTTAAGTCTTTAATTCATTTTGAGTTGATTTTTGTCTATGGTAAGAGATGGGGGGCTAGTTTCACTCTTCTGCTTATGTATATTTAGTTTCTTCAGCACCATTTATTAAACAGGGTGTTCTTGCCTCAATATATGTTCTTGGCACCTTTGTAGAAAAACAGTTGGCTGTAAATATGTGGATTTGTTTATGAGTTCTCTATTCTGCTCTATTGGTCTATGTATATATTTTTATACAAGTACCATGTTATTTTGGATTTTATAGCTTTGTAGTAAATTTTGAAGTCAGGTAGTGTGATGCCTCTAGCTTTCTCTTTTTGCTCAATAATGCTTTGGCTATTTGGGGTCCTTTGTGGTTCCATAGGAATTTTAGGATTTTTTTCTATTTTTGTGAAGAATGTCACTGGTATTTTGAACCTGTAGATTGCTTTGTGTAGTATGGTCATTTTGACAATGTTAATTCTTCCAACCCATGAACAAAGTATAGTGTTCTCTTTTTTTTTCTTTTTTTTCTTTTTGGTTCCCTCTTCAACTTCTTTTATCTTATCCAGAGCAATTGGGCAAAAGAAAGAAATTAAAGGCATCCAAATTGGAAAAGAGAACATCATATTGTCCCTATTTGCAAATGACATGATTATATATATAGGAAAACCTAAAATTCCATTAAAAAAAACCCTAAGAACTGATAAATATAGTAAAGTTGCATAATATAAAATTAACATACAAAAATTAGTAATGCTTCTATACACAAAACTAGCTGAAAAGAAATCAAGAAAGCAATCCCATTTCCAATAGCTATTTTAAAATTCTGCTTTTTAAAAGTAGCTGCAAAGGAAGGGAAGATTACCTACAAAGGAATAACAATTTGACTACAAGAGACTCCTCAACAACAGCAAAAGAAGCCAAAAAATAGAGGAATAATGATTTCAGAGCACTGATAGAAAATGACTATCAGCCAAGAATTCAACATCCAGAAAAACTGTCAGTCAAGAATGAGAGTAAAATAATGGACCTTTGATTTTATAATAAAAGTACCTTATTTTATAATTTTATAATGAAAACTTTCCTATCAATAGGCCTGTGCCAATGGAACTTTTAAGGAATGCATTTCGGGAAGAACAAAAATGATTTATGAAAGGATTATCTGATGTTCAAAAAGAAATACCGAGAATATAAAGTAACCAAAAAATGTAAATGTAAACATTGCTTGCATAAAATAATAATAATGTTTAATTTGTGCAGATGTATTAAGAGCAGAACTAAAATATTGTTAGCAATAGTCTCAATTCAAAAGGGAAATGTTGGAGTTAAGTGTCCTGAGGTTCTTGTAAATCACAAGATATATATGGTAGCAAAATTCCAGCTATATCCAATTATATAATAAATTTTAATAAATTTAAAAAGATTAAACTCATTAAGATATATTCTCAGAGTAGACAAAAATATCCTGTTATATGCTGTTTACAAAGGATACACTAAAAATAATACAATACAAAGAAGAATAAAAGTAAAAAGAAGGAAAATTATATCATTCAAAATCAAAAATAAGCTAGTTTTGCTATATGATTGTCAAAGTAAACTCTGAGACAAACAAGCAATATTAAGACTCAACTACTTAATTATATGAGGTTAGGTAACCAGAGAGACATAACAGTTTTAAACTTGCATATTTCTATTAAAATAGACTAAAAACAAAAAAAGTAAAAATTGATAAAACCTGAAGGAGAATTTTTTTTATTATACTTTAAGTTCTGGGATACAAGTGCAGAATGTGCCAGCTTGTTACATAGGTATACACATATCATGGTGGTTTGCTGCACCCATCAACCTGTCATCTACATTAGGTATTTCTCCCAGTGCTATTCCTCCTGTAGCCTCCCATCCCCCGACAGGCCCCAGTGTGTGATGTTCCCCTCCCTGTGTCCATGTGTTCTCATCATTCAACCCCCACTTATGAGTGAGAATATGCGGTGTTTGATTTCTGTTCCTGTGTTAGCTTGCTGAGAATCATGCTTTCCAACTTCATCCATGTCCCTGCAAAGGACATGAACTCATCCTTTTTTATGGCTGCATAGTATTCCATGGTGTATATGTGCCACATTTTCTTTATCCAGTCTATCATTGATGTGCATTTCGGTTGCTTCCAATTCTTTGCTATTGTGAACAGTTCTCAATAAACATACGTGTGCATGTGTCTATAGTAGAATGATTTATAATCCTTTGGGTATATACCTAGTAATGGGATCGCTGGGTCAAATGGTATTTCTAGTTCCAGATCCTTGAGGAATTGCCATACTGTCTTCCACAATGGCTGAACTAATTTACACTCCCACCAATAGTGTAAAAGCATTCCTATTTGAAGGAGAAAAAATTTAAATCTCTAATACATTGAAAGATTTCACTATCTCTTTCTTAATTGGACAAGCAGAAAAAATAATAGTAGAGATATAGATAATTTATGAAATAATTTTGGCAAATCATAACATCTACATATTAAAATAATAATATGTTATGGTCAAATCATTTTATTCTAGGAATGCAAGGATGGCTCAATGGGTAAAAAAAAGGATAGCTCAATAGATGAAAAAGGAATATAAAATTCACTATAAATTTAAAATTTTAAAAACATTTGAGGAATATTAATACAAAGATATTAGATTAAATGGGAATAACTATTTCAAACTATCAATCAAAATAATATTTCATGATGAGACACTAAAGTGGTTAAGCAACTGTACTCAATATTTAGTCTCCTTTGGGTTCAACAGTAGCTTTGTGGCTATTTGATCTTGTGCAAATTAACTTATAAAACTCAGTTTGTTCACCTATAAAATGGCGACAATAATTGAACCTACCTAAAAGAGGTTTCTATGATTACATTAAGTAATCTATGCCAGCCATAAAGTAAGAGCTCAGCAAATGGTAGCTTATTATTCCTGGAGGTACTCTTATGAGAGCTAGAACAAAGGCATGAACACAAACTGATTACTTATTTGACATTGTTCAAGGAGTTCTAGTCAATAGATGATAAGGCAGGAATAAGAAAAAACTGATTTAAAAGATGTAAAAACTATAGTAATCTACTAGAAAATTCAGAAAACCCAATCACAGACAATTAAAACTAGTAAGATTTGGTAAATTTATTCAGATGACTACTAGTAAAATAAGTTCCATATACATATAGTTAGAAAAAGCAGTCATTTGAAATATTAACTAAAAATATGTATATTAGAATAAACTTTATAAGAAATGTATAGGACCTATATGTTTTGTCCTGCATATGTAACATACAAGACTATCATGAAGGACATGAAGAAATATTTTTATAGACAGACTTCATTCCTGGGAGACTAAATAGTGTAAAAATAAGAGTTGTGCTGCCTTTTATATAATGAAGAAAGGGGGAAATAATGTATTTGTACAATGTAAATGTTTAATCTGTATAATGATTTCACAGTTCATCTAGAATAATTTATTTTTCAAATAATAACAGGGAAAACTGTTAAAGATAGTAAAAATGCATTGCAGTGCTAATTAATTAACAGAGATACAACTGGCATAAAGATGAATGAAATGAGACAGAAATGAAAGACCAGAAACATACTTAAGTACTGGTGGTTTTAAATCAATGGGTAAAAATCTGGATTATTTTTAAATGATTCTGGGACAATTGATTAATTACTTGGGCAAAAAAGAGTATATTTACCTCATACTATGTAACAAAATTAAAATAAAACAGATTAAATAATTAAATATGAAAATAAAACCATCTGCATTGCAGACATTTCTAACATTAAATAGAGAAAGATGCCAGCTGGGCATCATGGTTCATACCTGTAATCCTCGCACTTTGGGAGGCCAAAGTGGGAGGATTGCTTGAGCCCAATAGTTCAAGATAAGCCTAGGCAACATAGCAAGACCTTACCTCCACAGAAAATTACAAAATCAGTGCATGGTGGCACGTGTCTGTAGTCCTAGCTACTTTTGGGAGGCTGAGGTGGGAGGATGGGTTGAGCTCAGGAGTACTAGTTTACAGTGAGCTAGGATCACACCACTACACTCCAGACTGAACAACAAAGCAAGACCCTCTCTCTATAGAAATTTAAAATATAAGAAGGGAAGATGCCATGAGGCAAAGATTGATATATTATGTTACATAAACCTTGAAACTTGGTATTAAAGAACCCATGAAAATTAGAAAAAGCATTTACAACATATATGACAAAATTTACGTTATTGATGCAAAGAGAGAATCTTATAAATCAATGAAAAAACAGCAATATTTTTAAAGTAATTTACAAAAGAAGAAATACAAATGATCAATTAAGCATAAAATGTCAGTCTGATTACAATGAAATTAATGCCACTTTTCACATAGCAAATTAACAAGTATATATGCACAATTTAATGATATAGTAACCATGTGGTGAGGAACGGGGCTGGGAGTTGACATGTAGAAGCTGCACTCTCAAAAACTGTTGGCTGGAGTTTAAACTAATATAAGCTATCTAATATGTAATTTTGAAGTATGAATGAAGAGCATTAAACATAATACATTCCCTTTAGCCCAGCAATTACATATCAGGAATTTTTCCTAAAGAAACAGTTGAAGATGTGCAAAATTATTTCAGTAAAATGATATTTATTCAGAGTTACACAAGCAAAAATTTGAAACTTAAATATATATTATACATATAAATATATACTATATATTTAAAGATATGCTTTGATATAGTACATTTACATATTAAATTTTATATAATATAAATGTTAAATACATTTATATAATATATTTATATATAATATTGATATGGTTTGGCTGTGTCTCTACCCAAATCTCATCTTGAATTGTAGTTCCAGTGATCCCCATGTGTCTTGGGAGGCACCTGGTGAGAGGTAATCGAATCATGGGGGCAGTTACCTCCATGCTATTCTCCTGAAAGTGAGTGAGTTCTAAGGAGATCTGATGGTTTTCTAAGGAGCTTTCCCCTACTTCGCTCTCACTTCTCCTTGCTGTCACCATGTGAATAAGTATGTGTTCACTTTCCCTTCCCCTTTATGGGTAATAAAACTTGGGATAATTATTATTTTCTTCTTAATGTCCTCTGATACTTTCTAAACTTTATAATAAAGCACGTATCATTTTAAACTCCAAACTAAGTGTAATAATATATTTTAAAAATTATTTATGTATTTATTTGACACATTATAATTGCACATATTTATAGGGTACAACTTAATATTTTGGTACATATCTATGTATTAGAATAATCCAACCAGAGTAGTTAGTATATCCCACACCTCATGCGTTTATCATATCTTTGTGTTGATAGCCTTCAAAAGCCTCTCTTCTAGTTATTTTATAATATAAAATATTTTACTGTTAACCATAGTCACCTGAATGTGCAAGAAAACACCAGAATTTAGTCTGCCTATCTAACTGTAATTTTGTACCTGTTGACCAACTTCTCCCCATCCTTCCCTCCCCACTGCCCTACCCTTCACTAGTAACCACTATTCTACTCTCTGATTCTTTATCAACTTCCTTTTTAGATTCTACATGTGAGTGAGATCATGCAGTATTTGCCTTTCCATGTCTGTCTCATTTCATTTATTAATAATATCATGGCCTTCAGTTTCATTCATGTCATCACAAATGACAGTTTCACTCTTTTTTATGGCTGAGAAGTTTTGTGTATATATACCACATTTTCTTTATCCATTCATCTGTTATTGGGAGCTTGATTTACATAAATTATGGTGTGAGTCAACAGAATTCCATTCTGCTTTAAGGGTCAACAATAATATTGTCAGTCTAGTACTCATTGTCTAATATGTAATAATTTCTACAGATTTCTATAAATTTTCACTGTAATGAAAAAAAAAAAAAGATGCTCTCATCCTACTTTTCATGCCCTCCAATAGCCATGTGTGTATATGTGTAGAGGGCGGGGAGTTCTTACATCTTTTCTGCCTACATATGCTCAAGTTGGCTTATGAAATAATGAAATAATTGTAGTAGACTAGTAGAGTCATAATACTTGAAACAACTCCATTGCAGAGACAAAGAAAAATACAGTTTATTAAAGAATATAGTCCTGCTAAAAATAACCACATAGTCTTAAATCATCCAATTGGCTGGTAGTAGAAATCCCTGGGATCCAAGTCTTCTCTCTCTTCTAATAGTAAATACCCCTTTTCTTTCTGTGGAGAGATATGCTATCATAAGTAGGTTGTAATTCTGTGGAGATAGAGGGTGAGTTATTTTTCAAGAACCTTCTATTCACAGCAGGACAGGCTCCTCACACGCCATGCACATGACTTCATGCCCCGACTCACACTGTTTCTCCTATCTAAAATATTCTTTCCTCCAGAAGAAACATTGCCTTTGTCATCAGACAGGCATGGATTTGAAATCTGGCAGTACTAGACAACTTGTGTGACCTTGGGCATGTCCATTAACATGTATGAGGTCTGATTTCCTCATATGTAAACTGAGTACTACTTCTTTAAATGATCACTATGGTATTTAAATAAGATAATATATGACACTTGTATGTGAATTGCCTATAATGTGTTTAGCATATAAGAAGGACACAATAAATGATGGATGTTGGATAAAATTCATTTCTTTCACTTTCCAAATCTTGTCCATTCTGCAATGTCCAGCTCAAGTCCCAGTTTCTCTGTGACTTACTCTCCTCACAAATTTAGCCCATATTAATGTCACTTTTCCCTTAATTTATATGTTTATTTTCTGCTCATTAACTATAGCACTTAACTGTATGAGATTTGATTTGTTATCAAATTTGCTTTGCCTGGATAGGTCCTCAAATAATGCCATTTTGTTGAATGTCGTTTTATTATAACATGGGTGACAAAAAAATTGCTTCCTGGCAAGGCCACTGTCTGTGTGGAGTTGCACATTTTCCCCATGTCTACGTGGGTTTTCTCAAGGTACTCTGGTTTCCTCCCATTAGGTGAATAGGAGTGTCCCCCTAGTCCCAATGTGAGTGAGTGTGGGTGTGTGTGAGGGCGCCCTGTGATGGGATGGTGGTCTATCCGTGGTGGGTTCCCACCTGATGCCCTGAGCTGCCCAGATGGGACCTGACCACCCTCAACCCTGAACTGGAATAAGCAGGTTGGAAAATGAATGGATACAAATTGTTGTCAAATAAATATTCTTCAACTCTACAATAATCACACAAATGCATGCCAATGAATCATGCAGTACCAAATTGCTCAGTGAGTCTGTGCTATTTGTGATTGTTTTTGAACTGCTTGGTGATAGGAAGTGCTCCTTACAATTTTTGCTATGCAAACATATATTGCTTGATTTAACCTACAACCACGACGATGGTAGCCATTTACTGATTCACCAAAAATTGGGTAAATAATTATCTTACTCGTTGTTATTCATCTTTCTTAAATGTATATATAGCTCACATTTATTTCAAAGTTTAATATTATTACAAGTGTTTTGGTCTTTATTTAAAAGTTTGGTTATGTTTTGTGATCACAGATATGCCGTGGGAACTTAACTCTTGTTTATATCAATTCACCTATGGTAAAGTTGGTTTTGTTATACAAAGTTTCACTTAAAGTCACAGCTTCTAAGAACTTAATGATGACATTGGATGACATTGAGGACTTGCTATATTTACATATATTATCTTCCCTAGTGTTTACTACATCTCTCTTTTTTAATTTCTAGTTTTTGTGGGTACGTAGTAGGTGTAAATATTTATGGGATATGTGAGACATTTTGACACAGGTGTACAATGCATATTAATCACATCAGGGTAAATGGTGTATCCATCACCTCAGGTATTCATCCTTTCCTTGTGTTGCAGACAATCCAATTATATATACCCTCTTAGTTATTTTAAAATGTACAATTAAATTATTATTGACTATAGTCACCCAGTTGTGCTATCAAATACTAAAATCTTAGTTATTCTTTCTATCTTACATCTCTTTTAATTCCCTCCCAGCTCTAAACACAGTGCTGGGCACTAGTAGGCAGCCAATAATTTACATATATTGTAAGCTCCTGGAGGGCAAAGACATCTCTTACATCTTTTTTGCTTTCTACTGTTTATTTGGGTACACACAAAAAGATGAGCTGGTTTAAAGAGAACATAAAGCTTTTAGACTAAAAAAACAGCCAAAAATAGAAAACCATTTAATAATTTAAAATACAGATATTACGTGATAACGCAACATGGAAAAGCCACCAATGAATAATTACAGTTTGGTAAAAATGACTCTATTCCATCCTGCCTTGTCCTTTTAGAATTCCCGCTGCAGCAGCTGGGTAAATTGATTCATCTCTTTCCCTTTCTCTGCCCTTCCCTTCCCTCTCTTCCTCCTCCTTATTCTTTAACAGCTTTATTGAGGTATAATTTACATATCATGCAATTTACTCAGTGTAAGTACACATTCAGTAATTTTTGATAAATTTATAGAGTTTCTTACATCTCTTTTGATTCCCCCCAGCATTAAACACTGGGCTGGATATTAATAGGCAGCCAATAAGCCCTTACTGGAAGAATTTAGTTATAGATCTTTAAGTATTGAACCAGACTTCTTATTGTAGTTGGTTCACGTGAACTACTATTTAAAACCCAAATCCATTATGACATGACACTTTTCCTGGTAGTCTGAGCATTAGTATCTTCTCTAAGCCATACAGAAGGGTAGAATACGGAGTTGTTCTTACATGGAGAATTCAGATACTGCATATACGTTCTGAGAAGAGTTGTACTGTCAGCAGTTTCAGCACTTGATGCTGCTTCGAAGATTGAACCCAGACAAACTAAATTCTGTTCCTGAAGAACCAAATACTCTGAACTTCCCAGGCAAGAACTAAACTCTTGTAACAAACAGTTCACTCAAAGGATTATACCTGTGTGTCAGACACATGCTTTAATAAGTTATGTTAAAGGCCTTTACAAATTCCAAAGCAGCATACAAATGAAAGGAATTGAACTTTGTGATTTATACTCACTTATTTTTCCTGGGCTGATAGGTTCAGTCACTTAGAGGACAATGAGCATTCTTTGGTACCAACAACAAGAGAAAAAGCTCGAATATATTTTGCTGGATGAGAATGTGGTAACAATTAAGAATTTTCTTTAAAAAGGTGAATTTCATATTTTCTTTTAAAAAAATGCTAGTAACAAATGCAATCCATAAATATTAGATATTTTAATTTTTGTTAAACATTTTATGTTCACTATGACATTTATTTATAGGCCATCAGAAATTCAATAGAAAATCAGGGAATTAAATAAAAGAATAACTTCACAGTTTATAATTGCATCTCATTTTATTTATAGTAAGGCATGCTTAAAATATATCATTTTTGCCACGTAGTTACAAAATCCTTTATTATGCTTTAAGTGTGACATAATATTTTTCTAATTTGATGTGCAAAATATAATAAATGATGTTTGTGTCTGGAAGAAAAATGTATTTTATTTTATTATCAGGAATAAATATGTACTGAAATAGTACAGGAATGGGATTAATGAGTATATATGAAGATATGATCAGATCTCCCCCACCCCACCACCACCACCACTACACACTGCTTAAATCTCTTCAACAAATCTTCATTGGTCTAAGATCATGGTCCTTAGCATGGTGCATAAGACCTTCCTATCTAGCCTTCTAGGTCTAGAGTCAATTCTCTGGTCACCGAACTTACTTTATGTCCCGATATTATAAAATAATTTATAGTTCCCAGGACAATCACTGTTATTCCTATTTCCTGCACATCTATTTCCTTTCTCAACATTGCTGCTCCTTCCCTCCCTCCACCTGGTTCTCCCAACCACGCCCCAAGACTGACTGTCTGGAAAAATCCCCATTCATCCTTTAAAACTGTTCAGATACCTATTCTGGGAAGCTTTTCCTGCTTTTGTACACAAATAGATTAAACACATTACTTTTTTCTGTTATTGTCTGTGGGTTTAGGGGTACTATTTCTGAACCAAGAGCAGAGTTCTATTATTTAACCTTTTCCTCTGTTTCATAATTATTTATTTACAGGTCTGTCTCCCCTATGAAACTTGAGCTCCTCGATGGCAGGAACCATTCCTTATTGACCTCTGTCTGTCCACTGTCGGACACTAGGCCTGGCCATGCTCAATAAATGTAAATCTCTTACTTACTCTAGGCCTAAACAATTAATTTTATATTTTTAAAAATATATCCTGAAATAACTTTACAAGTGATTTGTACTCATTTATATTGTCACCAGAACACAAAAGTGGAAGAAGTTTAATGTAAGTTTCATCATCTGCTCACCCGCACTGGGTGTTACCTTTTTCTTTAAGTTACACATGACCAGCAATGGTGGAAGGGTGGCAGGGCAAGGGCTGGGGGCATGCAGAGTGTGAAATATGCTAGAAAATATAACCATATACTAGAAACATGAAAATCATTACCTTATATTTCTCAGGTAGTAGGTTGGAAACAGAGATTTGGGGTTACCTAAAGAGTGTGGTGCCCTGAGTGCTTCTGACTGGGTCTTTTTATGAATGAGAAGATCCGTGTCATAGTGTCCTTTCCAAGCACATTTGAAAAGTGAGCATTTGGCAGTGCTCATGCTTGTTTTGGGCCAAGTAATAATTTGTATACCCTTCACTATTCACAGTTGATTACATGATTGTGGATTTCAAAAATTGCACACTTCCTTTTTTTCCGTGTTTACACATAAGTCAATATTAATGTTTAAGTTCACTTCTTGTTTGGAAGCAAGGCACACATAGTAAGAGTAATGTGTGTCATTTTTTCAGCCTCTTGGAAGCTAAGTAATTCTTTCCCTCCTCTGGACTATATTTTCTAAAGATATTTCTTGTTTCACTGATAAAAATAATCACAGAGGACTTTTGCCCCCTAAGGTGTTATTTTGATCTTGGGAATTAAGCTCTAATTGAGCAGCTGAGAAAGATCCTGCTATAAATGTTAATGATGAAGCCAGCTTTTCTAATGAACTCCAGCTGATGAGGGGGAAGGAGGAAGAAAAGCGGAAACAGCAAGAGGTATTGGGAGATGAGCTGCATAGAGAGATAAATAGTATCCCCAATATTCATATCCACCTGGAACCTTAGAATGTGACTTCTTTGGAAATAGGGTCTTTGCAGATATAATTAATTAGCGATCTCAAAATGAAATCATCCCGGACATAATGTGGGCCCTAAATCCAATGGCAGGGCCTTATAAAAAGAGAGGACACAGAGAGACACAAGGAGGAGACAGCCATATGAAGATGAAGACAGAGATAGGAGTTATGCCACCACAAGCCAAGAAATGCACAGGGTCACCACAAGCTGGAGGAGGCAAGGAAGGTGCCTTCTCTGGAGCCTTCAGTGGGAGCATGACCCTGCTGAGACCTTGACTTCGAACTTCTAGACTCCAGAACTGCGAGAGAATAAATTTCAATTGTTTTAAGCCACCAAGTTTGTTATGACAGCTGTAAGAAACTAATAAAGTCTGTATTTTTCAAATTCAGTAATTGCTTATCAACTGTCGACTGTTTGCCAGGCACTGTGCTAGGGGCTGAGTATACAGTAACGAATAAGGTAGACATTAAACCAATGGACTACTTATGCTACTGTGAGAATATAAAATAAGGGTATAGTTTGAGGATTTGAGGAAGATTTTGCCCTAAATAAGGCAAAGTATGGGTAGGAGTGTCCAGATGCATATTATTATCCAGGTGAACAGGAGGCTACAGACCATTACAGTAGAGGAAAGCTGCACATTCTAAGGAAATTACCAAAAATCTGAGATATTTGGCTGGACAAATTGAGAAAATGTATCTTGCCCATGATGTTTGAGAGAGCAGTGATGCAGGATGATGATGCAGGAGAGGCAATTGGGAAGGACCTCATGTAAGTCCTTGTAGGGTACCTTCAATATTAGATACTTTATTATAAGGGCAATCACAAGCCTTCTGAAGCATTTTTGGAAAGGTGTAATGGGATTCGAGTCATTTTTAAGAGGTCACTCTTGTTACTCTGTAGAGAAGGAATTGGAGGAAGGCAAGAGTGAGTACAAGGTAACCACATAAGAGGTCAGTGCAGGGGTCCATGTCATTAGTGGGGATTATAAGATGTAGGCGGATTTAAGATACATTTGGAGGATACGCATTACAGGACTTGACGTATAGGGGAAGAAGTGAAATAGAGAGATGGCAAGAATATACTACATGCTGAGCAGAAAAACTCGAAGAGGAACATGTTTTGTGGAGACAATGACCCTGAATTTACTTTTGGGTTTGTTCTTAGAAGTGTCTTTGAGACATCTAAGTAGACATGTAATGTTTGTCATCTAATATACAGTTATAAATTGAGACACTCTCTCTGGCCTGAAGATATAAATGCTAAGTCATCTGAACTGGGTTGTATTTGAAGCAATGGAAATGAAAGACATCACCTAGGAAGAAAATAGAGAGAGAGGAGAGAACCTGAGAAACAGAAGTGCCCCTAAAAGATATAGAGATGGACTTTCAAAAAGAAAAAAAAAACTGGCAGGAAATAGCAGAGGAAAACTGTCTGATGAAGCTAAGGAAAAGAAGTGCCTTAAGGAGAAAATAGGTCAAACACCACTGGGTATCTTAGCAAGGTGACAATGAAAAATGTCTCTTCTATTTAGCAATGGAGAGCATTAGTGATCTTACCAAAAACTATTGAAGTGGACTACAGTGGGCTGAGGTGGAGGACGGGGTGCCCATAGATCACAGGAATGGGGAATGCTGAGGGAATAGAGGATGCCCAGTCAGAATCCAATTCTCATCTCCACCCCAGTGTCTAAGTTTTACAAACTGCCTCGGAAGCAATTCTCGGTGGCCTGACATTGGGATTCTATGCTCTGGTAGAATGAAAGCTTGAAATAAAGATTATGTTCAATTGTGTAAAAAGGAAGTCACCTCTCTTCATAGACCTTAGGACACTGAGATTCATCTTGTTGCAATGAAGTGAGTTGATGAAGCGTTGCAGTAGGAAAGGAGGAGATGAGCCATCATGGAAAGAGAAGAAATAAGCAACACATTCAACCCTGGTGAAGAAATTTGTTCAGACTCTCCAGCAGAGGTAGACAGGCTAGAAGTCTATTTGCAGGATTTGTATTTTATGCAGCATGTTTGGTGACCTGCTCTCTTCCAGAACTTAAGATCTAGAAATTAGTGTCTGCTTCTCCCACCCATTCATTTAAGCTAAGTCCAAGTAACGTGTTTTTTAAATTATTATTATACTTTAAGTTCTGGGGTACATGTGCACAACGTGCAGGCTTGTTACATAGGTATACACGTGCCATGGTGGTTTGCTGCACCCATCAACCCATCATCTACATTAGGTATATCTCCTAATGCTATCCCTCCCCTAGCCCCCACCCCCGACAGGCCCCGGTATGTGATGTTCCCCTCCCTGTGTTCATGTGTTCTCATTGTTTAATTCCCACTTATGAGTGAGAACATGTGGTGTTTGGTTTTCTGTTCTTGTGTTTGCTGAGAATGATGACTTCCAGCTTCATCCATTTCCCTGCAAAGGACATGAACTTATCCTTTTTATGGCTTCATAGTATTCCATGGTGTATATGTGCCACATTTTCTTTATCCAGTCTATCACTGATGGATATTTGGGTTGGTTCCAAGTCTTTGCTATTGTGAATAGTGCTGCAATAAACATACGTGTGCATGTGTCTTTATAGTAGGTCCTCTGATATTCAAATGATGGAGGGGAATCTCTGAGCCACCTAATCTCTAATGTTCCTTCAACCCAAGCATTTTATGTTTCAAAGAGGATAGACACAATGGCTATGCCTGCTTCAGTGTCTTGATAAAAGCTGATTCCAGTTCATGTCTGATCTTTCAGATGACAGTCTCCAATTATTAGTATGGGTTTCCGATTTCATTTCCAAATAAAATTCAATGACTACCTAAATGGACTGGAACTGAATCCAAGAAAGCTTGATCAAAGACATGTCTTAGGAAGACATTTTCACAACAAAATCCAAAGTCTTGGATCTTTAAGGATTTGAATGTCATGAGCTTTATTTAATATAAGCATTTTAGTTAAAAAATATGTATTTCTAAAGCAAGTCATCTCATTTTGATAACAGATGTCCTTTCCAAGTCCTTTGACTTTTGCAAGAAAAAGTGGTTTTTTCCTAAGCTTGACCCCAAAATTGAATATTTTCCCTCTTTTTTGTTTGCATATGTATTTGCTATATCAAAAGTAAGTATTTCACAGTCAATGCAGACAGCAACCCATGATGTGACCACAGAGATAGAGGAAATGGCATCTGAAGCAGATATCATTATCACCGGCAGGTAAAGATTAAGCCCAGTATCCTTACCAAGGAGGAAGCCAGTTTTGGTAAGGAATGTGCCAAAGAGCACAAAGGGATGAGCTGGAGAAAGAAGCGGCAGCCCAGCAACATACAGGGGAGGCAAAGGCTGTGTTTACATAGGCAATTCGCTTTAGGCTGCTTTAATATCTTATTTGATTCTCACAACACCTTGTGAGGTAGTACCATTTATTATTTCCATTTTTGAGATTATTAGACCAAATCTTCAAGGAATTAAGTTACACAGCTAGAAAAGAGGACTGGTGAGACTTGAATCCAGGTCATTCTGATTATTTTCTTACTGATAATTCCTAAAGGTACATGTAGGTTCTCTGAACTAATTACTTATGTTCTTCAATGCCTGCATCTCTGTGGGCATATGATAGCTTTCCTATCCCTGACTAGCACAATTATAAGAGCTAACCTGTGGAAAACTGATATTGGTTTTACTTACTAGCATAAAGGACAGGGCTTATATTTGTCTCTCTTTTTAGTGAAAGGGAAAAACAGCACAAATAGAGTCTCATTCACATACTTCATATGGAATTTTCAAGCCAAGCAGACATTTCTCAAATGCAAATAGTAATAGTACTTACCTCACAAGGCAGTTGTGTTTTAATGGAACCATACATTTACCTAATATAATACTTGTAATATCATATGCACTCCATTAATTCAATCAATCTTGGTCATATTATTTTGACCATTACTATTATTATCTGCCATATAACATATATTTAAAGGTTATAATTTTTAAATTAAAAATTTATTGGTGGTATTATAGATTTCAGCTCTATTATGAATATTTAAATACACATTTTCAAACTATTTTAAATCTTTCTTGACTTGAAATAATTTATAATGCAAGAAATAATCAGGGAGGTGTTTCTCTTAGATCTGGGTTTTAAAAGGATAAATTCTTAACCGAATCTCATTTTTTACAGGTATACTCAATCAAATACTTTACAAGTAATGGCCAAATTCCCTCTAAAAATTATTTTTGAAGACATGTCTTATAATGCAACATTAGATATTAAAGAAATATTATAATTATGCATTATTTTCTGTTATTTGTTGACAGTAGTTATCCCCATGTTTTGAGTTTCTAAGTGGAGGCACTTTAACATGATGGGACAACCATTTTAGCCCCCCTGGGCTGTGTTACCTCACTCACTCCTCCAAATGATCAGATTGGTGAGTTTTAGATGAGAAAGAGGACTTGATAGCGTTATCTCTTTTCGCTCCTTCTTCTTTCTCATCTCTGCTCCTCTGTGCCATTGTGTTTACCGCCACAGGTTCTGTCCGTGTGAAGGGGTCCTGAAGACCACAGGTTACCCAGGGGCTGAGTGAGGGCATTGGGGTCCCATTGTTGCTACACAACCAAGCCACTTTCTCCCAAAACTCCTTGTGCCTTGCTCTTTTGTTTCTCTTTCAGTTAGCTCTGAATCCAAGTGGGGATCAAGGGAAACCATTTGGAGCCCCTTAAGTGACCAACAAATATGTCTTTATTATTTAATGCCTTTAGGGGAAACAACACACAAAATTGTTGCTATTGATATCATTTTAATATCTGGACCTCAATAGAAAAAATCAACAATGAAAAGAAATGTTCCTGGCCCTTGAGAAGTTTATATAATTTGCTAGTTTTTATACTTTGATGGTTTATGTATTTTGACAGTTTTGTGGACATCTAATCAGATGTTAGCACTTAAAGAAATAAAACAGATATAGGTACATTATGTGTTTTGATCAAATCCAGCAAACCCTAAGATGTATTTTATAATTTAATTTGCAATTTGGAAGCAGTCATTCCTTTTAGCCATCCAATGCCAGATTACATAAAATTCATGTATTAGTAACTAAATTATGTCATGTATGTAAAAGTCTTTTATATATTGCAAAAAACATTATGCATATAAAATTGTAAAACATTTTGGTTATAATTATTCCATATGTAACATCCTTTCTCTATTTCTACCTGAGCATCTAACACTCAGGCATAAGCTGGTTATAGAGGATATGGGACTAGCTGCCTTCTTTTCTGACTCCAGAATAATTCTTACCAAGAAAATTTTTCCAAGTAGAAGTTAAATATTATTCTTGTTTTCTAACTAGCAGTCTTTAACAGGCAGAAAAATCGATGCCATTTCCTCAACAGCAAATTATATTCCACTTCTGTACATTATAGCACTTTTCTTGGAGTTGATAAATAAGAAAAAAATACTGATGGTCATTTAACTTAGTAGGATTTACTTAAATGAACTGACAGAAAGAATTTAACTCTTAAAGTAATTGATTTTTCTCTCCATCAGATGAAAAATGTACAATAGAGTAAATGAAAGTCTTTTAAACAAGAGTAATTTTCTATTCATTAAAGGAAACATAAAATACACTTATCCAAGCCTTTGAAAAAAATTACTTGCAGGTTATTAACCTATTTTTAAAGAAAGAATTTTTCAACAGTGTTCAGAGCATTTCCCAACCTGGTATACATTAAAATGGAAAATTTTTCAAACCAAATAAATATTCCTACCTCAATTTTTTTGCTATATACCGATGCAGTAAAATAGCTGAGTGTATGTAAGTGATTTGAAGATGACAACTCTCATGACAGGAAATGGCAGCAGGGAGACCTAGAAAAAATCTATACTGACCTCGCCACTGTTCATATCCTGTTGGCAGTTGTCACTCCAAAGGCGATATCACATAAAAGCTTTGCAATCTTTAGCTTAAGTTTCCTTAGTAGGGCAAAATCCTATTACCTCTAACCCACCCTCTTAGACATCTATTCTCTTCTCTTCACTTTTGCAAACCACTGACAGTTTCACCTAGGCAAAATGTTTTTCACTCAGGTTGGTTCTTGTTATCATCCCACCCCAAATCTTTTTTTTTTCTTTTTTCTTTTTTTTGAGACGAAGTATTGCTCTGTTGCCCAGGCTGGAGTGCAGTGGCGCAATCTGCAACCTCTGCCTCTTGGGTTCAAGCGATTCTCCTGCCTCAGCCTCCCGAGTAGCTGAGATTACAGGCACCCGCCACTACACCTGGCTAATTTTTGTATTTTTAGTAGAGACAGGGTTTCACCATGTTGGCCAGGCTGGTCTCGAACTCCTGACCTCACGTGATCCACACACCTCAGCCTCCCAAAGGGCTGGGATTACAGGCATGAGCCACCACGCCTGGCTTTTACCCCATATCTTCTCATTATAAATGATCAGTTGTATAAAATGATAGGCTGGTTAATTATGTTTTTCTTAAAGTTAAATTATGTAGCACTCAACTCCATTTGCCATCTCCTACCTTCACTGGTTTAACTAAATTTTTCTATAGCTGAAACCCTATTGGGATTCAAACTGTGGTTTTTGAATTTAACTTTAACATATTTTGAATACTTAGCTTGTTTAAATGTTCTTGAAATCTAGGGATAGAAAAAGATTAGCTGTGAATTCTATAAACATCATCCATAATTTAGAAAATGTATAGAATTTATAGACATGAGTCTATAGTCCTCTATTCCAAAAAAGTTGGTTGAAAAGTTTAAAAAGGAAAAATTCAACTTAATCTTGCCTATTTATACGATGTGAGATGATTAGCATTTGCTTGATATTTTACCATGCTTTACGCCTGTATCTTGTAGACATGTTCTAGGATAAAAGAAATAGCAAAGATTTCTTCTAAGATCTCATCAGAGATCAATCCAGAAATTGCTAGATGTTTTATATCAGAGGAAACTAATAAGATAATAACTTTGTTATTGTGCAATCTGCCAATAAACAGTGGTTCCCGTCCCAGTTTCATTATAGTTTTGGGGCAGCTCCCTAGTTTTCTTGGCCCTTGGAAAAGGAGTTCTCATGACTGTCAAATCAAATAATTCTCTAAAATCACTAATTTATTTTTTTGTTTGTTTTTTTATTCAATATCTACAAAGTGCTAGTGTCATTCCCTTTACCTGGTTGTTCTTTCCTTCTCCTTGCATGAACTTTATTTCTACTTATCCTTGAATATTTAGGGAAGATGTTAGTGCCTTCATGAAGCCCCTCCCCACCCTTTCTTAAAGGATGGCATGGTAGAACTTCCAGGATAGTGTGACTCATTCTACTCAACCAGAATGAGTAGAGTAAGTTGCTTTATCCTGGGAATTTCTTCTTTTTTTTGAATAACACATTTATTGAGATATAATTCACAAGTCACAAATTTCATTCATTTAAAGAGTGCAATTCAATAGGTTTTGTATATTCATAACATTATGTGTCGATCACTGTGATTTAATTCTGGACCATGTTCATCACCCCAAAAAGAAACCTCATACCATTATCATGTACTCCCCACTCCCTCTTCCCCCCACCTCCTAGCAACCACTAATTTACCTTCTGTCTTTATAGATTTGCCTCTTTTGGACATTTTTTGAATGAAATAAAAATAAGTGGGCTTTTGTGTCTGCCTTCTTTTACTTCATTTCCTAATGTTTTTAAGAGTCATCCATGCTGTAGCATGTCATTTCTTTTTATGAACAAATAATATTTCGTTGTATAGACATACCACATTTTGTTTATTCATTCATCAGTTGATGGTCATTTGCGTAGTTTCCAGTTGTTTTTGGTTACTATGAATAATGCTGCCATGTACATTCACAACGTCAAATCAAATAATTCTCTAAAATCATTAATTCATTAAAAAATATGTGCATGTTTTATGTGGGCATACATTTTCAATTCTTTTGTATATATACCTAGAAGTGAAATTGCTAGATCATATGGCAACTTCACGTTTAACATTTTAGGAACGGCCAAACTGCTGTACAAGTGGCTGTACCATTTTACAATGCCACCAGCAATGGATGAAGTTTCTAATTTCTCCACATCCTTGGCAACACTTGCTATTCTCCATCTTTGTGACTTGAGTCAACCCAGTGAGCATGAAGTGGTATTTCACTGATATAGTTTGAATGTTGTCCCCTCTAAATCTCATGCTGAATTGTAATCCCCAATATTGTAGGTGGTGTCTGGTGAGAGGTAACTGCATCATGGGGGAGGATCCCTCATGGCTTGGTGCTGTCCTCACCATAGTGAGTGAATTCTCACGAGATCTGGTTGTTTAAAAGTATATGGCACCTCCCCCTACCTCTTGCCCCCGCTGTCGCCACGTGAGATGCCTGTTTCCCTTTCACCATCAGCCATGATTGTAAGCTTCCTGATAGCTTCCCAGAAGCCAAGCAAATGCTGGTGCCACGCTTCTACAGCATGCAGAGCGATGAGCCAATTAAAATTTTCATTACAAATTACCCAGTCTCAGGTATTCCTTTATAGCAATGCAAAGAATAGCCTAACACACTCAGTGTGGTTTTGATTTGATTTCCCTGATTAATAATGAGTCCCTCTACATAATTAATGATGCTAAGCATTTTTTAATATACACTGGAAGATTCTTAAGTGTGGGTCCCAAATATTATTTATTTTACTATCTCAGGAACCAAATACAAACTGACATATCATAGGGATACATTTATAGTAATATTTATAAAAAGAATGAATACGTATTTAATTTTTATCAGTATTTGATGATGAATTTTGTGTGTCAACTAGACTCGGTTAAGAAGTACCTAGAGAACCGGTAAAGCAGTACTACAGGTATGACTGTGAGTGTGTTTCAGAGGAGACTGGAGTGTGGATCAATAGACTGAGTGAGGCAAGTCTGCCCTCAATGGAGCACTATCCAAATGGCTGAGGGCCTGGATAGAACAGCAAGAGCAATTTCTTCTCTCTTTCCTGGAGCTGGAATCCTCCTCTTCTCCTGCCCTTAGATAGCAGAACACCAGGCTCTCTGGCCTTGGCATGCTAGGCCTTATAATGCAGCCTCCTGGATTCTCAGTCTTCCAGCCTCAGACTGAGAATTATACCATTGGCTTCCTGGTTCTGAGGCTTCTGGACTAGGACTGAGCCACACTATCAGCATCCCAGGGTTGCCAGATTGCAGATAGCCTGTCATGGGACTTCTCATCCTTCACAATTATGTGAGCCAATTCTTCTAATAAATCACCTGTTTATCTATCTAATCTATCTATCTATCTATCTATCTATCTATCTATCATCTATCTATCTATCATCTATCTATCTATCTATCTATCTATCTATCTATCTATCTATCTTTCCATCTTACTGATTCTGACTCTCTGAAGAACCCTGACAAATGCAGAATTTGGAACAAAGAAGTGGGGCTTCTGCTATAACAAATACCTGAAAATGTGAAAGTGGCTTTGGAACTGGGTAATGGGTAGAAGCCAGAAGAATCTGGAGGAGCGAGCTAGAAAAAGTCCATATTACCATGAATGAAACCTTAAGGACAATTCCATGAGGGCTGAGAAGACGAGCTGTAGGAAGTACCTAAATCTTCTTAGGGATTACTTAAGTGGTTATGATTAGAATGTTGGTAGAAACATAAACAGTAAAGGCCATTCTGATGAGGTCTTAGACAGAAATTAGGAATATCTGTGTGTGCATGTGTGTGTGTGTGTGTGTGTGTGTGTGTGTGTGTGTGTGTTATTAAGTGTATGCCCCTTTAAGGCTTTTAATTGTGATTCTCTTTACATTTTATCTTTTCCTTATTGGAATAGTTCCTGCATTTCTAAAAAGTCACAATAAAAACATAAAAGTAATTTTTTTTTTTGAGACAGAGTCTCACTTTTTCACCCAGGCTGGAGTGCAGTGGTGTGATCTTGGCTCACTGCAAGCTCCGCCTCCTGGGTTCATGCCATTCTCCTGCCTCAGCCTCCTGAGTAGCTGGGACTACAGGCGCCTGCCACCACACCTGGCTAATTTTTTGTATTTTTAGTAGAGACAGGGTTCCACTGTGTTAGCCAGGATGGTCTCGATCTCCTGACCTCCTGATCTGCCCGTCTCAGCCTCCCAAAGTGCTGGGATTACAGGCATGAGCCACTGCGCCCGGCCAAGTAATTTCTTTAAAAAAAAAAAAAGGAAACAAGATAATCAAGTACTCTGAGCACTTTCTTTTATTCTCTTAACTAGAATTTGGAGACCTCTGAAAAATTATATGAATGAAAATAGTGGCTTTGGGAACCAAGTTTGTCATAATTTGGGGGAAGTTTTGGTTTTCTCAGCCAAAAGCTATATTATTTTAGAGTTGAAGTGTTATTATACATCAGCAATAAATTCAGGTAATACATGTCAACACATTTTGACCAGAAATTAGAAATATCTTATTGGAAACTGGAGTAATGGCCATCTGTGTTATAAATTTGCAAAGGACTTGGCTGAATTTTATCTATGTCTTAGGGCATTATGAAAGGTGGAATTGAGCAGTGAACTAGCATATTTAGTAGAAGAAATTTCTATGCAAAATATTGGAGGAGCTGCCTCGCTACTTTTAACTGCATACGCTAAGATGCAAGAGGAGAGAAACAATTTAAAGGTGAAATTTATAATTAAAAGGCAAGCAGAGCAGAGTTCTCAGCCTGGACATGTAAAGAGTGAAGGCATCTTGGCCGGGCGCAGTGGCTCACACCTATAATCCCAGCACTTTGGGAGGCCGAGGCGGGCGGATCACGAGGTCAGGAGATCAAGACCATCCTGGCTAACACGATGAAACCCCATCTCTACTAAAAATACAAAAATTAGCTGGGCGTGGTGGCAGGCGCCTGTAGTCCCAGCTACTCAGGAGGCTGAGGCAGGAGAATGGTGCGAACCTGGGAGGCGGAACTTGCTGTGAGCAGAGATAGCGCCACTGCACTCCAGCCTGGGTGACAGAGAGAGACTCCGTCTCAAAAAAAAAAAAAAAAAAGAGTGAAGGCATCTTTAGGAGAACAAGTGCCAAACAACCCTTTGACAAAGGGATTAGCATGGATAGAAGTAAGCCAGGTGCTATTCAACAAGACAATAGGAGAAAGACCCCAAAGTCATTTCAGAGATCTTCGAGTCTACCCCTCCCATTATTGGTCCAGAACAGGATCTTGAGGGCAATGTTTCCAGAGAGGTGCCAGTGGGATATCAGTATTTGCTGCCCTGAAATGCTTCAAGTCTCTGCTTCTCTCATTCCAGCACAGCATTTCTTCACAATCCCAGCTGTACCTCAAGTAGGCCCAGCTGCAACTTGTGCTCCCACTCCAGAAGATGTAAACAGTAGCCTTGGTGGTGTCCATGTGGTGTTAATTCTATAGGTGTGCTAAATGCAAGAGCTGCGAGGCCATAGTAGCCTCCACTTAGATTTCAAAGGATGTCATGGACAGCTCGGAAATGCAGAGTAAAAATGTAGGGTTGGAGCCTTGACAGAGAGTCCCCACTAGGGTAATGCCTAGTGGAGCCATGGGGGTAAGGCCACCTCAGAAGCCCCTGAGCTGTAGGGTCACCAGCATGCAACTTCAGCCTGGGAAACCTGCAGGCATGAGATTCCAACCCAGCAGAGTCACTGAGTGGACTGAGCCCAGGAAAGCCACAGAGGCAGGGCTACCTGATGCTTTGGGAGCCCATTCCCACCCTAGTATGCCCAGGATGTGGGACATGGAGACAAAGGAGAATATTCTCCAACTTTAAGACTTAATGTTCTCTTTTGGGTTTTGGACTTACGTGGGGGAAGTTATTCCTTCTTTTTGGCCTATTTCTCCCTTTTGAAATGGGAATGTCTATCCTATGCCTGTCCACCTGTTGTCTTTTAGAAGCACACAATTTGTTAATTTCACAGGTTCACAGCTGGAGAGCAATTTGACTCAAAACGAATCATGCCTATGTCTCACCCATATCTAATTCAGATGAGACTCTGGACTTTGGACTTTTGAGTTGATGATGAAAACAAGTTAAGAAACCCCCACACCAATTAAGGAAATTCATCCTAAAAATTTTGTTCTTCTAGAACCATTCCTGGTACCAATTCTCTCTCTTAGTCTGTTTGTGCTGTTATAACAAAGTATCTGAGGCCAGGCGTGATGGCTCACACCTGTAATCCCAGCACTTTGGGAGGCCGAGGCAGGTGGATCACGAGGTCAGGAGATCAAGACCATCCTGGCTAACACGGTGAAACCCGTCTCTACTAAAAATACAAAAAATTAGCCAGGCGTGGTGATGGATGCCTGTAGTCCCAGCACTTAGGAGGCTGAGGCAAGAGAATGGCGTGAACCCGGGAGGCGGAGCTTGCAGTGAGCCGAGATCGCGCCACTGCACTCCAGCCTGGGAGACAGTGAGAGTCCGTCTCAAAAAAAAAAAAAAAAAAAAAATCTGAGACCAATTTATAAAGAACAGAGATTTATTTCTTACAGTTCTAGAGGGTGGAAAGTCCAAGATCAAGGGCCCCACAACTGGGGCTTTTATGCTGCATGATCACATGGAAGAAAGTGAGAAGGCAAGAGAGTGTGAGAGCAAGAGGAGGTAAAGGGGCTATTGGGATGAAATGGATATGGGGCTATTGGGATGAAATGAATGCATTTTTCATGTGAGAAGAACATGAATTTTAAGGGCTGGGGCATGGTTTCTGTGTATGTCTATGGTTTGAATGTGTTTCTCTAAGTTTGTGCATTGGAAACTTAATCCCCAAAAAAACAGTGTTGAGAGGTGGAACCTTTAAGATGCTCTGGCTTCGTGAATGAATTCATGTTGTTATCTTGACAGTGGGTTAGTTAACATGGGAGTGGGTTCCTGATAAAAGGATGAGTTCATCCCCCTTACCTCCTAGAACTCTAGGAGGTAGAACTATAAGAAATAAATGTCTGTTCTTTATAAATTACCCAGTCTCAGATATTCTGTTATAACAGCAAAAAACAGACTAAGACAGAGAATTGGTACCAGGAATGGTTTTAGAAGAACAGAATTTTTAGGATGAGTTTTCTTAATTGGTTTGGGGGTTTCTAGAATTGGCTGCCTAATCTGATTAGACCTAAAAGTGCTGAGAACTCTACTTATAATAGCACAGACAGCACTGATAGTTCATGGTATAAACTGTTTATCAGGATACACAAAACATCTGTATTTGATACTCCTAACTAACCACTTATAAAAGGCAAGGAGCTTGGTAACTGTGTATATGATACCTTTGAACATTTGTGGAAAACCATAAACAGCCTAAGAGCTTCTAAGTGTGCCCTGAGGGAGCATCTTCTCTCCTGCAGACGCAGGGCTGAAATAGCTGAAAATCAAACACAAGCCCTCATCATGCAATTGGCTGAAAAACAACAAAAGTTGAACTCTCAGTCTCGAAGGCTGTCCACTTAAAGTGAGGGCATTTGTTGGTAAAGAATGAGGTCCCATAAGTCAGAGTGTAATGGTGTGGGAAAATCCAGGTGAGGCTGGGACATCAAGCTCCTAAATTCTGACGAGCATTGTTTGCCAGTGCTCTCCATTCCTAGCAGCAGCGCATTCCCACCCACAGTGCGATCAGCCTTTCCACCTCTGATCCCACAGGGGATTAACTCTGCATTTGCCTGAGTAAATGGCAATGTCCTCCTCTGAGTCAGTTGTCAAGCAAGGCAATTGCTGATGCTCCTCAGGACTCAACTCTATCACCCCTCTTTGCTTCTAGATCTATAAAGAGACTCAAGTCCCAGCAGGCCCCTAAGAGTGAGGTACAAAGTGTGGCCCACCAGGAGGTGCGCTACACTACAAAGGAACTACTTGAGTTTTCTAACTTATATAAGCAGAAATCTGGGGAACATGTATGGGAATAGATATCAAGGGTGTGGGATAATGGTGGAAGGAACATAAAGTTGGATCAGGCCAAGTTTGTTGGTATGGGCCTACTAAGCTGAGATTATGCATTTAATGTTGCAGTTCAGGGAGTTAGGAAAGGTTCTAACACTTTGGTTGATTGACTCAAAAGATAGCCCACCATGAGTGAGTAGGAGCTGACCTAAACACCCTATCTCCCAGTTTACAATAGAGGAAGGGATGCAAAGGCTTAGGGAGACTGGAATCCTAGAGTGGATTTGTCACTTAAAACCTCCTCACCCACACATACCTTTCACCAATACTTTGATAAATAGATTTGCAAGGGGAGCCCCAACATCCCTGAAGAGTTCCGTGATTGCTCTTCTCTGAAGACAGGTCCTTGAAGTGAGAATTGCAGTCATTCAATTGAAAAAAAAAATGCAATGGTAATGATTGGATCCCAGGGTGGCAGGGGACAAGCGGCAGCATTCAATCATCCATAACAAGGTGGGTGTAGGTACCATAATGGACAGCAGAAGCAAAGCAACATTCAGAATAGTCTGACTCATGTAGATTCATATGCTGAATGAATGTGGTGCTGGCTAGTAAATCATGATGTTCCTAGGAGTGAAATAAAGAATAAACCTACTAAGTTCTTACTTGATCTGTATTGGCAGAAAACTTTCAGGTCAAGTGAACAAGAGTTGAATTTGAATGATTAAAAGAGGGAATCACAGCCCCTCAATCAGTTCCCAGACTTGAGCCAGTTTACAGATCCAGAACCCCTTGAATGAAGAGGAGGCTGGGTCCCCTCCAGGAAGAAACCTGGTACATTAGTGAGAATTTACCATTAATCTATCCCCCATTCTTCCCCAATGGGACTTCCTGCCTTTTACCAGGGTAACTGCATTGGAGGAAAGAAAATAATCAGACCTTTCAGGATTACTAGATCCTGGATCTCAACTAACAAGAGTCTTGGAACATCACTGCAGCCACCCAGTCAGTGTAAGTGCTTCTGGAGGTCCCGTAATCAATGTAGTTTTAGCTCAAGTCTGCCTCCCAGTGGGTACCCAAAACCCATCCAGTGGTCATCTCCCCAGTTCCAGATGCATAATTACAATAGACATACTCAGCAGCTTTTGTTCCTTAACTTGTGTACTGAGGGCTATTGTAGTGGTAAAGACCAAATACAAGCCATTAGAACAGTCTCTACTTAAGAAAATGGTAAACTAAAGCCAAAACCATATCCCTGGAGACAAATGCAGAGATTAGTGCCAACATGAAGGACTTGAAAAATACATGGGTGGTGATTCCCTCCACATCCTCATTCAACTCTCCTATTTGGCCTGTGCAGAAGACATGGATTCTGGAAAAGAACAGTGAATTATTAGCTTAACCAAGTGGTGACTCCAATCACAGCTGCTATACAAGATGTGGTTTCATTGCTTGAGCAAATTAACACATCTCCTGGTACTTGGTATGCAGTTATTGATTTGGCAAATGCCTTTTTCTCCCTTTCTGTCTATAAGGCAGCTTGCTTCAGTTGGCAAGGCCAGCAATACACCTTCACTGTCCTACATCCGGAATACATCAACTCCCCAGGCCTATGTCATAGTTTAGTTTCCAAGGATCTTGATCAATTTTCCCTTCCACAAGATATCACACTGGTCCATCACATTGATTACATTCTGCTAATGGACCTAGTGAGTAGTGAAGTAGTGACTACTGTGGACTTATTAGTAAGACATAAGACATTTGCATGTCAGAGCGTGGAAAATAAATACAACTAACATTTGGGGTTCTTCTGCCTCAGTGAAATTTCTAAGGGTCCAGTGGTGTGGGGCATGTTAAGATATCCCTTCTAAGGTGAAGAATAAATTGCTGCATCTGGTCTTTCCTGCAACCAAGAAAGAGGTACAATGCCTAGTAGGCTTATTTGGATTTTTGGAAGCAACACACTTCTCATTTGGGTGTGTTATTCCAGTGCATCTACTGAGTGACTGGAAAACCTGCTAGTTTTGAGTGGGGCCCAGAACAGGAGAAGGCTCTGCAACAGTGCCAAGCTGTTGTGCAAGCTGCTCTGCCATTTGGGTCATATAATTCAGAAGATCCAATGGTGCTTTAGATGTCAATGGCAGATAACGAAGCTGTTTGGCCACTTTGGCAGGCCCCTATAGATGAATCACAGCAGACGTCCTTAGGAGTTTGGAGTAAAATCCTACCATCGTCTGCAGATAATTGCTCTCCTTTTGAGAGACAGCTCTTGGTCTGCCACTGGGCCTTAGTAGAAACTGAAGATTTGACTATCATTCACCAAGTTACCATGCAACTTGAGCTGCCCGTCATGAATTGTATGTTATCTGACTCATCAAGCCATAAGCGTTGGATGTGCACAGCAGCACTCTGTCATCAAATGGAAGTAGTATATACATGATCAGGCCTGAGCAGGTCCTAACGGTACAAGAAAGTTACATGAAGAAGTGGCCCAAATGCCCATGGTTCTTACTCCTTCTACACTGCCTTCTCTTTCCCAGTCTGCACTTATGACTTCATAAGGAGTACCCTATGATAAGATTACAGAGGCAAAGAAGACTAGGGCCTGGTTTACAGATTGTTCTGCACAATATGCAGGGACCACTCAAAAGTGGACAGTTGTAGTTCTACAGCCCATTTTGGGAGCATCTCTGAAGGACAATAGTAAAGGGAAATCTCAATGAGCAGAACTTAAGGCAGTGCATTTGGTTCTGCACTTTGCTTGGAAAAAAAAATGTCCATATGTGCAATTTGATACCAATTTATGGGCTGTAGCCAAAGGTTTGGCTGGATGGTCAGGGACTTCATTGGAAAATTGATGACAAAGACATCTGGGAAAGAAGTATGGATAGACTTCCCTGAGTGAACGAAAGATGTGAAGGTATTTGTGTGCCATATGAATGCTCACCAAAGGATGACCTCAGCAGAGGAGGATTCTAATAATCAAGTAAATAAGATGACCCATTCTATGGATATTAGTCACTCTTTTCCCAGCCACCCAATGGGCTCATGAAAGAAAGCAACCATAGTGGCAGGAATGGAAATTATATATGGGCTCAGCAAAATGGACTTCTACTCACCAAAATCTACCCAGCTAGGGCCACCTCTGAATGCTCAATCTGCCAGCAGCAAAGACCAGCATTGAGTCACTGATATGATCCCTGGGGTGATCAACCAGCTACCTGGCAGCAGATTGATTACACGGTACTGCTTTCATCATGGAAGGAACAGCACCTTACTAGGATAGAAACTTACTCTGGATATGGATTTGCCTTTCCTGCATTCAATGCTTCTGTCAAAACCAGCACCCATAGACTTAAAGAATGCCTTATCTAACATCATGGTGTCCCACACAGCATTGCTTCTGACCAAGCAACTCACTTCACAGCCAAAGAAGTGCAGTAATGGCCTCATGCTCATGGCATTCACTGATTTGAAGCAGCTGACTTGAAGTTGCGGTTACAATGCCAGCTGGATTGTCACCTACTGTCATACTTTGTAGGGTTGGGAAAAGTTCTCTGGAAGGTTGTGTATGTTCTGAATCAGCATTCAATATATGGTACTGTTTCATAGTGAGGATTCATAGGTTCAGATATCAAGGAATAGAAATGGATGTGGCACCACTCACCATTTCCCCTAGTGACCGACTAGCAATATTTTTGTTTCCGGTTCCCACAACTTTATGCTCTGCTAGTCAGAGGATGAAAACTTCCACCAGGAGACAATAATGATTCCACTGAACTGGAAGTTAAGACTGCCACCTAGGCTCTTTGGGCACTTTATGCTTCTGAGTCAACAGACTAAGAAAGAAGTTGTAGTGTTGGCTGGGATGGTTGAGCCAGGCTTCCCAGAGGAAATTGAAACTACTACTCCATAATGGATGTAAGGAAGAGTATGGCTGGAATACAGGAGATCACTTAGAAAGTGTCCTAGTATTACCATGCCCTGTGGTTAAGGTCAATGGGAAATTACAACAATCCAATCCAGGCAGGACTACAAATGGTCCAGACCCTTCAGGAATGAAGGTTTGAGTTACCATGCCAAATAAAAAACAATGACCAGCTGGGGTGATTGCTGAAGGCAAAGGGAATACAGAATGGTTTACAGAAGGTAGTTACAAATATCAACTATCACAGCATGACCAGTTACAGAAAAGAGAACTATTTCATGACTATTTCTTCCTTACTTGGTTAAGAATATGTTTGTGTGTATATAGACATATATTAGGCAAATATCTTTGTTTTCATTCTTTTCTTATTCCTTTATCATGTAACATAAGACATATTGACTTTATAACAATATTTAAGTACTGTTCATTTTACATCATAGTATTTAAGTTATGGGATATCCAGAGAATAGTAAACATTACCCAAGGACTTCACTTGAGGGAAGGATTAGTACATTTTCAGTAGGAACTATTACCTTGTTGTTACCTTTGTTTGGAGATTAAGTATGGTTTAAAGAAATACATATGGGTGCCAAGTTGACTTGGGGTGGACTTGTGATGGTTAATTTTAGTTGTCAACTTGACAGGATTTCGAAATACCCAGAGAGTTTGTAAGGCATTGCTTCTGGCTGTGTCTGCAAGGGTGTTTTCAGAGGAGAGTGGCATGTGAGTCAGTGAACTGAGTGAGGCAGATCTGCCCTCAATGTGGGTGGGCACCATCCATTTGGATGAAGGCCCAGATAGAACAGAAAAGGGAGAGAAAAAGAGATATCCTTTCTCTTCCACCCTCCAGGAGCTGGGATGCTCTTCTTCTCCTGCTTTTGGACATCAGAACTCCAGGTTCTCTGGCCTTTGGATTCCAGGACTATGCCAGTGCCCACTCCTCCCCATGTCTCACTCAGGCCTTTTCCACTGAACTAAGAATTACATCATCTGTGTCCCCCCTTCTGAGGCTTTTGAACTAAGACTGAGCCACACTGTCACCATCCCAGTGTCACCAGCTTGCAGCAGGCCTGTCATGGGACTTCTCAGACTCCATAATCATGTGAGCCAAATTTCCTAATAAATCCCTTCATCTATCTACCTATCTCTCCTACCTGTTCTGTTTCTCTGGAGAACCCTGGCTAATACACAGTACTGTGCTTTGAACTCCTCACAAGAAAGGTCCTAAAAAGTTAATGTCTATTATAAATATTCTCCTGAAATAGCTCAAATACATTGATACATATTATATATAAATGCAAAAATATGAACTCTTTAAGCACACTTCTTAAAACTCGGAAAATATCTGTGATTTGATTGATAGCTTACTTACCTATATTTTTCTCCTTAGAAATCACTTTCACACAAGCAGCATGTCAGGGTTCTTTATGGGAACAAAGTTTAACTCAAATTGTATTGTGGCTGTGTTTCAGCCAAGTTGATTATAGAGCCAGAAAACTAAGACTTGGTGTTTGTGGAAGGCAGAGGCAGATACAGATCTTGCACGAAAGCCTGTCCCCTGAAATTAGAGATGGATGAGAGATATGGACTTATTTTTTAGGATATGTTCCTTCCTGGATGTCAGATGCCATTTGTCACACCACAGATTTTGCTGTCTATCAGGATCTAGGTAAAAAGGTATTTCAGAGCTTAAGGAGTTTCTCTCCATATGAGCATTTTTATCCAAAGAGGCAGTCTCAATTTCTCTGAGAAGTTTAGAAAGTTGGAGAAAAGTACAACAGTGTGTGCACCATGGTATTTGGTAGGTTAGTTTTGTAGCTCAACTACTTCCTAATTTTAGAATCTACATTAATTCATTTATTCTTCTAATTCATTTATTCTTCTAGGGTGATTTCAACAAATCTATGTGTCCATGGTCTAACATGAACTACATGTATCCATGATCTAAACATGAACTACATGGCTGTAAACAGTTTTCACTGATGACAAACTTAGTACCAGCGAGTAGTTGAGAAACTGGGAGAATCAATTTATTAAAAGTTGCAGATATGAGCATAGTTTGACACTATGCTTCAAAAGGCTTAAAAAAACAGTGCATACCTAGTCACATAGTAAGTTTAGTTACAGGACTATAAGGTGAGGAAATAATTAGACAATTGTGCAAGATTTATGAACACAAATGTTCATTGTAGAATCATTTATGATGGAGAAAACCTTATAAATAATCTAAGAATTCAGCAATAAGGGGTTGATTTGATAAATTATGATACATAAACATCTACATATGATGGAATACTACTCATACCTTAAAAGTAATCTTGTAGAAGACTATTTAATGAGTAGAAAATTTTCAAGATATAGTAATTAAAAATCAGATCATAAAAATATATGTAGACTGCAATCCTCTTTTAAATGTGTATATGTATATGTGTGTATATATGTATATGTGTGTATATATGTGTGTCTGTATATACATATACATATATACACACACATAGAGGAAAATACTGAACTCTGATGACATAATGTGGGGCTGTTTTGTGCTTTTTTTCTATTTTCCACATTTTAGATTAATGATTTATTATAAATGGTATATTATTTTAAAAACAAAACAAAAACAGAATTCCTGGTGACATACCATGTATGTAGGAAGCCCAGGCCTTAAGTGACAATATTTTAATAGGACTGCTTTTACAGAGGTTTGATGAACGTGATGGAAGGGATACGCATGCATATGCACACACATAAGCACACACACAGTAAAGTACGTTTTTGATGCCACCTTTAACTTTCACTGTCTGTCTTAATGTTTTAAGTCTTTTCAAGTTGTAGTGACTAGTGGAGAATGTTTGAAAGAATTCCCCTTCATCAGTCTTAGATGTCCTTGATGGGCAGCTCCGCTTGAGTAGAGTTTCTTAGACTCTCTCAGCCACTGACCTTGCCCCTGCCCAAGAGAGAAGGAGTGATTTGTTTGCTGGTAACGCTGGCTCTGCCCCTCCTGGGCTTTTCTCTCTCCTTGTGGAGGTGCCTGTTCTCAGGGCACATTCTCAGTTTCTCTCTGTGGTGATCTCCCTTCAGTAGTCTGGGAGAGGCCTGTGGCTGTTCAGCTGTGTTGAAAGTGGGTAGCAAAAAATGTCAAATGCATTATATAGTTTTAAAAAGCCACAATTCTATTCATATCCTGAAATCCAGCTTTGATCAGTAATATATTTGATTTTTTAAATCTTCTCGTATATACAGAATTCAATTTTTTCCCTATATGCCACCAGTGAACAATTGACATTTGAAATAAAAAACACAATGGCATTTATATTAACACCAAAAATCCTCAAACAAACATAAGTTAGGGATGAGTCTAACAAAATGTGTACAAGATCTATATGAGGAAAATGAAAACCTTCTAATCAAAAGAAATCAAGGAAGATCTAAATAAATGGAGAGATATTCCATA
This sequence comes from Homo sapiens, assembly GCF_000001405.40. NCBI lineage: Eukaryota > Metazoa > Chordata > Mammalia > Primates > Hominidae > Homo > Homo sapiens. The sequence continues at coordinate 217,318,291 of NC_000001.11, forward strand.
TATGTGGATAAGAAGACTCAATATTGTCAAAATGTCAGTTCTTTTCAACTTGATCTAGAGATTCAATGTAATCCCAATCAAAATTCTAGCAAGTTATTTTGTGGATATTGACAAACTGGTGGTTTTAAAGTTTATATGGAAAGGCAAAAAAACTCAGAATAGCCAATGCGATATTGAAGGAGAAGAACAAAGTCAGAGAACTGACACTACCTGACTTCAAGACTTACTATAAAGCTGCAGTAATCAAAACAGTATTGGTGAAAGAATGGACAAATAGATCAATGGAACAAAAGAGAGTCCTGAAATAGATACACACAAATATAGTCACCTTATCTTTGATAAAGCAACAAAAGCAATACAGTGGGGAGAGGATAATCTTTTCAACAAATGGTGCTGGAACAACTGGACATCTACACAGAAAAAATTAATCTAGACACAAAACTTATGCCTTTCATAAAAATTAACTCATACATAGATCATAGACCTAAATGTGCAACGCAAATCTATAAAACTAGAAGATAACGTTAAGAGAAAATCTAGGTGATCTTGGGTATGACAATGGCTAAAAACATAACACTGAAAGCAGAATCCATGAAAGAAAAACCTGGCAAGTTGGACTCCATTAAAATGAAAAGTTTCTGCTCTGTGAAAGACATTGCTAAGAACATTAGAAGACAAGCCACAGACTGGGAGAGAGAAAATATCTGCAAAATACATAATTAGATAAAGAGTTGGCTTCCAAGATATACAAGTAACTCTTAAAACTCAGTAATAGACAAACAACCCAATTAAAATCTATACCTACCTGTCTCTTATATCCATACGACAATTGGTTATTAACTTGGAGGAGTAAGAAATATGTATTGTTTACGCAACCTTCTCTCTGACAACAAAAAAAAGATCCTTGATGGAATAACTTTATGAAGGAGGTGTATAAAGAAGATAAAGTTCTCAGGCAATTCATGGGTAACTTACTGGGAGTTGAAGCTGAATGAGATGTTTATTGGAGAGAGGTGGGACACATTAGCAGGAATGTACTCATTTATTCCTATGGGGTACATTGAAGAAGTAGAGGCAGAATCTCAAGTGAGAAAATAAAACAAAAGAGGCTAGAGGAGGTTTGTTTGATTACAGAAGGAGGCAAGACAGGGCAAAGTTTACAAACTCAAGCTTAAGAGGCAAGTTACCCTGTGTGAACCTTGGCTTTGTCCCTTATAAGCTGTGGGAGCTTGGACAAGTCACTCAACCTCTGGGGGCTTCAGTTTCTTCATCTATAAAGTGGGAATAATAATGTTAGTAAGCACTTAATAAGCATTAGTTATTAAAACAAACAGAATATTCAGGAAGGTAGCATGTTCTCTCATGCTTTGTACCTTGTTGTTCACACTGCAGACTAGATCTTTCTGGCTAATTCTTCATGTTAGAAGCATTTACCTTCAAGATCTTTAAAGGGAGGAGCAAATGCAACAACCAGTTCCACTACATTGAAGGAGGGCACTAAGTAAATAAAAAGAAAGACATTATAGACATACTTGAATCGTAGATTGAATACTTGGAGGTGACATATGCTTTCTGCTTAGAATCAGCTACAGAAAGATACAATCTTTCTTGAAAAGTGGTAATTATTACATCCCTATATGAAGCAGTAAAACACTTACCTTGGATCACCAGGGATGCACCAGTCTTTTACTAAACTCACCAAGCTTTGCATCTGGTCTCAATGAGATGGGGAAACTGAAGCCAACATTTTGCTGTGACTTAATGTGGCTTTGTATAGAGCTAGGATACATGGGCAGGGATACCTAATTCAAGTTATGCATGGACTCTCCTGTACATCAGAAATGACCAGCAGATGCACCAAGGAAAGTTACTAAAACATAGTTATACCTCAATAAGTGCAGTTGTTATTCTTTCTACTCTGCTAATTATTATTATTTTAGAGACAGTGTCTGGCTCTGTCACCAGGCTGGAGTGCAGTGGCATGATCATAGTTCACTACAGCCTCAAAGTCCTGGGCTCAAGTAATCCTCCTGCCTCAGTCTCCCAAGTAGGTGGGACTTCAGGCATAGACTGGGTCTTGCTATGTTGCCCAGGCTGGTCTCAAACTCCCAGCCTCAAGTGATCCTTCCGCCTCATACTCCCAAAGCATTGAGATTACAGGCATGAGCCACTGTACCCAGGCAAATCAATATTTTTTAAGAGGTTAAATGTTTGTTCTATATGTCACATAGGAAGGAAATGAGGAGCCAATATTAAAATGAGGCCTGTCTGCGGTCCAGACCTAGATGTTTTGAGCTGCATATGCTAGAGGGCAAATTTGAATTCTGATTGCCAGGTTGAAGCCAAAAGTGCTAGTCAAGTCAATTACTAATTTGAAAAACTATACAGTCAGCACTGGAGAATATTTCTTTTAAATAAATTGGGCATCTGTCAATTGAAATCGGGAGTTCCAATTGGTCAAAGTAAGCCAACAGCGTATTTATAAATGAGTTCTGCCGATCATATTTTTGAATATATAAGAATCATTTTCAATTAGTACACTAATTATTAGTATGTCGAAGGACACTATTAAAAGATTCAAAAACAACTTCTTCCCATCGATGAGTAAATCAGTCCCATGATATTAAGTTTATAATATTTGCTTGCAGAGTAAACTTTGCTTTCAAGACTGTGCAAAGTTAAATGTCTGACTTTACTATGTTTTTAATTCATTTAAAGTCTATATTTTAAGGCACTTCATATAAATATAAATATAAACACAGGACATGAGCTAAATAATTCCAAAAGTTTTTGTGAAAAACTTCTGATCCCTGGCTGACAAAGTATAATAGACAAAGTATCCCTCATTGTCTATTACTCACTCCTCTGCCCAAGTGCTAGAACTTCAGCTGAGCACAGAATGCTTTAATTTGGAGATGAAGAAGGGTCTTTTTTTTCTAAGTAGAAAGCATACCATTGAGAATATGAATCACTAAGGGTGACATTAAATCTTGCAAAGAGATAATATATGTCCCTGTGGTGGCTCAAGAGACTAACAATAAATGTTAAATATTAATAAGATTGTGGAAATCCTCATGGATACTGTCATAAAGTAGCAGTAGAAAAGGGAAAAAGACAGAGAAAATAAAAAGCATGGATCTATGTAGTGGTCTTTACCATCGTGCAGTGTATGCTTTATATTTGGGGAAAAAGTAAATAAAGAGAAGCGATCATGGAACCCACAGGGAAAACCCAGATTTGGGGGCATATAAAATTTAAAAAATAGATCATATTCTTCAGAGATAGGGAGGCAGTGGCCTCTCCTCCTGTGCTATAAGATGCAAAGGAATTAGTCCACATTTTGAGGAAGAATTCCCTTATGAAGCTTGAGAGTGAATCCATGTGCTCTCGAGTTCATGGTTTTCTTAGCTTTTGCACTTGCTTTGGTCTCGAGGGATGACAGAAACAATAGTGCTGACAGAGGACGGTAGTGTCAAGCCATCACTCAGAGAGCAACGGCTGGCTGGGCTAGGCCAGGACTCAGCCCTACCTAGTGTCTCCTCTTCAAAGCCCGAAGCCTTCCAAGTCTCTGAGTATATCAGCAGACCAATTATAAGAAAGAATTTCTGTCGATAACGCTGGCTCACCCTGCACTTAATTCTGAAATGAGTCCTACTTTTAGACTCCCTTCCTTCCACCCTGACTATACCAAGCCTGATGGATGGGGGCACGTGGGCCAGGCCGGGATGGTCTCTGACTGAAGAGAAAATGCATTTTCTCACACATAAAATAAAAACAGAAAAAAAGGCAAGAAAGCACTATGTTTACATCCTCTTGAGGGTGCAGACCCATGTCTAGTTTGGATTGCTACATTAAAAAAAAAAAATCTGGATCTACTGGAGGTAGTGAGCAGAATAGTAAAGAAAACTAGTTGAAGGCTAAGTAAACTGTGTACAGCCCACGGGGAGTATGTGGAGCCTCTCACGTAGGCATATACCATCTCCATCAGATGCAGGTGGGTCTGGATGCCAAAAACCAAAGAAGACGTGAATCTAGATGTGTTTTGGGAGGAGTGAAGGTTGAGAGCCACATGGCAGGAGAGAAAGACCTTGAGAAGGACTTGGTGTGTGACCAGAGTACAGCTGAAGGGCCACATGGCCTACACATCCCAATTTTACAATAAAACCTGGACTAACTGTGAAAGATGAAAATGAAAAGATGGAAAATGGGAAGAGTCTAATAAGATTTTCACTTGGACGGACTTGTTTCATCTTGGAAAAGGAAGAAAGATAGGAGAATTAGTATATATTTGCAAATTCATTAAATATTATTTTGAGAACAAGAGGTAATCTGAGGGGTTTTTTTTTTTGCTCTATCTTTTGTCCATTTTCCGTTTTTAATTAAAGAAATATAGGTCAATTAGGCCACTTGACCCAAGTTTGATCAAATTCTACCAAAGATGAATGTGATATCTCTCTCCATAGCATTTTTCCTAAAAACAGGTAGTCTGACTTGAATTTTCATTTGTTTAAAATGAGAGATTGAATCAGATGACCCCAGACTGTTCCCAAATCTGTATTTTTTAATTAGGAAAGAAAATTTCCTTTTCAAGCATGCATGGATTGACAAAGGAGGAGTTTTTTTTCTTCTCTGAAGGCACTGCCCTCGGTGTGAGGGTTGGGGAGGAAAGTGAGATTTCCTAGCTATCTTAGAGTTTAGAACCACAGAGCACAGAGGAAGTGAAAGCAGAAGGGGAGCCTTTGCTCCTCCTCACACAGCAACAGAGCAGGAGAGCTGCATGCTGAAAAGAGCTGCACACAAAAATGCTTGTGCATGCCACTCAATTTCTTCTGCTTCCAAACACTTCAGTTTACTTAGTTGCACTGAAGCACATTTTACACAGGACTAAAGGAAAAGGAATATGTCACGGTAAAGTGGGGGCATGGTGTATCCTTATGTTTTGCAAGAAGAAAATCTGAGCTTCCTTTAAATAAACAATCATTTATTTATGAAGGCATCTTTTTGGGACAAAATGACAAGATCCTTATTTCCTCATTGTCTGTGAGTCAGAGCAATAATTTCCCTTTAATGCTGGGGGTCAAAAGATGACATATCTGATCACCATTCACCAGATACATATTTGAGAAACAGGAGGACAGACTTCAGTGACAGAATAGAGCTTAGTGTGTGAGAATGTGTTTGGCTGCAAGTAAGAAACCTGACTTGGCCAGGCACGGTGGCTCACACCTGTAATCCCAGAACTTTGGGAGGCCCAGGTGGACAGATCACGAGGTCAGGAGTTTGAGACCAGCCTGGCCAACATGGTGCAACCTCATCTCTACTAAAAATACAAAAATTAGCATGGTGGTGGGTGCCTGTAATCCCAGCTCGGGAGGCTGAGGCAGGAGAATTGTTTGAACCCGGGAGGCAGAAGTTGCAGTGAGCCAAGATTGTGCCATTGCACTCCAGCCTGGGCAACAGGGTAAGACTCAGTCTCAAAAAAAGAAAGAAAGAAAGAAAGAAAGAAAGAAAGAAAGAAAGAAAGAAAGAAAGAAAGAAAGAAAGAAAGAAAGAAAGAAAGAAAAGAAACCCTGACTTATAGTAGCATACTTTTCTGATGTAAAAATTAAGTGGTTTCTGGTATTGGTTCAGCAGTTCAATCATGTTGAGGCATGTATCTCTCCAATTCCCTTGACTTTTTCTCTCACTGTTCCAAGATAGCTTCTTTAGACCCAACCATATGTCAACATCTAAGTCAGGATAAAGTGAACTAGGAAAAAGGATGCATACCAGCCACATCTGTCTATTTTTATAGGGAAAACAAAGTATTTCCCCCAAATTTTCCCCAGCAGAGTTCTGAGTGCATCACACAGCCACCTCTGTCTGCAAGAAAGGCTGGGAAGCCCAGCATCAGTGTTGTCAGGACTGGCTGTGATCCATCACCTGGAGCTCTGTTACCCTGAGCAAAACTGGATCCTGTTATTAAGGACAAAGGTTGGAAGCGTTCTGGGAAGGCAAATAAAAGTGTCTATCTAACACAGTAACTTGGAAAGAGTAAGGAATTTATTCTAGACAGGACTGAGTTCCAAGTCCCAACACTATTATTGATAAGAAATAATTATAGAGAAGTAGAAAAACTTGGGACCAGCCATCTGGAAACCTGAGTCCTTCGTCTCTCTTGTGTCTCCAAGAATGAACCCAGTTGACTAGAAGACTCTGAGAGTTTCTTCCAGCCCAACAGTGGCTCGTTCCAGGCTCTGATGTGTCATGACTAGGGTTTGGAAGGGGCATGGTTTCTGCCCTTACGACCAATGAGCAGTAGGTGCTGCTGGGTCTCTCCCCTTCCCCAAGTCATCTTATCACCTTGGAAAGTGTTGTATGAGGCATAGAGGAGAGGCACTTTTGAGCACATTAAGATCAAACAGACTTGAGTTTGAGTTTTTGCTCTGCCATTTACGAGTCTGACCTTGGGCAAATTACTCAAATCATCCCTCTGTGCCTCAGTTTCTGTGTGGGAATATAATTTATATGTATATTGCAGGGTAGTTATGAAGAATAAAGAAAATGTTTGGATGGCACCTAGTACAATTTTTGGCACAAGAAAAACAGCATTCAATAAATAATAACTACTTTCACTATGACTGTTATTATGTGTGGTTGCTGTCGTGACTCTAGTGTTCCTAGACCTAAGCACAATGACGACACAGGAATTTGTCTCCAGCTCTCTCCTTCTCCCAAGCATTACAACCTTCTCCTTACGTCCATGTGGGTCTATTTCACTTTCACTACCTTGTTTCCATCTATCTTTTCCAGGCACTCACAACCAGTCCAGAACTATTTATTACCATCTTTTCTTGATATTGCCCTGGTCCCCTCTAGAACAATGAAATGTCTCTTGCATATTTCTTATCCGTATAGGTTTGCTTCCTGTACTTCACACTTTTCTATGTTCATAAAACACTGCTACTGGGCTAAAGATGAGCTGCTATCATCTATATGTATTCATATTAAAGCCATTTGGGGACATGATCTTCATTCATTTCACTAAAATCAAGTTTTGCCTTCATTTCTAATAGAAACCAGTGTTTGAGCAAAAACAAAGTCAGGCCTGGCGTGGTGACTCACACCTGTAATCCCAGCACTTTGGGAGGCTGAGGCGGGTGGATCACTTGAGGTCAGGAGTTCAAGACCAGCCTGGCCAACATGGTGAAAACCCGTATCTAGTATCTACTAAATATACAAAAATTAGCCGTGCATGGAGGTGCAAATCTGAAATCCCAGCTACTTGGGAGGCTGAGCAAGAGAACTGCTTGAACCCAGGAGGCAGAGGTTGCAGTGAGCCAAGATCATGCCACTGCACTCCAGCCTGGGGAATGAGACTCCGTCTCAAAAAAATAAAAAAAATAAAATCCCCAAAAGTCAATCATAGACTAATTTTTAAAACTAATAATCGTAAGAACTCCATCAAGTCAGTGCGTTCACTCCCCAGTGCGTTCACTCCCCACATACCCAGCAGACATGGTAAAAATGCATGGCAAGAAACTCTCACCAGCTGATCCAACTTTGCGAGTTAGTCCAGCCACCCTCACTTCTAGCCAGTCAGCCTTAGCCCAGAAGGCACTGAAATCAGAAAACCCTGAGGAAGTGAGCATGGAAGTGTGAGAGAGAGAGCTTTGTAAAGACTCTCTTGCCAGCTAAAATGAGAGGCTGTCATTTTTCAAAGACAGAGAGGGGCAAAGGTGAGAAGTCAGCCTACCAAGAAGATACCGGCAGTGTTGAACCTATGATTTCAACTTAGATATGCAACTTAGTTGCCAAGAAAGCTGTGTCTGAGATATCTTGGAAAGAAATAACACCCTGGATTGATGGGCTAGACCTGAGGGAGTTTGTGGATTTAAAAGCAGTCCATCCAGCCTGTCTGCCCCAGACTTCAGTAAAAGTCTGCCTTTAACTGTGCCACTCAGACAGGAGTTAAAAGAGGCCCACGCTAGAAAAACAGTTTCAACTTGGAAGATAAAAGTTGCTGAATTCTTACTCAGCCCCTTGTCTGATCCTAACTTTGTACCCAGATTTAATTCTTTTTATACCTTGAGTTACTTGTAAATTGCTTTGAAGACAAAATCAAGACTTGCTCATTTATTAAATTCCCCAGTGTGGCTAACGCAGAACTTTGCACATAATGCCATTCCCATTAAATGTTTCTTAAGTCGATCTCTAAAATAAACCATGCTTAGGGATTTAAGAAACTACGGATCATGATTTTATTAGGTGTGATGGGATTGTTCTGTATTACATACATGGGAAGCCATCTAGGGTTGTGGGGCAAGGCATGATGTTTTGAGTCAGTCTGACCTGGGTTTAAGTTCCTGTGCAGCCATTCTCTGCCATGTGACCTTGGCAAGTTGCTTTTTCCATGTGTGTTCATTTCTGGGCTCATCCCTGAGCTGCCTATTTCTAAGCCTCAGTTTCCTCATCTGCAAAATAGGGATTCTCATAGTACCTGCTGCATGGAACAATAACAGTATCTACTTCAAAGAATCTACTTCTTAATAAGAGTAATCCCTCATAGTCCTTTGGGGGATTAAGTGGGAATCATGGTTATACAGCTCTTAGCACAGTTGCCAGCATATATCTGTGCCTCATTAAAGGGGAGCTATTAATAATAATAATAATAACATTACCATTTTTAATTACTACTTCAACTTTGTATTTATTTTGAGTGACAATTTTCACTCCCATATTGACAAATTAATAATCAATTCCAAATAAATGTGCCAGAGCTTTCCTCGAACACTAGTGTCATTGGTCCTGTCATGTTAAGGTGGAATTGTGTTTTGATCATTTGATCAAGGTCCCTCTGATTTCTTAACTGAAAATATTAAGATAATCCATTGAACATATGCATTATATGCAGTGTTATGGAGTTGCTTGTGGAATAATATAGCTAATATTTATTGATCATCTACCATATGCCTTACCTTGTGCTGAGGGCTTGATATCTAATACTCAGATAAACCAGGATTTTAGCTCTGATTTACAGATGAAGGAAGGAAAGCTCAAACAGGTTAAGTACTTTGCTCTGGTCAGAAAGTAGCAGAGGCCTGATTTTCACTCCCAACTCAAAGCATGTGCCCTTGCCAGGACTCCTGACATCTAGAATATTCGCCTTCGGGATCTGTACCTGTTGCCTTGCCCAGAAGTTTCACAGGGGTGATGCACTCCACAACCCCATTTCAGCAGCTGAGGTGACACTCTGCAGCCTGTCTTCCAGGATTCCACTGTTGCATTTTAACCCTGTGCAGTTACATCAATGTATATTATTCATTTTGAAAGCTGGAAACCACATCTGATGTATTCAACATTCACAATAAACAATAAGAACATTTGAGAGTAGATTTTCCTTGCCAGCAAACATGCACATTTATCATATTTTCACCACTTCTCTGTTCACATACCTCCTTATTCCTCCAGCACTTTCTTGCACTGTTCCTTCTGTCATTGAACACACGTTATGTTGTATGCTTATAGTACAATGGAACAAGTCCTCTTGCAAACATTTCCTATGATTCTAATTGTCCTTAACTCTTATCTGGTATTTGCTGAGTTTGGAAGACCAAAATGTGAGAAAACAATACCTTTGGTATATAGGTTTGAAAGAATATGTACAGTGAATGTTCACAATTGCCTTCAGTTCTCCCACAGGTAAGCATTCAAGGGGCTCCTGTTATGTGCCAAGTGCTGTGCTAGGCTGAGAGTGCTATTAGCAAGAATGGAATTCCTTCTCTCAAGGAGATTGCAGTCATATGCGGGAGACTAGGATGCAGAACAAGTTTCATTCTAATATGGTATGTGCTGCGTAGAAGTATATGCTGTGTTTGCCACTGAGAAAAGGCCATGTGAAAGGAATTCCTGGGTGGAGGCAAAGCAGGTCATAAATGATTGGGTTAAGTAGATGATATGTCAGCTAAGTACAAGAAGTTCGGTGTTACAAGACCAGTGGATCTCAAACTGTGGTCCCTGGAGCTGTAGCTCAACATCTACTATGTTCCAGGAAGTATCTGAGCTCTGGGGACACAGAAGGGAACAAAATAGAGTTGGTAGAAATGGACTGCCTGAAGCTTACTCTCTGCTGCTGATATGTTATGTAATCTTAGGTAAGTTACTTCACTCTTTGGACAGAATTTCTTGATCTTCAAGAGAGGGAAATTGAAGAAGACAATCACTAACATTCTTTTGTTGGCTTTAACGCCTTAAGATTCTATATAATAAAGATTTCCAAAAAGGTTAATTTTTTTTTCATGGAATGTTACTGACTACACTGTGAGCCATACACCATCCTGGGCTCTGGAGTTCACTGAGAACAAAAGTGCACAGTCACTACTCCTGTGGAATTCACCAGCTGCATAGAAAACAATTTTAAACAAAATGTATAGCTATATATTACTAATTGTATTAGTCTATTTTCATATTGCTATAAAGAACTACCTGAGACGGGGTAATTTATTAAGAAAAGGGGTTTAACTGACTCACAGTTCTGCAGGTTGTACAGGAAACATGGCTGGGGTGGCCTCAGGAAACGTACAATCATGGTGGAAGGTGAAGGGGAAACAGGCATGTCTTACATTGCCAGAGAAGGAGGAAGAGGGAGAGAAGGGAGGTGGTACACACTTTTAAACAACCAGATCTTGTGAGAAATCACTCACTAGCACTAGAACAGCAAGGGGGATGTCCGCCCCCATGATCCAATTACCTTCCACCAGGCCCTTCCTCCAACATTGCGGAATACAGTTCTACATGAGATTTGGGTGAGGACACAAATCCAAACCATATCATTCTGTCCCGGCCCCTTCCAAATCTCATGTCCTCCTCACATTCTCACATTGCAAAGTACAATCATCAATTCTCAACAGTCCCCCAGTCTTAACTCATTTCAGCATTAACTCTTAAGCCCACAGTCCAAAGTCTTATCTGAGACAAGGCAAGTCCCTTCTGCCTATGAGGCTGTGAAGTGAAAAACAAGTTAAACAAGTTAGTGGCTGGGTGCAGTGGCTCACGCCTGTAATCCCAGCAGTTTGGGAGGCTGAGGTGGGTGGATCATGAGGTCAGGAGTTCAAGATCAGCCTGGCCAAGGTGATGAAACCCTGTCTCCACTAAAAATACAAAAACTTAGCTGGGCGTGGTGGTGGGCACCTGTAATCCCAGCTACTTGGGAGGCTGAGGCAGAGAATTGCTTGAACCCAGGAGGCAGAGGTTGCAGTGAGCCGAGATCGTGCCACTGCACTCCAGCCTGGGTGAGAGAGCAAAACTCCATCTCAAAACAAAAAACAAACAAACAAAACCCCACAAATTAGTTATTTCCAAAATACAATGTAAGTACAGGCATTGGGTAAATACACCCATTACAAAAGGGAGAAATCAGTCGAAACAAAGGGGCCATAGGCTCCGTGCAAGTTCAAAAACCAACAGGGCAGTCATTAAATCTTAAAGCTCCAAAATAATCTCCCTTAACTCCATGTCTCTCATCCGGGATACACTGAGGCAAAGAGTAAGCTCCTAAGGCCTTGGGCATCTCCGTCCCTGTGGCTCTGCAGGGTATAGCCCACTCAGCTGCTTTCATGAGCTGGTACTGAGTGCCTGTGGCTTTTCCAGGTGCACGGTGCAAGCTGTCAGTGGATCTACCATTCTAGGGTCTGGAGGACAGTAGCCCTCTCCTCTCAGATCTAGTAGGGTAGGCAATGACCCAGTGGAAATTCTGTGTGTGGGCTCCAACCTCACATTTTCCCTCTATACTCTCCTAGTACAGGTTCTTTATGAGGGCTCTTCCCCTGCAGCAGACTTCTTCCTGGACATCTAGGCATTTCCATACATCCTCTGAAATCTAGGCAGAGGCTACCAAACTTCAACTCTTGCCCTCTGCACACCCACAGGCTTAACACCACATGGAAGCCACCAAAGCTTATGGTTTACACCCTCTGAAGCAGCGGCCTGAGACATATCTGGGGCTCATTAGCCACGGCTGGAGCTGGAGCAACTGGGACACAGGGAGCAGTGCTCTGAGGTTGTGCAGGGCAGCAGGGCCCTGGGCCTGGCCCACAAAAACCATTCTTCCCTCCTAGGCCTCCAGGCCTGTGATGGGAGGTGCTGCCGCAAAGGTATATGCAATGGCTTTGAGGCCTTTTCCCCATTGTCTTGGCTGTTAGCACATAGCTCCTGCTTGAATTCTGAAGCCTGCTTGAATTCTCCCTGCTGGAAATGGGTTTTTCTTTTCTGCCATGTGACTAGGCTGCAAGTTTTCCAAACTTTTATGCTCTGCTTCCCTTTTAAATATAAGTTCCAGTTTCACATCATCTCTTTGCTCATGCATATAAGCATACATTGTTAGAAGTAGCCAGGATACAGCCTGAACACTTTGCTGCTTAGAAATTTATTATGTCAGGTACCCTAAATCATCTCTCTCAAGTTCATAGTTCCACAGATCTCTAGGGCAGTTGCAAAATGCCACCAGTCTCTTTGCTAAAGCATAGCAAGAATGACCTTTACTTCAGTTCCCAATAAGTTCCTCATCTCCATCTGAGACCACCTCAGCCTGGACTTCATTGTCCATATCACTATCAGCATTTCGGTCAAAGCCATTCAACAAGTCTTTAGGAAGTTCCAAACTTTCCCTCATCCTCCTGTCTTCTTCTGAGCCCTTTACACTCTTCCAAACTCTGACCACTACCCAGTTCCAAAGTTGCCTCCACACTGTCAGGTATCTTAAATGCAATACTCTACTCCTGGTGCCAATTTTCTATATTAGTCCATTCTCACATTGCTATAAAGAACTACCTGAGACTGGATAACTTATTAAGAAAAGAGCTTTAATTGACTCACAGTTCTGCAGGCTGTACAGGGAACATGGCTGGCAGAGGTGGGCTCAGGAAACTTATAATCATGGTGGAAGTTGAAGGGGAAGCAGGCACGCCTTACATGGCTGGAGAAGGAGGAAGAGAGAGAGAGGAGGGAGGTGGCACACACATTTAAACAACCAGATCTTGTGAGAACTCACTCACTGCATGAGAACAGCAAGGGGTAAATCTGCCTCCATGATTCAACCATGTCCCTCAGGCCCCTCCTCCAACATTAGAGATTACAATTTGACATGAGATTTGGAGGGGGACAGAAATCCAAACCATATCACTAATGGTAATTGATTTGAAGTAAAAACTGCTGGAAATCACTTAGTTTTCTTAAGTAGTTTGAACTTGTCGGTGGATTTATGTATTTGGGTTAAAAAAAACAATGTGCTTTTTCAATCAATCAATCACATTCTGAATGACGTTTGTCTGAGTACCAGCAAGGGCCACACACAGGAAGAATAGGAGGTGTTGCTGAGTCATTGAACACTGTCAAACAGCTCCTTGGTCTCTCTTCGACGCTGTCTGAGAGCTCAAGACAACTGGATGATTATGAAGAAGCCACAAAGAAAAAGAGAACACTCATGGCCAGGCTGGTGAGGAAAAATAAGCACAATCCTGCAGCAGCGTCAGATCTGATCTGGACCGGGGCACCAAGAGATGTCTGTGAACTGACACAAAGTGTTTGCTACTCAGGCTGCAAGCAGACAGCAGTGAGAGGATCAGGGCTCCACAGAGCAGCAGATGACCGTCCTCAAAGTATTTCATCCTGGCCAATGGACTTTGGCAATGAAGAGCTCACAGGGAGAGCTGGGTTTCACTGTGAACAATGTTTAAACCCAGGCTTAAAGAAGCGAAATATTTTGTCCTCTGTCCTGTGGCATTTTGATGAGACTACTACTGGGTGAAAGAGGGAAGAGAGGAAAGTGCATCTGAGAGTTCAGCTCCTGTATATTTATGGCTGAGAATTCCCAAAGTTATGTCACTAATTGGGTTTGGAAAAGAGAATCATGCCAGCCAGGCTTTATGCTGTGAATTTTCCTTAAAAGTTCTCTAGAAAGCTTGCCAAATTCTTTTCATCATGACCCTAAAACTATTCACATATGCGCTCTAGTTAAAAATCCACATTTAAAAGACAGCCTGTTTATATGATCCATTTAAGGTCAACTAGCAAGTGAGTAGAAGAGCCAGGAATAGAACCCAGATATTCCAATTCTTTTTAACTGTTACAGTGGGCAAGCCTATGTTTCTTGTTTTATTTTTGCATTTTCAGGACCTACAAATTAGCATATAGCAAAATTCTATCTTGGGGGAAAATGTAATTGGTCAATTCATAAAACGGAGAATTCACAGCAGAAAAACAATAAGTTTCTATGGGATGAGAACAAGAAGGAAATCTCCTGAATTTCATCTTAAGTCCATATTCCCAGGCAGACAGTAACATTCACTCTTTCAGGCCTGGCTCAGTGCCAAGCTCCACAAGTACTAGATGTCTCTCTGAGTGTTTTCAGGACAAAGAACTTGGAAATGAAACAGGCTGAGGGTATCTTGTTCTTAGAGTAAGGAAGAGAGAACCAAGAAGGATGATGCATTGTAGATAGCTCTTTGTCTTCAGGGAACCTTCAACTCCTCCCAAACCAGGTATAGCTATGCTTTTCCAAAGGCTCTTAATGTAGGAGCTCTGTGACCAAAAGCCTTTGACACATTGTTCTACTGGGCAGTGAGAGTGACATCAGGTGGATGCAGGAGTGAATGAAACAGCCAAGTTACTTTGGTGCTGTGGTGGAAGATTATCATTTTGTGAAACTTTCTTCGGGTTTAAAGAGTTGTATTTAGGGTTTGGGTGTTTGGTTCTGTTCCCGGCCCCTGTTCTCTCATCTACATACTTAACGATCTATTTGCACAGGAATTTTAGTTATCTTTGCATAGGGTGGGCCATATTCTAAACTTGGATATTCTGGTGTCTTTGTGGAAACTGGGAAAGGGGATATGTTTAAGGGATTCATAGCATGTAAAGTTGAGTTTGACGAATATTTCTGGAGCACCTACTATGTGCCAGGTTATGTATTGAGGATTTAAAGATAGTTCTTACACTCTAGAAGTTCACTGTCTAATTTAGTGAGAAAGAGAACAAATGCAGCTGGGCACAGAGAAGAGGGATCTGAACTTATCCCACACCTGAGTTGAGTCTTGTTGGAATAACAGCATAACAAAAGCGTGGAAATGAATAACAGCATCAAAGGTGCAGATAAAGATTCCAGGACCATGGGAACAGCAGATTGAGATTTAGTTGGGTTGCTGCATTGGTCTAAGTTTTCTCTTCTGCAAGATAACAGGGTAGATTCCAATCTTGACTTTCTCTGAGCACATTTCCTGTGAAGAGAGTAAATTTGGAGGGAAATTTACCTGAGAGGATCACTCAGGTCTAAATGCCTCCAATGACGTTTGATTATTTTGTTTTTTAAGAGCGATGTCATAGCTTCATTTAAAGATCCCACTATTACAATATACCAAAGAATTTAGACCTTTGAATCTATTCAAACTCGTAATGAAAGACTTTTTAAAATGGTGGTAAAATATATACTTCAGCATTTTTAAAAGTTGTGGTAAAATATGCCTTTTAGCCATTTTTAATTGTACAGTTAGTGGCATTAAGTACAATTAATTGGCATCGTGCAACCATCACCACCATTCATCTCCCCCAAGCCCCTGGTAACCTGCCCTTGCTTTTCATCATTAAACTGTTTTGCTTTTCTGTAAGAAGTCCCAGGCTGCTTTGCCACAGCATGACATAGATAGAATTCTACAAGAGAGTAGAGCAATCAAAAGGAGGCGCTCCTGACAGAGGACGGCGTTCAGGTTTTTGGTTCTAGCCACACTGCTCATCAACTGTGAATTTGGAGGCCTCATCTCGAGTTTCTGCTCCCAACCTAGGGCATAGACCCCACCAGGGAGGCTGGAGCTCCCCCTAGAGTTTCGTGTCTCCATTGCAACAATTTGGGCCCAAAATAACAAATACCAAGCAAAAAGCTTGAAGGGGTGGTGGAGACAGAGGGAAAAGGAGGGACACAATTTGAGAGCCACTGGGGAGCTGCTAAGTACAAGCTGTCCATGCCTCTGAAATAGCACTTCCTCCCTTCCTCTCCCCTCATACACTGGATTGCGTTTCATAATCCTGCCAACACTTAAATCCCTTTTGCTTCCTAGACTGTCCAGTGTAATTGATAATGCTGATGCTTTAGTAAGCAAGGCTGTTCTTCAAGTCAGTTTGGAACTAATGTTTCAGCAAGGGGCCACTGTGTTCCCAGGGATGGAAGAAATCAAATGAAATGTAACACTCAGGCCCTGACCACCTCTGGTCCCAAAGGCTTGCTTGGAACTTCTCACAGGATAGAAGCCTTCCTGTTTCTGCATTAATCTTTGTTTGCTGGCCAAGTTCCAACTCAGGTAATTACATTCTCCCTTACCCAAATCCTCCCTTGGCAGATTTAGTCCTTTCGTATGTCTTCTTGTGGTCTTTAGTTTTTGTGGCATATTGCTCTTGACACAGCATTTTTCTGAAGAGATTCTACCTTTCAATGAGAAGGCAGAGATGGGTGGGCCCACTGGCATTGCATTTTATCTGCAAAAGAATTATACAACGAAGTAAAGGTGGGAAAGCAGCAATGACCAGAGAGCCCTAAAGAATGAAAGAGCACATGAGATCCCCCGATCCCTTCTCCTCCCTTAGGTAGGTGCATCATTAAACTACTGATGTTATTTATTTACTTCTTGTTATAAAGGCTGCATAACCCTCTAGAGTTAGATAGCCAGTTTCATCACTCTTCTGGCACAAAACTTATTTTCAAATGAAACCCTTACTGCTTGGGTGTTGCTAAACCATCCTATGTTTCTTGTGTTGGTTTGGCAGATGGTTTATTGTTCAGTTCCCCAGGGTTAATATCTAGGTTTAGTTTGGGGATAAAGTGATTATGCAGATTTTTAGGTTGTTATTTGGATTCAAAAATCACTAAAATATGCCAGAAATTTCTTAGTAATTATATTGTAAGTACTACCTTCCCCTGAAGATGTGATTAAGTACATGAAGTACTTCAACTCATGAGGGATTTATCGAATACCCGTGTCACCTTCCACCTAGATGACCTTGGAGAAGTTAACTAACAATTTTGTGCTTCAATTTTCTCGGTTTGCATATTGATTAAGTATAATTACTTCATAAGATTATTGTGATGATTAAATGAGAGTGCACAGAAATCCATTATTAGTATTATATTAAGCAGATATTTTGGAATAGATCTAGAAAATAATGAAATAATCAAGAAATCTTTTCAAGAAGATAAGGATACCAAGATGACTAAGCAATGGTTCCTGTCCTCAATATGCTTATGGTATAATGAAAGTGCCATAAATTCTTCATTGCTGTAATCCCAAAACCTAAATTTATGTCTAGCATTCCCAGTGAGTGGCCAATAAATACGTATTGATAGAATAAATATACGAAGGATGTAAACATAAATATACAGAAGAGAAATTTCCAATGAGGGACGTTGAGGATGGCTTCATAGAGAAGTTTGCACTTGATCTGAATCTTGAAAAATGGGTATGATTTCGATAGACAGTGAAGGAAGTTAAAGGTATTCAAGTAACTTACTGGAACTGTGTTTCCTAATCTTCTCTGGGTCATAGCACATAAAGAGAATGATAATATTTATATAGGACACTGACCAAAGGCAGTTGGCCACAGGTTCCCACCAAAGCTGAACAAACTTTGTTGCTCTGAAGGCTGAAGGAATAAGTATTTTGGGCATATACATAATTAATTTGCATCTTACAATTTGGGAACCTCTATATTGGAAGATAATTCCCAAGAAAACAAGGATCTTGCATATCTTGGTCAACTTTGTATCCCCTATGCTTAAGATAGTCCCTGGTATGTGTTAGTTGAATGAGAGCAGAGAGGAAAGCATGAGCAAACACTTAGAGTTGGCCTGTAAAAGGCATGGGTGGGGCCATGGAAGTACAGGATGCACAAGAAAATGTAGAGTCTGGAAAGACAGGCTGGAGGCAGATCTAGGAAGCTTTTGAATGCTGTGCCTGATTGGCCTTGATTCAGTAAGGCATGGGTTCCATCAAAGACTTTGGTACAGGGTGCTTTTAATGGGGAAGATTATTTTGGGGGATGATACAATGGAGAGAAAAAAACACTGGAAGAAAAAAGTCAAGAAGGTAGATATTTCATTGTCTGGATGGCAGACAATGAGGGCCTAATGTAGAGCAGAGGGAATGTGAAAAAAGATGAATTTGACACCTGAGCTCAGAAATATCTAGTAGAACATCACTGGATTGAATGGGAAAAGGCAAGGCAAGAGTCATATTGCCACTAATTGGCTATTTTATCTTGGGAAATAGACTTAACCTCTCTCTGCTTGTCTTCTCATCTACAGAAAGAGAGACCTTCAGTCCTACTGATTTCTAATATTTTAGAATTCTGTAAAACTTATCAAACTCCTAATAAACTAACAAGGCCTCCCTTCCTCTCCTCCGTTTCTCCTCCACCTCAGTTTGTGGCAACATTTCATCTTCTTCGTTTGGACTCTCTTCGTTCTTTAAAAAAATTCAGGTTAACGCATCATTCAGTATAGCATATAAGCCTTTAGGATGCAAGATGGAGTAGTCTTGCCCTACTGCATCTGAAGACTATTCAACTGGGAACTACCTCACTCTATATTCTCTTAATCACTTGGTCTGCTAGGGAAAAAGCTGACGTAGGCCCTTTTCTTATGAGTAAGAAGAATATCTTATTCCTCATTGTCAGTCCAAGGCTGGTACATGATAATGGCTGAAAAATATGAGGGATGAATGAATGAATTAGTCAATGAGGTGGTGAGGGGGAGACATACCATGGCTTACATCTTACTAGCCCCTGGAAAGTTAGGGTCAGATGCATTCCAGACTGGAGACTGGTAATGCCATCTTTTGTTTTTATCTTCCTTCAAGAGCTCTCAAGAACCTAAATGATTTTCTTAACCTTTGTTCTCCTATATCTGTTGCTGTCATTTGCCACTCAACCCTTCCCACTCACAAGTGGTTACCTCCCTGTGCTCACTTGAAATCCAGAGAATGGATTGCGCCATCCTTTTCTCTTAGGACTAGAGTACCTACAGTTATGTCCACTGAAATTCCATCAGCAGGACCAACTCAAATTATCTAGGTCCTAGAATGAGTTAACAAGCACCAACATATTCGCTAAGCTTAAAAGAATACTCCATTATTGTGTAGCAATTGGTAAAGAACTTATTAATTAAGGATATAAAATAGACAGAAATCTCCCAGGAGGCAAAAAGCCATTAGAAAGACATTGTGGAACCAATCTAGCAGTTAATGGAATACTCAGAGGTCCTTAAAAAATAAAAAAAAGAAGGGGTCACTTTTTAAAAGAACAGGTATCATCGAATTAGTGATATTAAAGAATGAAGGAAAACTTGCCAAAAGACAGGTAAATTCTAAAGACAAAACAAAAAACTTCATAAGCATTTATTTTAATAAATCCAACCTTCTATTGCTACATCTCTAGATCCTAAACGCGTACCCACACCACCACAAAACATCAAAGTAAATTGAGATGGAAATAGAAATCAAACTAGTGTTGCAAATGAGAATTAATAGTACATTTGCTTTTGTTCTGAGACAGGGGCATCAGAAGCAAAATAAACAACTCATTTCAAATGCCTGTGAGTTGTTTAAGAAATAGCTATCAAATTAACAAAAAATGCCAGACACTCTGTCCATTTCCCTCCTTAAAGTGTAAGCTTTCCCCCCTACAGATTAGCTCATCATAGTAGAACAGCATTGTGTTTTTGAGACGGATTTGGTGAGATAAGCCAGCATGAGGATTATCCAGGAACTGGTTCCTCTGGGGTAGCGATGGAGATCTTACATACCTGCTCTATTAAAATATTTATCTGCAGAATGACTTGATAGCTCCAGCCCTGTGATCAGACACTCATAGGGTCCCCCTGAAGCAATCTGCTTTACCACACAGTATCACAGAGCATGTGATCACAGGACCCTAATAACTCCATGTGTTGGAACCCACTGAGCCTTTCATCACTAAAACTAGGCAAAATCAGACCACAGAACTATCTCCACGGGAGGAGCAGCATATATGTTAAGAGCATGGGGATGAGAAAAATCAAAGACATTAGCTTCTTTAGCTCTTTGGAATTCAAATCTAACCTGGTCCAGTCCTCTGTATGCAAATGGTACATTCATAAGTCAAACTTGAGAATTGTTTATTCCACATTTTGGGGAAAGAGGGAGATGCACTTAATCAACATACGATGGCTAAGTATAAAGAGCACTGGGTGTGGAATTCAAAGACCTGGTTCTGAGTAATATCAGCAGCTCCATATCTCTATTATCGTCAAATATTACACTTTCTGAGCCTCCTCTTTGTTCATCTGTGAAAGGAAGTAAATTTATATTTGTTCTGCCTGCCTCACAGAGTAAATATACAGATCTAAAAGATCTATAAGATGAAGAATGCCAAAGCACTATACATTCTGTGAAGGTGTTGAAGATGATGAGGATGAAGATGATGATAAGAATTATTAGCTCAAGGCAATTACTTTAGTATGTCTTCAAGAAAAATGACTAAGCTTTGTGATAAAAGGTGGTCGAAATGGAAAAATAGTTCTTTCAGAAAGAAGTTTCATGAGAATGTAAACGTTTATCATTATAGAAATGATCCAATAGTGCTATTAAAAACTCATAAACAGAATATATTTATTTGCTTTTGATTTTCAAACAAAATCCAAGCCACAATAATACAGGCTTGTAATGCAATTAAGGATGTATTACCAACAAATAGCTGTTCACTGCAATGTCAAAATTTCATAGGCATATCCCAACACTTCAGCTTATTCTTTTTCTATACCTGCTTCATCTGCACAGGGGTCTCTGTCACTATTGCCTGGAGTTCAATGTCTTTTTCAACATTCTTGTTCAATATGCTTAATTTTCGAGTATCATTCTTCTTGATGAGAAAGATGGAGGTCAAACGGGAGTTGAATAACTTGGCTTTCTTGCTCTAACCTGTGTGCTAAATATTAACCCAAACCCCCAAATATGTACATACCTCTTTCATCTTTGGCCTCTGTCTCCAAATACAGTTATATTTTTCTTTTATGTTTTTTTCCAGTTTCATGAACTTTGCTCATCATTGGCTTCTCTAAGCCTAACTTTCTGCAGTCGCAGTTTTATATATGAGTTCTTATGTAGTCAGTTGCATTGGTTTCTGTAGATTAACTTACCAATACTTTTTTTCTGGTCATTGAGTGCTTGTGATTAATAAGCTAGAATTTTATTCCTTAGTGTTTTTCAGCTGTCTGGAGTATCTTTTAGGATTTCTTTTAAAGACTTTGTTTATAGGATTATTCAGTGCTTAACAACTTGGCTTACAGAGAATCCCTGTCTATGCTAGAAGTTCTCTTCTTTGATATTACAAAATTTTATGGTAGCACCTTGAATTTTCCCTACCAGAATATTCTATTTTCACTACTTTTAAGCTTTCTATTCCCTCTGCCTGGAACATTATTTTATGTCTGTTCTTTACATGACAGGCTTCTTCTCATTTTTAGGTTTCAGTTTAATTTTCATCTCCTCAAAGAGGCCCTCCATGATTATAATAAAGAAGCCCTTGGCATGTGCGTGCATGCACACACACACACACACACACACACACACACACACACAAAATCTCTTCACTCTATTTATTGCTTTCATGGTATTTGACATGACTGGTGACTGTCATGTTGACTGATTTGCTTCCCTTGTATTATCACTCACCTGCCCCCAACCCACTCACCAGCTATGACTTGGACCTTGTCCACCTTGGTCATTGATGTTTCCCAGTCCCTGGCACAGGGTCTGTTATGCTATACGTATATATTGGAGGAATAAATAGTCTATTTCTACATTATTTTGTAAGCAGGCAGGTTCTAAATTCTCTGAGTAAAAATGTATTTATTGTAAAACCAATTTTTGAGTTCAGATGGAATTAAGAGAGTATTTATTCTAGAATTTTCATTTTACGGGTTCAAGGAAGTGAAATCATTTGTACAAGATTTTATTTTTATTTTTATTGTTGTAGAGACACAGTCTTGCTCTGTCACCTAGGCTGAAATGCAGTGGCACAGTCATAGCATACTGTAACTTCAACCTCCCAGGCTCAAGCAATCCTCCAGCCTCAGCCTCCTGAGGAGGGGACTACAGGTGCGTGCTACCATGCCCAGCTCATTTTTGAATTTTTATTTTTATAGAGATGAGGGTCTTGCTCTGTTACCCAAGCTAGTCTTGAACTCCTGGCCTCAAGTGATCCTCCCACCTCAGCCCCCCAAGGCACTTGGATTACAGATATGAGCCACTCTTCCTGACTGGTTTTATTTTTCAGTGAGTTATAGAGCCTGGAGTAAAATTTATGTATTTTGACTTCCAGAAAAATAAATATTAATTAAAGGGCCTTTTCCCACTGGCACCAGTCAACTTGACTGTTCAACTTCACCCTAACTGCCCAGCTTAAACTCTGTACTCCAGCCAACCAAACCAACAACACATAGTTTGTTTCTTAACAGCAGCAATTCTCTACTGCACTAAGCAGAAACTCTCCCTATCCAACCCCACTCACAGCAGTCCTGCTCATATCTTATCTTTTTGAAGTTTTTCTTGAGTAATCTCAATCAACTCTAGTCTTATCAGATGCTCTGTAAATTGTTTAGTTCTTTTTATTCCCACCTTTCTGCCTAAATGACAGATCTGGGATTATGCTGTCATTCATATTGCCTCACTTTGGTATATTCAAAAAAATGGGGACAGTCTTTTGCAGCCCTTTCCATAAAAAGATGGAGTCTCCTTTTTGACCCTTTGAATTTGGGCTTAGCCGTGTGACTTGCTTTGGCCAATGGAATATTAACAAATATGATTTGAACGCGGCTTTTGCTTATTGTATTGGGGTTTGCCCTCTCTTGCTGCAGTTGGAATCCTGCAGCCACCATAGAAAAAAATACAAGCTAGCCTTCTGGAGAAATCATATAAAGGAACACTTACAAAGGTAATCATGATCCTAGGCAGATCTTAGAAGAAAAAGAACAATGACCATTTCCTTCCTCTATTTTCATTTATCTTTACAGAGATAGGGTTTCTTTGCTTCATCAATTCTTTTCTCCCAAACCCCAAACTAAGTATTTAACCCTATTAGAATGAGCCAGTTTCTTTTCCTTGCAAAAGAAAAGATGCTTTCACTGATTGCCAGCCAACTGCTAGCAACTGTGTGAGTGGGTCCATTCTAGACCATCCAGCCTCAAACCTATCTGCCTTTTGCACTATATATAGACATATGAGTGAGCCTGAGAAAAAAACCATCAAAAGAATTTCCTTAACAAACCCAGTCTGAAATTGACAACAATGATTTGCGTTTTAAATCACTAAGCTTTGGGATAGTTTGTTACTCAGGAAAGACTACTGATACACTCGCTGTGAGTCCTACATTGCTTTCCAGTCACCTTTATTTGCTGCAACTCAGGTGCACTTCCCTAGGAGATGATCCACTTATCCCCATTTCACAGAGAGGAAAAATCAATGTCAAGAGGCTTTTCTAGTATTGATGCTCTGACATGTTTAATTCTTCAGATCCCATGCATTACAGATAAGTCCTCCTTTGACACTTTTTAAGAGAGCAGCTATTAAAAATGTTTAGAAAGGCATTAGGAAGTTAAGGACACACAGACAGTTTCCAAAAGCTGGACTCAAAAACAATAAGCATGAGCTTAAGTAGGGTTTATACAATTAATAAAGCCAGAATATGATGTTGTTCATTTACTTCTTGTTTTCTAACCAGCAGTGATCAATTGTGCACAAAATACCTAGGCTGTTCCAACACTGCAGTCACTACAACCCATATAAAAAATAATGACAATAATTATTGATAATACCTTAATCATCTTCTAAGTGTTAGGTACTTTTCACATGCATTTCTCTGATGCCACAATAACCACATTAGGAAGTACAATTTCCCTTTTACAGAAGAGGAAACTAAGGCCTGTAAAAATTAAGAAAGTAGCCCCAAACCACCCAGCTAGTAAGGACAAGAGCTGAAATTGAAACCAAGGTTAGCCTGTGTAGTCTCTCCCTGTACCACCTGCCTCTTTGCATTGACTGCACTACAATTCCTGTTTCCTTTCATATATTAAGGATGCAGATCATGAGCCCCACATTCAAGGATACCTGCAGGGACTACTCCTCAACAAGAAAGCAAAATCTCTCTCATGTATCAAACTGTAAGTGATTTCGCTTTCAAATAACTTAAGATTGTTATCCTTGGTAGACCCCTAGAAAAGCCTCCTATTTGTCCACAGCATTTACTTTTCAATCCAAGTTTTAAGGTGGCAAAGGGGAACTACACTATCTTATTAACTAGACGCTTTTTTTTTCCTAACTCAGAGTCAAATAGGCTACAATAGTACCTATCTTCCCAAACTTCTGAATTGAATTTCTAAAAACCCCACAAAGGAGACCTCAGAATTTAAAAATTTAACAGAGGTCAGCCTTGAACAGCCTTTATAACTGTTTTTATGTTCCTAATAATAAAACAATGCATAGCACACCCATCCCCATGAATGATATTCTGTACATCTTAAAGTACTAAATAGGGACACTGTGCTTTTCATTTAAGTGATCATCTCTTACCTGCTGGATACATTTTAGCATTTTCCTTCTCCTCAGTTACAGGCTTATAAAATCATTTCACTTTGTTGCATTTAATTTACAGGTATTTGTCTTCTGTCTGCTCCAGCACCAGATGCCCTTATAATTTTGTGACTTCAGAGTCTCACTTCCTGTACCTTGCCTCTCAGACCCTCAGTTGCACTGTATTTAGATGTGCTTGTGTCCCTTCCTTGACACCTGGCACCTGATCTTAGTCTTCATTATATCTCAATGTTTAGGACACTTCCTGACACATATTAGGACTTAATAAGTGTTTGTTACATTGAATTATACCTTTCTGTATCCTCACTCTACCCATTGCCCTACTCTGCACACAAAAGGAGTTCTCTAAATATTTGTGAACCATTAATTAATGGAAGAACAATTGGAATGACCAGACTATAGGGAGGTAATCATGATCATAGGTAGATCTTAGAAGCAGAGAACAATGATCATTTCTTTCCTCTATTTTCATGTATCTTTAAAGAGACAGGGTTTCTTCGCTTCATCAATTCCTTTTCTCCCGGACCCCAAACTAAGTATCTAACCCTGCTAAAGTGATCCAGTTCCTTTTCCCTGGAAGGCCCATTTCATAAGTCTAATTCTGCCAACTTTCATACTAGACATTTAAAAAATCACAACAACTTAAACTATCTCAACTTTGTGAGAATTAAGTGACCAAAGACACTCAGAAAGCACAGCTTAGCATTCTTTCAGTTCCCTTGAAAACAGCAGAGTTCTAAAGAACCAAATTACAGAATCCAATTCAGGATGTAAATTACCACAAAGAAAAGGAAATAGCGGCAGGAATCCTCCCATGGCAGGTTCTATCTACTAAGCTAAAATTCAGGCATCTGGAAAAAAAAATGCGTCTAAAAAACCCTAATTTTCCCTGAATTAGGACCACTTCTGATTTTGTTCCTCTTGCATCTGCTTCAACCAAACTCTCATCGAAATAAAGTCTCTAAATGTCTTTGCTGGGTGATCAGGCAGCACCAGGACAGCACAAAGGAGATGAGAAAAGAGCAAGGGAAAGGGAATATGTCACATCCTGACTACAGGGAAACAGTGCAAAACATCTAATCACAGCAGTGCCAGGGAACTTGAACCTGTCCAAAAAGATCCCGAGCTCTCCATGTTTAATTGCCGTTGATGGCTGCTGGTCAGTCATGCATGACAATGCCCGCGTGTCTCGCTGCTCCCTGCCTGTGCTCATTCCTGTCAGCTTTCACTCCAGGTGATGAACACGGGCCTCAGGACCATGCGAAGGGGTCTGGGCCAGAGATGGGGGTGGGGTGGGCTGGAGAAACCACTCATGGATGCAAAGCAGCTTGCACTCAAATAACCCGTGGTGTAAAAGAGAAAGAGGTCTTATGACAGAAATGTTATAACCCCCTCCAATCCTTTACTCCCTTTCCCCACGTCTGCAGCATATTTATTTATCTTGAGAGGAGAACAAAACTAGGCCACACCATGCAAATGGGTAGGACATCTGTGACCTGAGGTATGTCAATGGGCAGCATGCGAGTCTCCTGTATAGTCAATTACATTTGAGCACATGCTTGAGGCTGAATAGAGAAATGTAAATTACACTTGAATATCAAAGAACATTATCTTTTTTGGTGATTCCAGTGCTTTTAAACCTCTTCTGCACAAGAGGGAAAATCCTGCTTCTGTTGGTTCCCATGGAAAGAAAAACTCCAAGCCTTGCGGGAAAGATGGCTTATTAAGTCTAGTGTGGCATTGATAACTTGGAAGGAACTCATCAATCCTCTCACAGCCTTAATTATTCAGTTTTAGTGTGAGATGAGTCTACAGTTTCTCTGGAGTTGCAGACCTCCACATAGGCTGCTTCAAGGCAGGAGTCAGGGAGAAATCTTAAAGCACAAAAGTTCCAGCCAGAATAAAATGGTGCAGTTGAGGTGAGCTTAGGAACTACTCTCTGCAGAAGGCTTGCTTGTTTATACCCTGTGAAGTCCTGGGAAGAACTTAACTTCTCTCTAGGCTTTAATTGCCTCATCTCTAAAAATAGATATTTCTACCTCATGGAGCTGTTATGAGAATTAAATGAGCTGCTTCCTTTGCGATACATAGACAAACTTAAGGCACATAACATGAGGATATATGACATATTTATTTTTGAAAACTTACATAGAGCATAATGGTAAATTGTACAACCTCTAAAATTAGTCCTGGATTTGAATACTGACTCTTTTACCCTGTTTAGTCTTGTGTTAATTTTCTTATCTTAAAATTGAAGATAATTACTTTTACCTGATAGGGTTATCTGAGAAAAAAATTGAGATAATGGTAAATTATACAAGCTCTAAAACTAGTCCTGGATTTGAATACTGACTCTTTTGCTAATTAGCTGTTTAGTCTTTTGTTAATTTTCTCATCTTAAAAATGAAAATAATTATTTTTGCCTGATAGCATTATTTGAGGAAAAAATTGAGATACATACATAAGAGATCTGATGTATATTAAATGTTCAGTAAATGGTAGGTACTTCTTACCTCCCAGCTCCTAAAATATATGCAGAATAAAAATTTAGAAATAAGATTATGATATTGAAAATTAAATCATCCATGGTGTGAATGTAGTTGTTGTTAATTGGCAATTTGACATGAACTGTGTTGTCAGTATCTTACATTTTTCTTAGCAAGAACCAAAAACCAAAGATGGGAGCAAGTAAACTTCATTTCATTATCATAAAGACTCTTTTCCCCACAATAAAATTAGTTTCATTTTTTTCTGGTTATATAAACAACATCTGCTCATTGTAAAAAAAAAAAAATTAAGTCAACCACTGGAATCATTATGTTAAGTTAAGGAAGACATTATGTTAAGGAAGACAAATACCGCATGTTCTCAGTCATGTGTGGGAGCTAAAAAGAAAAGTTGACTCATGGAGGTAGAGAGTACAAGGATAGATGCTAGAGGACAGGAAGGGTGTGTGGGTGGGATGGAAAGAGTTTGGCTAATGGGTACAAACATACAGTTAGATAGAAGAAATAAGTTACAATGTTCCATAGCAGAGTAAGGTTAGCAACAATGTGTTACATTATTGGAAAGAATCTAGAAGGAAGAACTCCAAATGTTCCCAACACATAGAACTGATAAATATTCAAGATGATGGATACACCAAGTGCCCTGACTTGCTCATTACACAGTCTATGGATGTAACAAATACTCACATGTGCCACCATAAACATGTAAAAAATTATGCATCAATTTTTTAAAAGTCAACCAATCAATAAAGGTAAAGAGAAGAGAGTAAAAAATCACCTGAAATTTCACCATCTAGTGATAACCATTTTTTTTTTTTTTTTGTGGGGGCTCAGTCTGGTTCTGTCGCCCAGGCTGTAGTGCAGTGGCACGATCTCGGCTCACTGCAAGCTCCGCCTCCTGGGTTCACGCCATTCTCCTGCCTCAGCCTCCCAAGTAGCTGGGACTACAGGTGCCCGCCACCACGCCCAGCAAATTTTTTGTATTTTTAGTAGAGACGGGGATTCACTGTGTTAGCCAGGATGGTCTCGATCTCCTGACCTCGTGATCCAATAACCGTTATTAATATTTAGTAATCATCCTTTCATGTATATGATTTTGCATATATATATTTGTGTATATATAAATCACAAATAAGATTATTTATTATTATAAATGGTATGTTTATCTGTGAAACTTTTAAAATTCTTTCTCTCTTTTGATTTTAATTTCCTAAAACGCATAACTGGTAATATAGAAGTGGCAGAAATTGACTTGCTACTCATCAAATCCTTTTCCTTTTCTTCTTGGGCACCCAGCTAGACTGTATTGGCCAGCGGCTCAGGCACGTGTGGTCATGTGACAGCTTCCAGCCAATGAAATGTGAGAAGTGGCCTGTACTATTTCTGGGTCTAGCCCATAAAAACTTGTATTTGATCTCCTCACCCTTTTTTTCCCCTTTGGGTTTTATGCAGATTAGTACAGTAGCTTAGAACTCTTGTGTTGAAGATAATAGAATAAAATGGTGAAAGGAAAAGGATTTCCTGAATCACTGCCTAAAAGAGATCCACAAGGAATCCCCCGTTTTGGACTTTACTTGAGTGATGATTCAATCTCTATCGTATTAAGCCCCTGAAATCTCAGGTTTTATCACTACAGCAGCTGTGTTGCCTTAACTAATATTCATATCACTTCTGCTTTCCTCTTCTTCCACTCCTTCTCCCCCTCCTTTTCCCTCCTCCTATTTTTCTTCTCCCTTTCTTCCTCCTCCACCTCTTTTTCCACCCTCTTTTGCATGTGCCAGGCATTTAATTGACTGTCCCATTATTTTCAATATTTTAAAATCACTTTTTATAAATATGTTCCTTGTAAATAGCATAATTGAGTTTGGCTTTTTAACTCAATATGCCATTGTCTTTCATTAGAAGAATTCAACCCGTTCATCTTTAGCATAACAACTTATTTTTATTTTTTATAATTCCACTAGTGTTTACTTTTCTATTAACAACCATAATTAATCACATATTTATATACTATTTTATGAAAACTACATACCTATTGTTGTTCCCTCTATTTTCTTTCTTCCACTGCTCCTGCCCATCTCAATGAGACTTTCGGAAAATTTTTGCTGATCCAGTCCACAGCATCCACACCGTCCCCCATGAATACAATGTTTGAGATGTTTTTATTCCCCACTCTTCCTGCCCCACAAACTCCTATTTTGCTTAGATCGTTTAGTTATTTTTCTTTTAGATCATCATTGGGCTTTTCCTTATAGAATGCCATTTCTATATTAAGGATCTTTATGTAGCATTTATATCACACATTGCTGGTTACACTATCGTTATTCACTTAAACGTCTGTCATGGTGTGTTTATTGTTCATTCCTTGCTTCCCCTTTTCTTCGTCTCCTACCTTCAAATCTCTGCCCTGATTCATTTGCTGTTTGACTAAAGCCTGTTCGTGAGGGCTGTCTTCTGATAAAGTACCTGGAGAAAAATTATCTGAGCTCTTGCCCATCTAGCAATTTCTCTTTTTAAAAATTATTTTAGGTAATTATTATCTCAGCTGGGAATAACTCTTGGGCCAGAGTCTTTACACCCAGTTATCCTCAGCTGCTGTTTCAAAATCTTCTTGCTTTCAGTGTCGCACCTGAGAAGTCTGATGCTCATTTGATTATTCTTCTTTATCCTTTTTTAAGTAACTTGTTTGATTTAGAATATTTAAAATTTTCTCTTGGAGTCCAGGAACTTTACCACACATTAAACTTGTGCTTTATTATCAGTCTGCCTAGAATTTTATGAAAACTTTTAATATGCTGACCAAAGTATTTAATTCTTCTATTACATGCTTACATTTTCCCTCTTTTCATTTATTTGTTATTCCCTTTTCTGGAACACTTCTTATTTGTGCATTAGGGATCCTGGAACTACTCAATTTTAAACATTTAATTAGTATTTTTTTGAGGAAGCATTTTAATACTGTGACTAAGTCTTTTTTATATGTTTTTTGTTTATTTGGTTTTTGGTTTTGGGTTTTTTTTTTTTTTTTTTTTTTTTGTAGCCATTTAAGCTTCCGCCTGTCTCCTCTAAAGACTCTAGTTTATTTTCTGGGTGTTCTGCTTGTTTTCCCTTTTTCTTGCTACTGATCCTCTTAAATGAATTATATTTCCCTTTTCTTTTTCATGGTTCAATTCATCCTTGAGGGTCAGCTCTTGCTGCTGGGGTAGCTTAAGCATTTGCAAATCCATACAGGTTGGAGAAGCAGAAACCACTGCCCTGTGAGTTGGTGATATAACAGCCAGCAAGTAGCCAATTCCTTGTTGATAAATGGTTCCCCATTTCTCCAACTGCAGAAGTTCATGCTCTCCTAAGGTTTGGGGGTTGGGAGCACTAGCTAAATCTTTTAGCAATCCCTCAGTCCCTCTTACAGGAACACTCATGCAGCTCAGCACTGCCTCCCTTCTCTGGTCCATGGATTTCTACAGGCCAAGTATTCCCCAGGGGTAAAGAAATCTTGCCTCAGCTTTCACTACTGTCCAAGACCTGCCAGTTTGTGAACACCATGGGCTATTGATGATGTCTAGATTGGCATTGACCAGGGAGGGTAGACATATTGAGGATACTGTCTTCCCAGAATCACTCACATAAAATCCTTCTTAAATCAAACGAGGTTTTGCTACTATTGTTTACCCTGTAGCTATTAGTCATAGAAATCATTACAAGTGATGTTTCAGATGGCATTTAAAATGTCAGAAGCCCAGATCTGGGCCTGTATGTGCTAGGAATCCACTTCCCTCTCTATCTCTTTTCCACTTAACTTTGTGTATCTTTGACTATCTATCATCTTCAACTCATATTGTTTCATTTAAAGTATATACTACCTTTATAAATTATTAACTAATGCTAATATTTTCTTATTTGTTTTTTCACTAGGTTGGTCTCTGTAAGTCTCTGGGGATAACTCTTTAGAATATTTACTAATCTAGCTTCCTCATTCATTGTGAAAATCCAAACTTGGTGATTGCGTGCTATTTACGAAGGCATTAAGCATTCACACGGTCTGACCCCTAGCGTCCCTTTACTGCTTTCCATTGCCCCCGACCCAGGGAAGGATGGTTAATTTTTTTTTTAATGTGAAAGCACCTTTCTTAGGAGCCTCATGAACTATGGATGAAGAGCTACTCTCCCTTGGCTTTTTGCTGGTATAGAGCCACTGACTTGAACTATTTCTGAGAGTTGATTTAAAGCGTTGCCCTCCAGTCTAGTGGGAGGAAAATTCAGTTTGTGTGCTCATTTGGTTTGGGGACAAAAATCTGACAGCTCCGTCAAAGGTGTGAATATTTTGCTAGCAAGTAACCACCTCTGACAAGTTGGACTTCATCATCCTCTGCAGCCTTGAGTGAGAGTGAGGCCTGTGGTGAGAATGGAGATGAGGTAGAATTGGAGATGGAGCTTTCTGGCAGGCAGGGAGTTTGGGCATAGCCACAGCACATAAGTAAGTACACACACAAAGAGCTTCTGAGGCTGTGTATCATTCCAGAATTTGGATTTGGAATCTTTTCTTGTAGATTTATCAAAGAAATTCCAGTGTCAGATGCTTTTTCAACATAACCAGATTGACGCACTTAGTTTTACATGAAATCAATAGGCATACATTTTCCGAGGAAATATGCTGTGTACAGTTCAGATCAAATCACTGGAAAATACCAAGAAATACGTTGTATCCTCTTCACTCACAGGATCACACTGCCGAACAACATTTCAAGACAGGAGTTGGTCAAGGCACCAAGGAGTTGGTGAGAGGCGAATATGAATATTTTAGGAATTCAGAGACAGGAGAGATTAGCAAATTCTGGAGTAATTGAGAAAAAAACTATGAGGAAAATGTAGCTTGAGTTGAATCTTAAAATATGGATACATTTGGGTTCATGGAAAGGAAACATAATATTTATATAATAAAATCACAGAAGTGAAAATAAACATGGTGTGTATCATGCACAGTAAGGACATCCTTCTAATGCTGAGCTGACAGAAAAATGCACTAAAGAGTATTGTAATTTCCTCCTGTCAGAGTTAAAGAATCTTGAGATTAAAAAATTCCAAAGTACTACATGATATTTTGAAGAGCGCAGATCCTCGGTATTCTGGTGACTCAAAAGAGTAGGCAAATGGGGAAACTCATGCTGGGGTTTGGCTTGGTTGAGATGCTCGGGAGGTGAACTGTGAGGATGGGTATGAGGTCTGGAGTCCAAGGATGTGGTAGTCATTGGCATTGCTACAAAACAGCCCCAATTGTCTATGTTTATTTGTGCTTTATTTCCTCTCTTGGAAAGACACTTTTATGTGTTACCCTTTATATTATGTTTTAGCTGAATTTGACATTCTGTGACATTGGCTCTGTATGTTGGAACTTTCCATTGCACCAGTGTGAAGGGTAAGGGAGAAATATGCTGCAGAAAGGGAGCGAAGTTTGAGTGTGAGACAGCACAGGTTTAGAAATTAGTCTCAGAAATCAGATGCCAGCCTCTGTGTCCCTATTACCTGCTGGATAAAGGGTCCTTGGCATTCATTCATTTAATAGCAGATATTTTAGCACCTGCAATATCCTGGGCCCAGGGAAAAAGGCAACCAGATCCCATTTCTGCCCTCAGAGAACTTACAGGTCTTTAAAGTACCTAGTAGTCTCTGGAGTCACCAAATACAATTTGCCTTACAAAGATAAATCCTCCTTTCAGCATGTAGTCACTGTGTGGACATTTCCAGCTCTAAAGGTCTTATTTTCCTACAGGACAGGCTAATTTTTATATCAGTTTTGTAATAGTTGTAATTGTTAGAAAATTATTTCTTATATTAAAGTGAAATTGACCTCTTTAGAGTTGTTCTCAAATGAAACTGAGCACCATTCTCCATAAAACGTTTTAAAAACTGCAGATTACCAAGCCCCACCTAAGGCCCACTGAATCAGAATCAACAGGGAAGGAGCCCATAAATCTTAAACTTTAAGGTTATGATGATTCTGAGGTACAGCCAGGGTTAAGAACACATGATTCTGAGGTGTAGCCAGGGTTAAGAACCTCTATCATAATGTCTTCTTCTCATTCACTGTTTCTAGTTCTGTTCTCTGCAGTTAACATTCAAAGAAGGTGAATCCTTTTTACGCAATAGTCCTTCAAAGATTTGAAGACAACTCTCATGCTCTAACCTCCTCCTCTCCTGTTGTTACCTCTCCACAAGCTGAAGATCTCCACTTGCTTCATCGGTTCCTTATAAGATGTGAATTTCTGCACTCACCATCATCATCTTTCATTAAATGGCTTCCATCTTGTCAATGTTCTGTGGTGCCAATATGCATATAAAATCTAGATGTGGCTTGATTAAAGGAACCGTTGCTTCCCTTGATCTGATTGCTGTACTTCCATTAATGAGGCTTGTTTCTTGCAGCTATCTAGCTGTTTTCCGAGGCTATTAGCTCATTTAGAGTTTGGGTCTGTTAATCTCCTCCACCCATTTGTTGCACTCATGTCATTGCTCTTTTAATCTCAGTGTAAGACTTTACCTTTATACCTATACATTTTAATTTCAGTTAGGTTTATTTTGACTCTTACATCTATCATCAATATGTTTGCTTCCCATCAATGTTTGGGGCAAATATGAAAACAAATATCCTAGGGATTAATTTGAGTTGTGGATAGTTGTCAGTTTCTTTTTCTTGAGCTCTCTTTTTAGCAGTAAAATCACTTAATATACCTAATGCAAGAAAAAGAGAAGGAGGAGAAGAAGAAGAGGAAGAGGAGGAGTAGGAAGAAACAGAGGCAGAAGAAAAAGAAAAGGAGGAGGAAGTAGTGAGGCAGAAATGGACCCTGAACATTTTGGAAACCTGAACATTTTGCAGGTAAATATCCCCCTGCAAGTCTTATGTTTAAAAAAAGTGATTTCCAGACCTTTGTTTCTCATCAGGCCATCCACACATACGCACTCAAATGTAGAAGATGTAAGAGAGCAAATCTAATGAGAGTTTCATAGGCAGGCAGTTACATGAATGATAGAAAACTTCTTAAAGTGTCTCAACACAAATTAGAGTGGTGCACACTTTATAATAAGGGCAATGATAATCAGGATGATTTAGAGGCACTTTAATCGAAGGCTATATTGGAATGTGAATCCCAGAGGTGAGAAGGCAGTTATTAGTTCACTGAACCACCCCGATCCCTAGGCATTCATAGCTCAACTCACACTGAAGGATTTTAGTGTCTTTGTAAAAGAAATACCCTTTTGAAATGATTTGGCCTGTAAGGAGTGGAAAGGGTCTAGTAAAGATAAGAAGAGATAAGAAAAAGAATTTGAAGTTGAAATGGAAAAAATGAGTTGGAAGTTGAATGGGAAAGAACTATATTACTTTCAATCTGGGATGGGACAAGGAGAATCTAGGTGCCTGCACATGATTCATAAATGTTTTCGGTCACAGTTAAGTTTGATTAAAGCATCTAGAAATATATGTTAGCAAAATAGTTAAGCAGTGAACATATTTTTAAAAATATAATTTAGGAGGTCTATAAAGCATTCAGAAATCACCTGTTTGTATACTGATGAATTCCAGGTTTATATCTTCATGCTTGACTGCTTTAATGAGCTCCAAACTTGATTATTAAACTTCTCACTTGACAGTCCCACTTGGAGATCCAAAAGGCAAATCAAATTTACTGTCTTAAACAGAACTCTTGAACCCTATTCCCACTCCATAGTCCTACTCTTCATTTCTTCTTTATAACCTCTATAAATAGCATTATCCAGTTTTTTTGGAAGTAAAACGTAAAAATTATCTTTGATTCATCTTCCCTCTTGGCTTATGTTCAATTAACAGGGTTTATATCCCTTCTCCTTCCTCCCTTCTCCCTCAGCTAAAGTCAACAGTCTCCTTCTCATGAGCAACTACATACACATCCTAACTAGTTCCCCATCTTCTATACTCACTCCTTCTAGTTCATTTTCCACACATGCCCAGAGTGATCCTTTTAAAATATGTGAGATCATGCCACTCTCCTCCTTGTTAGCTCCAAGAGCTTTTCTGTGCACTCACAATATAATCTAGGCTCCTCACCATAAGTTGCAAGGTCTCACACCATCTGTGGTTGGCCACCTCTTCAACCTCTTCTCCTGCTAGCAGTATCCACCTCACTTGCCTGCTAGCCAACTTCCCTGAGCTCCTTGCTGTTCCTCAAACTAAGTTAGTGTGATCCCATCTCAGGGCCTTTGTACTTGCTGACACACTTTTCCAGATATCGATGAGGTTTGCTCCCCCACTTCAATGAAGTTTCTATTCAAATATCACCTTCTCAAAGATGACATCCTCAAAAAAAATACCCTCCTCCAACAACCCCATTCTCATTTGTCTTTAGTTTCCCTCACAGCATTATCATTATCTGACATTATGTTATGACAGATGATTGATAGACAGATGTGATAGAGATAGATTGATATATGTGACAGAGATGATAGATGATAGTAGATAGATGATAGATGATAGATAGATAGATAGATAGATAGATAGATAGATAGATAGATAGATAGATAGATATATGGTTTGGCTTTGTGCTTCCACATAAATCTCATCTCAAATTGTAATCCCCACATATTGAGGAAGGGACCTGGTGGGGGCTGATTTGATCATATGGGTGGTTTCCCCCCATGCTGTTCTCATGATAGTGAGTGAGTTCTCACAAGACCTGATGGTTCAAAAGTGTGCCACTTCCCCCTTTGCTCTCTCTCTCTCTCCTGCCACCATGAAAGACTGCCTTGGTTCCCCTTCTCCTTCCAATATGATTGTAAAAGTCCTGAGGCCTCCCCAGCCATGTGGAACTGTGAGTCAATTAAACCTCTTGTCTTTATAAATTAGCCATTCTCAGGTAGTTCTTTATAGTAGTGTGAAAATGGACTAATACATATGGATGAATGGACAGGTAGGTAGGTATATAGGTAGGTAGATAACAGATAGATGAGAGAGAGAGGATGTAGGAGAGAGTGAAGCACACTTGCAAGCAAGTGCATGGGCATCAGGATTCTTTCAAGGTTTCCAGGTGATTCCAGGGCTGAGATTCACAGGACTTGAGGGCAGGAGCTAAACACATGAAGCAGACTTTCAACTGCTAGAGTGGAATTGGAATCTCTACATTATTGCTGATCATGTTAGTTTTGTGAATCCGAAAGGATATCTCAGAACTCCCTTTATCTCCACTATAATTTTGATAAGTTATCAAAACAAAGAAGGCCAAGTTCAAAAGTTGTTTCTCTCTTTCCTAAAGTCTCCTTTCTAGAAGAAGAAGAACATGTTTGTAAGAGGAAGAGCTCAGTAGCCAGACAACCAGGTTTTGAATCCTGACTCTACTACCTGGGCAAGTGACACTTCTCTGTGCCTCAGTGTCCTCATCTGTAAAATGAGATAACTATTGTAACTTCCCTTGTGGAGTTGCTGGGGGACTAGACGAATGCTATGTAAAGGGTTTAGAGCAGTACCTGACACAAAGCAAGTGCCTTGAAAGTATTTGCTGTTATCTTTGAGGGAATGGCTCTCAAGCAGAAAATACATGTGGAAAATTCCTTTGGCCGGTGATTTTGAAAGTAGCTAGGGGGATTGAGACAGACCATTTTCTCTGAGACTCTAACTCCACTCAAGAATAGAGTTGGTTAATGATTACATCCTATAAAATTTTCCATGTCATGTGCCTTTTCCCCACTAGGCAATAGAAAGTAATTAAGAATTATGGGAAGCGGATTCAGTGAGAGGGAAGGCATGCCTTTCTAGGGACAAGCTCCAAACCCTAACGAGGTTATTGGCACAGGTGTCTCCTGCAAATGAATTAATGGGGAGGCAGATCCAATCATTAATCTGTCATCCAAACTTGGTGTTTAGAGTCATTTGGGGAGATGGGGCTTCCTTTGCCCAACCTTGGTTGTGTCTGGAGCAAAAATTAGGAAGCAGAGTGATTTCATTAGGATAACAAGGCTGTTAAAGAACAATCTGGCTCTTTAGATGGTATTTATAAAGCATTTCAAAGAAACTGTGTTCTGACAGCTGCTGTCAGTCTCTCACATAGGAGCTCTGGTAATTTATTGATACAGCAGGGGAGCTGTTATTATCCTTATTTGTAAAAGTTTTACGCGGACTAAGAGTCTATCTTGACTAGTTGCAAACTTCCCAAAGACAAATTCACGTAATTGAATGTTTCAATTGCCCCAACATGAGGTTTCGATTTAACAGAATATGATAAATTCTCAATTACATGGTGTCATATGTAGTTTTATAAACTGCTTCAAGTTATTTTTAATCAAATATGGTAGATAAAATTACATTTTCAACTATCTGTTTGTGGATTACCCACCACTCTTTTTGGCTGGTTTCCTCTAGCTTGAGCTATGGAGCAATGTAATGCAATGTGAATCATCAGAAAATACAGAAGAGTAATTTTTTAGACAGACCAATATATAATTATTCAGAAATCAGTGCTCCACAGAAAATGTAACAGTGCCAAAACCAAATATGAGTGATTTTTAATTAATGTAATCTCTGTCCATGTCATTATACCTTCATGGTTTAGCTAATTGAGAATTGACTATACGTTAAGTCATGGAGTAATTTCTTTTCACTCTTGAGTAGTGTACAGAATGTAGACTAGACAATTGGGTTGCCATTAGCAGTTAGCAGAGGGCAGGTGGAGCCTTTGTGTCATTTTTAGAACTAGGCATATCTCTCACTACTGTGCGTTTAAAAGAATGGGACTTTCTGAAACATTTTTATGAGCTCATACACCAGTAGGGTCACAGGGTCATTGACTTTTCCTGGGCTGTAAGGGATCTCAGAAACCATCTAGCCCAATTTCATTTATTTCACCATTAGGTTAACTGGAGACCAGGGAGATAAAATGCCACATAATTACTGATGAGGCCAGACAAGAAAAATTAGAAAGTGCTAAGTCTTCAATGTTTATGTACAACTAGTTATGCTATTACCACTAGTTTCTAGGGTAGTCAGGGCATTGTCAGCGAGAAAAAAAAATGTTGTCAGGAGCAGGAAAGAAACATTGCTAATGAAACAAAGAAATACTGGCATGGGTGGTATGAGGGCATTTTTTAAAATAATAGAAGCATATTTCTTTTGGAAAGGGAATTCTAGGATCAACTAGTAATTGCTGGAATATCAGGGTGGGGCCCTACATGACTTTTTCTTCATGAACTAAGTAAAACGAGCCAAACATTGTTCACAGCCTAGAACACTAGGCAGCTCAAAGGGGAGATACTTGAAGCTTGACAGAGATAAATTTTGGACAAATGAAGCAAATACTAATTTATCTTGTGGGTAATACATTTTTCATTACATCAAGAAATAGATGGAAGATTGAATAGGCTCTGTCAAAAATACAATCAGATCTAGTTAGAAAAATGTTAAAAGTTTATTGTCATACAGTAAGAGAAAGTACAGACTGTGATCTGGGAGAGTTCAAACCAAGTGGGAAGAGGCTGGCCTTACAGCAGTGACGGCAGTTTGTTGCTGTTATTGTTGTTGTTGTTTTGAGATGGAGTTTCACACTGTCATCCATGCTGGAGTGCAATGGTGTGATCTCCGCTCACTGCAACCTCCATCTCCCAGGTTCAAGTGATTCTCCTGCCTCAGCCTCCCAAGTAGCTGGGATAACAGGCGCCCACTACCTCGCCCGGCTAATTTTTTATATTTTTAGTAGAGACAGTGTTTCATATGTTGGCCAGGCTGGTCTTGAACTCCTGATATTGAACTCATGATCTGCCCGCCTTGGCCTCCCAAAGTGCTGGAATTAGAGGCATGAGCCACCAGTTTTTAAAGCATAAAGGAGGAAGTATTCTGACCTTTGTCTGTGATTTGCTGTTATACATTATCATTCTTTTTAAGACAAATAGAGCTGTTTAAGCTGATTTGTCCATAGCTGATCGGTTTAATTTCACTGAATCATGGTGACAAGGACCTAAAGCTCATATTTGTGTCCATGATTAGGGATGGCATTTCAGGGAAATCAGGATGACTTAAATTTTGGCTATGTGGTTATGAGTGGTTGGCCTTAAGGTGTATCTAACAGATGGCTTCCATATTTATTTTTAACAGTTCAAACCTGAGACTTTGCTGAAGTTTCTTATCAGCTTAAGGAGATTTTGGGCTGCGACAATGGGGTTTTCTAGACATACAATCATGTCATCTGCAAACAGGGACAATTTGACTTCCTCTTTTCCTAATGGAATACCCTTTATTTCCTTCTCCTGCCTAATTGCCCTGGCCAGAACTTCCAACACTATGTTGAATAGGAGTGGTGAGAGAGGGCATCCCTGTCTTGTGCCAGTTTTCAAAGGGAATGCTTCCAGTTTTTGCCCATTCAGTATGATATTGGCTGTGGGTTTGTCATAGATAGCTCTTATTATTTTGAGATACGTCCCATCAATACCTAATTTTTTGAGAGTTTTTAGCATGAAGCGTTGTTCGATTTTGTCAAAGGCCTTTTCTGCATCTATTGAGATAATCATGTGGTTTTTGTCTTTGGTTCTGTTTATATGCTGGATTACATTTATTGATTTGTGTATATTGAACCAGCCTTGCATCCCAGGGATGAAGCCCACTTGATCATAGTGGATAAGCTTTTTGATGTGCTGCTGGATTCGTTTTGCCAGTATTTTATTGAGGATTTTTGCATCAATGTTCATCAAGGATATTGGTCTAAAATTCTCTTTTTTGGTTGTGTCTCTGCCCGGCTTTGGTATGAGCATTATGCTGGCCTCATAAAATGAGTTAGGAAGGATTCCTTCTTTTTCTATTGATTGGAATAGTTTCAGAAGGAATGGTACCAATTCCTCCTTGTACCTCTGTAGCATTCTTATACACCAATAACAGACAGAGAGCCAAATCATGAGTGAACTCCCGTTCACAATTGCTTCAAAGAGAATAAAATACCTAGGAATCCAACTTACACAGGATGTGAAGGACCTCTTCAAGGAGAACTACAAACCACTGCTCAAGGAAATAAAAGAGGATACAAACAAATGGAAGAACATTCCATGCTCATGGGTAGGAAGAATCAATATCATGAAAATGGCCATACTGCCCAAGGTAATTTATAGATTCAATGACATCCCCATCAAGCTACCAATGACTTTCTTCACAGAATTGGAAAAAACTACTTTAAAGTTCATATGGAACCAAAAAAGAGCCCGCATCACCAAGTCAATCCTAAGACAAAAGAACAAAGCTGGAGGCATCATGCTACCTGACTTCAAACTATACTACAAGGCTACAGTAACCAAAACAGCATGGTACTGGTACCAAAACAGAGATATAGATCAATGGAACAGAACAGAGCCCTCAGAAATAATGCCACATATCTACAACTATCTGATCTTTGACAAACCTGAGAAAAATAAGCAATGGGGAAAGGATTCCCTATTTAATAAATGGTGCTGGGAAAACTGGCTAGCCATATGTAGAAAGCTGAAACTAGTTCCCTTCTTTACACCTTATACAAAAATCAATTCAAGATGGATTAAAGACTTAAACGTTAGACCTAAAACCATAAAAACCCTAGAAGAAAACCTAGGCATTACCATTGAGGACATAGGCATGGGCAAGTACTTCATGTCTAAAACACCAAAAGCAATGGCAACAAAAGCCAAAATTGACAAATGGGATCTAATTAAACTAAAGAGCTTCTGCACGCAAAAGAAACTACCATCAGAGTGTACAGGCAACCCACAAAATGGGAGAAAATTTTCACAACCTACTCATCTGACAAAGGGCTAATATCCAGAATCTACAATGAACTCAAACAAATTTATAAGAAAAAAACAGACAACCCCATCAAAAAGTGGGCAAAGGACATGAACAGACACTTCTCAAAAGAAGACATTTATGCAGCCAAAAAACACATGAAAAAAAGCTCACCATCACTGGCCATCAGAGAAATGCAAATCAAAACCACAATGAGATACCATCTCACACCAGTTAGAATGGCAATCATTACAAAGTCAGGAAACAACAGGTGCTGGAGAGGATGTGGAGAAATAGGAACACTTTTACACTGTTGGTGGGACTGTAAACTAGTTCAACCATTGTGGAAGTCAGTGTGGCAATTCCTCAGGGATCTAGAACTAGAAATACCATTTGACCCAGCCATCCCATTACTGGGTATATACCCAAAGGACTACAAATCATGCTGCTATAAAGACACATGCACACGTATGTTTATTGCGGCACTATTCACAATAGCAAAGACTTGGAACCAACCCAAATGTCCAACAATGATAGACTGGATTAAGAAAATGTGGCACATATACACCATGGAATACTATGCAGCCATAAAAAATGATGAGTTCATGTCCTTTGTAGGGACATGGATGAAATTGGAAATCACCATTCTCAGTAAACTATCGCAAGAACAAAAAACCAAACACCACATATTCTCACTCATAGCTGGGAATTGAACAATGAGAACACATGGACACAGGAAGGGGAACATCACACTCTGGGGACTGTTGTTGGGTGAGGGGAGGGGGGAGGGATAGCATTAGGAGATATACCTAATGCTAAATGACGAGTTAATGGGTGCAGCACAACAGCAGGCACATGTATACATATGTAACTAACCTGCACATTGTGCACATGTACCCGAAAACTTAAAGTATAATAATAATAATAATAATAAAAGTTCAAACCTAGCTTCAATAAATTAACGTGTGCTCAGGCCATGTAGGCTAGTATTCAAAACTAAAATGTTTGGGAAAACAGACTTTTCAGCTTTTTATCAGGGAGATGATTCCTCTCTCTTATAAATATCCCTTATTGCCACAGTCAAAGTCAGTTGGATCATCGGTTGGGCCATACACTGCTGTTCCTATTTTTTTTAACTGAACTTCACACTTCCCAATAGTGACCATTATTAAATGTGTAAAGTGGAAATTCTACTTTTATTTACTCAGGAATTGATACATACATCACCTTTCAAACCTCTTCCGATCTCCAACTTTTTCACCACTTCACCAGACATTATCATTTTTGTATACCTTTAAAAATTAAAAGTAGCTGCACAACTGAGGTCAATTTTCCTCATTGCCACCAATGATATATCCTCAACTTCTCCCTCAAATTAACAAAACCTTTATTTTCAGTCGGATACATTGACATATTCCCTTAAAACTGTTTTTCAGCTTCCCAAGGGAGGAATTCTGCTCACCATGATATAAGTGACAGTATTACGTAAGACTTCCAGGAAGTCTCTTTAGAAGGAGGATAAAATCCTGTTCCCTCCTTCTGCCATCCTGCGGCTTGAAATATATCTGTGATGGCTGTTGGTCACAGCCATCTTAGACAGGAGCACAAAGACCAGAGCCTGGAAATGCTGCAATGCAGCATCTAAAAGAAGGCTGGTGGCCAACATGGTGAAACCCCGTCTCTACTACAAGTACAAAAATTAGCCAGGTGTGGTGGTGTGTGCCTGTAATCCCCGCTACTCGGGAAGCGGAGGCAGGAGAATCGCTTAAACCCAGGAGGCGGAGATTGCAATGAGCTGAGATCACGTCATTGCACTCCAGCCTGGGCAACAGAGTGAGACCTTATCTCAAAAAAATAAAAATAAAAACTAAAAATATGAAAACATAAAAAAATAAAAGAAGGCTGCGTCCTGGTGACGATGAGCTGCCATCTCACTCTGGGGCCAACTATCTCCAGCTTGTTTTCATATGACAGAGAAATTAGCTGTTTTATTCACCACTTGAGGAGTATGGCTTACCATAGCTGAACCTAATTCTAACATAACAATATTTAATTTTGCTTCTTCTTAGTGAAATTTAGAAACAGAATGATTTGAGAAAAAGCCTAACACACCAGCTAAAATACAATATCAAAGTTTACTGCAGATCCGGTTATGCACACAATTCCTGTCCCCTATTATCTTAGTGGAGAGCTGGCTATGTTTTCTTTTTTCAGCCATGACTGCTTTCAGTCCTAGAGAACACCTCATCCTTTAATGCTAATCTTGTGATTCTAATGGCAAGCAATTTGGGCGAGGAAATTGG
The DNA here is from genome assembly GCF_000001405.40 of Homo sapiens. Lineage (NCBI taxonomy): Eukaryota > Metazoa > Chordata > Mammalia > Primates > Hominidae > Homo > Homo sapiens. The sequence goes on from NC_000001.11 coordinate 217,361,492, forward strand.
CAGAGAATTTGAAATTTAAAGTAGAAGTTCCTGTTGCTCCTCTGCCAAACAGTAAGACCCCAAAAGTGCTTTTTTGAAACATGAAGAATCTATGCTATCAGAAGTATATTTATCCTATATAATTTATGGCAAACGTATTTAAAAATGTGGCCACACGTTGCTATCAATGTTTGATGTGCAACAGAAGGAGCTTTTTATGTAGAATCAGAAAAATAAGTTCCAATCTTAGCTCTGCAAAGTACTATCTATATAACTTTGGGCAAATCATTTAATCTCCTTAAGCTTATCCCCTGAATCTAAAAAATGGCAATGATAGTAATAATTTATAGGGTTGATATAAGTATTAAATAATAGAGATGAAACTATTTAGCCCAATGCTTTCCACATAGCACTTGCTTTATAAATACTAGTTAATACAATTTAATTAATGTTGCATTCCTGACAGTCTGAAAAAGGCATGATTTAGAACTCCAGTCCAATTTTTAAATGCACATGGTATCTTTGTCCATAAGTCTGTAGAGGCAATGGGGCCGACCACCATTCTTCTTGAAAAATCATCTTAAGAAAAAAATCAATGATCATAAGCTGCCCAAGGATACATTGCAGCTTAATCTCTTAACACTTCAGTGTGTGAAACCATCCAACACCAACAACATTCTCATTTTTAGATAAGCTGCAGAACAAAATACATTTTATCAAAAGTTTGGTTGAGATTTTTCTGTAACAAAATATCTCCAAGAAAAGTCTGTGTTTACAAAAGAAATACAGAGGGAAAACAGAAATTGCCCTCTACATCCACTCACTTCCACCCCTTCTGGTGTTTTGCGGGTCTGGCCTTTGGAAAGATTTACGACATCGGGAAGAGCAACATTACACAATGAAGAATTGGATATTATGGGTTCAGTAAGGATCAGAAGAATGGGATTCAGAATAACTGTAGTCTAGGGTAGACAGGGGGCAGAGTACGGGGTGGATAGAACATGTGTTTCTGTCTCATCTGCAGTAGTGTTCAATTCATGGTGTTCAACTGAGAGATATGCACCAGGGAGGGAGAGGTGAAAACAAAAGTGAAATTAAGGTTAATGTCCCACCCAAAGCACCTTTGTCATCCACAGGCACCAACCCCTTATACATAATCCAGCTGATCTTGTCAGAGTCTTCCACAGTCCTAGCCTGGTGCCATAGCACATGTCCCTGACTGTGAGTGAAGGATTTAGGTAAAGAAATTTAAAATTCCCCCTAATGAGGAGTGAAATATCTTTACAGGTTTGACCCTTAAGTGTAGGCAATAATAACTAGCAAACTGATTTTTGTAACTCAAGAAAAGTTCCTTTGCTTAAAGAAAATGCTAACATTTCTGTCTGCTAAATTTCCACAACTGGGTGGGGTCGGAAAAGAAAGAAAACCAAGTAAGTATATCAATTATACATTATACTACATTATACACACACACACACACACACACACATAAATATATATATATAATATATATATTTATCATGTATCATACATAAGAGATGAATTGGCATTTTATTAATATATGAATATTAGGTATCTTTACACAAATTATCTATTTTGATCTTAATCAGAGACATTAAGAAGCATGACTAAAATCACAGAGCCACTGAGTGTTAAAGCCATTAGTTGAACAAAGCCAGCTATGTCAGACCCTGAAGGTTTAATTTAAAAACTTGTGCGTTGGTCCTGGGAGTAAGGCTTAGCTGCTGGAATGTGTTTACCTTAGCCTTTCCTGAGACAGCAGAATTCGTTTTCTGGCACACCTGAGGGTCAGTCCTGTGCCCTGACCTGGAGTGGCAGTTCTATGCAGTGATTAAAAGCATCAGAGTGACCTGATCTGATTCAAATCCCTGTTCTAGAAGATTAGCTGTATGTTCTCACACAAGTAACTCCGTAAATGTTAGTTGCCTTTTCTCTAAAGCACATAAAGAATGTGAAACACACTTCCTCCATTTGTCCTAGTCTAGTAGGAAGTTCTCAGATGGCCTCGAATGAGTCCTGCCTCCTGGTATTCAACGTTGGGGCAACTCCACCCCCGTGAGTGTGAGCTGGACCTAGTGATTCACTTCTAGCCAAAGCTATATGGGATGCCACTTCTGAGATTAATTTCCAAAAGCTGTGGCTTCCATCTCAGGTGTTCTTTCTCACTCTCTTGCATTCTCTCTGGAAGAAGTTCACTTATTCTAAGGGAAGCTAGCTGCCACCTTGTGAGCTGCCCTGTGGAGAGGCCCATGTGGTAAGGGGTTGATGTATACAGCGAACAGTTAGTAAGGATCTGAGGCCTGCCAACATCCACGTGAGTGAGCTTGGAAGCAGATCCTTTCCCAGTTGAGTCTTGAGAAGACTGCAGCCCAGCTGTTACCTTCAGTATAGCCTTGTGAAAGACCTGACCCGATCCCTTGATTGCAGCTTTCTGGAAAATCCTGGGCCAGAGGTATCTAGTAAGCAGTGCCATGATTCCTGACCACAGAAACTCATTGCTAAGAAAAGTTTGTTGTTTAAAGCTGCTACATTTGGAGGTAACTAGTTACACAGCAAAAAATAACTAACACACATGGGAATAAAAACAATATGGCATATAAAACATCTAGGACAATGTAGACCCCGGTGCACATCGAAATAGTCTGATAGTTTTCATTACTTTGAAACTTATTTTATAGAGGAAATAATGGAAGAGGAAGGCATGGATGCTGAAAGACAACCTTTATCTCCATCAAAATATTTCCTATAGCTTACTGTGACATTAGGCAGTCATATCTTTTCTTTTGACAGCTCACTACCCTATGGCCCCATAATTGGGGAAAGGAAAATTGACTCAACAATAATTATAATAATAAATGGCAAAATTCACTTGAGCTTTTGCCTATCAGTCAGATGTCACATTTGTCACTGGGCTTCCAGACATTGATGTGACCAGTGTCTTAGATCAATGGACAGATGACAAGAATATGAATGATCATAACAACAAATGTCAACTTTATTCCTTTAAATGCACTCAGTGTTCTGTAGATAACCCGAAAGGTCACATCGATAGTTGCCACCTGCTATGTCTCTCGTTCCAAACACTATCAGACAACATGGTGCTTCTGGAGCAGGGAAAGAAGTCAAATGCAGCAGCAGCCTGACATTTGATAATAGATCAGGGCACATCATTGTCCTGTTAAGTAAAGGCAATTCTCTGCCTTTGAAAGATGAACCCGTGCAGTCTCCCTGCTTCCCTCAGTCAGAGGGGCAACCATGTGCCTCCAGACAGGTGAGTTGCTTTTCTCTTTCAATTACAGGTATGAGTTCACTAGATATATTTTTCCTGAACTCAAAGCACCTATGATATTTTATTGTAGTAATTTCTCAGCAATGCAACTTCCCTGTAACTACTACCAAAGGCAAGCATCTAAGCTCATAATTTCCATACTATGTAATGGAGAAAAGTCTGAATTCGTGAAAAATCTAAATGTATTGTACACTTTAAAAGAAATGCAGTTTAATGCTTTTTAATACATATAGTAACTTCAACTAATTGCCAAAATAAGCTTTGCTTCCTCTGGCTTTAATGAACAGATTAGCAGCTCTAGCATTAGAAACACCATTTGCATAAAATTAATTTGCTAAAGCCCTTAAAAATAGTGTTCATAATGGCTTAAACATGCTCACTGCCTATTTATACTATTAATTTGCTAAGTAAACCTTTCTTTTTAAGTAGGACAAAAGTGAATCATCAGTCCAGCTAAAGTTGAAGTATCACAAAAACCTAAAATAAGTGAAGTCTAAGTTATTATGTTTTTCCCATACAAAGTTGGTAAAAATACACGCATAAAGTTAAGTCCAAATAAACTGATAGTGCAGATATTTTGTTAATCATTGAGGTAACAAGGAAAAGTAGATCTTTTTCAACCTGATTTGGCTCTCCTTTAGTTGAAAATGCCATTTTTTCTAGAACCACTTCTAATTAAAAATAAAATTCCACTTAAGCTGATTCATACTTAGTGGATAGTATCGGCAAGACGCCTATAGAACTGTGTTGGAAATTTTATTGAATGATGAAGTTTAAAGTAGAGGATTCCAAATATAAACTCGATCATATATTTTCTTCAATTAGCATGGAAATTCTTTGCCTATCCTCTTAAAAACTATGACTATATGGAGTAATTTGGCATTTAAATGCTGACAGTACTCTCAAAATTATCCACTGAATTCCAGGCAACCTCAATTAATACCTCAATATGATTTGTGAAAGATATTTGATAGATTAATTCTAAAATTCACCTGAAAGAAAGAAAATACCAAAAAATACCAAAAAAAAAAGCCATGAATATTTTTTAAGGAGTAGAATTCTTTGGGGTAAAGACAGTAGGTTCTCCTACCAAATTTCAGAATATTTTTAAAGTGCTTAATAGTTAAATCGCCGTGGTGTTGGTTCAGGAAAAAAATAGATCAATGAAACAGTAGAAAGAATTCAGAAACAAATCTATTTCAAAACACATTTATTTCAAAATAAAAGATATGAAAATTCCTTTTATAATAATGGTAGAATCTCAGGCCCATGGAGAAAAATGCATTAACAAATTGTGTTGGAAGATTACCCATTTTAAAAATAAAAGGTTAGATTGCTACCTCACACAATTCACAAAAATAAATTACAGATTGATTAGAGAGCCAAAGGTTAAAAATAAAAGTGTTGCAAATAAAGAGAAAAGAAATGTGTGAAAGATATTCTTAAATAAAACATAAAACATAAAAGCTAGCTGTGAAGGAAAAAAATGGATAAATTTGACAGAATCAAAAATTTAAAACTCTATGTTAAAAGAAATTATAGCAAATACCGAAAGCTGAAAAAAACATTTGCAATGATGCAGAATAAAGAGTAATAATATTTGAAATATGTAAAGAACACCTATGAATAAATAAAAACAAACTAAATTGAAAAGGAAAGGAATAGACAACTTCCAGAAAAGAAAACTGCAAAGAACATAGTCACATGAAAATATGCTCAACTTCACCAGGAGTCAGGGAAATAATTAAAAATAAAACAATCATTAAATACCATTTCTTCCACTTGTTAAATTGTCAAAAATCAATATGTGATGGAAAATGTATGGACAAAGTTTATTTATTACCAGTTAGTGGAAACAAATCAGTTTTTTTTTTTTTGGAGGGCAAATTGACAGCATCTATTCAAATTACATTTTAATAAACCTTCAAGAATTCCAACTCTAGATATTTGCCCTAGAGCAACACTCATACATGACCCTGAGTACTATGTATGAGGTTGTCTGTTGCAGCACTGTTTATAATAACAAGATATTGGAAATAACTAAATATCAGTAGAAGAATAAGTACATAAATTATGGCTCATCTGGGAGTTTTTGTTGACATATGCAATATTGTAATTCAAGAAAATTCATTGGAATGTTACTTATAGAAAAAGACTGGAAACACTATATACGCCCATTAATTGGGAGGTAGTAGAATACATTTTGGAATATTCATATGAAAAGATTATACAGTTGTATGAAAGAATGAGATGTATCCATATATGCCAAAATGAAAAAGTTACAAGATACATTTTTTTTTTTTTTGAGTCTCTGTCGCCCAGGCTGGAGTGCAGTGGCACCATCTCGGCTCACTGCAACCTCCACCTCATGGGTTCAAGCGATTCTCCTGCCTCAGCCTTCCAAGTAGCTGGGATTACAGGCACCCGCCACCATGCCCAGCTAATTTTGTTTTTATTTTTAGTACAGACGGGGTTTCGCCATCTTGGCCAGGCTGGTCTCGAACTCCTGACTTTCGTGATCTACCCACCTCGGCCTCCCTAAGTGCTGGGATTACAGGCCTGAGCCACTGTGCCTGGCCACAAGATACATTGTTAATTAAAGAATGACATTTCAGAAGGGTGTGGTGTATACTTACAATTTTCAAAAGAATTATATATATTTTATGTACATATGATAGACCTACATACACGTATACACACAGAAATATGTTTAACACAAAAGGAAGTATACCATAGATACATTACATATAAAACATATCATATGTATTATAGATGTATGCATGTATACATATTTTTTGATTATATATTCATAGAATGCCTTTGAAATATAGGGAACTAATATGGAAGTGTATAAGGCAACTGAGGGTCTGGAGTAAGAAGAAGTCTAGGCTTACTTTCTGTCATATTTTTTTACTTTGAATTTTTCTTATATTTGTATATTAGTTTTCAAATAAAATTCTTCACAAATAAAAACATAATACCATCAGCCTCATAAATAAAACTTATGTAGTTAAAAAGAATAGGAGAAATATGTATGTAGTGACAGAAATATATTCATGATATATGGTTAACAGTTAAAAGTATATTGAGTAACAATGCATCCAGTTCAATAACATTGATGTTAAAAGAAAGAAACAGACAGGTATGTGTGTATGTTTGTATAAATGTATATGTTTATGTAAAAATAAGTTAAAAGGTGCATTTATATTAAATATACAATACACTTACATGCATACAAACATATTTGAAAATGCACAGGGCTAATCTAGGATTATACATGGTAACCTGTTAACAGTGGTAGCCTCTGCAAACAGGATTAAATTAGTGGGGTGAAGTAAGGAGAGCTGATTCCTGTATATTTGAGTTTTTGTAACAATGAGAAAATATTCAGAATTACTTTGATAATTTCATATTTTAATTTTGAAAAGTTAAAATTATAGTATTAATTATTTGTCTGCAATAACAATGTATGTCTAAAATTCATCTGGCAAAATTAAATTTCTTTAGTTAGTAACTATGGAGTTTTCAGCCAACCTGGTAGTAACTCTAACTTTTTGCCTGTACAAAATCAACATTTAACTCATCAGATGCAGCTCTCCAAAGAGCCCCAGAAACTGAAAACCTCCTTAGTTATTCATTATCTAATATCTAGGTCTGTCTATTTCTTCTTTAAGGAAGAGATTAATGCTATATCATTCTGGCTTTAATTGTAAAACATAATTACAATTATATTGGGATATGAATACAGTCTTGCAGCCTGCTTTTAAATCTAAGTTTAAATCATAAGCACTTTCTTGTATCATTAAATTTACTTGATAATATCTGTTTACTGTTTGCCTGTTAATATCTTTTTGTGAACATATTATTGTGATTTTACACACCCTCCTAATATTGGACATTTAGGAGGCTATTTCTGTTTTTTTCTTTTAAGTTATAAATAACACTGAAATGAACATCTTTATCAACATCACATGACCTTTTTACGTTGGCCTCCTAGAAGTCAAATAGCCAGTAAACGGCAATTAGTGTTTTTACATATGTCACATTCTATTCCAGAAGGAAGGCATTGATATACACTCCCATTAACAGCCACTGCATGATTGCACATCTGTAAAATGCAACTGGTAACCAACTTAATTATGTAGACTAGTCACACCTGAAACTATCTATGCAAATGACCTAATTCCTTGGAGATCATCCCCAGGTGTATGGATTTACAACTGGAACCTCTTATGAAACTGTTCTTTAGTTTAAAAAAGTCAGTTTATATTGCCATTGTATGAAGGGTGTTTTAGAAAAATACGAACAATACAAGCTTCCTCCACAGAGGTATTTATCATTATAGACTATCTTGGCTAAACCTCCTGGCTGAGGTTTAAAGGCCCCAGTTGGTCATTTTCATATACCTGTAGGATTCTCTGACTGCTTGAGTATTGATTTATCCATTTTGGAATTCCTTCTCATTGATTTATTGGGCCTATATATCTTCTGGTGGCCAGCTTTTGTCTATAAGAGGTGACTGAGAGAACTGTTTCACTATCATGTATTTTATAGCTCACTGACATTCATTTACTGACTCTCTTATTTGCCCAATGTTAGTATTAGGGCTAATGGGTGTTACAAGTCTGGCCTTGGTCATTGTGCATTTTTGGCTCTGCCAAATACAGCGTGTAAATGGTAAATTTGCATAAATTATCAGACTTGTACACCTGAAGAGAGAACATTTTGAGCAATATGGGTTTCGTGTCATTTGAAATAGAGAACAGAAATAGAAACAAGTTCGTACAAGGAGAGAGGAAATGCATTCCTCGAACACTTCAAGTTGTTTTTGCTAAGAGCATGGGAAATTTGGGGTAGGGGAAAGGAGGAGAGGAAGAGGTTAAGATAGAGATCACATTAATTGGTGTGTCAGAGATTTGCCGGCAGATCTAATCAGTCACAGGACTCTAATCCTGCTCAGCTCAGGTACAGAAACCAGAGAAGTTGTTTGAAAAACCCAACAGGAAGCCTAAAGGGTCTTTATTTACATATACTGCCAACGCAGCCAGTACCTTCACTGCGGTTAGGGACTCTCTCTAAATTGCTTACCAGCATGAACCAGTGGAGTCCAAGGGGTTTGAATTTAAATTCAGCATTTAGAAATTCTGTGTGACCTTTGGCAACTAATTCATCCTCCGTGTTCCTCAATTTCCAAAGTTCTTAAATGAGAAAAAGAATAACCATCCTGAGACACTGGGTAAAGCCCCAGTTACGGGCCGAGTTGTGCTTCCCCAAAATTCGTATGTGGAAGTTCTAACCCCCGGTTCCTCAGAAGGTGCCTGAATTTGGAGAAAGTCTATAAAGAGGTAAATAGGGTTAAACGAGGTCATTAGGGTAGCCTCTAATCCTATATGACTAATGTTCTTATGAAATGAGGAGATTATGACACAGACAAGCACAGAGGGAAAACCATGTGAGGGTGCAGGGAGGAGATGACCTCCTGTTAAGCTGGTGCAAAAGTAATTGAGGGCTTTACCATTACTTTTAATGTAGTAATTTGCCATTACTTTTAATGCAAGAACCGCAATTACTTTTGCACCAATCTAATACAAGCCAAGAAGAGAAGCCTCAGAAGAAACCAATGCTGCCAATACCTTGATCTCAGACATGTAGCCTCTAAAATTCTCAACAAAAATATTTCTGTTTGCCGAGCGAGGTGGCTCATGCCTGTAATCCCAGAATTTTGGGAGGCCAAGGCGGGTGGATCACCTGAGGTCAGGAGTTTGAGACCAGCCTGACCCAACATGGAGAAACCCCATCTCTACTAAAAATACAAAAAATTAGCCAGGCATTGTGGTGCATGACTGCAATCCCAGCTACTTGGGAGGCTGAGGCAGGAGAATCACTTGAACCCAGGAGACGGAGGTTGCAGTGAGCCAAGATTGCGCCGTTGCACTCCAGCTTGGGCAACAAGAGCAAAACTCCATCTCAAAAAAAAAAAAAAATTTATTGCTTAAGACTTCCAGTCTGTGAGACTGGGTTAGGATAGCCCTAGCAATCTAATACAGTACCTGACACCAGTAGGCGCTAAATAAACATTAAGCCTTGTAGTGACAACATTGAGAGTTACAGTGGAGAGAAAGCCCGGCAGATGTGCGGAGGGGATGGAGCGAGGCCACCTGCACAGGAACTGAGCACCACCGTGGAGTCCCAGCCATCCGTGCACAGCCAAGTCTGTCCTGTATTTGCGGTTGTATCCGTAGCTTTTCACCGGTAACTTGCTTTTTTGCCTTCTGGTCCACCTCAAATCTTGCCTCTCTTTTTGACAACTGCCCAAATGGCCTGTTCACCAAAGCCACTTCTCAACACAGGTCACCAAATTTCGCTGTCAAAAGGGTCCCCCATGCTGGCTCCCTCACCCACAATTGAAGAGCACGGTGGCCTTCATCCACTCTCCACGCCAGTCCTGCCCAACAGAACAGGCATAAAAGTACTTACTTACACTTCACCTATTTCATCCTTTCTTCCCAGTCATTCTGGAGCCATATAAATGTTTTCATTCTCATTTTACACATTTAAAATAATGAGACTCAGAAAGTTTAAGTGACTTCTTAATGTTATATGGATACCATATGATACATCTTGTGGGATCTAATCATCAGAGACTAAATCCTGTGCTCTTTCTATCACATCATGAAGCAGATGGTAATTTAATTCACCATCTTTCATTCAATATAATATACAAATAATAGGCAATACTGATGAAATTGTTCAGAAAGCTATATGTGATTTCTGACATACAAGAATCATGGCCCAAATAAAAATTGTGCTACATTATCATTCAACTGGAGTTTCAATTATATTAAATCTAGATGTCATTATTTGCAATCAACAAGAATGACTGAACTCAACATATTCAAAAGTTCTGATCTATGAGAGTTATAGAAACACAAACAGTACTACCATCATAAAGCTTTAAATAAAATTCAATTAAAGAGAATTTATTTTTTGAATATTTCTCATATGCCAATGACTGCAGTTATTTTAGATAAGTTTTTATTGAGCACTTGCTATGTACTAGTCACTGTTCTATGTGCTGGGATTACAAGTAGTAAACAAACAGGAAAAACCTCTTGCTCTTTTGGAGCTCATTTATTATCTTGTTCAGTATTCAATAGCCCTGCCACAAGGTGTTATCTTTGGCATTTCCCAGGAAAGGAAATAGAAGCTTTGGGAGTTTAGGTATCTTTCCCAAAAGCATTCAGCAAGTGAGACAAAGACTCAGGATTTGAATCTTGGTCACTCAGACTGCAAAGCCCTGAGTAATATTTCCATGTTCCTTCTGCAATAAAGCCCAAACATTTATTGCTTGGCCTTAGAACAAATGCACAATCATTTGGACACAGTGCACAGATCCTTCAGGGCAGTGGCCCTAGAGCCATGCTGTCCTGCTAGGCATAGTTTATCTTTGTTTTAGTTCTTTGTTTGTTCCCCTTTCCTCACCCATACTTTGCCTAAACTAGTGCCTGGAGAAATGCATGGGAAAAGATTCCAGCTGAGATAAAATTCAAGTCTGAAGTAAGCTGCCAGTCAATGGCAGCCTCCTCCTGTGAGTTGAGTTAGAAAATAACAGAAGGCCTTTCTTTTCCCTCTGACTGTGCCACCACCCAGGGGAGTCTACAGGAGCCAGAGACACCAGATATGGTCCTGGGGCTATTGACCAGGTCGCTTCCAGGCCACCACCAGGCAAAGTTTTGTCTATTCTCACTCTGAAGCAATGTAATACAGTCCTATTTGCAGCAGCGGCCTGTCTGGAGTGGCCGCTGCCATGGCGCAGGCGGCAGTTGGGGAGGCAAGGCTGGGGCTGAGTGCTCCACAGAGCCTGCAGGAGCTGGAACAGGCAGAAGCCCCACCAACTTCTGAGTTGGCAGGGCAGGAGTCTCATGCACCCCAGACACAGCTGCAGCCACTCAGCCATGGCTCCAGACCCAGGCATCCCTGTGCTCTTGGGGGCCTGGAGCAAGCAGGAGCCCTGCACTTTCAGGCACAGCTGCAGCCTACCAGTGGCAGGTGCAGGCCCAGCATCTCTGACTCTCAGGGACCCGGGAAGCCCCACTCCCCCTGCAGCCTCATAAGTGCCTGCTCCCTGCTCCTGGCATCCACTCTGATCTCAGACCCAAGTTGAGACTGAGCCTGGGTGCACCCGGCTGGGTGCATGCACTCTCGGAGCAATGCTCCCTGCTGCCTTGGACCCCTCTGGACTTTGGGTGTCAATGAGCATGGGGAGGGAGGCCAAGCGGGAGCAGAGAGCAGCTCAACACTGGCCTGCAGGCACCCCTCAACATAAATAGCCTGGGTGCTGTGGATGATGGCAGGAGGCAGACAGGTAGGTTCCTGTGTAGATAGGGGCTCCCCATTGAAGCCCCACCTTCAATCCAGGGACAGCCTGAAGCCTGGGGGCTGAGCTGATCAGACAGAATGGGAATTTATGGTACTTTTTCTGGGCCTGCCCATGATTGCCCAGAAACCAATCAGCATGCACCTCCTCCTGTCTGAAGTCCATAAAAACCCCAGACTCAGCCAGACTCCAGGAGACAACCAGAAGACCTGCCTGTGGAGAGGAGCTGCCCTCTTCACAGTCTCCTCTCTGCTGAGAGCTGAGCAGATGTTGGTTCAAACAGCTGTGGAGAGGAACCACCCACTCCAGGGTCTCCTCTCTGCTGAGAGCCGAGCAGATATTGGGACACCCTGCCTGCAGAGAGGAGCTACTCAGTGTGGGTCTCCTCTAAGTTGTTCTGTCACTGAATGAAGCTCCTCTTTGCCTTGCTCATCCTCCACTTGTCCGGGTACCTCATTCTTCCTGAACATAGGACAAGAACTCAGGACCCGCCAAATGGTGGGCCAAAAAGATCTGTGGGCAACAAGAAGGAGAGAAGAGAAAAAGAGAGAAGAGCTGTGGCCCTTTGGGAAGCCCAGACCTAACAGCTCCCCAAGCCAAGGCTGTGACTCCCTCTTTGGGTTTCTGCGGTTCCTAGTGTCGCCAAGCTTCCAGGTTCCACAACATTCCCCCGCACCAGCCATGGAAGCTGCTTGCAGTATACCAGGTCCAGCCACAGCCTCACAGGGAGCTGGTGCCCTGCCATAGCCAGCATGCCTGGTTGTGTGCAGTGGCTGGACCCTACACTTGCTTGCTCGCACACCCATCACCACTTCATGCCTGACTGACCCTTGGCAGGCATGAGATTCAGGTAGTGCGAGCTGAGTGCAGCCTGCTAGGCAAAGTGGGCAGAATGAGCCTAGCAGGCCTGAATGAAAACTCAGGCAAAGGCGCCACTGGCCACAGAGGTTTCTGGCTGGCAAAGCAACACCCCAAGGATCCTATGACACTATGGCTAAAATCCTTGCACTATGCAAATTTTGTCATCCTTCTTTAACCTCAGGAGGCAAGACTTGCTTAATGCTTCCTCTGGCTGGAATTTGTGTGCTTCAGAAATGTAAATAAGCTGAATTAAGTCTGAAAAAGCATACAAGTTCTCACAGAGGCGGGGTGTTCTGAAACCAATTCACATTAATCAGTATTTGTAGATGCTCCCTGCAAATACCTTCTCTAACCTTCTGTTAGAATTTTTTCACATGGGTTCAAGTAATGCAGAGCCTTTCTCAGGAATCTGGATCTTAATAGTTAGCACTATCTGGCTGTTTTGGCATGCAAAATAAAGGACAAAGAGCCAGGATGTTCTTGGTGACACACCTGAGTGAGCAGGGGCCAGGCCTGGTCTTTCTGTGCTTCTCTGTCTGTAGAGATTAAAACAATAGCAGTGCCTCACTGAAGATCACAAATAGAGTGCCCTAAAAATCATTTAGCAGGATAAAGCAAACTGGATTGTGTCTCATTTTTACTGTGTCTAATTAAACGCTTAGTATCATCACGTATCGCGCTAGGCATGGAAGAGCAGTGCCACCCTTAGATTTAGGTAAAAGGTTTCTCCTCCAGCTTTCATCTGGCCACACCCCACCCCAGGCAAAGAGTTATGGGGCCACCTGGAGTCCACACCTTCCCTCTAGACCATGTTCCAGGCATAGTAGACCCCAGAATTATCTGCTAAGATGGTCTTCTGTCCACTTTCAGGACCTACACAGGCCTCTTCCTGGGGTCTGAACTTTTGAGGGAAAATTGTACCACTGATGTATGCATCCCTGGACTAAAGGGGTGCTCTTCATGGAGGAGCTAGGCTTGGAGGTCAGGGCTGCAGTGTTGATACATGTGCTCCTCAGGTCATTCACGGTGAGAGTTTGAGCTGGGATGACAAGAGAAGGGGGTGAGGCTACAGGCTGGGGGCCAGGGGCTGGGGTCACCTCTCTCCATGTTCCAGTTGGAACTTCAAGGGACTGAGCCTGAAAATGCCACACTTGAAATTGTCCCTCCATACCATTATAAAAGAATACCTGTGAAGGTGGGAGAATGATATGTATTATTTTTAACAATTTTTAGGTTGATTTTTAACCTTTAAATATTTAGACATATGGAATGTGAGCTTCCATCTGCACCCTTGTTCCTGGCCCCACGATTACTACAAATCACACAAAATGCTAAAGTAGTGGGTCTCAGACTTTACTATTTATAAAAATCACCTGAGATGCTTGTGAAAAATCTAATTCCAGGCCATAGTCTTCCAGATATTCAGATGCAGTCAGCTTGGTTTGAGACTCAAGAAAGTTCATTTTTACAGCTTTCCCAGGTGGTTTTGATAGACGTAGTCCGACGACCACTCTTGGAGAGTCACAAAGTTCCCTGGTGGAATTAATGATTTCACTGACAAAACACACACAAGGGAAACAATGAAAGGGTAATTTAGAAGTATGATCCAACAAAGTAAAAAAATGGATTTTTATACAAAACCAGAATTAAAATATCTAAAGGATTGTTGTCCCCTACAAAGCAGTCCCCTTGGAGGTTAGACACTTATCCTAAGCCGGCAGCTATTGCTCAAAACATTTCGACACTGATTTTTTTAAATTGCCTTTAGAGGTAGATTATGAGCCACATCAGAAAGCCAATCTTGTTATTTCACATCACAGTATGCATCTGACAAAAAACAGCATTACCCAGAAGGATGATGCATTGTTACTTAGCAGATTTAGTTCTTATGCTTTCCGAGTCAAATGTGTCATAAAAGAAGATCTATTATATAAGCACACCTGTTTATGTCAGCCTCCTTCTGAAACTATACTAAAGTGACAATGAAGAAAGAAAAAAGGCATAAATCTGCAAAGACAAAGTGAGAAAGAAGGTTCAGGAAGAAATTGGAATCAGTATTTAAGAAACTGGAAAATAGATGGAGAAGTGGCCATGGACTTAGCAGACCCAAGAAATCTGAAACTTGAGCCTGTCATAAGGAAAGTTAGGAGATAGACTAATTTTACCTCAGAACCCTGCCTTGGGAATTGGAGACAAGTAACTCAAGGAGGCAGTCATGTAGCAAGGGGATGGAAAAAAAAGAAGATTCACTGAAAACTTGTATAAAGAGAAATTAGCCCACCTGGATCCCATCCCCCAGCCAGGCAACAGTTCCTCCCCAAAACCAGCAGAAGAAGTGAGTGCCATCCTCTGGAGAGTCCAAGCCAGAGACACCTGCATTCTGGAACAACAGTCTGCAAGGCAAGGATGAAAGTCCTTACTAGAAATAGGCCATTAAGTGAAAATCTGCTGAACGCTGAGACCCCCACCTCCTTTCTGCTTGGTGACCAAAATGCAGAACTACACCCATGAGGAAGGAGACTGAGGACTATGAGAAATCCAAGAAAAAGGACATATTTAAAAGAAGATCCTGTTATCGAAGGTCCTTCTGTGAAATGGCCTGGTTCTCACCAAGTCATCTATAGTAGAGCACATCAGTCAACAAGTCTTACAAAAACACATGAGGCTCTTTATGGTCTTGCTAGTGGCTGAATCTGAGATATAAACAGACAGCTCAGAATCACCTGACATATGAGGAAAATTTCTACCAAGAAAAGCAGAGACTAATAGCAAGGAAACTGCAGAGAGGAAAGGCAATGCAGGGATTTGAGAAAAACTGTGAAGCAGATGAAAAACGTTTTCAAAACCCTATTAGTATCTTCAGAAAGGGCAGGGTGCAGTGGCTCAGGTCTGTAATCCTGGGACTTTGGGAGGCCGAGGCAGGTGGATCACTTGAGGTCAGGGGCTCAAGACTAGCCTGGCCAACATGGTGAAACCCTGTCTCTCCTAAAAATACAAAAATTATCCAGATGTGGTGGCATATGCCTGTACTCCCAGCTACTCATGAGGCTGAGGCAGGAGAATCACTGAAGCCAGGAGGCAGAGGTTGCTGTGAGCTGAGATCATGCCACTGTGAGACTCTGTCTCAAAAAAAAAAAATTTAAAAAAATTAAAAGAAAATCTTCCAAAAAATAAGAGAAGATATTAAAACCACAAAAAAAAAGGGTGCTTTCAAAAGACAGGAAAAAGAACTCCTGTCACTATTAGAGAAACAAAAAAGTTGAACAGAATAAATACAAAATAAAGTTGAGCAAATCTTCCAGGTAACAAAGGCCCTAAGACAGGAGCATACCTGGTATTTAAAGTGTCTACCAGCAACCCAAGTCAAGATGTCAAGGAGGCTGTTGAACATGTTGTTCTGGAGCTTATAGCTGGTGTGTAAAGAGAAGTGGCATGGAGAAGATCACCAGAGGAGTGGGTGAAGACAGGGAAGAACTGAACTCTGAGACACATCAAATTTAACAGGTCTGAGAAGTAGAGAAGAACTAGTAAAGAAGATTGCAAAGGAGTGAGCAGTGAAGTAGGAGGCAAAGAATGTCAGACTGACCAATGAGGTCAGATGCCACTGATAAGTCAAGTAAAATGAGGCTTAGGAATTGCACATTGAATTTAACAGTTTGAGCTCTTGATGGGCCTGCTCCTTCATAGCATAACGAATTTTAAAAAGATCTGCCCCAAGGCCTACCATCATGCATATCAGTTCTCTAGAGGTAAAACGATTTTAAAATCTTCCAAAAAGGCAAAGCCAGACAAACTAAAATAAAAAACTGGTGAAATACAGAGATTAGGTTAGGATATCACAGGTTGTCAGGAGCAACACTAGAAGCTAGAAAACATAGGAGAAATATCTTCAAAATTCTGAGGTGATGATCCCAATTTGGAATTTTGTTCCTAGCTAAACTATCAATCAAGTGTGAGTTTAAATGAAGACATTGTAAACATGCAGGGCTTGGGAAAAAAATGTACCTCCTATTACTATTTTCTTAGGGAACTATTAAAAGTGTGTGCTCTGTGAAAACAAGAGATTGAAGGCATGGAATCTAGAAGACCAGGGATTTAACACATGAGAGACAAGAAGGATTTCCAAGATGATGGTGAAGAGCAGTCCATAGTGTCATGTGGGTGGGAGCCTAGAGGGCTAGCAGCACAGGAAGTCAGAGGGCTCCAGGAGAGACATTGCCAGGAGAAACATGAAACCAATTGGATTGTCTTGTATAGCTGAGCATATTGAAATAACTTGTAGAAATCTGTTGGGGAGTTTGGGGATAAACTAATATCTGGTGAATAAAAGCCTAATCTCCTAATGAAAATCAAGTAATTGAAGCCAGGAAAAAAAGATTGTGGAAAAAAGGAAATGTTACCACAGTAGAGTGTGACCCAGCTGTACATACTACTCTGATAGTCCTAATAATGTAAATACTAAATAAAGTCTCAGCCAAAATAGCAGTCAGTATAACTAATTCGGAAAGATAGGAGGAGGGATGGTATATGGATGTATTAAGGCAGGGAAGTGGGAATGTTAAGACCTAAATGGGATATTAGGTAAATATACTCTTTTCATAGGAGGATATAAAAACCAAAAACTGAAAAATCAAGAAAACCAAGTTATTTAGAAATAGATTATAAACACACACATACACAAAAAACACCCAGAAGTATTGAAAGCGCTTGCCTCAGAGAAGCAAGCATTTGAATTGAGATAAACAGGATGAGAGACATTTACTGAATGTCTTCTTACTTCCGAATCCTATGTGCTTAACCTACAACAGGATCTAGGGCACAATTCCTGCCCTTCTTGCATCTTACTGCCTAATTCATGTTTTACAGCTCACTGAACTACTTCATATGTAAATACTAAAGGATATTGGATATGAGAAGGTCACATAAAGATGGTAGGATTTGGTAAGAGGCACTCCTGGAGACAATGATCAACTAATTAATTGAATAAAACATTTTTCATGGGCTTAAAAAAAGTAAGAAGGGCCGGGTGTGGTGGCTCATGCCTGAAATCCCAGCACCTTGGGAGGCCGAGGTGGGCAGAACACTTGAGGTCAGGAGTTTGAGACCAGCTTGGCCAACATGTTGAAACCCTGTCTCTACTAAAAATACAAAAATCAGCTGGGTGTGGTGGCAGGCACCCATAATTCTAGCTACTCAGGAGGCTGAGGCAAGATAATCGTTTGAACCTAGGAGGCAGAGGTTGCAGTGAGCTGAGATCATGCCAGTGCACTCCAGCCTGGGCAACAGAGTGAGACTGTCTAAAAAAAAAAAAACAAAAAAAAAAAAACGATTAGGGAGAGCTGGGCAAGAGCTGGGCAAGATGGCTGAATGGGAACAGCTCTAGTCTGCAGCTCCTAGCAAGAACAATGCACGAGGCAGGCGATTTCTGCATTTCCAACTGAGGAGGTACCTGGCTTATCTCATTGGGACTGGTTAGAGAGTGGGTGCAGCCCAGAGAGGGCAAACAGAAGCAGGGTGGGGCATTGCCCCACCCAGGAAGCACATGGGGTCAGGGAAAGCTTCCCTAGCCAAAGGAAGCCCTGAGGGGCTGTGCCCTGAAGAATGGTGCATTCCAACGCAGATATTATGCTTTTCCCACGGTCTTCACAACCTGCAGACCAGGAGATTCTCCTGGTACCTACACCACCAGGGCCCTGGGTTTCAAGCACAAAACTGGGCAGCCATTTGGGCAGACACTGAGCTAGCTGCAGGAGTTTTTTTTCATACCCCAGTGATACCTGGAATGCCAGCAAGAGAGAACCATTTACTCCCCTGGAAAGGGAGCTGAAGCCAGGGAGCCAAGTGGTCTAGCTCAGCAGATCCCACCCCTTGGAGCCCAGCAAGCTGACATCCACCAGCTTGAAATTCTTGCTGCCAGCACAGCAGTCTGAAGTTGACCTGGGACTCTGGAGTTTGGTGGGGGGAGGGGCGTTCACCATTATTGAAGTTTGCGTAAGAGGTTTTCCCCTCACAGTGTAAACAAAGCCGCTGGGAAGTTCAAACTGGGCATAAGTTCGAACCGCAGCTTGGGAAAGATGCTGTAGTCAGACTGCCTCTCTAGATTCCTCTCTGGGCAGGGCATCTCTGAAAGAAAGGCAGCAGCCCCAGTAAGGGGCTTATAGATAAAACTCCCATCCCCCTGGGTCAGAGCACTTGGGGGAAGGGGTGGCTGTGGGCACAGCTTCTGCAGACTTAAATGTTCCTGCCTGATGGCCCTGAAAATAGTAGCAGATCTCCCAGCACAGCGCTCGAGCTCTGCTAAGGGACAGACTGCCTCAAGTGGGTCTCTGACCCCCATGCCTCCTGACTGGCAGACACCTCCCGGCAGGAGTCGACAGACACCTCATACAGGAGAGCTCCGGTTGGCATCTGGCGGATGCCCCTCTGGGATGAAGCTTCCAGAGGAAGAAATAGGAGCAATCTTTGCTGTTCTGCAGCCTCTACTGGTGATACCCAGGCAAACAGGGTCTGGAGTGGACCTCCAGCAAACTCCAGCAGACCTGCAGCAGAGGGGTCTGACTGTTAGAAGGAAAACTAACAAATAGAAAGGAACGGCATCAACATCAACAAAAAGGATGTCCACACAAAAACCACCTCCGAAGGTCACCAACACCAAGACCAAAGGTAGATAAATCCACGAAGATGAGGAAAAATCAGCGCAAAAAGCCTGAAAATTCCAAAAACCAGAATGCCTCTTCTCCTTTAGAGGATCACAACTCCTGGACAGCAAGGGGACAAAACTGGACTAAGAATGAGTAGGCTTCAGAAGGTGGATAATAACAAACTCCTCCAAGCTGAAGGAGCATGTACTAACCCAATGTAAGGAAGCTAAGAACCCTGAAAAATGGTTGGAGGAATTGCTTACTAGAGTAACTAGTTTAGCGAAGAACATAAATGACCTGATGGAGCTGAAAAACACTGCACGAGAACTTCCTGAAGCATACACAAGTATCAATAGCTGAATTGATCAAGCAGAAGAAAGGATATCAGAGATTTAAGATCAACTTAATGAAATGAAGCACGAAGACAAGATTAGAGAAAAAAGAATGAAAAGGAATGAACAAAGGCTCCAAGAAATATGGGACTATGTGAAAAGACCAAACCTACGTTTCATTGGTGTACCTGAAAGTGACAGGGAGAATGGAACCAAGTTGGAAAACACCCTTCGGGATATTATCCAGCAGAACTTTCCCAACCTAGCAAGACAGGCCAACATTCAACTTCAGGAAACACAGAGAACACCACAAAGATACTCTTCGAGAAGAGCAACCACAAGACACACAATCCTCAGATTCACCAAGGTAGAAATGAAGGAAAAAATGTTAAGGGCAGCCAGAGAGAAAGGTTGCGTTATGCACAAAGGGAGTCCCATCAGACTAACAGTGGATCTCTCTGCAGAAACCCTACAACCCAGAAGAGACTGGGGGGCAATATTCAACATTCTTAAAGACAAGAATTTTCAATCCAGAATTTCATATCCAGCCAAACTAAGCTTCATAAGTGAAGGAGAAATAAAACTTTTTACAGACAAGCAAATGCTGAGAGATTTTGTCACCACCAGGCCTGCCTTAGAAGAGCTCCTGAAGGAAGCACTAAACATAGAAGGAAAAACCAGTACCAGCCACTGCAAAAACATACTAAATTGTAAAAAAACAAACAAACAAACAAACAAACAAAAACCTACTAAATTGTAAAGACCATTGACACTTTGAAAAAACTGCATCAAGTAACTGGAAAAATAACCAGCTAGCATCATAATGATAGGATCAAATTCACACATAACAATATGAACCTTAAATGTAAATGGGCTAAATGCCCCAGTTGAAAGTCACAGACTGGAAAATTGGATAAAGAGTTAAGACTCATCGGTGTGCTGTATTCAGGAGAACCATCCCACGTGCAAAGACACACAGAGGCTGAAAACAAAGGGATGGAGGAACATTTACCAAGCAAATGCAAAGCAAAAAACAGCAGGGGTTGCAATCCTAGCCTCTTTGATAGAACAGACTTTAAGCCAACAAAGATCAAAAAAGACAAAGAAGGGCATTACATAATGGTAAAGGGATCAATGCAACAAGAAGAGCTAACTATCCTAAACATATATGCACCCAATACAGGAGCACCCAGATTCATAAAATAAGTTTGTAGAGACTTGCGAAGAGACTTAGACTCCCACAGAATAGCAGTGGGAGATTTTAACACCCCACTGTCAATATTAGACAGATCAATGAGACAGAAAATTAACAAGGATATTCAGGACTTGAACTCAACTCTGGACCAAGAAGACCTAATAGACATCTACAGAACTCTCCACCCCAAATCAGCAGAATATACATTCTTCTCAGCACCACATCACACTTAGTCTAAAATTGACCACATAATTGGAAGTAAAACACTCCTCAGCAAATGCAAAAGAACAGAAATCATACCAAACAGTCTCTCAGACCACAGTGCAATCAGACTAGAACTCAGGATAACTCACTCAAAACCGCACAACTACATGGAAACTGAACAACCTGCTCCTGAATGACTACTGGGTAAATAACGAGATTAAGAGAGAAATAAGTAAGTACCTTCAAACCAATGAAAACAAAGACACAACATACCAGAATCTCTGGGACACAGCTAAAGCAGTGTTTAGAGGGAAATTTATAACACTAAATGCCCACAGGAAAAAGTAGAAAGATTTAAAATAGACACCCTAACATAACAATTACAAGAACTAGAGAAGCAAGAGCAAACAAATTCAAAAGCTAGCAGAAGACAAGAAATAACTAAGATTAATTAGAGCAGAAGAAAAGTAGATAGAGACACAAAAAACCCTTCAAGAAAATAAATGAATCCAGCAGCTGTTTTTTTGAAAAGATTAACAAAATAGACCACTAGCCAGACTAAAAAAGAAGAAAAGAGAGAAGAATCAAACAGACACAATAAAAAATGATAAAGGGTATGTCACCACTGATCCCACAGACATACAAACTACCATCAGAGAATACTGTAAACACCTCTATGCAAATAAACTAGAAAATCTAGATAAACTGGATAAATTCCTGGACACATACACCTTCCCAAGACTAAACCAGGAAGAAGTCAAATCCCTGAATAGACCAATAACAAGTTCTGAAATTGAGGCAGTAATTAATAACCTACCAACCAAAAAAAGCCCAGAACCAGACAGATTCACAGCTTAATTCTACCAGAGGTACAAAGAGGAGCTGGTACCATTACGTCTGAAACTGTTTCAAACAATAGAAAAAGAGGGACTCCTCCTTGACTCATTTTATGAGGCCAGCATCATCCTAACACCAAAACCTGGCAGAAACACATGCAAAAAAAATAAAATTTGAGGCCAATATCCCTGATTTTGCATCGAAAAATCCTCAATAAAATACTGGCAAACTGAATCCAGCAGCACATCAAAAAGCTTATCCACCACGAGCAAGTCAGCTTCATACCTGGGATGCAAGGCTGGTTCAACATGCTCAAATCAATAAACGTAATCCATCACATAAACAGAAACAATGACAAAAACCACATGATTATCTCAATAGATGTAGAAAAGGCCTTCAACAAAATTCAACACCCCTTCATGCTAAAAAAAACTCTCAATAAACTACATACTGATGGAACGTATCTCAAAATAATAAGAGCTATTTATGACAAACCCACAGCCAATATCATAATGAACAGGCAAAAGCTGGAAGCATTCCCTTTGAAACCTGGCACAAGAGATGGAAGCCCTCTCTCACCACTCCTAATCAATGTTGCATTGGAAGTTCTGGACCAGGGCAATCAGGCAAGAGAAAGAAATAAAGAGTATTCAAACAGGAAGAGAGGAAGTCAAATTGTCTCTGTTTGCAGATGACACGATTACATATTTAGAAAACCCCATTGTCTCAGCCCAAAATCTCCTCAAGCTGATAAGAAACTTCACCAAAGTCTCAGGATGCAAAATCAATGTGCAAAAATCACAGGCATTCCTATACCCCAATGACAGACAAACAGAGAGCCAAATCATAAGTGAACTCCCATTCACAATTGCTACAAAGAGAATAAAATACTTAGGAATACAACTTATAAGGGATGTGAAGGACCTCTTCAAGGAGAACTACAAACCACTGCTCAAGGAAATAAGAGAGGACACAAACAAATGGAAAAACATTCCATGCTCATGGATAGGAAGAATCAATATTGTGAAAATGGCCACATTGCCCAAAGTAATTTATAGATTCAACGCTATCCCCATCAAGCTACCATTGACTTTCTTCACAAAATTAGAAAAAACTACTTTAAATTTCATATGGAAGCAAAAAAGAGCCCATATATCCAAGACAATCCTAAACAAAAGGAGCAAAGCTGGAGGCATCATGCCACCTGACTTCAAACTATACTACAAGGTCATAGTAACCAAAACTGCATGGTACTGGTACCAAAACAGATATAAAGACCAATGGAACAGAACAGAAGCCTCAGAAATAATGCCACACACCTACAACCATTTGATCTTTGACAAGCCTGACAAAAACAAGAAATGGGGAAAGGATTCCCTATTTAATAAATGGTGTTGGGAAAACTGGCTAGCCATATGCAGAAAACTGAAACTGGACCCCCTCCTTACACCTTATATAAAAATGAACTCAAGATGGATTAAGGTTAAACGTAAGACCTGAAACCATAAAAACCCTAGAAGAAAACCTAGGCAATACCATTCAGGACAAAGGCATGGGCAAAGACTTCATGTCTAAAACACCAAAAGCAATGGCAACAAAAGCCAAAATTGACAAATGGGATCTAATTAAACTAAAGTGCTTCTGCACAGCAAAAGAAACTATCATCAGAGTGAACAGGCAACCTACAAAATGGGAGAAAATTTTTGCAATCTATCCATCTGACAAAGGGCTAATATCCAAAATCTACAGGGAACTTAAACAAATTTACAAGAAAAAAACAACCCCATCAAAAAGTGGGCAAAGGATATGAACAGACACTTCTCAAAAGAAGACAGTTATGCGGCCAACAAACATATGAAAAAATGCTCATCATCACCAGTCACTAGACAAATGCAATCAAAACTGCAATGAGATACCATCTGAGGCCAGTTAGAATGGTGATCATTAAAAAGTCAGGAAACAACAGATGCTGGAGAGGATGTGGAGAAATAGGAATGATTTTATACTGTTGGTGGGAGTGCAAATTAGTTCAACCATTGTGGAAGACAGTGTGGCAATTCCTCAAGGATCTAGAACCAGAAATACCATTTGACCCAGCAATCCCATTACTGGGTATATATCCAAAGGATTATAAATCATTCTACTATGAAGACACATGCACACGTATGTTTATTGTGGCACTGTTCACAATAGCAAAGACTTGGAACCAACCCAGATGCCCATCAATGATAGACTGGATAAAAAAAATGTGGCACATATACACCACGGAATACTATGCAGCCATAAAAAAGGATGAGTTCATGTCCTTTGCAGGAATATGGATGAAGCTGGAAATTATCATTCTCAGCAGACTAACACAGGAACAGATAACCAAACACCACATGTTCTCACTCGAGACCAATGCGAACACATGGACACAGGGAGTGGAATATCACACACTGGGGCCTTTTGTGGGGTGGGGGGCTAGGAGAGGGATAGCATTAGTATGAATACCTAATGTAGCTGATGGGTTGATGGGTGCAGCAAACCACCATGGCACATGTATACCTATGTAAGAAACCTGCACGTTCTGTGCATGTATCCCAGAACTTAAAGTACAATTTTTTAAAAATAGTAAGTGTGGGAGCAAAAGGAAACAGAAGCAAAATGGATTATGCGTAAATCAAACAGATGTGGCAGCAACATGGAAATTTAGGATACAGTTTACGAGTCATATTGAAGATAAAGTAAGCAAGAGAACTTGAAAAGTGGTGATGGGCTACTTGGGTTAGGACAGAGAAGTCCTTAAGCAGGAAAATCTCTAAATTTGAGGCCATATTTGAGGTCACTAATTCTAGAAGTTGAAGATGATTAAAGTAGGCTTGGGGAGTGTACAGCTGTATAGGTGGGAAAGCCATATAAGTGGCTGACCCAGCAAGAAGAACAGAAAGTGGCAGAGATCTCGATTAGAACCATATTGTGGAAATTGAAAGAAAGGTAAAATGTATGGTTAGTGTACATAATTTTTTTTATTTAACCATTGAGCCTCTAACTCCTCACACTCACCCCTTTCTATGAGCTTGTGATCTCCCTTTTGAAGGAATCCCTCATTGCATATGGTCTTGGTGGGTTGGTGTCCATCTCTCCATCTCTCCATTTCCCACTCTGGAATCTAAAGGGACCACATTCCCCCTTTCTCTCCTGAACAGCAGGAATGAGAGGGGAGGATGGAAGATGAGCCTTCAGTTTGACAAATATAATGTTTTCTCCTAGGACATTGAATCTTGAACAGGTGATAAAGGTATATGGAACAAGTTGAAGGTGAGATTATTGCAGTGGCAATGCAGCAAAGGTGAAGAGACCTGACTTCCTCTGCCTGGGCTTCCAGCCCTCTCACCTCTTGCTTGCTTTGTAAGCCATCCATCAGTTCTAGAAGCTGCCTATAGCCCTTCAACAGAATCCCATTTTGCAAGATATTGCCAGATCTCTTTTCTCTTGCTTGCAGCTCGAACCCCTGACTGCAGTCAGGAGACACTATAGGAGAAAAATTGTTAGGATTAGATGACTGACTGGATGGAGACAGTAAAGACAACTCCTAAGGGAAGTATGGAGTGCATGATTACTGCCATTGTAAAAGATGGAAAAAAATAAGGAAGTTGAATTTATTTGGAGAAAGACAATGAGTTCACTTTTTTGTACTTGTGTTCCAAGCCAAAGTTATACACCCTTGGAACAGCTGGAGAAAGAGGACTGTAGAATAGCAAGATGCAGAGTTAACAGGTATGCTTGGAAACAATAAGCATATGGAACAACATGCACAAGAACAGATGTAATCCTATAGATGGGGTTTGTAGAGGAGGAAAAGTAGAATTCTAAATACAAGCTTTCCTAAAGAGATGCAACACACAGAAGCATATATTGATTTTATGGAGCAAAAAGTAAGGACTTGTAGAAAACTTGAACATATAGATGCTTATCTTGCTTTGTTTTAATATAAATTCTGAACTTTTAAGGTCTCAATATCCTACTTAATACCGTGTGTGTGTGTGTGTGTGTGTGTGTGTGTGTGTGTGTGTGTCTAACTCTGTCACCCAGGCTGGAGTACAGTGGTATGATCATAGTTCACTGCAGTCTCAACCTCCCAGGCTCAAGCAATGTTTCCACCTCAGTCTCTTGGGTAGCTGGGACCAGGGGCATGTGCCACCATGCCTAGCTAATTTTTTGTAGCAATGGAGTCTCACTGTGTTGCCCAGGCTGGTCTCAAAGTCCTGGGCTCAAGTGATCCTCCAGCCTCAGACTCCCAAATTGCTGAGATTACAGGTGTGAGCTACCATGACCAGCCACCATATATCTTGATTTAGAGAAAGTAGATGACTTTGGATGCACGTACCAGAAAATGTTGACTCTCATGGGCTTAACCACTAAAGGACTTTATTACCTTTGGAATAAGAAGTCCCTATTAGGGCAGTATCTAGGAGTGGCATGTGAGGACATCAGCTCTGCTTCTCTGAGATCCCACTGGATCTGTCCTCCTCTGTGTGTTGAATTTGACCTCAGCTTGGCTCCCTTCATAGTGCCAAGAAGGCCACGTTAGTTCCAAGGACATTGAGTTTAAAAGGGCCGTCCTTGATTGTGCTCTTGAAAGTGAGAACGGATTTTGCGGACGTGCCCTCCTCTACTTTCTCTAATGTCATATTAGCCAATAATTGTGTCATGTGCCCATGCCTACACCATGATTGACTTAAACCATTCAAAATTTATCCCCAGAGGCTGGGGCCAGCCTGCCTGCAGCATTTGGCTAGGCAAAGGAAGAAAAATGTAGAACCCTAAATAAAACAGGAATGATCACAATGAGGCTGATATCAGAAGGGTTACTGACAAAGGTAATAGTGGAGGATGGAGGCATGGAACCAACATTACCCCAAGGTGTAAAGCTCATGCTGTACATTAAAATTCAGTGGCTAAGTTAGTTTAATTTTTGATTTGCAGGTAATCTTAGGCTATGCTGTGCATTTTTATGGAATTAAAAAAATCCATTATTATACAATTCCAATTAGAACAATTCCCAAGCCATTGTTTTTCAGCCACTGCTTAACTCTTTTATTTTTGGGGGGGAGGGCGGGGGACAGAGTCTGGCTTTGTCACCCAGGCTGGAGTGCAGTGGCATGATCTCAGCTCACTGCAACCTCCACCTCCTGGGTTCAAGCCTCTCGAATAGCTGGGGTTATAGCCATACACCACCATGACCAGCTAAAATTTTTCTGTATTTTTAGTAGACAAAGGGTTTCACTTTGTTGACCAGGCTGGTCTCGAACTCCTGACCTCAAGGGATCTGCCCGCCTCGGACTCCCAAAGTGTTGGGATTACACACATGAGCCACCATACCCGGCCAGCCACTGCTTAACTCATATAACTCTCTTTTCTTCTGTCTCTATCCTTGACTACTAAAGCTTTTCAAAAATCACATGTGACACAGAAGCTAAACCCTTCTGAACCCCTCCTTTGTCCACCGTGGTTCCTCCAAAGCCAGTGATTTGTGGGTATAGGGACGGCATTGACAATGGATGCCTGGGTCAGGGGTAATTAAAACATGTCAATGGCCAAGGAGGTGGAAATCGGTTCAAGCCCAATTAAGGCATTTAGCTATTTTACTGCTGCATCCTTTTAGGCCTCTTTCAGCTTATAAATATTAATTTAAAGACTACCAACAAGGACAGTAAACGGATTCGAACATAAAACTTCCTGTCAGGGGTGATTTATATCCAATAAAAGAAGAGCAGGATGGAGAAAGCCTGCTTTGCTAAGTTTATGATAGACAGTCAAAGAGTACCGTCAAAATAAAAAGGCTTTCAGTCTGCTGTCGGCTGTGTGGGTGTCTTCTTTTTAATAAGCAGCATGCTAGAATTGTATTGTTTGCTTTTATCAGTCCCTTGCACTGTTGAGGAAAAGTTCTCCTGCACTGCTAATTGAACTTGTACGATTTATAGGCTCATGGCCTGAGCATGGGAGAGATTATTAGGACTTAAAAGATAATAGTGCCAGCAAGAAAATTAAAACTGCTTTCACCACTTATATTTCAATAGTGCATAACTTTTACCCTTTATACATCCTACGATGGCATAAGAATTTGTTTGAAGGGAGATCTGTCTTAGAGTCTATGAGAAGCGATTTAATGCCAGAAAACCCTGCAGCTGTCTTACCAGTACTACAGGGGGCCTAACCATGTGAGTCTGAAAGTGACTTTCAATTAAAAAAAAAACAGTTTTCTAGATAAAAGGTGAACAATCTGACACTTCCAGATTATCACTGTTGGGAGATATTCTCCATGTGTCTTTCACATGTCTGTAGATCCTGTTAGCAGAAGCACTCTCTCTCTTGGCTCTAGACTCCTCTTTCCATGATGTTTGTACAGGGAACAGCCTTAGAAGAGAGAGATGGGGTCGCCCTCTGGAGCCAAGGCCAGGCTTCAAGCTCAGCAGTCCTCCTGGAACACAATCCACTATGTGTACAGGTGCCACCTGGTCCTCTTCACGTTGCTTTATGGGAACTGGGGATCGCGGAACTGATGCAAATGCTGATTCACTGGCTCCTGCCTGCCATAAGTAATAAGTCCAACTTCTTAGCTTAGAAACAGATAAAATCATCAGCAATGTGAAGTTAGAAAAGTAGTATGTGTAATATTTAAAATAAAAATACTTTACACGATAATATGTCTCTATTTCCCACCAGATTTCCACATTTAAAAGCGTAGAGTTTTCCTTTGACCATAACCAGTGAGAAGCTAGTATAAAGATGAAGATTAGGGAGGGTTATTGAGGAAACTTCACGTTCTTGAATCTCTGGGGGGTAAAAAAATCCTCAGCCTTCTGACGAAAAAGATGTTAATAAATGACAGAGTGGCAAAGTAATGTCGCTTCCAGTTCCTCAATTCAGAAGGTTATTGAAATATTAAGAATTATTTATGGTAAAAAGAAAACCCCTATGAATAAATAAGTCAACAACCTGAACAGACATCTTATCAAAGAGCATATACAGCTGACAAATAAGCATATGAAAAGATACTTTACATCATATGTCATTAGGGAAATGCACACTAAGACAACAATGAGATACCTCTATATACCCATTAGTATGGCCATAATCTAGAATCCTGACACCACCAAATGCTAGCAAAGGTGTGGAGCAACAGGAACTCTCATTGCTGGTAGGAATGCAACATGGTATAGTCACTCTGGAAGATGGCTTAGCAGTTTCTGACAAAACTAAGTATATACTTACTGTAAAACCCATCAGTCCTTGGTATTTACCCAAAGCAGTTAAAAATTGACGTCCACACAAAACCTGCCCATGGATATTTGTAGTTGCCTTATTCATAATTATCAAAACTTGGAACAACCAAGATGTCCTTCCCTAGGTGAATGGTTAAATAAACTGTGGTACATCCAAACAATCAATTAGTCAGTGCTAAAAAGAAATGAGCAATCAAGTTGCAGACATGATGGAACCTTAAATGCATATTACTAAGTGAAATAAGCCAATCTGAGAAGGTCACATGCTGTATAATTTCAGCAATACAATGCTGGGGAAAAGGCAAAACTAGAGAGACAATAAAAAGATCAGTGGTTGCCAGGGGTTGGTGTGGGGGAAGGTTGAAAAGGCAGACACAGAGGATTTTAAGGGCAGTATTAATACTCTGTATGATACTAAAATGATAGATACATGTCATTATACATTTGTCCAAACCCGTAGAATGTACGAAACCAAGCATGGACCCTAACACAAACTCTGGACTCTGGGTGATAATAATGTATCAGTGTAGGTTTACCAGTGGTAACAACTGCACAACACCGGTGAGGATGTCAATAATGGGTGAGACTGTGCATGTGTGGGGGCAGGAGGTATTTGGGAACTCTGAACTTTCTTCTTCATTTTTTTTTTCTGAACTTAAAATTGCTCTGAAAAAAAAAGTCTTTAAATAGGAAGAAAAGAAATATGTATGGTAAGTAGAAAGACTAACATACTATTGTATATAAAAATTTAGAAATGTGTATTTGCATAATAACATAATTTTAAACATGATTTTCAGTAATTTACATAATGTCTAGCTAACTAGGGCTAGGATCTTTGGCAATGTCTTCTGCCTTTCTCTCACTCTCTATTATCTCTTTGCTTACTATTGCAAAGCACTGGAAAAGTACTAGTGGTCAGGGGAACAACAAGAAATAAGACAATCCAAGCTCTCCATCAGGTTCACTGTCTAGCAACAAGTGAGACACACACATGAGTTAAGTGAGCCACAAAGAAGGAAGAGGGTGGAAGTGTCCGGAAGTACCAGGTGAGGGCTCCACATGGGCATTCTGGCCTCTGGATTTTAAGTGGGAGTATCTATATGCTACATATTACTTGAAAATTTTACTCCAGGATCTGGTCAATGTCTCAGTGTGGTGAGATGAGGTCCAAGATATATGAAGTTGTTTCTTTGTATCTATATGACCAGGAAAAACTACGTTTGTACATGGCTAACTTTACGTCTATTAGAAGTCACCAAATATTATTAGTTTAGCTCTTATTTCCAACATTCATACTGTCTAAATTTTGTAAGTATTGCTGACTTGAAAGTATCATATCAGTCCTGCTTCTCACAGTCTTGTAAGTAAGAAATCTCGTAATCTAACTCTGGCTCTGTTCTGAGATCCAGTGGAGTTATTAGGATGAAATATGTTCAGTCCACCAAGAATTTTTTATTTTCTAGTGGCTGATTATTTGGCCCATTGAAAAAGCTGGAGGTCACACTGTAGATTATATGAACTATTATGCCCATTGTCCATTAGCCCCCAGGTGAATAGAGTGACCCCCCCCCTTCACTGTCCTCACCTCCAGATTATGCATAAGGAAAGACAATGTCCTTAACCAAGTTTTCTCCCATTCACATCTTCAGATATCACAGTATTGTTCCTTTTAGATCATTAAGGGAAGAAATATGCTGAACATTGTCTCTTTTAAATGGACAAGGGTGGGATTTCTGCAAGGAGTGTGTAGTCTGATAAAACCCATAATAAAAAATGTTGAGGCTCCCTCAAATTCCACATGGAGATCACTACAAGTTTAAAAAATAACAGAGATGTATTTGTGGAAGGAAACCCTGAACAAGGATATACATTTCCTAAAGAGAACAGGATGGTTGAACAAAGCTTTGATGATGGAATTAACATGAAACAAAGGCCCTCTGAGGAAGATCAGTCTGAAAAGAAATGAAGAATACATAAAACTTTGTTTAATTTATGGAATTTATATGCTGCTGACCAGTAAGTATAAAGTTCCATTCCCTTGGTCCTCATTATCACTCATGTATTACTTGTCAGTAAATGTGATGCACTCAGAACATAACAGCTACGGTAATATTTCTGTTCCCACTGCAGCTTTACTACACCCATGAAACTCTGTAATCTTTAAATTCCCTCACTGTTAACATCTGCTGAAACATTATTGGTCCCAGCATAGCCAAGCTGCTCTGAAATTACATTTAGCAGAGTAGTTAATGCTAACAGTATAATTCTAGACGCAACCATGTTTGAAAAGAGCTTTATAACTCGCACAATGATTGTGCTTCCTTTAGCTTTTATTTCTTTCATATCTGTGTTGTATCATGATCTCATTGGTTTGGAGCGTGCCATTGGAAAAAATAGCATATTTTATATATATTGTTCAGTAAACACTACATTACATTCTGACTTTTCTTATTGCATGAACGAAACTCTCTTTTTCTAGCACTTTTTAAGTGAAGTGAAATTCCATTGCAAGATATGATTATAAACATTTAGCAATTTGAGGCAGGAAATTAATCAAGTTTCTGTAAAATGAAGATATTTTGTCACCCTGTTAAGGTGCTTTGAATGTTTTAAATCGAAATGGTCCCACAAATATGCTAAATAAACAGGTTGTTTGTGACTTTTGTTAATTAGAATGCATTCCTTCTATAATCATAAAGTAGTTAACCCCTTTTAAGAAAAATCTTTGCCCTGAAAAACTATCTTTGTTATAAATGCAATAATATAAACATTGTATTGACATTACTCTAAAATTTCTCATTAATATATTTTATATCAACATATATTATTATAGTTATATTTACTATTATATAAATGATGTTTAAACATTTTTAAATGTGGGCATTTATCTGATCTAGAAAATGCTTTAGTAAATTGCTTGGTAGAAGTTAACGATTTTGCTTCCCCAGAGAATATTCTTCCCAAAACTAAAATACTATAGTTTAATTTCACCATCAAGTAAAAATATGTATTAATAATTTAATACTAAGCAAAATCAGACACTTTTATTAAATTCGAATTTTGTTGAAGGCAAGAAGTACAGCTTACTAACACGATATAGAGAGTGGTATTTTTAAACAGTTAGTGAAACATCTGAATATATGAAGGAAGAAAGAACATGTTCAAGGGTGTTTATGTGGTTAACTTAAACAGGGTTTTACAAAACTTTCCTTAAATGTACAAGATACCTGCCAAAGTTGGGGCCGTATAATATAATCAAAGATAATTGTATAGAATTTATTAATATATATGTTGCTTCTTGAATTTTTCTATATTTGTGTCATGTATAATAGTCTGTTGAAGCCAAGAGATTATATTCTTAGCTATCTCTGTAGGATCTACGTCACAATATAAGCAAGATTAAGTCTTTCCTTATAAAAAGTGTTGGGTTTATCTTTTACCCCTACCCCCTAGGAATTTTCATCCTCTCTGGGTTTCTTGTTCTTCATGCCAAGAGCAGTTACATCCACTATGCAGAAACCCTCTGGTCAGAAAATTCTTTGCTTTGCACTAGTGCCCTCTACTTGCTGGCCAGACTTTTCACTTGGGTCTGGCATTCCCTCTTTATTCAGGCTCTCTTTGGCTAGATTTCTGAGTGTCTGCTACATATCTGCCTGTAGTGCAGACCCATGGCTTGCATGTGATCTGAAGCTGTGTCCCATCTTCAAGCAGCAAATGTCTGCCAAGCACCTGCTTGCTAGGTACTGACCTTTGCGTGATGCTTTACCCAAATGTGCTCTAGGTCTGGATTCCAGATCCTAACTCTGCTCTGATCATTGGCTTTCTTCCCCAAGCCTACAATGCTCCCATCCAAGCTTGTATTTCATCACTCTTATTTCTTATTTTTGGATCCACAAACCCAAACTTCTTTCCCTGTACTGACTTTCCATGGTTGATGTGATAAAAACATTAATTTTTAAATGGTATTTGGTTGTCTTTCATGGTATATGTACAAGTTTATAATAAAGCTCTAGACAGAGAAACAACAAAAAAAACCCTTAGGTTTTAAAATATATTCACAGAGTAATTTACCAGACAAGGCAAAACGTTATATTATCATTGAATATTTATCTTTATTATGCTCATCTCCTAATCTTGTACAAGAATATGCATGGAGGAAATCTTATATTTGAGATCTAAGCGGTATCTGATTAATGAACAGCAGTAAATTATAAGTTGCCAGCTGGTTTTCCAACATTCGACTGTAATAATAATCTGACTTCATATCTCCTTTTTCTCCTTCCCTTTCCTCATTATTACTGTAAAATTAGAAGCATATGGAATGATATTTATTAAGGCAAGGTGAAATCTGTAGAAAGTTGAAAAAAGAGACAGAAGAAGTTTATTTAAAATTATTACCTTGGGGTGTGTGTGTGTGTGTGTGTGTATTTGCACGTGTGAGAGAGAGAGGAAGATGAAGAAAGAGAGAAAGAGGGATGGGAGAGGAAAAGAAAGAATTTCTCCCTGTTTGTCCTTCATCTCCTTCAAGACTTGTCATCAACAGTTCATGAAAGGGGTCTATCAGGTGACTTAAACAGACATGGTAGCAACAATTATCGTTGTCTTCAGCTGCTACTTTGAAATTCCTTCCCAGCCCGTAGCCCCTATGAAATCAGTGAGCTTAGGCATCCCTATTTATGCCTCATGATCCCTCTCCAGCTTCAGCTGACTGGACTAGAGGTAGATGCACGACACCTCCTACCACCATCACCACCCAAGGGGAACTTGATCCTGGCTTGGACTGAGCTAGTAAGGTTGTTGGGTTTGTTTTGTTTCCTTACTCCCTTCTTTTTCTCTCTCTCCAATTATGATACACAGAAATTGGAACTAAAATGTCATTTAGAGCTGAGGTTACAATTGGAAGCACAGCAAACCAGAACAAGGTAAGTTTAATGAGCAGAACCCAAAATTTTGCCTTGCAGGGGAGATTAGTAGAGAAAATAACGGTGCAGAAAGCAGAAACAAGCAGAGATAAACAACATAACCTTAGAAAGAGAGATAGCTAGAGGAGCTCTCGGGCAATTTTCTAGTCCCACGAAGTCTGGCTGTGCCCTCTTCCCAGTAATATATGCTACCATGGGGTTCTCCTCCATCTTTAAAATAGCCTCCTCCTCTGCATTGCATTTGAGCTCCTTTAAGTTAATTTCTGTTCTTTGCAACCGAGTTAGCACTGACAAAGATGGCAGTAAGGGTACATCCTCCCTTCAAGGATCACACAATCCAAGTCAGATACCAATGGCTGAAAGGGCACATCAAAGATATCTGCTCTGAAAAAACACATCAATGACCAGTGATTCTCTGACATGTAGGCTTCTTTCTTGGCCATCAGTACCCCTGTACGCCTCTAACTATTTGTTCAACTTTATTGTCATCACCTTGGAGTTAGTAAAAAATCAATTTTGAAAAACATATCAGTTGCCTATATGCAAATGGCAGAGAACAATACAATATTAATATTTTATACATCATATCTGTTCATGTTTATAGTATTATATTAAATCAGATTAAAATCAATAGCTAAAAAATGTTAACATGGAATAAACGTTACAACCCATGGAAAGATGGGTAATCTCAAACAACAAAATCAAACCTGAGATCACATTTTACATGGTCTTTGAGACTACTTTTTTGTTATATTCAGCAGGCTTCAGAAAGAAGACTTAGCTATTTTGAGTACATTGTTTTCTGATAATTTATATTTTAATATTATTTGTGTGTAGATTTTCCACGTTTTTCCCCCATGTTTACTCAGGAAAAAAGTGCTTATCTAACTCCCTGGGGCATCTAACTTAAGTTTTAATTCACATACTTGAAAAAGTAATATAAATTTGGGATCATAAAACATTTTTAGTGATATTAACATTATATCACAATATCTGAATTTTGAAACATTGTGGAATCAGCATTGTACTAGGCATCACAAGGCCTTGGTTCTAATCCCAATTCTATTAAATTATTTATGTCACCCTGGGCATATTTCTATCTTTTTGAGTCTACCCTCTCCTCCCCACCCCCAAATTAAGACACAAGAGCACCTACTCTAAGGGCACCTTATGAGAAAAAAAAATCAGAAATTTGAATGTTAAAGAGCTTTATAAATCACATGTCCTAGATTATTATGATGTTAGTAGTGACAACAAATAGATGTGTGGTGTGTCTTTTGTACAGGTGTGAGAGCCTGTACTCACTAGTAAGTCCCGCTGTCTTTTTTACCAGTAAGTAGCCATAGCATCTGTTGAACAGAAGAGGAAAAGGCTGGATTCTTGATATGAGACAAAACTGACAGGATTTATGAAAGGTTAACTATGGACCATAAGAAAAAGCAAGGAATCAAAACTAAACAATAGTTGACAGTCATTCCTTCAACAGCCACCTCAACAGTATCTTCCATAGAATGCTCCCACAAATTCTATTTGTTAATTTAACAAATGTTTATGGAGCACCAACTTTGTATTCCATGCTCTGCTTACACTTGGGTATAAATCAGAAAATAAAACACAGTTCCAACTCTCAAGAACTATGAGTTTACTGGAAGAGACAATCAATTACCATACAATGAGGGAAAATCGTGTTGCACAGAGAAGAAGTATCTAACACAACTGTTACCCACAGGAAGGTGAGAGCTAAAGATAGGCTTTGTGGAAGCCAGAGAAAAAGACAGAGGAGCATTGGAGGGAGAAGGAACCCTATGTGTTCTCCTAGGACTTGCAATTTGTTCTGCAGAACAAGGCATACGTGTGCATATCAGACTTTACAGAAGTTTGAAGATATGGAGGGATTTCTATTGCAGCAAAACAAAACTCGAACATTACAAATCCCTATTATTAACAGTCTCTGTGCCATATTGCTTGCAATGATTGGCCTTCACTCACATCTCATTCTCTTCAACCCTTCTCAGACCCTATCTCTATTTCATAATCCCCATATTTACCATTTCTTATGCAAAGTAACTTATCTGTGTTTAGCTCCTGCCCCACCCCCCCATATTCAATTCAGCATTTTCAGAGATAGATGAGGCCATGACAGAAGCTTTAAAAATATGTCTGTAGGCCAGGCACTATGGCTCACACCTGTAATCCCAGCACTTTAGGAGGCAAATTGGAAGGAAGATCGCTTGAACCCAGGAGTTCAAGACCAGCCTGGGCAAGAGAGTGAGACCTGGTCTCTACTAAAAATAAAAATTTAAAAAAATTAGCCGGGTGTAGTGGCACATGCCTGTAGTCCCAGTTACTTGGGAGGCTGAGGCAGGAGGATCACTTAGCCCAGGAGTTCGAGCTTGCAGTGAGCTATGATGGTGCCACTTCACTTCAGTGTAGAGAGTGAGACCCTGTCTCAAAAAAAAAAAAAAAAAGTTTGTAAGTGACCTTCTCTAACTCATCTGTAAGCAAAATTTCTTCCTCAATGGTGGTTTCTATTTCTCCAGTTACATATTCGTTTAAATGTTTTGCATACCATAGAAGAAAGCAGTCCAATCAATTTGTTCTAATTGTCTTTTATACTCTATTGTGACTTTTTTATAAAATGTGTTTTAGGCTGAGAAAAACACTTTTTAAAAATATTTGGAGAAGGATTAGAATTAAGTGGAAAGTTAAAGAAAAGCCATCTTGTGTATGTACTAAAAGTCACTCTGGGGCATGTTTTAGGAGCCCATTAATATATGCAGCAAGCGGTTGAATGTATCAAGTTTTAATTCCAAGGCAAATGTTAATGGAGCACCAAAATATGCCCTGTTCGGTCTTAATGCTGAATTTTAGTATGATAATACCTGCAATGACACCTAAATTAGGATAGAAGCCCCAACTGACTGTTAGTGAAGTTTTCAAAACATGGCAATTTATTGATTACATATGTCAAATTCCATTGACAAAATCTATTTTTTCACATACAGTAATAAAAATTGGCTCAAGTTTAAAATAATCTGATAGCACCCATTATGCAATGCTTCACTCATAAATACTAAATAATCAAATTGGGCATGAAGCCAGCAAAAGGGAACTCCTTCTGTCAGTTCGGAAAAGATTACTTTAAAATATTTGACTGTCTTACTTAAATGGGCTAAAAATGTACAAGACAAAAAGCAATCACATAAACCAACCATAAAGAGAAATAATTTTAAGATAATATCTAGTGTCATTAAAAATTTACATACCTATTTTTAAAATTGATGCTTAGAACTGATTCAATAGTTACCTTGCTTTATTATTAATAAACAGAATGAAATGTGAATATAAAATATAAATGTAAAATAAGAAAATATCTAATATTCTTTACATTTTAGCCTGCATCTGTAAGATTGTAGCAGCACATATGAGGCACTTGATAAGTATTTGTTGAATGAATAAATGATTGGATGAATGACCATGGAGATTAAATGTCTTATCAGAAAATAAGTACCCATAGAACCATTCCTCTCTTGTTTATAGACATTTATTTTGCATTTCCTATATATAAGCACTATGTCCAGTTGGGAACTTGGGACCTGGTCCCTCTCCTTGAGGAACTCAGCATGTCATTGGTAGGAAATGTAAAGATTTGATATTTTAAGAATTTCTATAACTGAGTACAGCATGTACTATAATTTGCAGAAAAAGATAGTCAAAGGAGCGTGAATAATGACCACCCTCTGGATGTGTTCACTTTGGCCAATCTAGGAAAATAATGATAGTAGATATCTAGCTTTCTATAGACAGCAAATTTCATGGATATGCCAATGACCAGATGAGTTTTATACTTGTAAAAAGGCACATTTAGAATGATTCAAATCACATTGCCATTGGTCTGCTCAAATCTTAAATGTTAGCATTCTTCAGGGCCTGTCCTTAGAGATCCTTTTTCTGAGAAATAGTTGTTCCATGGTTTCTGCTAGCTCCCATTTGCTAAGGCCCAAATCTCCATTTCCAATACAGACTTCCCCACTGAGCTCCAGACCTGAACAAGTCCTAGATGGCACCACTTGGACACCCCACAACCATCTCTAATTCAATATTCCTAAAGCGAGTTCAGGTTAAGATACCAAATTCACACAACATGTTTTCTGTCAAGAATGAAGAAAGAGTGCTAATAGACACAGAGTTTCTTTTGGGGTGATGGAAATTTTCAGGAATTAGTAGTAATGGTTGTACAAGAGTGGATTTTATTGCATGTAAACTATATCTCAATCGAAAAAAAGAAAAATGATTACCAACCTGCTCCTATGTTAATATTCCCTGTTACAAGAGGTGCCACCATCAACTACCCACTTTGGAATCTTGGGGCACAGTTCAAGTCTGATGCTTCATTATATTCTCAGGGCCTGGTTCTGTGCCTAACTCATAACACAAAAATAATATAGTCCAAACAGTAATAATGAACAATTACACTTTGTTGTGTTGAACAGATAGATTTTAAAACCAATCTTAAACTTACTCTTTTCGTTACCCTCCATGTCGAATCAGTCTGCAAGTCCCACAGTCACTGTGTCTGTAGAAAATCCAACTCCTCCTCACTGTCATCAGGATGGTTGCCTACATTCTGGATCTTGTCATTCTAGATCTTATCTTCTCTATGTACTTTCCCCCACACTCATAATATTACAAAACAATAATTTTATTTAAAATTGATTCCCAATTGGTTTCCCTTACTTCAAGTCTTCTACTCCTCTAATCCCATCTCCACTGCTGCCTAAGTTGCCTAAGATTCAAATTGGATCGTATTTGTGTCTTACTTGATATTTTCAGTGATTCTCCATTGTCTACAAACTCTAGTGAAAGTGAAATTCCTCAAGATGCATGCATGAGTATTTGCCTTGACCCATACAACTCACTGTACTTCCACTCCATCCATCTTCCGGTCCCGTATATTTTCCTTCTGTCCCCTTCTCTCAGATAGTATTGATAATTTTTTCCTTATGCTCCTACTCTATCCAGTATACACACATGTGATGGGATCTAGGAGCCTCCATTGTACTTTTTTTCACTTATAATCTGTCTCCATGAATATACTTAAAGCCCATTGATGGCTAGGATCAGGCTTAACACAGTATCTACAGAGTGACAATGTGTCCTGTGGAAAAATTAAATTTCAAAGCTCTTAGAGATGATACTTTGGCTCCACTATCCCTGCCATTCAGCACTCACATCAGATGCCGCAAGTATATATTACATATATTGGGTCATAGATAACACTTA
Source organism: Homo sapiens (assembly GCF_000001405.40). Classification (NCBI taxonomy): domain Eukaryota; kingdom Metazoa; phylum Chordata; class Mammalia; order Primates; family Hominidae; genus Homo; species Homo sapiens. Next base: position 217,400,701 of record NC_000001.11, read on the forward strand.
AATAAATATTTGGAAAATGATCTAGTGTTAATTATTTCTGTTTTTCTCTATTCTGTTGCTTTCTCTCCCATATTTTACTACAGTCGCTCACTTAGAGAAGAGCTGTACCATGGAGAAAAGAGAAAAACATGCAAATGACAGAGTTTTCCCAGCCTAATTATACCAGTGGAGTGGGGTAGGGCAGCTATTTTAAACTGAGAGTAATTTGGGGGTCACTTGTAGATTTGTGTTATTCCTGCTATCTCTCAGTGTGAGTTATCTTCAGTCATTTGTTTATGCCTTTGACTTCAAAATTAGTCATTTATTGAAGTTGCCTTGGGACCAAACACAGAATCTAAAGATGGATTAATAATTAAATACATGCTAGGTGCGGTAGCTCACACCTATAATTCTAGCACTCTGGGCGGATTGCTTGAGCCCATGAGTTTGAGACCAACCTTGGCAACATGGCGAAACCCAGTCAATACAAAAAATACAAAAATTAGCTGGGCATAGTGGTACACACCTGTAGTCCCAGCTACTTGGGAAGCTGAAAGGTGAGAGGATCACTTGATCCCAGGAGGTGGAGGCTGCAGTGAACCAAGATCACACCACTGTACTCCAGCCTGGGTGACACAGCAAGACCCTGCCTCAAAAAAAAAAAAAAAATCAAATATAGTCAAGGCAAAAATAGCATGGGCATAAAACACTGTGCTTAATAACAAGTTTTGTCAGTGAAGATGATATTTAATAAGGGACGAGAATTCCTGATACTCAGAGTTATGATGAAACTGGTCAGAAATAGAACACTGTGGTTTTACTATACTTACTTTCAGCAGGCACTTAATGGGAGTTTCTCAGTGTATTTTTCCAAATCAAGATATTGAATGGAATGAACAAGAATACTCAATTTTAAGGCTATTGATTCTTTACCAATTCCTCAGTTAAATAAAAGGTCCCCAGGAGAAGAAAAGCTGGCCATCGCCACTCTCAGTTTTATCCATTATTCCATTATTATAAGTCATTCCCATTACTGGCAGAATCCTCAATCATTTATTTATTGATTAAAAAGACATTTTCTTTGAGTACCTACTATGTGCCAGATACTTCCCAGGTATCCCCCTTCCCTCTACCCCCCCAAAAAACAGAAAGAAAAGTAGAGAAAAATGGAATATTTTCCTTGCCTTTAAGAATCCCACAGTCTAGTTGGTAAACAGTTTTTAGTTTTCCTTCAGCAGTTAAAATCTGCTTGGCTCCTTGCCCCCGTATGGCTATAACCTTCATGGCTGGAGAAAGTAACTGCTCTTCTCAACAATCTTCACTGGTTCTGCCTTTAGTGAAAAGAAGGGGAGACCTATTAATGTTTCAAAGATAACATATACAATTGAGATAGTTACTGGTTCTGCCCAGTCCTGATGCCTCACTTGTTCTAGGAACTGAATCCTTGCCTTATTCTCCATACAAAGTTTCCCTCTTTGATCCCTGTGTTCATGAATTCCAACTTCACCCAGGATTGTGGCTCTGACTTGCTCCTCTGTGGTTCCTCCAGGCACTGGGGCATTGCCCAATCCAGTCCTAACTGCAGGACCATCAGTTATTGTTGTCTGCCTTCCTGCAACTGTTGACTGCCTGCTCTTGTCTTTCTTGATCCTGGCTTCAGTGTAGCCAAGCCACCTTCCTAATGAACTTCTCTTGCCTTCACTATGTCCTGGAACTTTCCAGATCAGCACCCTGTCCTGAGACTCTCTGGTCTGAGGGCATGAGAGCTGAGGTCACTTTCATTGGAGAGGATGCACGTCATCCTACAAGTCTTTCCAGGGAAACCACAAATCAGGCTGGTTGCTGGTGCTGCTAAGACTGGCCATCATGTGTTATGGAGGGATGACTGGTCCTCTCATCCTGGCAGGGATTTGAAGTATCCAATTTAGTTCTTTGTTTCCCAGCAATCTATCCCTGCCCTGAATTCCACAGTCCTAATCCTGGTACCTTGCTGCCACTGTATGTGTGTGGAAGGGCGATGGGGAGAGAGAAAAATGGATGACAGACAGAAAGAAACCATCTGACAAAGCTGAAGAACACTTGTTTCTCCAAAGCAGCTTGAATCTCCCTGCCTGGGCTGCCAAGTGAAGGATGTGATTAATGAAGAGATGTCAGAGAGATAATTCTTCTATCCAGGAAGAGTGGGAAGGATTTTTTTTTTAAAGAAGTATTAGAGTTTGAATGGAAGGAGAGCAAGAAAAAGGCGCTTGTTGTCGTGGTAAAGAGTGCCAGGAAGAAATGGTTGTGCCAGTGCTGTCAACCAAAGGACTAGCCCCACCCCACCTGCCTCTTCCAGCACCTACCCCTTCCAGTTCTTCCAGTGGAGCTGCAAACTACCTCCCCTGTTATAAACAGCAGCACAGATGTTGACAGAAAAATGCTCCCTTAATTACCATACAAACTGCTTTACTTGAGTGAACCGTTTAAAGCAGCCTCCAAAGGAAGTTCACTCAAGCAATTCCGCAGATTACAGCTAATGAACAATATTTCCTCGCACCTATTTAGTGCTCATTAAAATGTAAAAGCCTTTCATTTTAAACAGACGCACAATAAATAATTCCTCTCTCCTTCTCTGTTTCTGAGCAGCTTGGATAAAAGCTGTGAGGAGAGGGAGCTGGAGGAGCGGGGCTGGACTGCCGGGGTTGGGTGGAGGCAGTAAGAGAGACAGCCAGGCAGAGAAAGGGGGATGGGGAAAGGGAGGCCCAAGAAATAGCTGGGGACTCATTAATATCCCAAGAAGCCTCTGCTTGTCTGGTAGGAGGAATGTCCATGTTTGGAGTTCAACAGACAGATCCTGAGACCAGACGTATCCTACCCACTCATCCAGCACAGCCAGCCAGCCATGAATGAGTACAGCAAACAAAAGCCACAGCGGGCAACACTGTACAGCAGAGAGGAGCCAGCTCATGATGGAGCTGGGGGTGGGTAGAGCCCCTCCAAAGTAATAAATTACTAGTGCTGTGTTTCTTTAGACTGTCCCTTATTTGTTTGTTTGTTTGTTTTGTCTTCATTTATTTTTAGGACTGAGGTTAGAAGATGAGTATCAGGTAAACCTTGAGAAGTTACTTGTTGCCAGTGGGAACAGAGGGAGTCTATAGATGTTTTCTGGTTCCTGCAGGGCCTTGTACTCCCACCTGTAGTAGTTTGATTGTATAACGCATGCAGCACGAAAGATGGAGGAATCTTTTGTGTGTTCAGTGAGTTGGACATGGCGGATGGTGGTAAAGATAGATTTTTAGAGGACTGTGACTGTTCTTTTTGAGATAAACAGCAAAAGAAAGTGGAACAGGGACTTGGTAAAATATATGCCTTGAGTGGATTTTAAAAACCTCTGCTTTTAATATTTTTCTCCTTAACAGAGGTATCACTTTTAGAGATTGGTGGGACCAAAATGATGAGCCCATTAGTGGTAATGCATAGATAGTGAGGAAAAGAAGCCCAAGAGGATCCCATCTCACCAAATTGGCAGTGACAAATGAAACTGACAGGACTAATGTATAATAAACTGTCTCAAACTTCAATCAAGTTGTGGGCCCTGTGTATAACATAAAATTGCCTTAATGATCAAGACTGACTAAGAAATTTCTTTCTTTCTTTCTTTCTTTCTTTCTTTCTTTCTTTCTTTCTTTCTTTCTTTCTTTTTAAAAAAAAGCAATGGACAAGAAATCTTGATACTATTGAGGAACATTGTCTTTTAGCCAAAATAGGCGGTACTCCTTTTAACTTTATTGAGTCTGCATGGAAATACAGTGAGTAGAAAAGATGTCTGAAATCCACTGTGTTAGTCCGTTTTCATGCTGCTGATAAGGACATACCATAATTTATAAAGAAAAAGAGGCTTAATGGACTCACAGTTCCAGGTGGCTGGGGAGGCCTCACAATCATGGCGGAAGGCAAAAGGCAGGTCTTACATGGCGGCAGGAAAAAGAGAATGAGAGAGCCAAGCAAAAGGGGAAAACACTTATAAAACCATCAGATCTCGTGAGACTTATTGACTACCATGAGAAGAGTCTGGGGGAAACCACCTGCCGTGATTCAATTATCTCCCACCAGATCCCTCCCACAACATGTGGGAACTACAATTCAAGATGAGATCTGGGTGAGGACCCAGACAAATCATATCACCCACCATCTTCTGTTTTAGACCTCATGTATTTATTACACAAGTATCGAGTGCCAGACATTTTGTCACGCATGGAGGATACAGAAATGAATAAGCGATGTTCCTCTCATGTGCCCCAAGACATGTAAAAGTCACTACGCTACAGTGCAATAAATGCTGTTACAGTGATATGGACCAGAAGTGCTGTAGACGCTGAGAGAGGTGGGAGGTCCAGGATACTATTAATACCTGAAAACTTCATAATCTGTACTGTAATTGGTAACATTGTTATAGCCTTATTCTAGAGCTCAGCAAATACTTGATTTGTGGTGTGGTTTCATTCGCAGAAGCTAAATGTCTGTTAGGGAGTGGCAGACAGGCATCTGGGAGGGGACACGCAAGTGTACATTTGAACCCGTTTCCATGAACATGAGGAAGGCATGGTAAAGAAGAATTAAGTCTGTACTTGGCTTTTAACTAAGGTCATTTGAAAATGGTCTTCAACACCCATCTCATTTGCTTTTTTATGCCTGACAATTTAGTGTTGTATTCAAAGTGATTAATTAGTTTGTAGTGAAGGTTTATTAGGTAATCTTCCTGTCAATCAAAAATCACTAGGGTTTCAGGGTAGAAGAAAGAGTACCCAGCTATTTCATAAGGACGGAGAATTTACATCATTATTGTATTCAAAAAAGGCACACTCTTAAAATGTTAGAGTACATAGTACACAGAGGAGTTAATGTGGATATTATTGAAGTTGACACGAGTGATTTTGTCCTCCTTAATATTTATGGGTTCTTTCTATTAAGAAAAATGCAAAGTGTAAATTAACCTTTCATATTTTTTCTGTGCTACTGATTTAAACATGGAGTATTTTTACTTTTCTTATTCAGACCTATAAAAATAAGATAAACATAACATTAAAATACTTACTTAAAGCTATGTTATGCCTTAAACCAGGGTAAATCAAGGGGGTAATGACAATTCCAGAAATCAAAGATATTTCCCCAGTTAAGAGTACATTCACATTGTGCTATTCTAGAAACTAACCCAGACCTGGAATCTGTATTTCCTAAATGACAGACCATTACTTGACATATTTTTTCCCTCACATGTATGTATATGTATGTGTATATGTGTGTGTTTGTATGTGTGTGTGTGTTTGTGTGTGTGAGTTATTTTACATTTAAATAAAAGTTTTATTACATCTATATTGCTTTCTTTGCAATCCTTAAAAGTTCATGTTATTTAAATAATTTGATGAAAATCTGTGGTAAATATTACTGCTTAATGTCTGTGTTTATACAAAAATAACTATGTAAATACAGTAAACTTGTACTGTAGGTAGTAAACAAAAGATGAAACTGTTCTTTGAGGGTTTTATTTAACATGCATTGCCAGCTGTTTCCTTCTATCTACTACCCTAACAATTTTTAAATTAATGGATTTCTTTTTCCTAACATAGACATAAATGCCAAAAAAAACTCTAACACATAGTGAGAGCTCAATAAATAACTAAATATTATTATTATTGTTTTAACTAGTTTTTACTGACACAAAAGCATCTTTAACCTAAAGGAATTTTTAAGATTGAATTACAAACTACAATGATTTATTTCTGATAACAGTGGTAGCATGAACATTTTTAAATGTTAATATGGCTTCTCAGGGTCATTTGTGCCTTTAACTTAAAATGTTGTTTTGCTTCTTTGAATTGGTGCACATTTTTGTGGATCTTATGGAATAGATTACCTGAAATATTGCACAAAATATTTCCTCAGAAGACATAACTCTTGGGCTGACCATGGGAAAAGAAAAAAAAATTGATAAATCAGAATTAACAACACAAAACAGCCCACTAAACACTACACAGCAATCCTAATTAGGGTAGATTTAGTCTCTTTATCTAGAGCCATAAAGTGAATATGATTAGAAGGGGTAAAAGACAATTGTGTGTGTGTGCACATACACACACACACATACATATATATACATACACACACATACATATACACACACCTACACATTTGTGTAACTGATGCAAATCGATAGCCCATAGCCAGAATTTTGTTTTTAAATATTCCAGGTAAGGACCAACAAACGGTGAATGGCATCATATCAGGAACTCTGGGATACAGCTTCAATTATGTTTAAATTCACACAAATGCCTACCTACATTTTAAAAAGAAAATATATTGCATTGATTTACAAAGGCCCATATAAATATAGATACGGTTTGTCCAGGGAACTGTAAATTTAGTCTCAGGTGGGCTTCACATTCAGCCTGAAATGAATCTGCAGAGAGAGGGAGAGTCTGAGTGTTACAAATTCAGTGGCTCTAGGGGAAATTTGTTAGAGATCATTCTGAAAGTCAGTGCTGCCTGAAAAATAAAAGAGAGAGAGAGAAAAAAACCCACCCCACACTGTGTTCAAATGATTTTCTCCCCTCTAACAACAGCATTTTAATTTAATATTTCTTATATTTGCCCTTCCTTCTGCCTTGTGGATTTTCAAAAAAGCGGTTTGGAGCCATTTAGAGTTATGATTTTATGTATGTGACATGAAATGGTAATACAGGCTGTCTTGGTGTATTGAACGAAGAAAGAGAAACAAAAATTGAGCAGGCTGTCTTACTTGTCTCATTTGCCAGGCCCCATCATAAAAAGTAAATGAGTTGTTTCGTTGTGATCCTTCAGAAAGATGTAATAACAGCGTTTGGTCCATAGGCACGAGGGGACGAGGCTACTCCGCACCCCCCGCGCTAGATGGATGATACTGATGGCGAGTGAACACGCACATCCTGCCTGAATATGAACAACAGATTTGTCAGTGTGTGACAGGCTGACAGCCCAGCTCCCAGCTGCTTGTCCACTGTTGTTATATCAGTACCTTGTCTAAGGATTCAGCAAAGAGGCAATCTGCTTCCTCCATTCATGGGAGGCAGGTTGCCAGTTAAAAAACAAGTATTGGCTTCAGGCAGCAGTGCCAGAATGCATTGAAAAGATGCAATTTAAACCCTTGCGTGCTCCTCAGGCAACATATCACAGGCCTTAGAAGTCCAGTCCTCCAGATTAGGTTTGTAAAACAAAGAAGATAACTCAAAATGAGATCTATGCTGGCAAAACATCATAATTTAGCTTCCATAAGTGTCTCAGCGAAACTTGGTTATGAAAGAAAAAACATGCTTGACTTTGGCACTGGGAATGTGGCTGAAGTGAAAGTTTGCTCAGTGTTTCTGCTATTACAATGTTATTTTTAAGGGCAGTTAAAACTGTGTCAGTGAAAATGTACCATGGCTCAGAGAGCTTTCAGAGTTAATGATGAGGATTAAAAGTTCTCATTTTTTACTAGTTGGGCCGTGTTGATGTGGTTGACAACCATTAATAAAATATTTTACAATGTAAAAATTGTGGAAATAGATTTATCAGACTTTATTTGAATCATTATGAAGACCTTATTAAGTATCCAAAAATTTTTACTGTACCTAGTTCTAAAATCTACAGAAGTTAATTAGAAAATGGGAGATAATTAAAGTAGCTAATGAGTTATACATGATATTTTAAAATGTTAAAGAGAATGGATTCAATACATTAAAGGAAAATAAAGTAGAAGAATCAATGAATTTCAGAAGAAATTGCCAGTTTGCTTTGGACACCATGGATGTATTGTTCAGAAGTTAGAGCATCACCTACTACTTTCAGCAGCCTGTTTGAATACAGGCATGTGGCATCTCTGACAGGCTGAGTGAAATAAGAGAAAACCCAAAAGGATTTATACCATGGTCTTTAATGGCTCCTTCAAAACAGTTATGTCCTGTCAAACCATTAATAAGCCGTATTTAAGAGTCCCTAAGTACACATTTGCACAACAGTCCCCAAGGACTCAGGCGAAGCCATTATAGTTTGTTGGATCAATAATTATCATCATTTCATTCAAGTCCACTGCAAAATGAAGAACTGGCTATGGGGTCTTCTAGCATCCTTGCCTCAGGTCACAGTGTGATGTTATAGGTCTTGGGAAGATTGCAGTGACTTTGTCCTCTAGCATCCCTGGAGACTCGGGCCCCACACGCTAACTGTACCCACAGTCCTTCTTTTGCCATGCGTAGGACTCAGGAGATACCTACATTCTTGTAAGTTTGAGGCATTCAACAAATCCAGTCTTTAGCTAAGAAAATTTATTTATTGATGTTTTTCTTAAAAAATAACCTGAAAAATAACAAAATGATTTTAGAAAGCATGTCTAGCAATTTGGATAGAAGTGCTGTACATATTTTTTTCTGCTAAAACATAATAGCCCAAATATCTATTCATGGATGGCTAGTTGGATAAGTTATTAATCCTTTATACAATGGAATACTCTGAGGGTGTCACTAAAAATGGTATTGTATGAGACAAGAAAGTGTTCCTTATACTCATAAGGGAAAAAAGTAGCTTAAAAAACTGTATGTTAATGTTTGGTGATTTTGTAAAATTACATACAATTAATTACATACCATATAGATAGATGGATATGTAAAAAAAAGAGAGTGAGAGATGGATAAAGAAGGATGTATACTATACTGTAAAAAAATGAATGTACAAAGTACTATCCTGAAAATTTTTGTGTTCTTCTTTGTGCTTTTCTGTATTTCTGATATTTTTCTCCATGACAGTGTGGTGCTTTTTTTAGTTAGGGAAAATATGCCATTAAAATTAAAAGCTGGCAACAATAGAGATGTACATTTAAATGATAGAACTTTCCTACTTAGTTAATTGCTACTCCTTTATTTTCTGTTAGGTATTTGTGATAGGCATAATGTGATATATTAATATAATGTAAAATATCACAAATGGAAAGCCTGAAATTGCCTTTTATTTTTGTTATTTGTTGTATAATATGTAAATATTTTAATAAAGACTCTCTCTTTACAAAAATTAACGTCTTGGATGAGAAGATGAACAAATAATAGTATCCCATCCCCACTCTGGTTATACCCATTAGAGATAATGGAGGTCAACAGCCTCCTTTCACATCTGTCCCCATGTTTGTACAAATATCTATATCTATATATAGATATAGAGTCTTTCTTCGTAAGATCAAAGTTAGCTTCTAGTGTGAATGTTATTCTGTACAAGTGCTTCATTCACTCAACATATGCACAGCTTTCTAAACCCAAGCATATATATCCACTTACTACTTTTAAGAGATTTTTCATTTTAATTGGCCTATCTGATAATTTATTCAACTAATAGACATTCAAGTTGCTCCCAGTTTATGCTTTTACAATGTTGCAATATATCTTTGCACTTATATTAATATGTATCATGGCTTTTACATCCCTGATGTGAAAATTGCTGAGTCAATGGGTATGCCCACTTTAAAATTTAGAAGATATTGTCATATTCCCTTCCCCAAAAGCTGTTTACCTTCAATGTTTGAGAAAGCCTGTTTCCCCATGTACTTGCCAGCACTGAGCTTTATGATACTAATTTTTTCATTTCTATCAATCTGATAGATGAATAATGGTAGCTCCCTGTTTTGATTTGCATTTTCATAACTACCAGTACTACTATCTTGATCTTAGAACTAGGTTAATCTAAGGAGATTCTCTGGCATCCTCTGTTTTTTGTCAACAGTTTTATTTATTTTTTATCCCATGTTGGTAGTCAGGACAGATCTAAATTAGGCTGCAAAAAGGTGACGAGTTTTCCTGAAGACCTTAACATGACAGAGTTGGCACTTAAAATTAGATCACCTGGTTGTGAAGACTGTGCTTATTCTACTGCATGTTAGGACCACTGAGAGAAAATACTTCCAAAAAGGCTTTTGTCCATTCTTTTTGATTCCCTTCCTTCAGATCTCTCCCTCAATAACAAATTCTCCTTTTCCAGTTTCTCAGTACATTCACACCTCTTGCTTTTTGGAGAGTATTATAATATTATATGTTGATCTTCCTCTTACACTCCACCATGCCTACCCATTCTTTGTGTTAACCATCCTGAATCCTCCTTCTGCTCTGCGTGAGCTACTTCTCTGACAAACTACTAGGTTGCAAAGCATTAGTGACCAACTAAGAGCTACTGCCCTGTTCCCTGTGGCAAGTGTTTGTATCTATACAGTGATATTACATCTATATTGTCTTTATTCAAGATATTTCAGCTCTGAGAAAAATAAATTCCCTGACTCATAAGTGAGAGAGATGGTTGGATCAGCAATGCTATCCATTAAAGAAATGGATTCTGGAAGAAGACCCTCTTTCTCCTTTTGCCTCTGACAATACATGTAGGCTGCTATGTTAAGACTGAGCAGAAATAAAGCCTATTTACTTTGCAGCCTGCTTGCCAACAGTAGCTACAAGGAATTGATCATGGTTGTTCTCTTTGAAATCATTGTAAATTTATAGATTAAAATTCACAAATTATATACACAGTAAAATATATAGCATACATATAGTTTTATTTAGTGAAATAAGATATATAATATACCAATATACAATGGACACTCTTATAACTGACTTTCCACATTAATGAAACCTCTACATTTTCTCTGTAAAACACATCAACTGATGTTCATAATCAGCTGAATCGTTGACTATATTCCACTTTCTTTTAATAACTGTTTTTAGCATTGCCATTTAGGATTGTGTTTAAACTCTATTTGAATTCATTTATATTTCTTTCCAGTATGACTCCTTACGGGTAATGAGTTCTATAACTTTATAGCCTGATACACAATGTTGTACTTCTATGTATTTACATGTTAGAATGGATGACCTATCTTCATAATGTTAATTTCCATTATGTAATTCTTTCGACGAGAGTATTGTCTTACATGTCTGCTTCTATGTGTTTTCTGAGCTATCACAGGTATATAAAAATCCCTTCATAACTATTATAAATTTTCTAGAAGACACTCACTACCTAGAAAATGTTCTCAGGTTTATGGGAGTAAGTTTCTTTAATCATGAATGTAAAATATCAGCTGAAAGAAATGAACCCACAATTTAGCTTCACTTTATTTGTTAATGTTGGAAAATTATCAGACCAGGCAACACCTAATTTAATGTATATAACCATATCACCATGCCATTTGCTCTGGACATTTGATTTATGTAAGAGGTGTCATAAATAAATTTATCTAAGGCTAAGAATTGGTAGAATGATAGGCCACTTTAGATGGTATGGTTTGCCAACAGCTTTTAAGAAGGGCCCTTGAGACCTAAAGAATGAGGAAGAGGCAGCTGTGTGACAGGAGTGGAGGTGGAGCTATCTCTGATTTGTATTCATCTCAGCTGCATTCAGATTCTCACAAGGTAGGAACAATATCCCAAAGTTATTTTGTGTATGTTAAAAATAATTAATCCAGTCTTCTACAGGCCGATCTCATCTCCATGGCCCATGTTTTATTATGTTATTTTTACCAGTGATATATTCATTGAGTATTTCTTAATTTATCAATTTAGGTAGACTCTACTAACTAGCTGTGAGGAAATTAGCATTCTTCTACTCCCTCAGTTTTGTTTCTTATATTACTATTTTTATTGTCAAGGTTTATAATGTTTGTTTTTCTTTGGTAATTCTATTAGACCTTTCAAATATTGTCTACAGGTTGATTAAAAATTGAAAGTAAGAAACAGAATCTAAAATATTACAGTTATGTAATTTTTTTTTTTTTTTTTTTTTTGAGATGGAGTGTCGCTCTGTCGCCCAGGCTGGAGTGCAGTGGCGCAATCTCGGCTCATTGCAAAAGCTCCGCCTCCCGGGTTCACGCCATTCTCCTGCCTCAGCCTCCCCAGTAGCTGGGACTACAGGCACCCGCCACCACGCCCGGCTCATTTTTTGCAGTTTTAGTAGAGACAGGGTTTCACCGTGTTAGCCAGGATGGTCTCGATCTCCTGACCTCGTGATCCGCCCGCCGCCCGCCTCGGCCTCCCAAGGTGGGGGATTACAGGCGTGAGCCACTGCGCCCGGCCTTTTTTTTTTTTTTTTTTTTTTTTTTGACATAGTCTCGCTCTGTCACCCAGGCTGATGTGCAGTGAGGTGATCTCGGCTCACTGCCACCTCTGCCTCCCAGATTCAAGCGGTTCTCCCACCTCAGCCTCCCAAGTAGCTGGAATTACAGGCTCTGGCCACCATGCCCGGCTAATTTTTGTGTTTTTAGTAGAGACAGGGTTTTGCCATGTAAGCGAGGCTGGTCTCCAACTCCTGGGCTCCGCCTGCCTCGGCCTCCCAAAGTGCTGGGATTACAGGCGTGTGCCACCGCGCCGGGCCTGGTTATGTAAACGTTTTAAAGTTTAGAACAAAGTAGCGTAGATGGAGCCATTTAGAAGAGACGGAATCATGCAATCCTACATCACTTAAACTTTCCTAAGGCAAACCTTTCAGTGTGGAAGATTCTGTTTTAATTTTTCTGACTCGATCTTTTCTTTCTCTATTTTCATATCCCAGGATATGTCCTTTCATAGATTCTTTTTATTCCACTGGACCACTTACTCAAGTAATTTGTTTTCCTGTAGGGTTCAAAAGGGGTTTATTCATATCAAGTTTAAAAGCAGAATGCTTTCTGAGCTTTGGCACGTATAAAATTTCTCTATTTTGCTCGTACTTATCATTGATAGTTTTACTGTCTAGCAGAACTCTAGGTTCAAAATCTTTTCTCCAATCACTTTGAAAACACTGCTCCAATGGTTCCTAGAACCCATTAACTGTTATGAAAAGTCTGATGCCCATTTGATTTATATTCCTGTGTAGATAATATGTTCCACAAATACACCTCCCTTACCTCTTCAAAAATATATCAGTTTTCTCTGTATTTGTCCTGTTTGGCACTCAGTGATTCATTTCCATGTGAATATTTACATTGTTTTATGGATTTTTAAATTTATTTTGCCCAGGTAAATTTTCCTTTTTTTATTTCTTGGATTTTCTTTTCCTTCCATTGCCCAAATTCCCTTCTACTGGAACTCTTCGTAAATTAATGTTAAATATGACTAGTCTTCACTATTCTTAAGTTTCCTTATATTTACCATCTCTTTTCTTTCAGCCCTGGTAAATTTATCATTCATCTCCACTGTGGGACCTCTTATTTTGGCAGTTGCATTCCTTTTGTTTTGTTTTGTTTTGTTTTTTTGAGACAGAGTCTTACTCTGTCACCCAGGCTAGAGTGCAACGGCACAATCTCGGCTCACTGCAATGCCCGCCTTCCGGGTTCAAGTGATTCTCCTGCCTCAGCCTCCTGAGTAGCTGGGGTTACAGGTGCATGCCACCACGCCTGGCTGATTTTTGTAATTTTAGTAGAGATGGGGTTTCACCATGTTGGCCAGGCTGGTCTCGAACTCCTGACCTCAGGTGATCCACCTGCCTCGGCCTCCCAAAGTGCTGGGATTATAGGCGTGAGCCACTGTGCCTGCTGGCAGTTGTATTTCTAACTTCCAAGAATATTTTTTGCTCTTTGATTTGTCCTGTTCATGGCAAGTTCTTCATGTAATAGTTATAGCAGCAATAGTCTCTCAAATGTCTCTGAAGATATTAATTAAAATATTTAAACCTCTTTTCTGTTCCCTGAATTATGGCTGTGCCTACTGGGGTCCGTTGCACTGTTTGTGTTTTAGTTAACAAATACTCATATAGTTCTTACTATGTGCCAGGCTCTGTTCCAACCAGTTGTTCTTCTCTGGTCCCACTTCACCTCCATCATCTCATGCCACTACTCTCAAAAACCCTGCATTCCACTTCTACCAAACCGTTTGTCCTTTCTAAAATTACATCATGTCCTCCCAGCTCTGTGCTATTGTCTGAGTGCTTACCTTTTCCATGAATATTTACCCTCTTCTCTATTTGCCAAATTCTGATTCGTTCTTTTCTTTTTTTTTTTTTTTTTTGAGACATGGTCTCCCTCCATCACCCAGGCGTTATCTCAGCTCACTGCAACCTCTGCCTCCTGGGTTCAAGCTATTCTCCTGCCTCAGCCTCCTGAGTGGCTGAGATTACAGGCGTCTACCAACATGCCCAACTAATTTTTGTATTTTTATTAGAGACGGAGTTTCACCATGTTGGTCAAGCTTCTCTCGAACTCCTGACCTCGGGTGATCCACCTACCTCGGCCTCTCAAAGTGCTGGGATTACAAGCGTGAGCCACCGCGCCCAGCCCCCATTCGTTCTTTAAGATCCAGCAAAAACATTGTCTTCCGTGAGGACAGAATGGGTCATTTCCTCCTTTATACTTCTTTAATGCTTTGTACAGACCCATCTTATAGTTTGGGTCAAATGTTATTACAATTATTTGTTTATGGACTTAAACAAATAATTGCATTCTTCTATCTTTATTCAAGATTCTTTAAAGCAAGGAATTTAACTTAGTTTTATATTTCTGCCTTTCCCACTTAGCTTCTGATATTATGGCTGGGACATGGTGGGGTCAAAAATAGATGAAAAAATGTCTCATTGGCCTCAAATAAAATAACAGATACCATACAAAGGTGACAAATATCAATGAATGTGACATTTTGAATTGATTGCTGGCTGCGACATTGTCTAAGACAAAATAATTATTTTTTGCTTACACAACATTTTCTTTGTAATGTCACTTTTATTTAGGATTATTCTATGTGCTATAACCTAAATGTGAAAAAGCCCCAGTCAACTGTTAGAAATTAACCCTGCAATTAGCCAGGTGTGGTGGTGGGCACCTGTAATCCCAGCTACTCGGGAGGCTGAGGCAGGAAAATCACTTGAACCCGGGGGTCAGAGGTTGCAATGAGCTGAGATCGCACCACTTCACTCCAGCCTGGGCAAAAGAGCGAGAATCTGTCTCAATAAATAAATAAATAATAATAAAATAAAAAGAAATTAATCCTGCAATATACATATGAAGAATACAGTTGGAGTTGTCACACAGTATGTATAATGGAAGTATTTTCACTTAGAGACAGGTATAACAAGCCTGAAAGTTTATTTTAAAATAACAGCTTTACTCTTGCTTGCTTGTATGTTCATGATCCAATGGTCAAGAAGAAATAAATATTTTCTGAAATAAAGAGCAATTGATAAATTATAAAATACTTCGTAAGTATAAAATAGAAATAGAAATAATGTGAAAAGGAAGAAAAGTATTTTAATTGTATAGTATTAGCCAGGATTTTAGGAAAAGAGTGTAAGTATCATTCTTTAATGTTACGTTGGTACACATGTGTGTATTTTACTTTAACCAAGAAAAATAGGCGTTAGAAACTGTTTTTAACACCCTAGGTTTTAAGAAGAGATTTTCTAAGCTGATATGAATCCTATTTAAGTATATTTAAGATCTCTCATTTAGAGTTAAGTGGAAGAAGAAAAGGCAAAACTGTCTTTGCAGATGTTGAGAAGAAATTCATTGCAGGCAATCATCATCTAATACCCAGTACTGACTTTTTGAACAAGTGCTTTCTCTAAATGATAAATCAAATGTGTTGGCACTAATGATAATCTCTTAGAATATGAATGAGAAAAGCAAGAATATTAAAACAATAGAAACATTATCATAAAATATCAGCCACTATAGCAAAGAACAGCAAAGGAAATTGGGAAACTATTTTGAATTTTTTATGGCTCATGTTAACGCTGTCTACAGCAGGGACTATTGCATAAAAAAGCTAAAATACGAATTAAGCTGTAAATATTTACCCATTGGCATTGCAGAAACTAACATTTGAAATGAAAGGATGGAAAATTTTGTGATAGACACCGAAAAAAAAACAATTTTCTTAAATACTACAATGTCTCATGCCCTAGGCAAATGAGACTACTTTCTAGATTTTGAACAAGCCATATACACATTTTTCCACCTCGGTTTACATTCCTTTGCCTCCACTGGCCGAGCTTACCTCCATCTCTGTCTATAGAAGGCTTAATTTTCTTTAAGGCTCAGCAGGAAAATTACCTCTGTGGGCAGAAGTCATTAATTTTTGAACACTTAATTCATTATATAAACTTTTGGGGTACTTGTCATAAACAGTTTTGTACAGAGTTCCATAGCATTTTAATTTTCAAAATGCTTTACATAATATTACTTTGTTGGATATTTTATGTGCGGGGAGGGGGATGGGGGACAGGGTCTTGCTCTGTTGCTCTGTCACCGAGGCTGGACTGCAGTGGCACCATCATAGCTCACTGCAGCCTCAAACTCCTGGCTCAAACAATCCTCCTGCCTCAGCCTCCCAAGTAGCTGGGACTACAAGCACATACCACCATGATCGGCTATTTTTTTAATTAATTAATTATTATTATTATTATTATTTGTAGAGACGAGGTCTCACTATGTTGCCCAGGCTGATCTCAAACTTTTGTATTGATCCTCCTGTCTTGGCTTCCCAAAGTGTTGGGATTACAGGCATGAGCCACCATGCCTGGCCTCATTTGATCTTCATTGTAACCCTTTGGCAAAACAGGAGAAGAAAAGGGAAGAAACTGAGGCTTCCAAGGGCTGGGGCTGCCCAAGACAACCCAGTGTGTAACTGAAGGGTGAGGATTGTGCTCGCGAATCTGCTGCTTTCCCAGCATTCCATGCTGCATCTCAGCACCTTACTCTCATCTTCCCTTGTTAAGTTGAATGCCAGATGAGGGCAGAAAGAAAACTAAATGAACAGATTACTCTCCAAATCTCCAAATACTGACAGGGTTTACATGAACGTATAGCAGCCCCAAACATTTCCCACACAGATTTAAACCCTCAATTTTATGAATCATTGTTTACCTTGTACATGTATCCAAATCCCGTCCTGGTTAACCATGTTCCATAAAAATGACCTTAGGCTCAGCAGATAGACAGGTTGCCCAGTGATCAAGGACTTGGGAATTCAGTTACTAGCAAAGCATTTGGATTAAACAAAATTCAGGAAGGACTCCGCTGCCAGGCAGGGTCAACATGGATGCCTCTGTACAAAGAAAGCTATCCCATCAATATTGTTGTTATAGGGGGATTCTTCTCCTGTAAGAGGAAATGGAAATAACTCCATCCCTGTCCCAACAGAGCATGTTAACACAGGGATTTTAAGGTGCATTTTGTGCTATTATCTGGTGGGCGTCAAGCTGGTTTCTGATTTTGAAATGCCTTCCCTTCTCCTGCCTGCCTCTGTGACAAAGTGGCATGACACAAACGTGGCTTTGATCCCCTTCTTTACATTAATTCTCTTTTTACAGATATAAGCTTTTTTGTACCCAGCTTTAGTTTTATTTTTATTCCTATTATTAAAGTGGCTACCAGCTGCTTCTTTTCAGCATTTATGAGGATTTGGCAGTTATTTATTTTTTTATTTCAGTGGTGGGGAGTCCAAAGTTCAACTCTAGCAAGGGGTCCATCAGACTGTGTTTTGAGGGTGGATTATACATGAGGCAGGCCCACACCTTGGCTCTGATATCAGCTCTATGGGCCTCCTCTTGCCTGGGAGCCTGTGGCAAGTTGCGTTCCTGGAGCCTCCCAGAGCGGGTGGATGTAGCGGGAGAGACGAAGGCTTTAGGCTAAATTGCCAAATCCTATATTTGTACACCAGCAGGCAATAAGTGAAGAAGCTTAAGCATTGCATTCCCACTGTCTGAGTCTGCAGACCCTGCAATCAAACACCGAGACCATATTCTGAAACAATTGTGTCCGATGACAGTTTATTATGGAAAGAGTCAGTATCACTCAGGATGCTTGCCAATAAAACAAAGCGAAAAACAGGATCTCTTCATAATTTCTACTCCATGATCCACAATTTCATAGATGATAGCTGAGCTCTTACTCAGATTTCAAAAACCACTTTGTGTACTTATGGGCCATTCACTCACACAGGGCCCGAGATGGGGGAACCCTCCACAGGCAGCAGGCAGCACCAAACAGAGACAGCCTGCTTTTGCTAAGCCCATCCCGAGCCTACCCCGTGACCTCCTCTCCCGGCGACACGGACAACCTATAAAGACTGAGTTAAGCGTGAGATCCAAACAGGAGCCAGCCCTGATGATTTGCCTCTTATTTTGGTGTTAAAGCTGGGAATTATCATCCTGCAGAATGATTTTAGACACCTCTGAGTCAATCCTTTATTTCTAAATCAGAACAGCACGGTCACCAGCAGGTTTGACAACAGGTAAACTTTTGCAAAATGCCAGCTGGCCTCACTAAGAAATTATACTCAGTGGAAGGCATGGAGCTACATTTTCTTGTCACCTCTGGCAGACATTTTGTTTACAGATTTCGCTGAATGTTCCTCTTAGTTAAGGAATTCAGCTGGAGGCTGCCTGTGTGAAATAGTCACACTCATTTCTTCAGCATTTGCTTGAAAAAAATATTTTCCCTCAAATAAAATTGTGCAAGCAGCCACTCTGACTTTGGACAAGAAAGTAACACTTTCATGGTGTCTGCTGTGGACAAGTAAGAGCTGCATATCCGGCATTTACATTCCATCATATATACTGGCATTTGATTAGAGTCAGTATAAGATTTTAAACGTTTTTTTTTCTTCAACAGTTAAAAAAAATCAGATGAAAGCAAGGCTGGTATTCACCAGCATGCACCATCACACTCTGTCAGTTATTAATAGCTGGCATTCATTCAGATAAGATGGGTTTCCAGTCTCATTGGCTGGTGCCTGTGCCAGTCTGATTATGAACTATTTTGAATATCATTCCTGAATATATGTTGCATATTTCCAAAAAGATGCTAAATCCCTTGTGGGTGGAGAGTACAGTATAAAATTCTTATGAATCCTTGCAGCAACCAACTTGGTGATAAGCACATGGCAGATGCTCCATAAATACTTAGGAAGTGGCATTTAATTAGATAATAGGAAATAGACACATTCTGCATTGGCAGAATATGACTATCATTGGTCTCATTTCACTCTGTAATGAGCTGTTTACCTAGCCTAATGACCTGCGAGGTGCTGTGGTTATTTTCACAGGTGCAAAAGTCAGATTAAAGAATGGACCGGGAGAGGGTCACAGAAAAACCCTACGCTACTCATCAACACAGGAATGCACAATGCCTGCACCCAGTGTGAGGTGCACCAAAAAATCTTTGCTCGCTCAACCTACTGCCAGACATGATTAGGAAATGGAGAGAGGAGGTTAGACTCTTAGGTGTGTTAAAACATTTCTGCCCATCACCCTAGAGTAGGGCTGAAATGTTGTCGTCAACGGATTCACGAAGGGTTTCAGCTAATTTAGACTGCTATTTCATACTAGCTCACCTTTTGATTAGTTTAACGTCTTCTTTTAAAATAAATGTCTTTTGGCTTCTTTTTACTCAAAACCCAGTGCCGCCCCCCCAGCCCCCACCACTTTTTAAAAATTTTAAACCAGCCAATACATACTTTTCACATTCTAGAACTAAAGGGTAATTATTGAAAAAATTTTATTCCTCCTTAATGTTTGTGTCTTTAAAATATTCTTGGGGTTATTAAACCCTCTCTGTGGCCATTATTTAGCAAACTTTACATTATTCATTGCTTATATTTTCCTTAAAGTCAGTCCCTTTAGCCTTTAATCATCTGTCTTTTCTCTGAACCCGTTCCAATTCTACAAATTATATATGGAGTTAGGGTCACTGACCCTGGACCCCAGTTCTTTAAAAGAAAAAAACCCATCACTTTCTTCTTCATTGTTCTGGGAAATCATGCTTAGGCTCTTGTTCAAGGTCATGTTGCCAAGTTAGTGTTATTCTGTATCTATGATCAGAAGACTGACATATCATGAGACATACATCAGGGGATACTGTCAAATGTTAGGTATGTGGGCATTACACATTTTGAATTTGTGGTAATTGGAACATGGGCTTGGTTAGTATGCCTGTGCACTACAATCATAGTTTTGTCATGTAAGTTAATGGCAGAAGCAAGTTACAGGGGAAATAAAGTAGTTAAGGAAAATCAAAGTTTTTGAAACTCTTGATACTATACAAATACTGTATGCCAATGTGGATCGGAATATTCATCCAGTTAAATAAAAAATTTTATTCAATAAACAATAACGCGGCATATCTGTAAGTATTAAATAATTTGGACTTTCTGCTAATTTAGGAATGAGATTTTCCCCAATTAGTCTGCATTGTGGAAGTGCCATCTAATCTTTGTAACTGAGAAGAACCAAAGAGTAGTAAAACTTCTCGGTGATGTCCATTGAGAAATGGTGTATGAAATCTCCAGCACAGAAGAGGCACTTAGACGTTTCCCCTCAACAGCTAACAGCGGAACTCACTAGCCTGAGTGTGAGAAGCAATAGTTACAAGATAGAATGGAAAGACCAAAGGACGTGGCTTCTGTTTTTCACAGCCTTGCCATGCTATCCTTTACTCTGTGGCACATAAAAACTGTAAAAGAGCTCAATGAAAAAATCACATGTTATATACCATTAGTAAAATAATACCGTTATTTTATATAGTACTAATTCTCTGCTGGATGTTGTCCAACAATTTAGGTAATCTATTACTTATATGTAAAATAATGCTAAGTATTACTCAGGATTCTCTTCTAATCTTATGAGTGTCCCTTGAAGTAATGGGTTTCCTCTATAGATAGGAATGAGAGGGATAGAATTTGATAGAGTTTGGGTCAATTTTTAAAAAGGGAGGCTGGGTTCAGTGGCTCACAACTGTAATTCCAGCACTTTGGGAGGCTGAGGCAGGAGGATTGCTTGAGCATGGGAGTTTGAGACCAGCCTGGGCCGCATAGTGAGACCCTATCTCTTACAAAAAAAAATATTAGCTGAGCATGGTGGTGAACACCTGTAGTTCCAGCTACTCAAGAGGCTGATGTGGAAGAATCACTTGAGCCCAGGAGGTTGGAGCTGCAGTGAGCAGTAATTGGGCTGCTGCACATCAGCCTGAGCAATAGAGGAAAAGCCTGTCCCCACCCTCTGACACCAAAACAAAGAGAACTAAAGAGAAAATTAGGCAATGATGTCACTTAAAATCCTCTCTTGCCACAAGATAGAACTTTATTAAAACATTATAAGGTGTAACAGCTCCTATAAATTCTGAGATGATTGCACAGAGAAAATTCAGTTGGTCAAACATAGCACTTTTCAGTGTTTTACAATACATTTAAGCATTAGCCAACATCCAGCAGATAATTAGTATTATATGGAAGTAACAGAAAGCCTCTTAATTTAGCCTGTAAAAAAAAAGGGACATGTATTATAAGATAAGGGGGTGTCTTATGGGATTGAGAATAAGACCTCAGAAAAGAATTACAACTGTGTTAGAACACTCGGGATGTATTAACCTGGGCAGGCTGTTATTTTAGCTTCTTGTCTGCTAACATAAAAATTGAAAAACTGGACAATTAACTGTCATTATAATTTTAGATTTGTGTTATCTGAATCTAGGGTGGATATTTAATAAATACTGACTTAAGCACTTCAGCTTTTACTTTTTCCCTCTGTTAAGTATTTAATGATCTGTAAATAAGCACTTCAGAAAGTGCTACCTAAAAGGACCCTGTGCTCTTTTACAACATGAAAAATCTTTGTGTAATGTGAATGATTCACCCTCTGATTTGTCTGTTTGCTAATAAGATGTTTGGCTCACATGGTCAGTATTTTGTCCAATAATATATTTTGTCCAATAATGTAAAAGGCCAGTCCTACGGAAGGAGGTCATATTCTCCTAAAGAAGTGTTGCTTCCTCCACATTCCAGGTGAGATTCCTCTTGTCTTTTTGGAAGAGAACATCTGACAACCTTAAGCCAGGTCTTTAGGGTTGTAGGAAACACAAACATTTTCTCTCCTTCTTTGTTCTCTCTGATCCTGTTTCATTTTTTTCTCATTTACAGACTGTTTGTTTGCTTCCCGATATCCTCCCTTCAAGAGACCAGTCACATCAAGGCTGTAATGAAATCTCTTAGTCCTAATACTAAATTCCCAGGAATTTTCTTCCACAGAGGGCCAGAGAGTGATAGTGTTTAGAATACTTCCCAGAAAAGGAGAGCTTGGGCAGATGACACAGTTAGATCCACCATAGAAGACCAAGCTTGTCTATATGGGCAAAGGTTTGGTGATTACCTCATCTATTTCTTCTAAGACAGTCTTGTTCAACTGAATTCTCATTCTCAGGTGCCTCTTTGAGAGTAGAGTTTAAGAATACCAGTTTTTTAAGTGCTCCTCTGGTGCTTCTTATGCACTTTGAAGACTGGTAGACACTGTTCTAGAATATACTCCCAAAATGACTGTGAAAAGATAGAGTTTCAACCTGAGCATCTGTAATAAACAGCATATCTGAGGAAACTGTTAAAACATTAGCTATTCTTAGAGTCCTGGGACAACTCTATTCTCCACTGGAGCTGGGCACTGGGTTCGGTGTCTTCCTTCATGGTTCTCAGCGATCAGTAGCATATGCAAGGGAGAGCTTGGTAGGTTTCAAAGGCCTTGGTGGGCATGGCTGATGTTTCCTGAGTGACTTGCAGTCAGCTCTAGTGAGAAATTAGTCACTGAGTGGCAGGTAGTTAAATTCTGTACTTTTACTGTTTATAGGTTCTAGTCAAATGTAATTTTTAAAACCTAGTATCATTTGGAGCCACAGCAGAAGTTTATTATTAAGGGTGTGCCCACGGTGGGGGCAGCTATGAAATTAAGAAGACTGTTTATTATGACTATCTTCATTGGGATTTTTTATTTTTATTTTTATTTATTTTTTTTGTTTTGAGACAGGGTCTCTCTCTGTTGCCCAGGCTGGAGTGCAGTGGCATGATCTCGGCTCATTGCAACCTCTACCTCCCGGGGTCAAGCGATTCTTGTGCCTCAGTCTCCCAAGTAGCTGGGATTACAGGCATGTACCACCACCCCTGGCTAATTTTCTATTTTTATTAGTAGAGAAGAGATTTCACCATGTTGTTCAGGCTGGTCTCGAACTCCTGACCTCAAGTAATCTGCCTGCTTCTACCTCCCCAAGTATTAGGATTACAGGCATAAGCCACAGTGGCCAGCCTTCATTGGGATCTTTAGGGAAGTAAAAATACATAAACATTTTTCTCCAACCCTCTCTCCCCAGAAAGCCGAAATTGGGATACATTGTCGTCATGGGTGGTGCACTGCAATTTGGTAGTTTTCCTCTCTTTCTAAATGGTACATAAAATTGAGGTGCATCTTAAAATCAATGGCATCTTAGATTCAATGAAATATGGTATAGGCTGCTTCAATATTTCTTTTTTTTTTTTTTTTTTTGAGACGGAGTTTTGCTCTTGTTGCCCAGCCTGGAGTGCAATGGCGCAATCTTGGCTCACTGCAACCTCTGCCTCCTGGGTTCAAGCAATTCTCCTGCCTCAGCCTCCCAAGTAGCTGGGATTACAGGCATGCGCCACCACACCCAGCTAATTTTTGTATTTTTAGTATAGACAGCGTTTCTCCATGTTGGTCAGGCTGGTGTCTAACTCCTGACCTCAGGTGATCCACCCACCTCGGCCTCCCAAAGTGCTGGGATTACAGGCATGAGCCACCGTGCCCAGCCTGATATTTCAGTCTGGATGCTTCCTATCAAGTTTATATGTCAGAATTAGTCCTCACCAAATATCCACATGCTCCCCTACTATCTACAGCTTCTCTGCAATTCAGCTGGGCCCGTGTGGGCAATTCTGACCAACAGGTCATGAACAGAAGTGACCTCATGTCTCTCACCACTCCCTGACCTCCCACCCCAGCCCAAAGCAGTTAAGTGCTAATGTACCTCTTCTATCCCCTTTTCCCTGCCACAGCAAAATTGGGAGCAAATAGGTACTAAATACTCTTTTGTTTCACAGGCTTGCAGTAATATATACCCACCTGATAAGTGGACCATGAAGACTCTTTCTGCTTGATTCCTACTAAGCAGAGACTCATTACTTTCCACACCTGACATTTTAAGTAGTAGCCCTGGGGTGCCGCTCCCCCTTGTTCCTGTGCATCTCTGAGCTTTTCATGATCAGCTAAACTTCCACATTCTTTTACTATAACTGGCTTGGGAATGGGGGAGAAATAATCTTCCAAAGAGGAACACAAGGAAAAGCATTTGATTTCTACTCTCCAAATATTTGGTGAGATTTGGGAAGCAACCAGGAATGTGAGCTTCAAAAAATTGGGCGATTCCTCCAAGGTGGAAGTCTTTTGGCACACTGAATCTTTTGGTCCACCGGCTTCTTGAGAAGCCTTTAAGGCCAACCGATCCCCAGAACAAGATCTCTCTTGGGCTTCACTGCGAGTTATTCTTTGGAAAATGCACTTCTGAATTCACTTTTTGTATTGTCTCAGGAAAATCCTGTTTGTGAAAATGCCTCATGGTATCTCCCTGAATCTGAAGAAGTAAAGAGAAAGACTGTTTGCTTTGATGTAATCAGATTCTCTGGAATTTAATCCTATATCCTATTTATGGCTGAGCTAGCCATTCAAAATTAAAATGAACCTTTCATCCATGTGTATCATAAATGGGCATTTATCAGGATTATATGATTTTGCAATCCATCTGAATACGTAACCAGAATTTGTTTTCTTTCCATTTCACTATGTAATTACCATGCAACAATAACAAAAGTGACATGTTTGAAGAACAGATAAAATGCTGTAAATTGGCCAGTAATGGTGATATTTCCTCATCTTCTCAAAAACCCATTTATTCTCTCTCTCAACAAATCAAGGCATTGTCAGCCCATACTCATCTTGTGGCCAGAGGGGCTCCACCAATTTCTGGATGTAAGTGAGTCCTGGAATGCAGATGAGGCCGACTAACGAAAGCTTTCAGTGCAGGCAGCTGGTCTTTGCTTGCCTCAATTTTTAAATCATCCATAATGGGGCCAAGACCTCCCAAGCACTAAAAAGAGCGAGCTGACATGCTGGATAAACTGTTAATTTTTTCCTGAAGAAGCTGCTATATTGCACATCTGTCACTGCAGTGCAGACAATTACTCACTGAGTCAGGGAAAAAAATCTGCCGCTTGTTTCTAGCTGAGTTGTTAAGGGACTTAATGGAGAAATACAATGGCGTGGGAGTCAAAACATGCTGCTTTCCCATGTGCTTGGCAATTGTTCCCTCCTTTTGGAAGACTGTCTTGTAATATTAAAACATGTGAAGTAGACTAAGATGTGTGTTTAGAAAAACAGCAAAGGAATTAGAAGAGGTACAATAAAAGGACAGGCATATAAAGATGTGGGACGATCAAGAATCTAGCCTTACAGATTACAGGCCACTGTACTTATTGCTGAGAACGTAACAACGCTGTGGCCAGTGTATTAGAAATATTGTGATTTTTCACATTATAAATTTCAAACTTTTAATATATATTCCCCAAGTGCTTCACAACCATCTAAAAATTATTTTATGAATTTCATGCCTCGTATATGCAATGTGGATCATCTATACTGTTTCCATAATGAATTACAGCCATCAATGAGACACTTTAGAATCCCAGATTTGTCAGTCATCTAACAGAACTTTAGTTGTTTTTTTCTTCGCTAAATCATTTGCATGTCATACATATGAAATCCTGGCATTTGAAGAAATTAACTTCAATAAGTGATGGAAGAATTTGTTTGGATTTGAAAAGCATATATTGAGTTAGTATACTATTTCTCAGTCTTTCTATTTTTATTGAAGAATATTGATTTTAGAAAGAAAGAAACTTTTTTTTTAGAAATAGGAAGATGCAAACAGACAGAAGATAGTTTTGGCTGTTTTATTTGGGATACTATTGTAATATACTTTTATCTCTAGTCTTACAGCTGGAAAATCAAGCATTATACACACTCCTAAAATACTAGCAATTTATCTTGAAAGTTCAAACTAAAAGAAAAAAAAAAAGAAACACAAAAAATAGCCCTCAATTTTAACCTTACTTCAGCCTTGAAAAATTAAGAAACAAACACAGGACATTCTGATATTGCAACAGGAGGGAAGTATGTGGATCTGAGAATGATTTAAACTGTCTGACAATTCAAAGACAGGAGACAACTCTAATGTACAGATAAAACTAAAAGTGGCAATAGTAGATCATACTCCTGGCAGTTAATGGCACTGACTCGCTGGAGACAAATCTGGATCTACTTAAAGTGTCAGGTGTGTAAAGTAATGAGTCTTTGCTTAGTAGGAACCCAGCAGAAGGAGCCTTTATGGTCCGCTTGCCAGTTGAGTATATGTTACTACAAGCCTGTTAAATAAATGAGTATTTAATACCTATTGCATGAAAAAAAAAAACCCTACTTATTTTGACAACTTTACTCAGTTTTTTGGGAGAAAAGATAAGTTTAATCAACATAGTGAAATGCCTCTTACAGCAAACAAAACTCAACACTTCAATGCATATTACAAAACACTTAAAATGTCCAAGCAGCTTTATGAGAGGCACAACTTTCCAAAAGGAAATGGAGTGATTGTAACAGATTTGAACTCTGATACTTTAAGTGGTCAGAGAGAGCGTGTGTACCTTGTTACATTAGAATCACAGAATCCTTGAGGGGAAAGAGACCTTAAGCAAGTTAGTCTAATCAAGCTTCACAGAAACAATAAAAACAGGAAAATGTGGTAGAGCAGCTCACAATCGGCTATGAATACATTTGTGAATCAAATACATTTACCAATATTTTTCTCTAATTTTTTTGAGATATTGAAATTTTTCGCTGAACTTAACTGCACTATTAAATGATAATTGTCAATGGGTACTCATTTAAACCAATTTTTAAAGTACTTTCAACTTTTAAAAAATAACTCTAAGGTAAAAGGGAAACATTTAAAGCACAAAGACAATGACTACTTATAAATAATGTTCTTAAACATTATGTTTTATTCTTTGATTCTTTGTTGTACTATTAACATGACTTTCTACCAAAAGAAAAAATAAAAAAAAATATTCTTTGCTAACAATTTCTTTACAATGCCAACTTAGATCACTTTTCTTTTTGAAAGACAAAATACAGGTGAAAACAGTTTTAAAAAGCATGTCAACAGTGATTTTTTCTCTTTTCGGAAATATCTGCTCAAAATAAAGTGTACTGAATAGAAGCAATTGTCAGTTCAATTTACAAGAATGCCAATTCTCAATATTAAAATAAACATTAATAAAATGCAGTATTTTGTAATTATGTCTGTATACTGCACACAGGCATTATAAATACACCTATAGGTACACATTATGTATATCTTTACCCCTACTGTGTTAACTTCTGTTTGATAGCCACAGTATGAGTTATAAAATATATGGTATTTAAATGCTGAGACCAATTTATTGGCAGATTTTAATTAGCAATGAATGTTTATTTAAAAGGGTGCCATATAGTTTAAAAATAAAAGTAACCAAATTAAATAGTGTATTCGGGGAGCAGAAAAGAAGGAAACAAATGACTCCAGCACACAGTCTGGTCATTATCAAGTATAACAAATTTTTTAAACAGTCAAGTTGCTAATGTAATCATGCTCAGCGTCTCTAGGCTATTGCAGGTAATTAGGATAGAAAAGGGAGACCTATGCAGTCTCTAAAATTTTTAGTACAACCAATTAATTTGCTATAAGGCTACAGATACTGTAGAAGAGTGGCTTCACAAAACAGCAGAAGAAATATCTTACTACCTTTTAGAGGAAATATAAATGATACATTCTAAATCTTGGGGTTCTATGGACGTTGTAACTGGCAAAAAATTAACTATATATAAAAGACAAATTAGTGGGCTTCAGATGGTGAAAGACATTTGATTTGCACTAAAAAATTCGTATTTTAATTGCGTTTGTTTCTCCAATTAAGTTCAGGTACAACCAGAACATCAGGTCTGTACTGAGTTTTCTTAAAGACTGAGGGCATGTCAGTAGAAGTATGGGGGAAGCTTGGGATGTTATCACTTCTCTGCTTTGAGTGCTGATTCACATATACTGTAGAGTACATATATTCTGTACAATTAAACACTTCAACAGAGTAAGAAGTATTTTAAGTCCTCTGTGAATCACATAGAGGGCTCTAGGTGTCAAGATGAAGAAGAACTGTCTTCTATTAGCTGAAAATACAAAGAAGAATTTTTTTAGGTGTTAGAGAAGCTAAGTTAACATCCCACAGAAGTTGCTTCAGAAGATTTGTACCTGTCCAGAACAGCAACAATAAAGAGCACTCATAAGGACTGCAATATTTAATGAAGAAGTTCCTATACACTAGTCTGGTGTATATACTGCTCTTCTTCACTATGAGGGTTTTTACTTCCATTAGAACATAATAAGGTGAAAAAGAACAGCCAAGTCCTCAGGAGTGTGGAACCAGGCTAACAATGACCTCATTGTTTGCTCTCAGTGGCTTCAAACTTGGCTTTTTGAGATTCTAGGATTTTAGCAGATCTCCAGGCAATCAAATTAACAAAACCTCAAACACCAAATTTTGAATAGACCCCAGAGCACAATACACTATCACAAAGAAGTTTTAAAACTTGTATATAATCTCCCCCCGGCTACATAGACAGAATGAGCATTTAGAAAATATCAGTTAAAAAAATGGCAAATTTGTAAGTAAAAAACTTGTAGAAAGTAATGATACCATGGGGTTACTTTATCCAGTAAGAATGCTTCAAAAGAACATCTCTTCTGGTCGTCCATAGTTCCCTAACCAACCTGTCCTCTAGGTACAATATCCCTGGGAAAGAAGATAATTCTCAAGAAATGTACATTTGGCAAACCGTGAAGGCTTTCAAATAGCAGGTTGGACTTCCCCTCCCTAGTTGGCAGGATTTTTTTTAGGGGACCACCTGAGAAAGGTCTGTTACGTGCATAAACCTCCTTTAACACCTTTTAAAAACTCTTCTGGGGGCTGGGCGCTGTGGTTCATGCCTGTAATCCCAGCTCTTTGGGAGGCCAAGGTGGGCGGATCACTTGAGGTCAGGAGTTCGAGACCAGCCTGGCCAACATGGTGAAACTCCGTCTATACTAAAAATACAAAAATTATCCGGGTATGGTCGTGGGTGCCTGTAATCCCTGCTATTTGGGAGGCTGAGGCAGAACAATCACTTGAACCCAGGAGGGGGAGGCTGCAGTGAGCCGAGAGTGCGCCACTGCACTCCAGCCTGGGCGACAGAGGCAGACTCTGTCAAAAAAAAAAAAAAAAAAAAAGAAACAAAAAAACTCTTTTGGAAAGTGACAAGATTTTAAAAACCCATTAGAAAGGTGATTCACATGTGTTATCTCAGTCTTTACTCAACCAGCAAAGGCCATTATAAATAGAATGATAATAATCATCATCATAATAAGTTGTTAATAATGAAGATAATAAATAAAGATCTTCTAAACTAAAAGCAATTTAGAATTTCTGATACTATGAAGCAAATGACTCAGAAACAGCTCAATACTAGGCACGTAATACAAACGACCTCTTTTGCTAGGTTTTAAAGTAACATCTTGGGTCCTAGAAAGGGCAAATCAGTACCATTTACTTCTTTTGTTCACCTTCTAAATGGGTTGGGTCATTGCCAGAAATCTGAGTTCTGGGAGAGCCATTTAACTTTTCATGTAAATTGATTCAATATTGTAATAAATTACTCCAATGATTAAAATTTTAAATCCGTTTACTACACTTGAGTTGATCTTAAAAATAATATCAATCTTTGGGAAAACAGAGGTAGAAGTACATCTGGATTAATAGAATTTACAGTTCAATCACGGTGAATTTAAAAAATACATTTTTCTTTCAATAATTATTTTATGTTCTAAATGAGGTAAAATTTATAAAATCTGCATTAAAGTAAGGTAGAGGGCACTCTGGTGATAACAACGATGAGGTTTATTTTTGTCAAAACATCCAAGGGAAACATTAATTGTTGTTTGTCAACTGTGAACTTCACACTACATTGTCTAAGGATAGAAAATTGATGGGTATCACTCTGTCAGAAAATCCTCACCAAGAAGCCAATTCAAGGAATATGAAATTGACAAGCCTTTCAAACAAAGATGTGTTCGGACTTCACTGATGCGATGGTAGGTCTTTTGGGTTACAATAGATAGGGATGATATAAAACACAATCTTTTCCTGTCTATTCCATTTTAGAAACTGGTGGGTGTGCTCACGTTTGTCTGGGCATTGCAGCACTGCACACATACATGAATTAAGCAAAGCATCGGAAAGTATTGACACATGAGACTAAAATAAATAAGAGAAACGAGCTGCTCTTTATACCTAGAAATAGCTGGAAATTACTGAAAAAAATTAAAGTGCAGAGGTTTTCATTTTAGCACCATGAATTGTGATGAAATCCCATTTCTCTCACTATGGCAGGACTGTATGCAGTAAGGAAGCTAGAGTGATGTGTTTGAGGCAATGTAGATTTTTGCTTCAAAAACAGAAGTCATGTTATCATTTTAGAACAATGGGACATAGTGAATAAAGTCTGTAAAACATTTCTTCTTTGCTTTTCTTAGGCGGATTTTCCTGCATTGGGGGTAGTAGTTGCGGAAGTACTTTTTGGTAGAGGAAATCCAAGTCCTAATCCCTTTGGCCTCTGCATGGCTTGAATTGGCTCAGAGATCCCCTTGCCATCTCGTCCAAGGCCTGACCCAGGCGTCCAGCCCATATTCTGAAGCATTCGGTTTCCAATATTATTTTCTAGGATTGGCTGGGCATTTTCACCTACAAATCCTGAAATGATAAAACAACAGCACACATTAATCAGTATGAACACAGGTGAAGATATTAGGCTATGAAAACGATGTTCTCCTAAGTTTTGTTTTGTTTTGTTTTTCAACCAGGTACTAGAGGGGGTTGCGTATTCATCTTTGGATACTTTTTGTAGTTGAGAGAACAATGGAAGAAAGATCTTGTTTAGAATTTCAATTCTAGCACTTCACAGCAGGGTGAGCTATTCAGCCTCTCTGGGCTTTTGTTTCCTCATCTGTGAAACAGCCATAATACAACCTACATTGCCTATCTCACAGAACTTTGTAGGACAGATGAGATCATGTATGTAAAGAAACTTCTCAGTAAACCATAAAGTACTCTACTAATGGATTTATTTTCATTACCATGTTAGCCTTATGGATTATTCAGAAAATCACCAACCTATATTGTAATATCTCACATTTGCCCATGACCTTGACATTCAACAGAACCAAAACTAAAACCAAACCAAACAAAAAGCACAACTGGTGGCATCTTGAATTCCTAGGAATTTACATTCTTATAATCTCTCTCCTTGTTATTTATTATTCAGTCTGTAACATATGCCTCCTTTAGTTCCTTTCCTCCTTTTCCTTCCATGGCCATGTTTAAATGATTATATAAGTTAGTAGAAAGAAAATAGAGGAAAATAATATTAAAGAGATATATATTATAAAACTTAAAAAATATATTATATACATTTGCAGGTACATAGACCACAATTCCCTTCATAGGCCTCCAGAGATAGATATATTTCTTCCTTCCCTTCCCTCCCTCCTTCCCTCCTTCCCTCCCTTGATTCCTTATTTGAAAAAGGAGATTGGTTAGTGCTTAACATGAAATTTAGATATAGATGTTGTTTACCATATTTTCTTAGCAGGTAATTGAGAAATGCATCTATTTTAAGCATTTTCTCTTTGATGACATTTTCAAAAATAGACTTTGAATTTTTTTTGTAGGCTCTTATAGAAAAAGTTGAGCATAGATACTGTATATTTTGTTCTAGGGAAAAACTCAGAAGTACTAGATATCTGAAATCCAAGGATGGAGAAATTAACAAACACCATAACAGTCAAAAAATACAAGAACTTGAGCTCTTTCCTTCAATTGCAAGCTTGGGCTTGTCCTTGGCCTTGGTTGATCTGTCCCAGGTGTGGTATAGGTTGGCTCTTTCCTTGACTGGTTCATTTCTGTTCCTTCTCTAGCAGCAGGTATTAGATTATGGTGTATGAAAAGGGAATATAGTAAATCTGGAGCTAACCAATACAAGCAATCAGAAGTCTTAATTATCAGAGCATTTCTTATGGTTACTCCCCTTTTAGAAGAAAGTGAATAACAGACAAACTAATATTGCAGTCTTTGAGAAAAAAAAAGAGAGATGAAAGTCTATCTTAAAAGAACCTTTGTCTTAGTGAGAACATATTCGGCCCAGTCCAATCTCTTACACCAGGGCTCAAATTTACAGGGACACAGAGTTTGACACCATTCCCTCCATAGGCCTCCTATACTACACTTTCCAAATATCAGTAGAATGCCTGTGGTATAGCAGCTGAGTCCTGGCTCTAGCATATTTCTGCTCTGAAATGTGGACCATGTCTTCCTAGACAGAGGTTGAAATGGTCAGCTGTTGACATAACCACTTACTTCTCTCAAAGTTTCATGAGTCTCTTTAGCACCAATCTACACCTCACCCTGCCCCTATCCCTTTCCCATCATCAGTTTTCTTCTTCCCTGACTCAGGATTATTACGGCACCTTCTCCCCAACTACAAAAAAAAGTTGGAACTCTCTGTCCTACTCTTTCTCTGAGACTATGTTCAGAATGGTGGTACCAGCAGAGAAGGATCCTTGGATCTCAAACATCAATAAGAATAACAAAAATATTAACGATGAAACTCCAGAGTATAGTAGTGTTCTCTTTCTTATCCTGAGTTGTGGTTACCCAAATGGCCAATTTATTATTGTTCTTTAAGCTGTTCATATATATATATATATATATATATTTATTTATTTATTTATTTATTTATTTATTTTGGCAGAGTCTCACTCTGTTGCCCAGGCCAGAGTGCAGTGGTGAAATCTTGGCTTACTGCAACCTCCACCTCCCAGGTTCAAGTGATTCTTATGCCTCAGCCTCCCGAGTACCTGGGATTACAGGTGTGTGCCTTCACCCAACTAATTTTTGTACTTTTTAGTAGAGAAAGGATTTCACCATGTTGGCCAGGCTGGTCTTGAACTCCTCACCTCAGGTGATCCACCTGCCTTAGCCTCCCAAAGTTCTGGGATTACAGGCGTGAGCCACCACACCCAAACTGTACATATACATTTTTAAGTGTATTCTTTGAACTATGTATTTCACAGTAAAAAATAAAATAATAGTAAAAGGAATGTCAGCATTGAACCAACGGTGTATATTCTCTGGTAACTTGTGTCTCACATTGTGGGGAACAGCAAGTGAGTCACGCTCTGTGATTCTCACTTGTAGAACAAGGAAAGCCACAAAGTGCTAGACATGAGTTTTAATACCTACACCCCTGTTATTTACTATGGAGTAGTCATCAATTGATTTTCAAAGCCGTTTATTAAACATTTTGGTATTCTCAATCTTCAGTGCATTTCAAGACCAAGAAGAAGACTACATCATTGCCATTTGCTAAATTCCTTAAAGGGAGTAAGAACTAGCCAATGATTAATTGGCTTTGGATTTCTCAAATGGATTCATAGCTCATGGAAACAAGTACCTTACCATGTAACAGAAAGAACCTTCAACTACTTGCCTCTTGAGTGGCAACACCCAACAATGTCAAAGAAAAATTCTTGACTAAAATTATTGACCACTTGAGAAGGGCAAAATGCATATACAGAGATTATAAATATATGTGTGAATGTGTGTTGTGTGTGACAGTGAAAAATGGACCTCTTAGTCATACACACGCAAGCACGCACAACATAAAAATCTTTTGTCAAAAATGTTTAATATAACAAAAAAGCAGTTAATTTTTTATTTTGAAGCCATGATTATGGTGGTAACCAGGACAGACCTCCAAGGTATGTAGTTTTTTCTGGATAGCTGCTAATCAGGTATGCCAGGTTAAACAGTGCCTTAGCGTGTTGTCTCATATCCCTGATTTTTCAGTGATTGCCATGAATTAATTTACTTCTACCCTAAGCTAAAGTCAGACCAGAGGTCTATTGCTGCTCTGGGCTATACATCTGTTTACTCACATTTTTGATAGGATAGCTTGCAAAAGTTCAGAATTAAAATTTGTTTAATATTTAAGAAAACAGTAAGGCCAATTTAAAATATTTCTAAAAAACTGCTAAATTATGGTGAATTTTCAGTCCTAAAGTGAACAGCAAATGATAATTGATTCACTATTATAATTGAAAAATGTTGGTATTTCAAGCAGGGTAGCCCAGGGGTGACCACCATACTCTCATGCTTTTGTTTTTATATAGATGGAAAAGAACTCATTCTCATTTTTTTAAATGATGGTTTCATTTCTCTTCTTCATAAAAATAAAACAATATAACATAAAACAAAGCATTATCTTGTACTCAGAAGAAAAATGAACATTTTATTCTTCAAATGCTAAATCTTTCCTCATAGAAACACAACCCAAAAAACAAAAAAAAGTAACAGATACTTCATTATTCATGGAAAATGATTCTAGAGTGAAATCTACTGTTGGCTTCTCATCCTTCTTTTATGAGATTAAGACTTGGGAGTGGAACAACTCAGCCTCAGCGCAGTATACACCACAACCATAATTTCCCTTTCTTTGGCTCCTGGCAGTGTTAAAATCCTTTAAGACCTTTCCTAGAAGGCTCTCCTGCTCAGGCAGCTTTAGCAATACATCTCCTACTAACCTTTCTGCCTGCTTCCGCTCCCAGCCTCCTGTCTGCTGGATCTCTCATATCTATTACAGCTGAGTCAGTCCTTTCCCCTCAAATCTTCCAAAGAGTACCGTGGAGGGTAATTCACTTGCATAATTGGCTCAAGAGATGAAAATCTTGTATCGGCCTCTCTTAGCCACTAATCTATCCAGCTGACTGCAAGCCTAATTGGCAGCTTGTTTAGTAATTTGGCTCCTAAAGTGTTGTATTGATGTTGGATAAACAGCCAATGGAAGGGGAGGTGACACATGCTGCTTCCCATAGAACAGCTAGTGCACTCCGCCTCTGTCCCTATCTTGTATTCACAAGGCATTTATTAGTTTGTGATCACTCTTTCTTCCCATACTCTTTTCACCATTACTTGACTAGCCAGCTGAGGGGCTGGGCTATTCTCATTATTATTAGGAACATTATAACAATGATAAGTTATGATACTGTCCTCTGTTCTCAGCAACTAATTTAGGGACATGGATTTTTGATTATTATTATTATGAACTCAAAGAACAGCATTAAGCACAGTTTAAGATGAGAGAAAGTGGTAGGTGTTACTATTCTTCGTCTAATATTTTAATTATTTCATTTACTAATATAGAAATGCTTCACTAATTCAGACTAGTCTATAATTTTATCTGCAATATTGCAGACATACTTCATGATACTTTTGTTAATTAAAATCAGTTTAAATAGTTAAGTGCATAAATATATGATGCACTGACATTTAAATAACAGAAATTTAATGTAAAACTAGTTTTTTTTTCCTTAAGGGATAAAAACTTTGTAAAGAATAAAAGACATGATCTGTTACTGACATGTTTAGAGGAGGAAGTGTTCTTATTAACATATGTTTTTAATTAAACCGAAACATATTTCTTATGGAATGCTTATGTATCAAACAGTATGCATTTTCAAAAAAAAAAAATCTTACAAATAGAAAACTGTTTTGGCCCTGAAGTCAGACAGGAATGTTTATCTGCTACAATATAATCAGAACCATTTTTGGTCTTCCTACTAGAAAGCATGCCTACACAAAGCATGTGGTATATTTGTTAGGTATCTGACATTCATTATTTATACTCTTCATTCAAAAAGGAAATTTTAATGGTCCTCAGAGAGTTGAAGTAACTTAACCTTGACCACACAGTGAGTAAGCTAGGATTCAAACTTTGGTTAAGCTTACTCCAAAAGCCTACACACATTTCTTTACCTGATTCCCCTGATTCCCTATAAGAATTTTTAGCAGAGATGTTGTACAAACCACTAAAAAAATTCATTGAGTAATATATGAATTGCAATATTAGGTTCTCTCAATTTGTATATGAACAATATATCGCACTTTGTATATGGACAATATATCACAGACACATTTGGATAACGTAGAATACAATGACGTCTGTAGCCCTTATACATTATAAATGCTTCTGTATCCATAATTTCTTTTGATCTTATCAACCTGAAAGGGGAGTATTATTGGCCCCATTTTGTAGATGTAACTGATGTTTGGAGAGATAATTCAGCTGCCCGAAGTCAATTAGCTAAAGAGTACCCCAGTTAGAACTTGAACTTAGGACATTTGATCCCAAATGTTACCCTTTCAGCCGACTGAACACTGAACTTGCAATATTATATCATCAACATTTTCTGATGCATGGGGAGTTGCCGGCAAGATGGCTGAATAGGAACAGCTCCAGTCTGCAGCTCCCAGCGAGATCAATGCAGAAGGTGGGTGATTTCTGCATTTCCAGCTGAGGTACCTGGTTCATCTCACTGGGACTGGTTAGACAGTGGATGCAGTCCACGGAGGGTGAGCAGAAGCAGGGTGGGGCGGTGCCTCACCCAGGAAGTGCAAGTGGTGAGGGAACTCCCTCCCCTAGGCAAGGGTAGCCTGGAGGAACTGTGCCTTGAGGAACAGTGCACTCCAGCCCAGATACTACGCTGTTCCCACGATCTTCACAACCCGCAGACCATGAGATCCCCCCGGGTGCCTACGCCACCAGGGCCCTGGGTTTCAAGCACAAAACTGGGCGACTGTTTGAGCAGACACCAAGCTAGCTGCAGGAGCTTTTTTTCATACCCCAGTGGCACCTGGAATGACAGCGAGACACAACCATTAACTCCTCTGGAAAGGGGGTTGAAGCCAGGGAGCCAAGTGGTCTAGCTCAGCACATCCCACCCCCATGAAGCCCAACAAGCTAAGATCCACAGGCTTGAAATTCTCACTGCCAGCACAGTAGTCTGAAGCCGACCTGGGATGCTTTGAATTTGGTGGGGGAAGGGGCGTCCGCCATTACTGAGGCTTGAGTAGGCAGATTTCCCCTCACAGTGTAAACAAAGCTGCTGGGAGTTCCAACTGGGTGGAGCCCACCACAGCTCAGTAAAGCTGCTGTAGCCAGACTGCCTCTCTAGATTCCTCCTCTATGGGCAGGGCATCTCTGAAAGAAATGCAGCAGCCCCAGTAAGGGGCTTATAGATAAAAAACCCCATCTCCCTGGGACAGAGCACCTGCGGGAAGGGGTGGCTGTGGGCACAGCTTCAGCAGACTTAAACATTCCTGCTGGCTGGCTCTGAAGAGAGCAGCAGATCTCCCAGCACAGCGCTTGAGCTCTGCTAACGGAAAGAATGCCTCCTCAAGTGGGTCCCTGACCCCCGTGCTTCCTGACTGGGAGAAAACTCCCAGCAGGGGTCGACAGACACCTCATACAGGAGAGCTCCAGCTGGCATCTGGCGGGTGCCCCTCTGGGATGAAGCTTCCAGAGGAAGGAACAGGCAGTAATCTTTGCTGTTCTGCAGCTTCTGCTAGTGACACCCAGGCAAACAGGGTCTGGAGTGGACCTCCAGTGAACTCCAGGAGACCTGCAGCAGAGGGACCTGTTAGAAGAAAAACTAACAAACAGAAAGGAATAGCATCAACATCAACAAAAATGACGTCTGCACAGAAACCCCATCTGAAGGTCACCAACATCAAAGACCAAAGGTAGATAAATCCACGAAGATGAAGAAAAAACAGCACAAAAAGGCAGAAAATTCCAAAAACCAGAACGCCTCTTCTCCTCTAAAGGATCACAACTCCTTGCCAGCAAGGGAACAAAACTGGAGAATGAGTTTGAGGAATTGACAGAAGTAGGCTTCAGAAGGTGGGTAATAACAAACTCCTACAAGCTAAAGGAGCATGTTCTAATGCAGTGCAAGAAAGCTAACCACCTTGAAAAAAGGTAACTAGAATAACCAGTTTAGAGAAGAACATAAATAACCTGATGAAACTGAAAAACACAGCATGAGAACTTCCTGAAGCATGCACAAGTATCAATAGCTAAATTGATCAAGCGGAAGAAAATATATCAGAGATTGAAGATCATCTAAATGAAATAAAGCATGAAGACAAGATTAGAGAAAAAAGAATGAAAAGGAATGAACAAACCTCCAAGAAATATGGGACCATGTGAAAAGACCAAACCTACGGTTGATAGGTGTATCTGAAAGTGATGGGGAGAATGGAACCAAGTTGGAAAATACTCTTCAGGATATTATCCAGGAGAACTTCCCCAACCTAGTAAGACAGGCCAACACCTGTCTTCTCGCTGCCAGATTCATAACGCAAGTTCTTAGAGACCTACAAAGAGACTTAGACTTCCACACAATAATAGTGGGAGATTTAACACTCTGCTGCCAATATTAGACAGAGCAACGAGACAGAAAATTAACAAGGATATTCAGGATTTGAACTCAGCTCTGGTCCAAGCAGACCTAATAGACATCTACAGAACTCTCCACTGCAAATCAACAGAATGTACACTCTTCTCAGCACCAAATCGCACTTATTCTAAAATTGACCACGTAATTGGAAGTACAACACTCCTCAGCAAATGCAAAAGAACGGAAATCATAACAGTCTCTCAGACCACAGTGCAATCAGACTAGAACTCAGGATTAAGAAACTCACTCAAAACCACTCAACTCCATGGAAACTGAACAACCTGCTCCTGAATGACTACTGGGAAAATAACGAAATTAAAGCAGAAATAAATAAGTTATTTGAAACCAATGAGAACAAAGACACAACGTGCCAGAATCTCTGGGACACAGCTAAAGCAGTGTTTAGAGGGAAATTGATAGCACTAAATGCCCAAAGGAGAAAGTGGGAAAGATCTAAAATCAACACCCTAACATCACAATTGAAAGAACTAGAGAAGCAAGGGCAAACAAATTCAAAAGATAGCAGAAGACAAGAAATAATTAAGATTACAGCAGAACTGAAGGAGAGAGAGATACGAAAAACCCTTCAAAAAAATCAGTGAATCCAGGAGCTGGTTGTTTGAAAACATTAACAAAATAGACTGCTAGTCAGACTAATGAAGAAGAAAAGAGAAAAGAATCAAATAGACACAATAAAAAATGATAAAGGGGATATCACCACTGATCCCACAGATATACAAAATACCATCAGAGAATAGTATAAACACCTCTACGCAAATAAACTAGAAAATCTAGAAGAAATGGATAAATTCCTGGACACATACACCCTCCCAAGACTAAAGCAGGAAGAAGTCGAATCCCTGAATAGACTAATAACAAGTTCTGACATTGAGGCAGCAATTAATAGCCTACCAACCAAAATAAGCCCAGGACCAGATGGATTCACAGTCAAATTCTACCAGAGGTACAAAGAGGAGCTGGTACCATTCCTTCTGAAACTATTCCAAAGGATAGAAAAAGAGGGACTCCTCCCAGACTCATTTTATGAGGCCAGGATCATCCTGATACCAAAACTTGGCAGAGACACAACAACAAAAAATTTCAGGCTAATATCCCTGATGAACATCGATGTGAAAATCCTCAATAAAATACTGGCAAACCAAATCCAGCAGCACATCAAAAAGTTTATCCAACATGATCAAGTCGGCTTCATCCCTGGGATGCAAGGCTGGTTCAACATACTCAAATCAATAAACGTAATACATCACATAAACAGAACCAATGACAAAAACCACGTGATTATTTCAACAGACACAGAAAAGCCTTTGATAAAATTCAATACCCCTACATACTAAAAACTCTCAATAAACTAGGTATTGATGAAATGTATCTTAAAATAATCAGAGCTATTTATGACAAACCCACAGCCAATATCATACTGAATGGGCAAAAGCTGGAAGCATTCCCTTTGAAAACTGGCAAAAGACAAGGATGCCCTCTCTCACCACTCCTATTCAACATAGTAGTGGAAGTTCTGGCCAGGGAAATCAGGCAAGAGAAAGAAATAAGGGTATTCAAATAGGAAGAGAGGAAGTCAAATTGTCTCTGTTTGCAGATGACATGATTGCATATTTAGAAAACCCCATTGTCTCAGCCCAAAATCTCCTTAAGCTGATAAGAAACTTCAGCAAAGTCTCAGGATACAAAATCAATGTGCAAAAATCACAAGCATTCCTATACACCAATAACAAACGGAGAGCCAAATCATGAGTGAACTCCCATTCACAATTGCTACAAAGAGAATAAAATACTTAGGAATACAACTTAAAAGGGATGTGAAGGACCTCTTCAAGGAGAAATACAAACCACTGCTCAAGGAAATAAGAGAGGACACAAACAAATGGAAAAACATTCCATGCTCATGGATAGGAAGAATCAATATTGTGAAAATGGCCACGCTGCCCAAGTAATTTACAGATTCAATGCTATCCCCATCAAGCTAACATTGACTTTCTTCACAGAATTGGAAAAAACTACTTTAAAGTTCATACGAAACCAAAAAAAGCCCACATATCCAAGACAATCCTAAGCAAAAAGAACAAAGCTGGAGGCATCACGCTACCTGACTTCAAACTAGACTGCAAGGCTACAGTAACCAAAACAGCATGGTACTGGTACTAACACAGATATATAGACCAATGGAACAGAACAGAGGCCTCAGAAATAACGCCACACATCTACAACCATCTGATCTTTGACAAACCTGAGAAAAACAAGCAATGGGGAAAGGATTCCCTATTTAATAAATGGTGTTGGGAAAACTGGCTAGCCATATGCAGAAAACTGAAACTGGACCCCTTCCTTACATCTTATACAAAAATTAAGATGGATTAAGAGTTAAACGTAACATCTAAAACCATAAAAACCTTAGAAGAAAACCTAGGCAATACCATTCAGGACAAAGGCATGGGCAAAGACTTCATGACTAAAACACCAAAAGCAACAGCAACAAAAGCCAAAATTGACAAATGGGATCTAATTAAATAAAGAGCTTTTGCACAGCAAAAGAAACTATCATCAGAGTGAACAGGCAACCTATGGGAGAAAATTTTTGCAATTTATCCATTGACAAAGGGCTAATAACCAGAATCTACAAAGAACTTAAACAAATTTACAAGAAAAAGTCAAACAACCCCATCAAAAAGTGGGCAAAGGATATGAACAGACACTTCTCAAAAGAAGACATTTATGTGGCCAACAAATATGAAAAAAAGCTCATCATCACTGGTCATTAGAGAAATGCAAATCAAAATCACAATGAGACACCATCCCATGCCGGTTAGAATGCTGAGCATTAAAAAGTCAGGAAACAACAGATGCTGGAGAGGATGTGGAGAAATAGGAACACTTTTACATTGTTGGTGGGAGTGCAAATTAGTTCAACCATTGTGGAAGACAGTGTGGCAATTCTTCAAGGATCTAGAACCAGAAATACCATTTGACCCAGCAATCTCATTACTGGGTATATATCCAAAGGAATATAAATCATTCTACTATAAAGACACATGCACATGTATGTTTATTACAGCTCTGTTCACAATAGCAAAGACTTGGAACCAACCCAAATGCCCATCAATGATAGGCTGGATAAAGAAAATGTGGCACATATGCACCATGGAATACTATGCAGCCATAAAAAGGATGAGTTCATGTCCTTTGCAGGGACTTGAATGGAGCTGGAAACCATCATTCTCAGCAAACTAACACAGGAAAAGAAAACCAAGCACCATATGTTCTCACTCATAAGTGGGAGTTGAACAATGAGAACACATGGACACAGGGAGGGGACCATCACATACTGGGGCCTCTTGTGGGGTGGAGGGCTAGGGAAGGGATAGCATTAGGAGAAATACATAATGTAGATGACAGGTTGATGGGTACAGCACACCACCATGGTATGTGTATACCTATGTAACAAGCCTGCACGTTCTGCACATGTATGCCAGAACTTAAAGTATAAGAAAAGAAAAACAAAAACAAAAAACATTTTCTATTACATCATTTCTTTTGCCATATTTCCCCAACTGATTAAGGTTTTATTCTATTCACAGATTTCTAACTCCTGGTAAAAGTATAAATCTAAACAAGCATAGCAAATCTGAGTAAAGAGAGTATTCTAACTCCTGAAATACCTCAAGATTCATTTTGTTTGTTATAAATCCAGCTACTCTAGCTTTCTTTGGCTAATATTTAAATTAAACCTTATATTTAGTTGTATTTATGGTAAAAAGCATATACTGAGTTTTCTTCTTTTATCCATTATAATCCCTAAATTTAACAGATGTAGTTTCTCCATTTACATTTATCATGATTACTAATATACCTAGATTTATTTTTACTATATTATATAATGCTACTAGCTTTGCTTTTTCTGTGAATTTTTATTTCTTCCTTTCTGGAATTTATTGCTTGCTTATACTATCTTGAAGACTATATGCAATATTTCTATCCTTTTAAGTGATGACCTTTAAAAGTCAACATGCATATCTTGTTTATTCTCTCACATTTTACATATTATTGTCCATCTTACTTTTACACATCCAAATTAATCATCTACATGGTCACTGTCACCATCATTATTACTTTTATACAGTCAATATTAATTTAGCTTTTAGTACACGCTCAACAATTTCTTTGCTCACCATTACTTCCTGAATTTCATTCGTTTTTAATGGATTCTGTTTTCTTCTACAAGAGGTATAAAATTTAGTAGTGGTCAGTCTTTATCCGAAATGACTTTATTTCATCCTCACTCTTGGGTAATAATTTAGCTGGATATGTAACTCAGGTTCACTTGGTTATTTTGTCTTAGCACTTTGGAAATATTCTCTCTTACATTCTCAATTGTACTGCTATTTTTAAGTTTGCTACCGGTACAATTTCATTCTTACGTAGGTTATATTTTTTCTCCTTGGCTGCTCTTAAGTCATTCTCCTTGTCTTTGGTGTTCTCAAGTTTTATTACAATGTGACTTTATTTATATTTAATATTTCTTGATATAGACTCGTACTTGTTCAATATGAAAATTCATGTTTTCCTTCCATTCTAAAAATTCTTATTTTCCTGAATATTGCACCATCTTATTCTCTCTACTCTTCCTTCTGTAAGTTCTATTGGACATAGGTTGAACTTCATTGTCCTTAAGTCCTTCAGCCTCTTTTATATTTTCAATCATTTTATCTCTCTGTGCTGCTTTTATGTAGCATAGAGATCACTCTTCAGATCTCGCCTAAAATTCAGTGTCTTTTCAGCTGTATCTAATCTGTCATATAACCCATTCAGTGATTTGCACAGTTTTTAAGATATTTTCATAATAAAATAATCTCAAATTTCTACTCGATTCTTTACCACATCTGTCTTTTCTTTGTCTACAATTATTTCCTTTCTTTTTTGAATATGTTTTTATAACTAACTTTTTAGTTTTGGTTTATGAGATCGTCATTGGTAGGTTTTTATTTGTGGTGCTTCTCTGAGGCCTGGGTTGAAGGCCTGCACCTCTAGAGTGGCTTTGAATGTGCTTCTGAAACCAGTTTTTATGTTAATTTTTGGCTTAGTGTAATTTAAAACTAGAAACTCATTGTGAGGGCAGCCTCTTGGTCACAAATCTTCAGAGAGTTTTCTATTTGGAGCCCAGGCAGAAACAAGATTATTTATCTTCCACAGTGCCTGTGGGTAAGTTTTGTTTCCAGTCTGCCCATTTCTGATGATGGAGCTTTTAGAGGTTCTGACTTGATAAGGAGACTTACGCTGGGATCCCAGGCTTGACTCCCTGTCCACGGGGGAACTAACGAACATGCCTTAGGTTTTTGAGCTTGCCAGTAGTGTGAGTGAGTGTGGGGGCTGCTCAGGGCCATTTTGGTCTTGAACATTTCCCTTTCTTTCCTGTAGTCTCAGCTATCTTTGTAAAAAGATGGCTTCAAATTTTATTCAGTGTTTTCAGGTGTTCGGTAGTTTAAGTGTTTTCTCATTATTTAGTCTTTTATCAGGAAACAGCAATTCTTTTCTATCTTTTCTATCTAACACGTGTGCTTACTCTGTCCATCCTGTACTGAATGATAATGGAAAACTGTTTATTAAGATTCTACTAAAACACAACCGAAGAGTGGGCTGGTGGTGTATGTGTCAAGAGGTGAAGAATTGCATATATCCTAGGCTTTACTATTCATTCAGATAGAGTCTGGTTTTAAAATTAATAACAATCCCCTTGGAAAAGTCTGCCTGTTTTAAAATCTTGAAAGAGCTACAATAAT
This sequence comes from Homo sapiens, assembly GCF_000001405.40. Taxonomy (NCBI): domain Eukaryota; kingdom Metazoa; phylum Chordata; class Mammalia; order Primates; family Hominidae; genus Homo; species Homo sapiens. The sequence continues at coordinate 217,444,780 of NC_000001.11, forward strand.
CTACAGCAGCTATATGCACCCAGGGATAGCAGCAAATAAAAATATAATTATTGATAAGATAAATTTGGACAAATAAAATCTAGTACCTTGAAAAGGAGCTTGGTTGCACCACACATTTCTGATTATATTTGGCATGACTTTTAATTGCAAATGAGCCTTTAAAAAGTCTTCACTCATTATTATTATTTACAACCTGCCTTCACTGCCTTAAATATTCAAGAAGATTATTTTCCTATTGAAATATCAGTAGGACGTGGAGAAAAAAGTTGAAAAGTCACAAAAAGCTGTAATGTAACCTCTTGCCAGAACTCACATGTTCATGAAAAAAACTACCCTGGAACAATATGCATATCAAGACATTAAACTTCAAAAGGCATTTCACTTCTATACTTAAAATGTATAGAAAAAAGGCTGACTCCTTATAATAAATATTTTACTATGACATTATTTCAATAGAAAGCAAAATAGTAATAGGCAATATTAATTGTGGATAACATTGAATTTTCATACTGTACAGTGGACAAAATTTTTTAAAAATATAGTAGCCATAATATCTCAAAAAAGGAACTTAAATCTTTTTACTATTAAATCCTCAATAAGCTATGCCTTCTACCAAAAACATGGACCACAACCAACATTGCTAACGCCTTTTTAAAAAGTGTTAATAATATTCCTCTTATTTTGTTCACTGCTTTTCTTCACCTTTACAGATGACATTTTTCAAACTATAAAATGCATTCTGCTGGCAAACCTTCTTGCTTCGATAGTTCTCAATTTTATAATAGTAAATCTACATCCTTTGCTACTGAGACATCCACTAAGTTTCATTATGTGACTTTGAATGACGCAGAGAACAAGCTATACATTAAAAAAATCAATATCTAACCTTATCAATATTCATTTTCCTTTGTCAATACAAAATACAAAGGTGAAAGAGCAGTAAATAAGCTAAAGCACTGAAATAAATTTGGTGTTCCTGTCACAATTAATAAATGTTCAAATGACAACACTGCTGGTTAGTCTAGCGCTTTCTAAAGCGACTGAAATTATGCTTCAAAGCTATTGCTAAAAGAGGGTGAGAAAAATTTTCAATACACTAGCAGGTAAACGTAATCAATTCTGGGTTATTAATTTCATAGGAGGCTTTAAATCTTTTATTAAAAGTGTTATTTATTATGAATACAATTTATCTTCAGTCATAAATTGTTATACAAATGCAGTTTTGGATTTAAAGTGCCTAATTATAGTTTTCTGACAATTTTTTGGTAAATCCTTTCTAAACTCGCTGTTTGATTATATAATATTTCACATATAAATCAGAGGGGATTATCAAACAATACTCAAGCTGTCAGTCTTTTAACTCTTACTCCCTATTTCAAATAAAAGACTGTTATCATCTGCATTTTTCTTGTTTAGAGTTAATGCTGACTAAAGGCAAAAGAAACTACGAAAATATATCTCAACTCAATGTGTTTTTCAGGAGTTCTGCAAGGGCCTATAAAAGGGCAAGAATATTGTCCTTAGCTAAAAATCAGAAGTTTACAAATATAACTAACTCTTTATTATGTGACTGACTCTTTTTCAGAATTTGAAAACTGTAATTTTCAGAGACAAGATGATCTAGGATTCATGCCCTCATTATCAAAGTGTATTTATGCAAAACCATTTCTTACTTGAATTTGGATAATAATCTTCACCTTAGAGTTGATTCATTGGTATTAAAAGATATTCTATTTAAAACTGAGGACTTTAAGATAACCTCAATCTCTTCCTCTTAGAGACAAACAGTTATGCATAGATTTTAAAAATGCCTCGAAAATAAGTGATGCAATTCTCCTGCTCCACTACTTTTTGAGTAATTAAAAGTGCATTAAATTTCTATGAATTTTATCTTCTAAGTAAAAATGTAGTAATACCAACATCCTGAATATTAAGAAAATCACAATTTTGAAATATAAAATCTGGTATATGCTGGTGTAAGCTTATATAAAAAAAACTGTTTTAGGCTAAAGTTCAATGTTTGTACCCATATGCCATATAAATGATTTCTTCTGATGTTACTGAGTTGTAACGTCAAAATCGCCTTGCAGAAATAATTATATTATCCGCTCCTCAACCATTATGCATTTTCCTTCTCATTTCACATATGTTCGGAGTGTTAGGACGTGACCCCAGTATTTTCTTTTCCTTATTGCTGCCACTAAGGTGCTTTAGTAGAATTCCTAAGATTGTTCTTGTACTGTTTCTGCCGCTAATGGTTGAATCAATGAAAGATAAGAAAATTCAGGGACCATTCAACTGGAATGCAGATGTTAAAGAATCCTATACCTGCCTTATGAAAGATCTGAATTGCAAGACTGATGACATGTGTTTCATCCAAAATGTGGCTACATGTTCCTGTATGAAGAGATATATTAGAAATATTTCATGAATATTCGCATTTCTACATAGTAATAGTTAGATAAATCTTCTATAAAACTTAAGGCATATAGTAGTGCGTTTAAGTCAGCATATGCAATAGGACAATCTTTATATATATGTAATGTGCATATAAAGAAAATATATATATTCTTACAAAGAGGCTGTAAGTACATTGCTATGGAAAGAGCATGGATTTAGGTGTTATGCAGACCTAGGCTTGAAACCTTCCCTTGCGTTCAATAATTCTGTCATCTTAGGTAGCTAACCTAACACTTCTTTGCATCTTCATTTTATGATCTGTAAGGTGATGATAACACCATCTCCCTCATACAGTTGTTATAAAGATAAAATAATAAAGTTTCTGGTACACAGTAGGTACTCAACAAGTGGCAAATATTATTCTATACAAATACAAACGCACTCTACACACAGGTGTTTCCTAATCTTGAAAATTCAATACAGCCAGAAGATGATCAGGTATGCATCTAAATGCATAATTTTATAATCTAGTCCCTTATATGGAACAACTGCATTAGAAGTGCTCCAATTTTAAGTTATTCTTCAATTTTCTAGTGCTTTACTATGGAATAGGTTCCCTAATAGAGAACGTGGCTGGGTGCGGTGGCTCACGAGCCACCTGTAATCCCAGCACTCTGTGAGGCCGAGGTGGGCGGATCACCTGAGGTCAGGAGTTCAAGACCAGCCTGGCCAACATGGTGAAACCCCATCTCTACTAAAAATACAAAAATTAGCTGGGCATGGTGGTGGGCGCCCATAATCCCAACCACTTGGGAGGCTGAGGCAGGAGAATCGCTTGAACCCTGGAGGTGGAGGTTGCAGCGAGCCAAGATCACACTGCTGCATTCCAGCCTGGGTGACAAGGGTGAAACTCTGTCTCAGAAAAAAAAAAAAAAAAATAGAGAATGTAAGTTTCACATCTTTTTTTTCCTCTTAAACTCACCATGCTACCCCACCCCCATAAAACCATGCATATACTTACATATATTTTTCTTTTTACTGTTTACTCTCCTGTTGATAGGAATCTTATTTTCATAGTCTATAATTAAAATCACTTTTCCTATAAAGGCTGCCCAAATGAAGCTAAGAGAAAATTTCTAAATGTGTATGGTTAAAGATCCCAGACAATAGGTCAAGGCTATTATTCTTTGTATCTACACTGAAAAACATTTTCTCATACAGCTTGCTGCATCACAAATCCATTATGGCTAACGGCTGTTTATTTATATGTTGGTGTCTACATTTTAATGTCCACTTGGCTTCCTCCTATCACTGACTTTATCTGTGCCTCCCTTACCACTGCTCTTGCATGAGACTTTCAATACATACTATTTTATTCACAACCTTCACTACAAGGCGAGTCTTTGCCCTTTCAGTAAGGCAGGCTTCCTGTCCTCTCCGATCTACAGTGACTTCCCTCTGATCAGTACTTGTAGTCTTCTCAATACCACGCTCATTATTAGAATGGCATATTATTAGAACGACATGATTTTTGAGGTAGAAATGAGAGCTTTCGCAATCTAGTACTAATGTTGTCTAAAGAAGGAATGAGGAATCTAAGACTGCTACAGAACTGGGACTAGAAACCAGACTGCCACATTTGCTCAGTCAGGTGTCCATCTCCTACCACATGGGGTCTTGTGTTTTGGGGCTGCGGCTATACTTTTTGAATTTATTACTATTAATCTCTTCTGGGGTTATTTGTCATTTCATCTATTTATGCCTTATTTTCCCAACAAGACTGTAAATTTATAGAGGCCAAAGATATAGCCTTTGAAGTTTTTGTATCCTTTTAATACCTTACACGAAATCTTGCATTTGGGCAGGGATGTAACATATACGTTAACCTGGAAGATCTACACATGGAACATGTAATACACCCTGATACCACATGCAAATGATTTGTTTTCATAGTTTCTTGCAACTGTGCTTCTTCTTCATTGCAAGTGATTAAGAAGTATCTACATTTTATTCTTCATGATTTATGAACTCTACATTTGTGCTCCACTCTAACCCTGCTTTTGTTTTACCTGCAGTAGTAGGTCCAGGCAAAGGTGCAGCTTTTCTTCTCCGTTTGATATCTCCCGTGCATAAGGATCCTAAATGCATGCTTGTTTGCCTACGAATAATTATCAGAAAAAACTATTAACAAAGAAGAAAAAATGACACATAAATACACAGCTTGTATCATCTGAACCTAAATCAAAACGTTCTCAACAAAGATGGAGCTGCGTAGTAAAATCACCAATCTTGTTTATATCGAAACATAATTACATTTGTTGACAAGCGTTCAGCAGCTAAATGCGCCATCATAAATTGTTACTGGAATGAATAATATAAAAGGAATGCTTTTTAATTTTCAAAACTGGCAATCTTTCTGGCTCAACATAAAATCAAGCACTGTTGCTTCTGACAGGAAAATAGCTAAGATTAATTATCTAAAGAGATCACAATATTGTTGCTAGGTTATCAATTGGTTACTAATGCTTTACTGTCAGAACAACATTTATTACAGGAAAAGTATGATCAATTTCTTTTAGGATATTACGCAGCAGTGAATTCTCTTAAAACATTTTAAATAGAAGGAAATAGTGATGCTTCCCTTATAATTTATATGATTAGAATTCTTCAGTTAATTATTTATTAGCTGAGTGAGAAAACATAATTTGAATGCATTAATGCTGGTCTACTGCTATTTAACATTCTAACATGATACTGGATTATATTTGTAAAAACATGATATATAAAAACCGAGAAGTGGACCTTCTGCTATTTTTGGAACCAGTTACTATATAATTAGATTCTTCTGTCTAATTTTGGTCTCCTAAATTGAAAAGTTATATAAAAAAATAAGAAATGGGCCAGTTAGAAATCAAGACGAATACAAAAAAGAAAGCATTTAAAGTCTTCAAACTTTTCAAGCTATAGAAAGATTCTGTGTTCATTTCCTGCATCATAATCCTTGATGCAGGGTTGGGATAGGGCCTGGGGAACATGAAGCAGAAATAAATGAAAGCATGTTTATGACAACCCATGTTCTTTTAGTAAGACAGAGAGATATCTGACAGTATCTTGAGGTTTTAAAGAAACTAATTTGAGAACAAACAGATTATTAGGAAGAAAAAAAGGGAAAAATTAACTAAAATTTATTCAGGTAAAATTCAAAATTCAAGGTATATATTTAAACACATATACTCATATGGTTAAATATAATGAAAAATTAGTGCTGGAGAGTACAGTTATTTCAAATATAGATTTTATTTATAAAGCACAAAGTACAGTCATAATTAATGATCTGAGTAATCTAAGGGCCACATGCAGTCAAAAAAATACACCACAAAACCTTATCAACATATCTTAACAGTAAATGAGCATTTGTCTAGTTTTCTTTTACCTTTTTATTGAGCGCATACTGTTTCTGTTACAAAATAATTATAATTATTAAAATATTTCAAAAAACCTTTCAAAAATTCATTCTGTTAATGACTAACTTAGCTCTGCTTGGCTCTCCAAAAGTTCATTAACATGCATGACTATAACATTTTTATTGGATTTTGAGGTATGGTCTTGGCTCATGATGCCAAGAAAAATGAATAGTTATGACTGTGTCTACTTTTTAAGATTATATATACATTTTTAAAAAGTAGAATGATGTCACAGAGAAGACATACTCTTTTTGTACAAATTTAAAGTTATTCCTTTACTTATTCAGCAAACATTTATCAGTATCTATTATGGACTTAGCATAAGACTCCAGTGGTGGTGAAAATGGGGAGGGGGAAAAGAGAAGATGGGAGATACAAAGGAAATGAAACTTTCAGTTCTCATTATTGGAAGAATTTAAAGTCAGAGTGGCGAAAGAAAACATAAATATGTGTATATGAAATCATTAGGTACAGTGGTAGTGGCGGCAGGCATAACCAACTTTATTAACGACTAGTGAAGACTGTATTATTTAGTCCTTACAACAATCCTAAATATGCTGCATCAAATATACATTTTTTCCTTGGTAGGATAAAATTTGTGCTTCCATGGAAAAACTATGCTTTCAGGAGTATACCCTTTCAGTCATTGAATGCTAATTCTATGGAATCTATTTTACAACTCTACCTTGTAGCTAACCGAAAGCAATGGGAAATACTTCTTAACTACAGAAACACAAATAAATTCTGTCCTGTGGAATGACAACCTTCCTTTCTGTGGAAAAGCTAGTTTTGGGTCCATTTAAACCATCATTTCAATACTCCTTTACTCCATATACACTTGAGCTTCTTTGACTTCTCCTTTCAACTGGTTATAACATCTGCCCAGTTCCCTCATTAGCTAATGAGTTAAATAAAATCTTTAACACATACCCACTTTATATCCATATGAGAGTCATAATATTACCTTTTTGTAAAAAAGTATCCTTTCACATATCTTATCCCTATTGAAATCTCCCCTTAGCAAAAGACTGGAGCAAAGTTTACCTTCTGTAGAGCATATACCAGACAGGCTCAGATATCAGAAATAGCTGAAGAGGAGGGGAAGGTACCATTCTGAAAACAGGGAATAAAGTGGGAATCTGAATTCTGCAGTGCGGGTCTTCTGTAATCAAGCTGTGAAAACCAACTCATGAACTAGCTACTTCTGATCCTCTGTTAAAACATAATAAACATTCTTACAGTTTAAGCCACTGCAGGTCAGGTTTTCTATACTTGCTGAACGAATTTCTGAGTGATAAAGAGTTTGCTCTGTTCAGGGAGTTATGAGTAGTTCAGGATGCCTGCAGAGCAGTGTTGGCAGAAGGGACTGTATAACACGAATGGAAAAGAGCACTGCGGCTGGACCATGGGGCCATACATGCCACCTTTGTCCCATGAAGATGTTTGGACTTAACAGCGATGTGGAGTCATTAAAGTAGACCAGATGCATGGATGCTGGTAGAGAGCTCGAGTTGGACACGGTTGAGACTGAAGAGGGAGGAGACCAACTAGGTTTGCCATAGTTCAGACACTCACTTCCTCATCTCAGTTATAATAACTAAAGAATGATGCAAGTTACTGCACAATGAAACTTCTTGGTTGTACAAATATTAAATATCAATAAAAATTTTAAAAGAATTAAGGCTGGTTTTATTGATTTCAGATACTTTTAAAGCTCAAACTAAGCTAAAACAATTATTAGCCAGGGCACGTTTCTTAAGAAACACATTTTTAGAAATAATCAGAAGAAATACTTGAGTGCCTGATATTAGATGCTCACTGTGACTATTAATACCATTGGTTTCTATTTACTTTGTTTTTGCACTAGTTATATGTAATTGGAGTATTCTAATTGCTTAAAAATAACTCTCCCAAGTCAATATTGCCTTTATAACTATTTTTTCATACTTCTTAAAATTTATTATGTAGGCCTATTTACAAAGATAGTGAAAAACAAACTTCAGGAACAACCAACTCCCTCTTCTAAACCTTTTTTTTTCCATCTGCTGGACCAAACATTTTGGGTATCTTCACAGAGCAAATGAAATATAACATTTTCATTCAACTCCCTTCCCCGACCCCCAACATAGCTACATAAAGAAAAAGAGAAAAATGTTCAAGGAGAATAAAGTTAATAAACTCAGCAACACCAAACCTGAAGACCTGAGCCATAAGAAAAACAGCTAGCTGTATATTTCAGTAATTCTATCAAGAATTGACTGTCTGCTACACAGCATTGAGAGATCTGGATTATTGATCCATAAGATCACCCCATTTAGGCTTGCCCCACACCCCCCTTCTTTCAGACAGGTGCAGTGGAGTTGCTACAAATGACACTAAGTAAGGTCTACTCTGTTATTTAGTTGTCACTCTTCATGTAAACAATAGCAGTTATTTTTTAATTTAAAATCAATGAATGTCTCAAAGGCAGCCTTGTTTCTTCAGTCTAAATGAGTCATTTGTCTTTGCAAAGCAGAACATTTGGAATACTACTCAAGGTGATGGTCGGCATTTTCTGTTTCTTTCTTCTGCAGTGTTTTGAGAATGACAATGCAACGTCCTAGGAACAGACCCAAAGTTATTAAAGAACAATATTAAGATCCTTTTGTAAGGTGTATCAGAAAAACACCAATCAACTAGATATGTGTTTTAGTTGGGATATTTGCATGGGGAGGAAGAGAAGGGAGACAAATCAAAACCAACCTATTCTGAAGTGGAAAGGATAAAGAAATGGTGCATTTTTGTTACGGGTCTGTCACTTACGATTTGAAACATGGTTTCCCAAGTATTACTTCTGAAAATTTTCCTATTAAATATTAGAAAAGCAGAACTCAAAAAGAAGTCTTTTTGTTTTATTTTGCTTTTTAAACCAACTTCACTTGGTTTATTCCCATCGTTGGCTGCAGGCTATCTTTTAAATGGGGTGGTGGCAGGAAGCTGGACATCTTATCTGGAGGGAAAAAAGTAGAAACAAAACAAAACAACAACCCAATAAACTCAAAACAAAAAACAGAAACAAAAACTCTACTGAGAACCACCTTGCCTGAAAACCTGGCTTTTGACACGGGCTGACAAGGACCGAAGCAGGCAGTGTCAGACGCAATAATAGTAAAGAGAAGACAAGAGGAACTTGTCTCTTCATTGCATGCAATTACAAACAGAGGCTGTTCAGAGAATTAGGCCTAGTTAAAGCTGCCCCCTGGATAAAATGTGTTCCCAAGCAGCCTCGGACAAGCTGCAAAACAGACAAACAGACGTGACTATGGGCCCTGGCATTTGGCAAGAACACTCACTGTCAGTTAGAAAAATATCAGCCTGGACAGGGCATCAGCTGCACAGAAATAAAGCAGGTCTGTGGTGTCACTGGAGGAGCATTCCAATGGCAGAGATAAGGATGGGGGTTGGGAAACCCAGCCCCATGTGAACTTCCTTTTCTAGATCCAAATTACCCTCCCCGCTTTACTTGGTGTCAATATGTCTCAACGTATTAAACTGAACAGACAGACATCAGTATCTAGCTTTTTTTCCTTTAGTACCCAAACGCACAATACAATAAGTATCAAGCACTTTCAAGTATAAATGTTTTATAACGACTAGAATGATTGAATTAAATCCTTGTTTTTCTGGCCTGGTGCGGTGGCTCACGCCTGTAATCCCAGCACCTTGGGAGGCTGAGGTGGGCGGATCACGAGGTCTGGAAATCGAGACCATCCTGGCTAACACGGTGAAACCCCGTTTCTACTAAAAATACAAAAAATTAGCCGGGCGTGGTGGTGGGCGCCTGTAGTCCCAGCTACTCGGGAGGCTGAGGCAGGAGAATGGCGTGAACCCGGAAGGCAGAGCTTGCAGTGAGTCGAGATCGCGCCACTGCACTCCAGCCTGGGCGACAGAGCGAGACTCTGTCTCAAAAAAAAAAAAAAAAAAAAAACCTTTCCTTTTTTTTTCCTCCCCTTTTTGAGACAGAGTCTCACTGTACCCCAGTTTGGAGTGCAGTGGCGCTGCTCACTGTGACTTCTGCCTCTTGAGTTCAAGTGATTCTCATACCTCAGCACCACGCCCACCCTCCCGGCCCCCACGGGTAGCTGGGACTACAGGTGCACACCACTATGCCCTCTAATTTTCATATTTTTACTAGAGACGGGGGTTTCACCTTATTGGCCAGGCTGGTCTCAAACTCCTGACCTCAAGCGATCCGCCCACCTCTGCCTCCCAAAGTGCTGGGATTACAGGCCACTGCACCCCACCAAATCCTTGTTTTTAATGGTGGTGTTTTCTTTCAAAGCAGCTTTTTGTGCATGATCTCTTTGGACATTCATAGCAACCCTTTGCATTTGGTATCGTGGATCACAGCCTGACCAGTTCTTGGCTCTGGTCTTCTCTCTTGATGGCTTTGGTCATTTGACTACACATTCTGCCTCAAACCTGATCTTAGCAAGAGGTGGTTTAAGTTTTAGCTCAGTGCACTGAAGTTAGTACTTGGGTTTCAGTAATTGGATCCAAGCTTTATTCTAGACTTACCCTACCTTACCACAAACCTTGTAGTAACTTAGTTCTTTCAGAACTCGGTAATTGCCTTGACCTCCTAGATGCTCAATTCCTGGCCATGAAATGGAATCTGGTGATGGAGGCTCTTTCTAATGCTGCCTGCCTACCCTTCTCCAAGCATCAGCTGCCCCTGGCTCCTATCCCTGTTCACTGCCTACCTGTTGGCAACTCTTGACTCTATGTTGATTAACCTTCCACCACATGTAGTCTGAGGCTCTACCCCTTAGATAGAATGATCTGCCTGCCACTGTGTAGTTCCTCTCACTGCTTCAGATGGATCTGTCCTGTTAGTGCCTCTTCCACTCTAGTCAGAGGGTTCGAGTCCAAACTTCCTTCTTCCCAGTCTGCTTTATCCTGCTACAGGTAATTGGTGGCCTCTTCTGGAGCTACTGTTTATTGTGTTTCCTATGTGCCTAGTGTGAGTGAGCCACTGATATGGACAGGAGACAGGGAAACACTAGGTAGAAGATGGCAGTACCCCAGCAAAGGTCCCACCCTCAAGCCTGGAAACCTATGGTCCTAAATGAGAATAGGCATTCCTGTTTTTGCGCCCAAAAGTTGCCTTTGGACTGCCACACCTCCCTATCCTGTACCCATATAAACCCCAGGCCCCAGGCTCCAGCAGCAGACAAGGAGAAGACAGACAAAAGAGCAGAAGCACAGCAGAATGGTGTGGCAGAGAGAAGAGAAGGAGCATCTGAACGTCAAGAAGAATTTGGCTGGGGATAGTCAGAGAGGAATTTGGCTGCTGGACGGCCAAATTCCAGGGGAAGACCATCTTCCCACTCCGTCCCCTTCCCAGCTCCCCATCCATCTCACTGAAAGCCATCTCCACCACTCAATAAAAGCCCGGCATTTACCATCCTCAAGTCCCTGTGTGACCGAATTCTTCCTGGGTGCTGGACAAGGACCTGGGTACCAAGAGGGCACTGAGCTGGTTAACACTTAAGCTGTCTGTGGATGGCAAAGCTAAAAGAGTGCACTGTAACACACACCATGCCCACTTGGGCTTTGGGAGTCACAAGTACCCACCCCTAGATGCTACTGTGGGGCCAGAGCCCCAAAGTGCTCACCCCTGGCTCCTGTATCTGTCCATCTGGGTGTTCCACCTCCTGTTAGGGGTTTGAGGGCACACAGTGGACCAACAGACAAGCCACACCCCTGTCACACCTCCTGCGAGGGGTGACAGGGAACACTCCCGTTTTAGCACCACTGTGTCAGAAGGCTTCTGAAGGAGCTCAAGGGCCTCATTTCATTCCTGCTGCCACCCTGCTAGTGAAGGACTCTCCTGACTCCTCAAAGCAGTGTCAGCAGGGCTGAAATGTAGTGTGCAAGGAGGTGAGATGCAGGGGACAAGGTGGGAGCCTTCAGAAGAGCCAGAAACTTACTGAAATTATGTGCAAAATACAGGTATGCATACTTTTCTAGCAAGAGGATGCATGAATTTTATCTGATTCTGAATGATTAACAGAGAGGGTTACCCAAAAAAATAGACTCAGTAGTTTTAAAGCAAACTATTCATAACCTAAAATAGAAAATACTTGTCTTAAAATATCATTGGAATATTTAAAAATATGCCACATATATAGGTCACCTTTTAAAATCACAATATCAAAAAACACAGAATAGGTGTGTGCGCTAAACTAAAATATCCAAATCAATGAATATGCATAGGCCTGGGTTGAAAGGCATGGAAGACTGTGCAACAAAATACTGATGATAATGATTTGTGTGTGATGGCATTTTGTGGGAATTTTCTTCTTTACCCTTCTCATTATTAATATTTTTTCTTACATTAAGCACGCAATGAAAGATACAAATTATAACCAGATTAATTAGAAAAAAGAAAAACAATGGTATTGATAAATGTAAGTGGTTTTGGCAGCTGGATGAATTTCTCAAAGGCAAAGTCAAGCTTTTCACACTGGGGCAGCTGTGGTGTAAATTGAAGCTTTAGGTTGCATTGGTTTGATTTGCATTTGGGATGAGCCAGAGAGTCAGGACATGTTCCTTCTTGTAACACCATGTCTGCTTTCTCACTAGAGCTTTGAAAAAGTCCGCTTATCAATGTTTGAGAAGGCTTTTTATCAGCCTTTGGCATGTTACTTACATTCTCTTTGCCTCAATTTCCTTAACTTCAAGAATTATGATTAAACTAATGCTTACCTCAAAAGATTTCATTTAGAAATCATTTATGTAAAACATTTTAGCACGTATATATTCAATAACTGTTAGCTATTACTCTTACTATTATTATCATCCCCACCCTACAGATAAGGAGCCCAGGCACAAAAAAGTTAAGTAATTTACCTAGAGTCACAGATGGAAGGCACTTTCCATACAATACATGCAGAAGAATGCTTAGTGTAGGGTGTCACTAAACACATACCAAATAAACACATAGCAGAGTAAACTCATTACATCTGAAAATTGCCATTATGCTACAATAAAGGAAGAATTAGGGTCATTTGAAAAAATCATGTAGGCATTTTTTTGGTAGTTAATAGAAAGGTTAACTTTTTCTTCATTGTCCATTTCTGCTTGCTTTAAATGTGTCATAACATACAAGAATGAAACACTCATTTTCATTTCAAAAACTCAATTAAAACTCACAAGAGTCCTTGAGAAGAAAACCCACTGATATTCTGACATCAGCCTATTGCTGCAGATTCTCTCTTGGCCACCATTTGGTACTTTCTCTTCAAAGATGTCTTGCTTGGCCGGGCGCGGTGGCTCACGCCTGTAATCCCAGCACTTTGAGAGGCCGAGGCGGGCGGACCACGAAGTCAGGAGATAGAGAATATCCTGGCTAACACGGTGAAACCCCGTCTCTACTAAAAACACACAAAAAAATTAGCCAGGCGTGGTCGCGGGCGCCTGTAGTCCCAGCTACTCCGGAGGCTGAGGCAGGAGAATGGCGTGAACCCGGGAGGCGGAGCTTGCAGTGAGCCGAGATCGCGCCACTGCACTCCTGCTTGGGAAACAGAGCGAAACTCCGTCTCAAAAAAAAGATGTCTTGCTTCCTTCATATGGTATGCTTCATGCTTTATCTAAAGCCTAGAGGGACTGCTAGTCCAATGATATCATTCCTTGTGTATGTTAAGAAATACACGACACCATATTCCTAACCAGCTCAGTTAAATATTTCTTTTGTACTGCTTCATTATTCCACACAAATGATAACTGAAAATGGTAGCGGCTGTTTTATGAAATTCAGGTAATTATTACAACTTCTTTACCATATGTAAATGAAGACATTCTCACATCTGGGGGAATGTTGAATGGGGTTTCTAAAAATCGATTCGAGAGACCTGCTGTTATATCTTAGCTTACATCATGCCCCGTATTTTTCCAGGTCCTTTAGATTTTTTTTCTTAACAACTGGTACTCATCGAGACCATATATATGTGCTAACATTAGAGCAATGTATTCTAGCTACTTTAAGAAATTTTCTGTGTTTCCTAATTCTGCCCTAAAAATTTTTCTGTTTCCTAATTCTGCCCATGTTAGAGAGCCTGCTTTTTTCCTTCAGTCCTCTTAGCGCCCTCAAGTCTAAACGTCTTTCTCCTCTTTGAACTTTCCTAACCTTGCTACTCTTCCAAGTGTTTTTCTCCGTATTTCCATATCAATCTGTGCATGTTGCTGTCATATCTTACCATACAGTATATAGTATTTGCCTCAAGTTGTTTTAAGATTAGAGGAGACTGTCAGCTAAATATATATGGAAAACAACTTGAGGCAAAGAACCATGTCTAATTCCCAGAACCTAGCTTTGTTTTTCATATATTAAAAGCACAAGAAAAGCTTATTGAACTAAAATGAATAAAACCACCATAACTATCATTGTCTCAACATTTCAGGTGGTAATCAATCATGAATTTTTTAAAATAATAACACTTCTTTCTTGAACTGTTATTTAAATTTATTCAAAAACATTCCCTTAACAATTGACAAATTTTGACAAAGTATCAGTTATTCTTAGATGCTAAACTAAACAGAAGGGTAAGATAGCTCCCACCTTCAAGGAGTTCATAACCTAATGTAGGAAATGAACATGAACAATAAATTACTATGCAATGTAATAAATCCACAGGGCTATACTAGCAGACCACCTCTTTGGGGAAATTGAGGAAAATTCATTTCGCCTGAACTGAAATTGGATATTGTCTCTCCAAGTAGAATCTGATATTTGAGGCATCTTGGAGTATTCTTTTATTCTTCACACCACAGTACCTAGGAAATAGTAGGCACTTACTAAACTGTTTACCTCATTCTCAGCTATAATTATGCATTTCTGGAATCTGTTTATCATTGATATTTAGTGTAGAGTTTCAACAATTATGCTCATTGTAATTTGCTTAAAAATGATATCTTGGATCTCACATAAAAAACCTATCAAAATAGACTACAGATTCAGATGTAATCCCACACTCTCTCTTTGATAATGACACTATTATTAAATGTTTCCTAGGATGCTATGGTTGCCATTCATAATATCTATAATAAAATTATGAGATATTCCTAATATTCCTAACTTTTTTGAGGGAAGTCCATGCATTTACTCATTTTTGGATCTACTTCATCTAGTGCACTATATGATATCTGGATATGTTTGTTGAATTGACCTTTTACTGTATTCTTCTGTTTGATATCTCAGACTCTAAGCCAAGCTCTAAGTTCCGTTCTGAGGTAGCATGTTAGGACAGATACGTGCTAAGTTTTTTTCTTTCATCAGCACAGGAAATAATAGAATTTAAAGAGCAAAGTAGAGAATATATATATTTAATTTTATTTTTCCATTTAATACATGTTGGTTTCTTAAGTATTGGAATTTATTATCTGAACTACTACAAACATCCAGGCTCACTGAGTTTTAACTATATAAAAGGTATTATGCCAGTAATTTTTACATAATGTAATCCTCATAAAAACCCATTACATATCTGAGGAATCTGAAGTCCAGAACTGTTACTTGTCAAAGATCCCATGAACAGAAAGTTAAGTTATTGTATTTGTAACAAAGCTTTCTTGACTCCAAGGAACTACTTTTCCCCCGTACCTTACTACATCATCCAACGTACTTTATTATAACCTACTTAATAAACTTCTGCTGAAAACGTAATGTATGCCATGCCCTATGCCATCAGACAGGAAATACATTTTTTAATTGAGAAATAAAAAAGATACGATGTTCATTTTCTAGGGGTTCAAGTCTATTGATCATGTGGGAAAAATGATTCCAAACCAATTTTCAAAGAGAATCCTCAACCAGCATATAAGGGCATTCTAGGCCCCTAAGTGAGAGAACACATTTGCAGAGGCACAAAGGCATTCAGATGTGCACGTGACGTGCCATAGCTGTGTCGCTCTGTAGGCAACTCAGTATAACTGGAGTTGGCACATATGGAGCAGTGGGAGGAGATGACACCTCTCTGCACACATCAAGTTTTAGTAAATTCTATAAATCTGTCTATTCACAATTATTGAAAATTCCCCTTAAGAAACTTATTTAATTTATGCAGTTTATTAATCATACTGACAAATTGAATTCAATGGAAAAAGTCCGCTCCATAATTCTCTATAGACACAATTCTGGAAGTTGCTCTCAGGCAGAGATGGAGTCAAATGTGGATCCATTTCCAAGCTAACTCTTGAAGTTGAGAGTCCCCACTCATTCAAGAGAGTCTACAATTTACTTGCATAATTGATTTGGCAAATACAGGCTGAAGACTGAATTCAGCTTTGATTTTCTGCAACGTGTCCCATGACTTTGCTTGTCGTGCAAAGTAATATGGTAATGATAATGTAACAGTTCTATATGCTATAATGTACATTTTCTGAGTAGGACTACTAAAGAGCAAAGAAAAATGTGCTTGCTACTTTTATCTCCATATTGAGAAGATAAGACTAAATGTCTTAATATTAGGCCAGAATATCAGAAACTTTTGAAATATATAAGAAGTTATTTCTATTTTGAAATATGTCAGACAGTGTTACCATGTAAATGCAAACTTACTTGCATTTAGGTTAAACTATTGCTTATTGGTGGAATTCAATTGGAAACCTATGACACAGTTGAAATGCCACCTCCTTTATGCAGAGTCTTCTGATACCCATTGCCAGAAATAATCTCTTACTCATGGGAGAAAACAGTATTTTCTGCCTTAAACTACAGCTATATATGTACACAAACTAATATTCTAGCCAGACTGTATATTCCTTGAAGGCAGTAAGGCCCACATCTGATTTATTTCTTTAAGTACATTTTCCTTAGCAGTTACATGCCTTGCCATATCAGGTATTTAATAAATAGTTATTGAATAAAATTTAACAAGGCATGTCAAGGCTTTTTTAAATTAGTAATCTGTTTTCATGTTAACCAGTCTTTTTATTGTGGTTCCAATTTCTTTAATATATAAATGCTTAGTTACAGAACACTACAAAACATATTTGTTCCATTTCTTGGGCTTTAGAATAAAAATATCTGCAAAACTAAGCTTGTTAACTGAAGCTAGTTTTTACAGTATATGCATGTACTTTTATTCTAAAATGTTTCCCTTTCTACATAATTTTGCATTTCACTAACTGTAACTTTATGAAAAGAATGCTTTCAGACCCTCCTCCTCCCTGATAGTTTTTGGTAGATATATGTTATATCCCTAAAACTTTTACAGACTTGTTAGCAAATATTTACTAGACTATAAAACATACTGTAATAGCTAGGTGAGGTATCACGAGGCTTGTGATAAGTACGTGAACATTAATGTTCAACAATTGGGAGGAAGAGGATTTCAGGATTCTCCTAATTCACTTCAATTGAAATAACTGGAAAGTTGGGGAGCATTAACTTATATTCAGGATAGTTTTGACATTAAGATCTTTGAACCAAAGGCAGTTTATAATTTTGTTAAATTGGGTCTATTACTTGCTGTATTTAAGAGGTCTACTGATTTTAAATGTCTATGGAGAAAAACACTACCCTACAAAAATTAACTTCAAATATAAACTGTCTTTTCCTCTTCTCATTTTTACAATGCTTTTCTTTAGAAAAACATACAAGTCCCTATGTTTTATAAACTTCAGAAATCAAATGCCAAATGATTCAACAACGATCAGGTTAGTCATGATTGCAAAATGTTGTCACTTTTCTTTGCACATAAATCGATCTACATACTGTTTAAGTGACTATTTTAGAAGAATCAACAGTTTTGACTAAAGGCAAGATAACAGATTTCAGGAAGCAGTCAAGTTTACTTTTAAATGGCATAGAAATAAGACTAAAAAACAAAAAAAAGACACTGCTGTATAAATTATCCACCATTTGACCTGAGAAAGCTATTTAACCCTTCTATTTCCTCCTATGTAAAATGGGGATAATAAGAATATCTACCTCATAGGGTAATACTGGAAATTCAATGAGTTAAAATACATCATTAACACTCAATGAATCTTAGCTATTATGGTGTTCGCTATAAACATGATGGGGAAATCTTTTTCTTCAACTAAATTCATATATTTTAAATTATCTGTTTTTTCATTTCTCCTCACCTACTCATCTACTCATCTTGTGAGGCAGAAGAGCACAGCAGTTAAGAGTGTGGACTGTGCAGCCCAAAGAGACAAAGTTCAATTCCTGCTCCCTTACTTAACAACTTGGGTGAACCTGGGCAAGTTAGTTAATCCTTTTATGCTTGGCCTTTCTCATGTGTGAAATGGAGATGATAGCAGAACCAATCTCACAGAGTTGATGTGAAGATTAAAGAAATGTGTGCCTCACAGTATGCAGTCAATAAATGTTACCCATAATTTCCCACAAAGGAAATTTGTATAAAATAAACTGAATATGGCATAATTTGGCATTTTTGAGGCCCAATCATAAGTACAAAAGAGTAAAGAAACTCTGCGGTTGAGATCATATTTTATTGTTACAGTACAAATTGGAAATAGAATAGATTTATTAGTAGCTAATAAGGTCTAAATGTATTCTACAAACTAAAATATGAAAGTGTCATTTATGTTAACATGGCAGAACACAGCACACCAAATCATAGTTTCTCAAGCTGATTTCCCACAACACTTTATATCTTTTTCATGCGTCTTAAAATCTACCGTAGAGATGGTATAGTTTACTTGAGGAAGTAAAACAAGTTCATTGCAGCTGGTATATCGCATTCAAGGTAAGAAGTAATTGGATATGAGGCTGAAAAAATAAGAAAGGCTAGACCAGGAAGGCCTTGCTAGCCATGTTTAGGACTTGGTTTTAAGGCAATGAGAAGCCATTAAGAATTTTTAAGTAGGCCAGCAGGATGATTTATGCCTGTAATCCCAGCACTTTGGGAGGCTGAGATGGGAGGACTGCCTGAGGCCAGAAGTTCAAGACCAGCCTGGGCAACATAGCAAGAACTTATCACTCCAAAAAAAAAAAAAAAAAAAAAAAAAAAAAAAAAGGCAGGCATAGTGATGTGTACCTTAGTGCTAGCTACTTGAGAGGCTCAGGCACAAAGATAGCTTGAGCCCAGGAGTTCAAGGTTTAATTATACATAAATAGATTTGGGTTCCCTAAAAGTCATTCTGGTTATGATGTGGAGAATGGATAAAGAGAACAAGGGTGAGAGATTGAAAGGAGTGAAAGACAGAATCCAGGTTTTTCTGGCCAGAATGTAAGTTCCTGGAATGCAGACAGAATAGCATCTGGGTTCCACACATATCACCTAGCCTAATGTCTTTTATATACTCAGAATAAAAGGCACTTAATGGTGTGTGAAGGACTGCATGAAACATCATTTTTTTTCTAGTAACAGACAATACCATCCTAAAAGAAATTAAACCCTGACCACTTAGCACTCTAATAATTTATTTACTCACTTAAAAATAAACATGCTATGTAGAAGCCCTGAAATCCTAGAATTTAACAAAGAAAGTCATAATTAAGAGTACTCTGCGAATATGGTGGCAATGACACTGTTGTTGAATGTATATAATAACATGTGGCATTACTGAAAACCCCTGGACACCAATACCTAGCCAACAAGGTATTCCCCAAACCCTCCCCTTCTCATCCTCAAACAGGTGGTTGGATATAAACTATTGGCAGCTATGAGATGCCATATCAACACCTGGGCAGGAAAAAGAGAGGAATCTGCAAATGGCCCCAAGCACAGGAAAACCTCCAAAGCTCTACCACTCAATGGAAAGTACAGGGAGACAAGATGAACAAAGATGCTAAACATAGGAGGTGTACTGAAAGATACCAGTTTATAAATGAGTGCAAGAGGACCAAGATGTAATAGTTCTGTGGTGTTGAATTAGTTGGATCATATAAATTCTTGAAATTAAAAAATTAAAGTGATTTCCCAGGATAAAAAACCCACACCAAGGAAAAACAGTGGAAGTAGAAGCGAACTGGAGCAGAACAGAGGCCAAGGGGAAAAGGAAACAGACGGTCTTAATAAAAATATTGAGAGGAATACAAGAGGCAGATATTGGAAAATATGAGGCCAGAATTTTGATTGGTTTATGAAAACAACAGAAGAGAGAGGTATAAAGCCATGAAATTAGAAAGCTATCCTGTCTCATGTCTCCTTCTTAAAAGTACAGGAAACCTCATTCAGAACAGTGTTGCAGATACATAAATAAGAACGATTATTAAAAGGAAAAAATAAGGTCCTTAGAGACCGTAAGAGTACTCTAGATATGCCCACAAAAATGAAAACTACACCTGATAATTCTAAAACAAGTTAAAGCAAATTAAGAAAATGATAGAAGATATATGAAAAAGTCACAACTAGAGAGGTTGAGAAATAAAGGGACTGGATAGAAGGAAGATTTAAAAGAAGAGATGATAGCATTTAGGAAGCAATTAGAAATAAAAGGAAAAAAATCATTTCAGAAATTAAACTAAAAGGAACAGAGGAGTGAGCCATATGATGGAGAACTAGAATATGAAAATACAATAAAAATGGAAAAGGCAAAAAATAAAAACTTTAAAATTAAAAAAAGAAATTAAAAGGAAAGTGATAAATTAAAAAGTGAATTAGAAAGTGAAATTAAAAGGAAATTAAAAGAAAGTGATAGCTACGGAAGATAGGCAAAGAAGATCCAATATAAGTATAATACAAATTTTTAAAACAACAAAGTCAAAGCAACAAAACAAAACAAATATAAAACATTATAATTGGAGAACATCTTGAAATTTATTTTTAAAATGAGATGGTCTGCCTGTGTCCTCACTCAAATCTCAACTTGAATTGTATCTCCCACAATTCTCACATGTTGTGGGAGGGACCAGGGGGAGGTAACTGAATCATGGGGACCAGTCTTCCCATGCTATTCTCATAATAATGAATAAGTCTCATGAGATCTGATTGGTTTATCAGGGGTTTCTGGTTTTGCTTCTTCCTCATTCTCTCTTGCCGCCAACATGTAAGAACTGCCTTTCATTCTTCACCGTGATTGTGAGACCTTCCCCAGCCATGTGGAACTGTAAATCCAATTAAATCTCTTTCTTCCCAGTCTTGGGTATGTCATTATCAGAAGCATGAAAACAGACTAATATATAAAACAATAACAACTAGCTACTAAAAAAGGATAACTTCATCCCTGGGAAAAATCACCTAAAATTATCAACATTAGAATGTAGTCTAGTCAAACTCTTGGCCTTTAAAGAAAAGGAAAATGCACATTGAGCATCTAGGCAAAACCAAGTCACTTTTATGTCTAAGAAAATCAGACTATATCAGATATAGAAAGCAACGTTTTATACAGGCATTGGAGTAACATATTTAAGATAGTTAGGAGAAGAAAAACATGAGCCATGGATTGCATATCTGGCCAAAATGACCTTTAAATATACAGTTCATGCATAAACTGCTAATAACAAGCAAGAACTCAGGAAATATTGTTTGAATGAGCACTTCCAGAGGAAAAAACTAGAGAATAAACTTCAGACAAAAAGAGTACAGAAGCATTGACTTAAGATTTTGTGGTAATCATTAAAAATATATTTACGTATAGAACTAAAACTGAATGGACTGAACTAAAACTAAATAAAACTAGAACTGAAAAAAAAAAAGGAGGCAGTATAGTACTAAATGGCTGTATGTGTCAGACAATGTACACACAGTATAACTACCTAAAAGTGGATGAAAATACTTGTTTTTTCTTTCTTTCTTCCTTTTTGTGGAGAATGGGTCTTTCTATATGGCCCAGGCAGGTCTCAAACTCCTGGGCTCAAGCTATCCCTCTGCCTCTGCCTCCCTAAGTGCCGGGATTACAGTCATGAGCCACCATGCCTGGCTAAAAATGGATGACAATAAAAAGTATATAGGAAAAATAAAATAAATTCCCTGACTGTCTTATAGATACGAACAAATGAAAGGAGGGCACATGAGGCCAGCTAACTTCAATATTGCTCACAGTAGGGAACCAGCAGCAAGGGGCCTCAAAAAGGAAGGGAGAGGGCCTGAAACTGTTACACAGAGGTAATAATAAACAGGTAATTATTAGAAAAAAAAGCCTTCTTCAAAGTCCAATGGTATACCAGACTGAGAATGAGGGCAAGAGAAAGGAGAAAAAGAAAGGTAAAGGTAGTAAGAGAAGGAGAGAGAGAGAGATGTTTGCTTCTCTTAAAAACAGGGAAACAAAAGCCAATGAAAGGATATATCTGCTGGGCGCGGTGGCTCACGCCTGTAATCCCAGCACTTTGCGAGGCTGAGGCAGGCGGATTGCCTGAGGTCAGGAGTTTGAGACCATCCTGGCCAACATGGTGAAATCCCGTCTCTACTAAAAATACAAAAATTAGCTACGTGTGGTGGCACGTGCCTGTGGTCCCAGCTACTCAGGAGGCTGAGGCAGGAGAATCGCTTTCACGAACCTGGGAGGCGGATGTTGCAGTGAGCCAAGATCATGCCACTGCACTCCAGCCTGGGTGACAGAGTGAGACTCCGTCTCAAAAGCAAAACAAAACCCATTTTGGGGAAGAAACAAATGGAGGGAACCAGGTAGAAGCGAGACTTCTTTGAAAATAACTGCTTGTGAAAATTTGATTGTGGATCCCATGAGTATTTTTATATTATTATAAAACAAAATTAAATACATTAAAAAGAAACCTGTTGCTGAAAATGACACTAATTATACATTGGTATACCTATACTTAGAAACTATTTCAAGTTACTTTAAAACACAGGAAAATGATTGCATATTCCTAGCGTACTTATAGTAAGTACCAAATAAAAATAGAAAAAAGAAAAAACACTTTTTAGTGATTATTTTACTGGTAGTGATGACAGTATGGTGATTCTGAGATTGCTGTCTGTGTATGGTGGGGTAAATAAAATGAGTATTCCATTGTCATTGAGATGTAATATTTTTAATATGGTTGGAAAAAGATTAAAATCAATGACAGAAAGTATAAACAATAAAGTCTTGAATTTGAACTGGAACTATCAGTATGAATCAATATGATTTTTCTTTAAAAAAAAAAATCCTAACTCATTTATCTGAAAAGGCCTAGAAACACAGACATTCCTAACATCCAGACTGTGGTTTCTAAACCTATTTCCTATTATAGTAAAGGAATCAGCACTTCTTGGAGAAGTGGGTGACTCCTGGTCTAAGCCAGAAAAGGTCCAAGAAAAGCCTAGAAAATGTAAACATATCAGAAAGCAAAGACTGGCAGCAAAGAAACACACAATTACCTTAAATAATCTCCCATTGGCCACAGATGGGACAATTTTAGCATCAATTAGAATTATAACTAATGGACGAAACATATCAAATGTGTTTAAATCAGTGAGTTCACCTTTGGAAAATGTTAGGAACCAATTCATTTTGAAAACTGGCATATAATAAGGGGAAAGAATCAAGTATTTCTCTTGCTTTCCCTACATGATCTGTACCTTAAAGTAATCACATAGTTGGGGAGGAGGAAGTTTTCAACAGAAGTAACTAGAACATATTAAAAGAATTAACACAGCACTATTTTGCAACCCTTAGTGAATAAATCTGGGCAATAATCATCATGGCAAATAAATCACGGAAAGAGATATAAGTGAGGGAAGTACACAATATCACCTTTGGAACAATCTTGCCAAACAAAACAAAACACCAAACCTGAATCTCTAATCAGTTCTCTAGATGTAAATACCAATTACAGGAAACACAGAGGACAGTGGAGTATGTTAAAAGACACCATGTAGAGAAAATCGGCAACATTCCAATATGTGAGAAACTTTATGGGCCAAACACCTGATGTCTTCAACCAAAAAATGTCAAGGAATGCACACACAACCACACACACACACACACACACACACACACACACACACACACACACACAGAGAGAAAGAGAAAGAGAGATAGAAGAGAGAGCTGGAGAAGGGGAATTTATATATCAAAGGGAATCTGAGAGATTATAATGCAATAAAACAATAAAGGAAATGTAAATATCAATTGCATATATACATATTCATATATTAAGGGATTATTGTTATTTTTTATAGATGGGATAATGATACTGAGACTTTTTTTTTTAAGAAGCTGTTACCTTTTAGAGAAACACACTGATGTATTTCAGTGGGGATACAGATGAAACAGGGTTTGCCACACGTTGATAATTATCTAAGCCAGTTAATAGACACAATGAGTTTATATTTTGTCTGTATTTCTGTATATAAAAAATTTTCTATGATAAAATATTGTTAAAAATTGCTTTCATCATCCTGACAATGTAAGTGAAAAAGCATCTTTTCAATCCTTAAGATTGCCAGTATAAGTCATTACAGCTTTTTCAAGGCTTCATGAAAGAGACTCTTCATAATTTTTAAGTGACCAAATTTGAAATTAAATTAAGTTATCCATGAGGTCTAAATCATGGAGTCTGCATAGACCCCTGGACTGTAACTTGATTTAAAAAGATTACAAAAATCTTTATCTGAGGTTTATTGTCCTTAGAAAGGATAATAGTAGTTTTTATTCCATCTTTCTAATTAGTAATTTAAGCATATGTTCAGCATTTAACTCTAAATGTTTGCCTTTTCCCCAAGCTCGAAGACAGCTGTCCAAGATTTGAATGCCAGAAAACATTTAAATATCAACATCTGTTGAATTATGTTAATTTAGTGTAATATAATTGGGCATGAGTTGGAACTGATCAGAAGTATATGAAATAAACAAAGGTAAATTCCCACCAATATCTTGGTATACAAATAAATCACTAAGGAATGATGAAAAACAATTTGAAAAACAATTATTTCTACAAAAAAAGCAAAGGAAAGGTACTGATTATAAAGAAATTGATTCTTTTAAAAACATAGTTATAACTCTTAAGACATTATCTTGCTATTTTTAAATTGTTCCTGTAATTGAAAGGAAATGAAAATTATCTAAAATGAGTGATAGCCAAATATTTGATATTTGAATATTTTTATTCATTATTAAGTAAAACATTCTAATTATACTTATATATGCATTAAAGTTTTAGATTGCAGAATAATTCTTGTTATATTATGAGCAGTAAATATTCAAGGGTTGATGTGATTTCTGTAGACATAAAGTAATATTTTAAAATTGAAAGTATTTTCAGTGTGGCAGATGAATTTAATAGGTTTTTTCCTGAGGACGGTAAGGTACAAATGATCAAGCAGCAGATGTTGTTTATTATTTTGCAGATTTAAAATATTAATTTCTACAGTGATTCTCTTACTAATAAATTAGGACTGCTTGTTTGTTTTGGGAAATATTCTGGCACTTACACATTGGATTAACAGATCCCCAAATGTACCCATAATGAAGTTATAACCCAGGCTGCAGTAGTGATACAAGCTGTTGTGATATGGGCCTGCAGGTGTATCCTAATCATTTCCTAGGAGAATCATCTCTGGGAGTTAAAGGTTAGTTCTGTGTCCATGCCCATTTAATCACAGGACCAATTTGGAGAGTGCCAACTGTGAAACAAACACCTGTCCTTAAGGAAATGGACTTTAGACCACAAATTCATTTCAGTTAAGGGTCACTGGAACAGCTTTCACATGCTAACTGTTTTCCATCCTTAGTGACCATGGCCAAATTCAACTGCAATCCTAGAGATGAGAGGCTGTTCATACTTTCTGGCATTTGAAAATATCTAGTTCATCTACCAGAAAAAGAGAAGACGTAAGTAATAAGAGTTTCACTAGTTAGTAGTAGTGTTTTGTTTTTGTTTTATTTACCACCCACTGGGCATATTACTTATTTCTAAATGTCAAATTCCTTTTTTTCTGTGTGGGCTTTTCATATAAAACTGAAAAGCACCCTCCAAAATTCTAAGTGGCTGATAACTAATTTTATTTCATATAATGACAATTTAAAATAACCCTCTATGATCATTAGTTTAAAATCTTGGCAAGGAAGAATTTCAGGATGCCAAAAGGACAGGAAGCATGAGAACTGGCAATGTGAGAATAGTGTAGTTTTATACAATACAATAATTTGGTTATATAGAGTAAAACAGATTAATTAAATCCCTTAAAAACCATTTTATGTTGTATATGTGGTATGCTTCCAATTATTCTACTCTAAGGATCTCTATACTTAGACGCCATTTGAGCTTTCTTTTTAATTGGAATATATATGTAATTAAATGCATTCCAATTAAACAAATATAGAAAGTATACATTCTAATTAAAGCAAATATATGAATACTTTCTATTCATTCATGCGTACATAAGAATGAATAAAAAAAACTAAGATATTTTTCTATCTGAAAGGCTAAACTTCTTTTACAACGATAAAATCTAATGCTAATTTTAGGTATGGAAAGGAAAAAATGAGAATAAACTAGAAATTTTACTTTTAAAGTTAGTTTAAAAGCAGTTTTAAACCATTATTTTGGACATATAAATATAAATATATAAAATATAAAATGTCGAGTGATAGAATTTGCTTTGAAATATGACAAAAGAGAATTTGTTTTAAAATCCTAAATTTACTAAGGTAGGATAGACAACTTAAACCATTAAAATAAAGCATCACTTGCTATTGTTGATATACTTAATTTTGTTAATACATTTCTAGGAAAAGCAGCATTAAACAAATATAGCCCATGTCATTAAGCGGTACTCTAATGAACAGTTACCCTATCCTAATTTATTAACAGCTGCTCAAAAATGTCATAATTAATAGTTTCATTTATTTTTGGCAAACCTGCAAAATGACAAATAGTTTTGTATCTGTTGCAAATTATGTCTCCTTTCCAAACAACAAATGACAGTATGGGGAAGACTGAGCAAACTGAATCCTTAAACATCTTTGGATCTTTAGATGGTCAAATAAAGAGCAGCTGTAACTCTATCTGTTACATCTGCAACAAAATACAGTGATCTGTATCATATAAAAACAAACGTGTTCTGTATTAATGTAAATAGGAATGTTCTTTCTAACTTGATGGAAGAGGGCTGACATGAATGTGATGAGATCTGTTTTGTTTCTCTGATTAAATCTATTGTCACTTTTTTTTTCATTTTAGAAGACTCCTTGTAGTGCTAATCAGGCAAAATGACAGGAAAAAAAGTTTCTTTCTTCTCACTATTAATAGACAACCTAAGAAATTATGTCACATAGAATCCATGGATTATCAAATCATTTGACATTAAGTAGATAAAAAGTGAAAAATATAATGTGTTTAGCAACTAAGTGAAAGTAAATTAAAGATGTTTCTAAAAGACACTTTAAAAAATTAAGTACAATTTAATAATGTCAGCAATAAAAATGTTTTTACTTGATTTCAAACTACATGTCAGACTACTAAATAATTTGGCTTTTGTGCTTCATAACAGTAAAGGACAAAAATCATATAAGAAAACATGGCAAATTCAAACCCTCCTCCTTCAAAAAAACGGTGCCATATCCGTAAGAAAAGGCTTTGAATCTAAACAATTGAATAAAGCTGCCACAAATGATCAAGTTTGTTGCATGGATTCTTACAGCAATAAAGACTAATCATAAGCATAAAAATGTGTTAAAACAGCAAGATCTTTTCAAAAATGACGTATCACTTAGTATTAGGCATCGCTTAGTGCATGTTTTCAACAGACTTTTTTTTTTTTTTTTTTTTTTTGAGACAGAGACTTGCTCTGTTGCCCAGGCTGGAGTGCAGTGGCCTGATCTCGGCTCACTGCAAGCTCCGCTTCCCAGGTTCACGCCATTCTCCCGCCTCAGCCTCCCGAGTGGCTGGGACTACAGGCGCCCGCCACCACGCCGGGCTAATTTTTTTGTGTTTTTAATAGAGACGGGGTTTCACTGTGTTAGCCAAGATGGTCTCGATCTCCTGACCTCATGATCTGCTCACCTCGGCCTCCTAAAGTGCTGGGATTACAGGCGTGAGCCACCGTGCCCAGTCCAACAGACTTTCAATTTGGAAAAGCTATATTGAACTTTCTGGTGCTAACCAAAGGTTTCTGACATGAGAAACAATGTGACATTATTTAGCTGTAGCTCTAAAATGAGGTGATAGCAGTGGGAAAGCTCTTTCTAATTTTGAGAAGCATAAAATTATATTTAAATACAGAAATACCAAGAAAAAAAGAGATTGAAAATTGCAGAACCGTTCTCCACGTTTTCTCACCTGTAGTGCTCAAGGATAAGTGGAGAAAGAATGTACAGAGAGAGGAACTGGCTGAAATGGCTTTGGCATTGTCCTAGTCCCCCCTAGAAACAGGATGCCCTTCAACTCTTTAGCACAGCAAGTTCTTTCACCACTAAGGTATATAACCCAGGGCATGCTAACTTTCTGGATCCCTCAGCTGTGGTGCGACTGGGCATGTGTGGAGGAAACTATCAGTCCCAGGCAGCTTTCCTGAGCCTTGGGAGGCTGCTCACAATGAATCATAAACTTCTGTCCCTTACTACCTATCTGTGAGTAATCAATCTGCTTCATATAACCTGTGGCACATGAGTGTGTTCTGCCTTAGTGAGATAAGTTGGTAACTGGTGCACAGTGAACTTGCTTAATAAATCTAGACATCACTAGTATTTCTGTCTAAAAAACACTTAGGTGCATTGCCTCAAGGTTTAGTTCAGTGTGTGTGTGTGTGTGTGTGTGTGTGTGTGTGTGTGTGTTCACTTTAGCTAATAATTGATTGCATGTAATGACCATTCAAAAACCATGCCTGTTGATTACTAAATATTGAAAATGACAGGTAATAGGTAGTTTTTTTAAAAAAATAACAACTGAATATGCCTTTATGTATTTATTTATGAAAAGAATTTCATGTTTTCCCGAATTGTCATCATGGTTTCAAAGGTTTTGAGGTACATGAAAATGACAGAATGGCACGAACAAACCCTGAGACATGCATAAAATATTAGATAGATAAGAGGCAATAAAACTAAGATAAAACTTCATAGCAGGCAAATGGACAGAAAACACTGAAGAAATGGAAGAAAGGATGTAAAAAAAAAACCCATAGACTTATCAAACAGAAGTGTAGAGGGACATAATCAACATGATATAAGCAAGGTGGAAGAACATGAGACAGGAAACATGTAACTCTAGGGACTATGATGCAAAATCTCAGGAAAACACATCAAATGAATATATGAAAATAATGTCATGATGACAATTCTTCACATCACTCACTATCTGACACATCTACTTTACGATAAGGACACCCCTCAGGAAATAAAAATGAAACAACAAACTAAAAGAAAGATTATAAGACTAATATCACTTGAATCAATTAGAAAAATTAAATCCATATTAAGAATCAGTGTGTTTCTCCCTTGAAATTTGATTATAGGACTCATTATGCATCCTATGTGAGAAGAATAAGAATGTTATTTACAATAAACGTATGAATCAATACTTTATTAGTAGAGAATATTAATATTCAGAATATGATGAAATGGCATGTAATGATGGGCACTGCTTATGGTAACTGATGCCACAAGGGGAGATAGTGAAGCATGAGAAGCAAGTTAAGAAATCCACAGGAATCCTGCCCTTTTAGGAAAAGAGAGAAGTATAGGATACCTTGAATACAGTGTCCATTATTGATGAAGTAGAACTTCCTCATAGAAAGGATTAAAATAGTTAAAATGAGCTATTTGTTTAAAGGAAATTATAAAGGTCACTTGTTTGGTATTGTTAAGATATAGAAAGGTCAAAGAGTTGGGAGACAATTCTTCTGCACTCATAATTAAGTTAAAGAGCCTAGATGAAAATTAATGTGAATGTGGCAAA
This sequence comes from Homo sapiens, assembly GCF_000001405.40. Lineage (NCBI taxonomy): Eukaryota > Metazoa > Chordata > Mammalia > Primates > Hominidae > Homo > Homo sapiens. The sequence continues at coordinate 217,474,444 of NC_000001.11, forward strand.
AAAGGAGAAATGGCATAAATTGGACATAAAGAAAACCACCACAAAAGTGAATTACAGTAAGTGGCATTGGTAAATATGTCCCCAAATCCCTTTTTACAGAGGTCCTGAAAACTCCCCTGAGGAGTTGAGGGTGAGATGTCCTACATTCCAAAGACTAAAGCCATAACTGCATAGCACTTTATTCAGAGCTTTTGTGAGGAATGCCTACGTTAAGGGCATGCTTTAGTCACGCACTTCAAAGTCTTGGCTTTGAATCATGAACAGCGGACCATCTATGCATTTATCTTTTTTTACCTGCTTGGTATATTTTGGGAGTAAATGACCCTACAATTTATTGATTTAATGCATTATAGTTCTCTTCTCTCACCTTTATGTTTTTCTACAAGTTGAAAAAGGGAAGTGCAGTCACTCATCCAAAAGGGGTAAGAAAAGTCAAGATACTATTAAAAATACTAAGAAAGAAAATGGATTGAATGAGAGTAACATAGAAAAATGCATATAAATAAAAAAGGTGAATAATTTTTATCTTGCATTTAACAAAACTTGTAACAAGAATTAAACATGAGTAGTCTTTCTCTTCTTACACACGTATTTCACCTTTTCAAGTTGCCCTGTGCCTAACATAACTGAAGGCTTCGGAGAGAAGAAAAAAATATGCACTCACAAACCAAGAAAAAGAGGATATGAAAGGAATGTTCAAAGAAACAAGAGAAGGCTCGGCGCGGTGGCTCATGCTTGCAATCTCAGTACTTTGGGACTCCGAGGTGGGTGGATCATTTGAGGTCAGGAGTTTGAGACCAGCCTGGCCAACATGGTGAAACCCCATCTCTACTAAAAATACAAAAATTAGCTGGATGTGGTGGCAGATGCCTGTAATCCCAGTTACTTGGGAGGCTGAGGCAGGAGAATTGCTTGAGCCTGGGAGGCAGAGGTTGCAGCGAGCCGAAATTGTGCCACTGCACTCCAGCCTGGGCGACACAGCAAGACTCCATCTCAAAAAACAAAACAAAACAAACAAACAAAAAATTAAAGAAACAAGAGGAGATCTTGGAAATGAAAAGAGTAAGATAATTTTAAATATCATTAAGTTACTTGGGGCAGAGTGTTGAGAAAACTGCCTCCAAATCTTCCAAGAAAATACTACATAAAAGAAAAGTGTAAAAAGTTAGAGGATCATTTAAGGGTGCTCCAATACTGAAAAATTAGGAGCACAGAGAAAATGGCAACTACTGACAACTGAAAGACATTGGAGCAATGCCTTCAAAACCCTGAGGAAAAAAATTTTCAAACTGGAATTCAATTCCCAACTAAATCAATTAATGTAAGATAAGAATAAAGACATTTTGAGACATGCAAAATTCCATAAATTTAACCATCTCTGTTCTCTTCTGGGAAAGCTGAAGAAAAATAATGCCTTTGGATCCAGGGCACATAAAATCCCACACAGGGGATATATGAAGGAAATCTCAAGCATGATAGTTAAGAGAGATGCCAGGACATTAGATGTGCAGCAGGTCCAGAAAGCAAACAGTCCAGAACGAGCCTGAAAAATGGAGGGCTCCAAGAGAGATGCCACCAAGAAAACTAACTGAGAGGTGTTTAACTTCTGTCAAGAGGCGTCTGATGAGTTTAGGGATAGGCACATAGAACAAAAAGCAAATAAGAAACAAAACAATGATAACCAGAACTAAAAGTGATATATCTGTGAATATCTACACAGATAATCATATTAATGAAAACAATGGATATTTATTTGGTCTGGAAGAAAAGAGGGAAAGAAATCCAGATATGAGTGTGTGTGTGTGTGTGTGTGTGTGTGTGTGTATTGTTGTGGGGGACACAGCAAGAAATCGATATGCACAGCACCTGGGGTGGAGCAAGATGGCAGAATAGAAGACCACCAATTGCCACCCCCTCCAGGACACCAATGTAACAACTATCTACACAAAGAAAGCTCATTCATAGCAACCAAAAATCAGGTAAGGACTCACAATACCTGGATTTAACTTCATACTGCTGGAAAAGGCACTGAAGAGGCAGGAAAAACAGTCTTGAATCACTGATGCTGCCCCTACCCTGTCCCCCAGCACTGGTGGTGTAGTATGAAAGCACGTCTATGCTCTAGGGTGAGGGAGAGCACAGCAATTGTGAGGCACTGAACCCAGTGCTGCCCTGTTATAGCAGAAATCAAAACGGAACCAAACTCAGCTGACGCCTGCCCACGGAGGAAACATTTAAACCAGCCCTAGCCAGAGGGGAATCACCAATCCTAGCGGTCCAAACTTGAGTTTCTGCAAACCTCGCAACCATAAGCTAAAGTACTCTGGGGCTTTAAATAAATTTGAAAGGCAGTCTATGCCACAAAGACTGCAACTCCTAGGAGAGTCCTAGTGCTGAACTGGGCCCAGAGATAGTTGACTGCGGGGGCATGCAACATACTGAGACACTAGCGGGGGTGGTTAAGGGAGTGCTAGCATCACTCCTCTCCTAACTCCAAGCCGCACAACTCATAACTCCAAAAGGGATCCCTTTCATCTTCTGGAGGAGATGAGAGGGAAGAGTGGGGAGGACTTTGTCTTGCATCTTGGATACCAGCTGAGCCACAGCCAGATAGGGGACCAGTCAGAGTTGTGAGGCCCTCTTTTCAGGGCCTAGCTCCTGGATGACATTTCTAGATACATCCTGGGCCAGAAGGGAACCCACTGCCTTGAAGGGAAGGACTTGGTTCTGACAGGATTCATCACTTGCTAACTGAAGAGCCTTTGGGCCCTGTATAACAAGCAGCGATACCTAGGTACCACACTGAGGGCCTTGGGTAAGCCTCTGAGACTTGCTAGCTTCAAGAGAGACTCAGCACATTCCCAGCTGTGCTGACTCTGTCTGCTTGAGAAAAGCAGAGGGAAAAGTAAAGAGGACTTTGTCTTGCACCTTAGGTACCAGCTTGGCCACAGGGGCACGGAGCACCAAGTGGGATCCTGGGGTCCCTGATTCCAGAACTTGGTTCCTGTATGGCATTTTTGGACCTGTCCTGGGCCAGAGGGGAGCCCACTGCCCTGAAGAGTGAGTCCTAGGCCAGGCAGCATCCACCACAAGCTGACTGAAGACCCCTTCGGCCTTAAGGGAACATTGGCAATAGTCTGGCAGTACTCCCCATGGCCTGTGGTAGGAGTGGCCATGGGGTGAGGATCCTCTGCCTTTGGAAAAGGAAAGAGTGGGAAGGACTTTCTCCCCTTTGGGGAGGAAAGAGTGGGAAGGACTGCAACTACTGGTGTGAGTGCCAAATCAGTGGAGTATAACAGAACACCAGGTAGACTTCTAAGCTTTTTGATTCTATTCCCTGGCTCCCAGATGGCACCTCTGGACCTACCTGGGGTCAGGGAGTGTGGTTACAACAGGCCTTGGTTGAGACCTAATGCTGTGCTGGCTTCAAGTCTGACCCTCAGCCCTTCTGGTGGTGTTCAAGGAGATGCTTGTGTCACTCTATTGCTAGCTTCATGAGGCTCAGAACAAGAGAGAAACTATGTATGACTGGGAGAAAGTAAGGGAAGAGAATTAGAATCTCTGCCTGGTAATCCAGATAATTCTCCCAGATCTTGTCCGAGACTATCAAGGCAATACCTCTACAAGTCTGCAAGAACCACAGTGTTACTGTTCTTGGGATGCCGCCTAAAGCAGATACAGCTTAGATTACAATATCCAAGTCCCTTTTAATATCTGGAAAGCCTTTGCAAGAAAGATGGGTACAAATGAGCCCAGAATGAGAAGACTACAATAAACACCTAATTCTTCACTGCCCAGACACAGACAAACACTTACAAGTATCAAGACCATCCAGGAAAACATGACCCCACCACATGAACTAAATAAGGCACGAGGGACCATCCTGGAGAAACAGACAGAACTCAAAATACCTATTTTGAGGAAACTCAAAGAAATTCAAGATAACACAAAGAAGGAATTCAAAATTCTATTAGACAAATTTAATAAAGAGATTGAAATAATGAAAAGGAATTAAGCAGAAATTCTGGAGTTTAAAAATGCAACTGGCATACTGAAGAAAGGATCAGTCTTTAAAAGCAGAATAGATCAAGCTGAAGAAAAATTAGTGGGTTGAAGACAGGCTAAAAATACACAGTCAGAAGAGACAAAAGGCAAAAGAATAAAAAACAATGAAGCACACCTACAGGACCTAGCCTCAAAAGGGCAAGTATGAGAGTAATTGGCCTTAAAAAGTGGGAAATGAAAGAGATAGGGGTAGAAAGTGTATTTAAAGGGATAACAGAGAATTTCTTAAACCTAGAGAAAGATATCAATATGTAAGTCCAAGAAGGTTATAGAACACTAAACAGATTTAACCAAAAGAAAACTACCTCAAAACATTTAATAATCAAACTCCCAAAGGTGAACAATAAAATAAAGAAACCTAAAAGCAGCAAGAGAAAAGAAACAAGTAACATACAATGGAGCTCCAATACATGTGGCAGCAGACTTTTCAGTGGAAATCTCATAGGCCAGGAGAGAGTGACATGACATATTTAAAATGCTAAAGGAAAAAAAAAACTTTTACTCTAGAATAGTTTATCTGGTCAAAATATCCTTCAAACATGAAGGAGAAATAAAGGCTCTCCCAGACAAACAAAACCTGAGGGATTTCATCAACACCAGACACATCCTACAAGAAATTCTAAGGGAGTTTTTCAATCTGAAAGAAAAGGACATTAATGAGCAATAAGAAATCATCTAAAGGTACAAAATTCACTGGTAATAGTAAGTACACAGAAAAACACAGAATATTGTAACACTGTAATTATGATGTCTAAACTACTCAAGTAGAAAGACTAAATGATGAATGAATAAAAAATAATAACTACAACAATTTTTCAAGACAGTACAAGAAGATATAAACAGAAATAACAGAAAGTTAAAAAGTAGAGAATGAGGTTGAGGCATAGTTTTTAATTAGTTTTCTTTTTGCTTTATGCAAACAGTGTTGTTATAATCTTAAAATAATGTGTCATAAAATAGTGTTTGCAAGCCTCAGTGGTAACCTCTAATCAAAAAGCCTACAACAGATGACACAAAAAATAAGCAAAAAACTAAATCATATTACCAGAGAAAATCACCTTCACTAAAAGGAAGACAAGAAAGAAAGAAAGAAGAGAAGACCACAAAACAACCAGAAAACAAATAAAAAATGGCTGGAGTAAGTCCTTACTTATCAATAATAAAACTGAATGTAAATGGACTAAACTCTCCAGTTAATAGACAGAGAATGGCTGAATGGATAAAAATTCAAGAGCCAATGATCTGTTGCCTACAAGAAATACACTTTACCTGTAAAGACACATATTGAATGAAAATAAAGAAATGGAAAAAGATACTCCATGCCAATGGAAACCAAAAAAGAGCAGGAATAGCTATATTTATGTGAGACAAAATAGATTTCAAGACAAAAACTATAAGAAGAGAAAAAGAAGATTACGTAATGATAAAGGGGTCAATTCAGCAAGAGGGTTTAACAATTTTAAATATATATGCACCAACACTGGAGGACCCAGATATATAAAGCAAATATTATTAAAGCTAAAGAGAGATATAGGCCCCAATACAATAATAGCTGGAGACTTTGGTCTGGGCAAAAATTTCTTGAGTAATACCCCATGAGCAAAGGCAACCAAAGCAAAAATGGACAAATGGGATCACGTCAAATTAAGAAGCTTCTGTACAGCAAAGGGAACAATCAACAAAGTGAGGAGAGAACTCAGAGAATGGGAGAAAATATTTGCAAGCTACCCACCTGACAAAGGATTAGTAATCAGAAAAATAAGGAGCTCAAACAACTCTACAGGAAAAAAAAAATCTAATAATCTGATTACAAAATGGGCAAAAGATTTGAATAGACATTTCTCAAAAGAAGACATACAAATGGCAAACAGGCATATGAAATGGTGCCCAACATCACTGATCATCGGAGAAGTGCAAATCAAACCACAATGAAATATCATCTCACCCCAGTTGAAATGGCTTATATCCAAATGAGGTAATAACGAATTCTGGCAGGGATGTGGAGAAAAGGGAACCCTTTAATGTTGTTGGCAGGAAAGTAAATTAGTACAACCACTATGGAGAACAATTTGGAGGTTCCTCAAAAAACTAAAAATAGAGCTACCATATGATCCAGCAATCCCACTGCTGGGTATGTACCTAAAAGAATGGAAATCAGTGTATCAAAGAGATACCTGCACTCCCATGTTTGTTGCAGCACAGTTCACAACAGCCAAGATTTGGAGGCAACCTAAGTGTCCATCAACAGATGAATAAAGAAAATGTACATATACATAATGGAGTAGTATTCAGCCATTAAAAATAATGGTATTCTGTCATTTGAAACAATATGGATGGAACTGGAGTTGATTATGCTAAGTGAAATAAGCCAGGCACAGAAAGACAAACATCAAAACCACAATGAGATATTATCATGTTCTCACTTATTTGTGGGATCTGAAAATCAAAACAATTGAACTCATGGAGATAGAGAGTAGAAGAATGATTACCAGAGACTGGGAAGGGGAGTGGGAGGGTAGCAGGGAGGTGGGGATAATTAATGGGTACAAAACAAATAGAAAGAAAGAATAAGACCTAGTATTTGATAGGACAACAAGTGACTATAGTCAATAATAATTTAACTATACATTTTAAAATAACAAGTCTAACTGGATTATTGGTAATACAAAGGACAAATTGTTGAGGGGATGGATACCCCATTTTCCATAATGTGATTATTATGCATTGCATGCCTGTATCAAAACATCTCATGTACTCCATAAATACACATACCTACTATGTCCCCACAAAAATTAAAGTAAAACAAATTTTTAAAAAGTCAATAGGCAATATTAAACTGAAAACTTTAAGAAATAGCAATATAAATATGTAATACTAGAAATACAGAGGTCAACAGAAGACAGCTAAAACAGTTGAGAGTAGTTTCCTTTCAAGAGTGAAATTAGAGAATGGTAAAGAATAGGGTTGGGGACCACTGTATTTTGTTATAAGTTTATAGAACAATTTAACATTCTAAACTATGTATAAAAATAGTGTGATAGAAAAATTCAACTTAACAAGTGCCTAAGGCCAGGTGCAGTGGCTTATGCCTGTAACCCCAGCACTTTGGGAGGCTGAGGTAAGAAGATTCTTTGAGGCCAGGAGTTCAAGACCAGCCTGAGCACATAGTGAGACTCCATCTCTACAAAAAATAAAAAAATTAGTGAGGCATGGTAGTGGATGCCTACAGTCCCAGCTAATCAGAAGGCTGAGGCAGAAGGATTGCTTGTGCCCAGGAGTTTGAGACTACATATGATGAGCTATGACTGTACCACTGCACTTTAGCCTGAAAGACAGAGTGAGACCCTGCCTCAAAAAGCCCAAAAAACAAACAAACAAAAAACAAAACAAAACCAAGTGCTTAGGAAACATACAGGAAAAATAGAAACAATAATAATACAGTCATCATAACAGCTAACATCCACTTATTTGTTATTGTTTATTCCTTACAACAATGCTATGAGGTAGGTACTACCATTTTCTCTATTTTATAGATAAGTAAACTGAGAGAGAGAGAGAGGGTCAGTATTTTGCTCAGGATCACCCAGTTAGTAAGTGATTAAACTGGAATTGGAAGTCAGGCACCTCAGTTCCAGGGCCTACGCACTTAATCAGTGTACTCTACTCCTTAGATTTCATTTTAAATTTATTCTACAAATATTTTATGCAACAAACATTTATTGCCTAATAGCGCCAGGCACTGTTTTTGGTATTGGGGCTACATGAGTGAGTAAAACAAAGACCATGTATTCACGAAGCTTAAAAAGAGGAAAAATAGAGACAATAGGGAAGACACATAAAGCAGGGAGAGGGGACAGGGTATGATGGTACTGGTGGACAGTGGACCTTACACTGAGCAGAGAATTGAAGGAAATGAGGAGAAAGCCATATGGGTACTTGTAGACAGAGTGTTCTGGCAGAGGTAACAGCAGGTGCAAAGGCCCTGAGATGTGAGTGTGGATGGTGTGCTGGAGCAACCACTAAGAGGCCAGTGTGTCTGGAGCTCACGGTGAATAAGAGTTGAAGTGGGAGGAGATGAGGTCAGGGAGGAAGCCACAAGGGGTGAGTCACATCACATATAGTCTTGTAGGCCAAAAAGAAAAGACTTCAGTTTTTACTTGGAATGAAAGAGAAAGCCACTAAAGATTTTATTTAAAAAAAAATAGTTTGAAGAGTTTTGACAGTTTCCCTATCATCCTGGTGCCTGACATACATAAACTTCAAATCCTTAAAGTATACAATTTGATAAGTTTTGACACATTCATACACACGTGAAACCATCACTATAATCAAGATAATGAACATATCTATCATCCCAAAAGTTTCTACATGCCCATTTGTAGCCCTTTCCTCCCACATCCCCCTGGTCCTCACCCCATGTCTGGGCAACAACTGATCTGCTTTCTTTCACTATGTAGTAGTTTATGTTTCCTAGAATTTTACATAAATGTGTTATGTGTATCAATTCTTCATTCCTTTTTATTGGTGACTGAATTGCTTTCCACTGTATGGATATACCAACATTGTTTATCCATATACTCTCTGTCGAAGTTTTAGTATATATTGGTTGTTTCCTTTTTGCTTTTACTATTATGAATAAAGATGCTACAAATATTTGTATACCAATCTTGTTTTGTTTGTTTGTTTGTTTGAGACAGTCTCATTCTGTCTCTGTCGCCCAGGCTAGAGTGCAGTGGTACAATCTTGGCTCACTGCAACCTCTGCCTCCCAGGCTCAAGCAATCCTCCTACCTTGGCCTCCTGAGTAGATGGGACTATAGGCATGCGCCACCATGCCTGACTAATATTTTTACTTTTTGTAGAGATGGCATCTCACTATGTTGCCCAGGATGGCCTTGAGCTTTAGAGCTCAAGCAGTCCTCCCACCTTGGCCTCCCAAAGTGTTGAGATTACAGGTATAAGCCACTGTGCCTAGACCCCCCATTGCTTTTTTTGGAGACAGGGTCTTGCTCTATCACCCAGGCTGGAGTGCAGTGGTGTGGTGTGTACAAGTCTTTTAAGTATTCACGTGGAATGCATAGTAGGTCTATGTTTAACATTTTAGGAAACTTCAAAACTGGTTTCCAGAATGTAATATAGTACATTCATTTTGTTATTTTAGCTATTCTAATTGTTGTGAGTGATACCTCATTGTGGTTTTACTTTCCATTTTCCTAATGAGTAATGATGTTTAACATCTTTGCATATGCAATTTTCCATTTACATATCTTCTTTGGTGAGGTGTCCAGTCAAACTTTTCCTTATTGTTTAATTGGATTGATTTCTTATTACTGAGTTTTCAGAGTTGTTTACATATTCTTGATATAAATATTTTATAAGATATGTGATTGCAAATATTTTTTCCAGGTCTGTGGCTTTTCATTTTCTGAAGTGTCATTTGAAGAACATAAGTTTTAAATTTTCATAAATTCCAATTTATCAATTTATTCTTTCCTGGATTGTGTTCTGAAGTTTTATCAAAGCAATCTTTGCTGAAGCCAACATATGTTGGTTACTTTTAACCAACATACCAAGTCAATTTGACTGGGTCATGAGGTGCCTAGGCATTTGGTCAAATATTATTGTGTCTATGTCTGTGAGGGTGTTTCCAGATGAGATTAACATTTGAATTGGTAGACTGAGTAGATTTATCTCCTAAATGTGGGTGAGCCTCTTCTAATCAATTGTTTTTTAGAACACAAAAAGGATGAGTACAAAAAGGATGAGTAAGAGGTACCTCTTCCTACCTGACTACTCAGGTTGAACATCAGTTTCCTGCTTTTGGATTGGAACTAAAAAATTGGCTTTTCTTGGGTCTCGAGTCTGTCGACTATCAGACTAGAAGTTACATCACAGGTTTTCCTGGTTCTCAGGCCCTCAGACTCAGACTAGATCTACACCACTGGTTCTCCTGAGTCTCCAGCTTGTCAGCTGAAGATCTTGGGACTTCTCTGTCTCTATAATTGTGTGAGCCAATTCCTTCAAATAAATCTTTCTATATATAATTATTTATATATATATATATATATATGATGCACATATACACGTGTGCATATATATGTATACACATACACATGCATATGCACACGTGTATACATATATACACACATATACTTATATATACACGTGTATACACATATGAACATATATGTGTATATATGTGTGCATAGAGGTGATATATGTGCATATGTATATAAATACATAGGAGGTATAGGTATATATAGGATGGATATATATCTATATCCCATATAGATATATATGTATATGTGTATATAGATATATATATTTACTTATATGAACTGAGTTTCTCTGAAGAACCCTGCCTATAAATACACCAAAGTTGCAAAGATTTTCTCCTGTGTTTTCTTGAGGTTTTATATGTTTAGGTTTTACATTTAGGTCTGTTATCCATGTGGGTTAAGTTTTCTATGTGGTATATACACATAAATATATTTACTATAGAAATTGGCTCATGTGATTATGGAGGCTGAGAAGTCCCACAATCTGTGGTCTGCAAAATGGAGAAGTAGGAAAGTTGGTGGAGTAATTCAGCTGAAAGCTAGGGAGTAATGGGGTAAGACTTCATCTGAGTTTGTGGGCCCAAGAAACAGGAGTGCTGATGTCTGAGGGCAAGAGAATATGGATCTCTCAGATCAAGAGGAGAAAATAAATTTGCCATTCCTCTGCCTTTATGTTTTATTCAGGCCCTTAATAGATTGTATGATGCCCATCTGCATAAGAGAGATCTTTACTCAGTCTACCGATTCAAATGCTAGTCTCTTCCAGAAACACCCTTACGGACAAACCCAGAAATATTTATTGAGCAGCTATCTGGGCATCTCTTAGCCCAGTCAAATTGACACATAAAATTAACCATTACATGGTGTACGGTGTTAGGTGTGGGTTGAATATCTTTTTTTTTTTTTTTTGCAAATGACAATATACTTGATCCAGTACTATTTGTTGAAAAGACTGTCAAACTTTCTCCACTGACTTTGTAAATTGGTGAAAATCAGTTAGTTGTCTGTGCACATGTGGCTGTATTTCTTGACCTCTATTTCTCTCTAATGATCTGTTTTTCTATCTTCATATAAATGTAGTCAGGCATCAATTAATGACAAGGATACAAACCTGATGGTGTAGCCTACTACACACCTAGGCTCTATGGTATAGCCTATTGCTTCTAGGGTACAAACCTGTACTGAATCCTGTAGGCAACTGTAATATGGTGGTAAGTATTTGTGTATCTAAACATAACTAAACATGGGAAAGGTACAGTAAAAATATGGTATTGTAATCTTCTGGGACCACTGTCATATATGTGATCCGTCACTGACTGAAATGTCCTTATGTGGTGCATGACTGTACCAGACTGTCTTAATTAACATAGCTTTATAATAAAGTCTTCAAATAACGTAGTGTTAGCATTTCAACTTTATTTTTCTTGTTGAAAGTTGTTTGGGCTAAGTCCTTTGCATTTCCATATGAAATTTAGAATTAGCTTATCCATTTCTATAAAATTGCCTGCTGGGATTTTGATTTAGATAGTATTTAATCCATAGACAATTTGAAGAAAACCGATCTTAAGATATTGAGTCTTCTGACCCATGAACAAGGTGTATCTCTCCAGTTATGCAGATCTTAAGACCTAAATAAATATCTGGTTCTTGATTATGTGTTCTTTTTCTTGCTTCATATTGTTAATATCTTCCTATATCTATTTTGATTAATATTTATCATGCTAATTAGAATTTTGTTGACTCTCTTGTGCTAACATTTCTGCTTCTATTGGAATCTGTAATCCAATCGATTGTTTTTCTTTTGAAAAGGCTGTTCTTGTCAAATGTCTTTTTTCTTTTTGTTTTGTTTTTTGAGACAGGGTCTTATTCTGTTGCCCACACTGGAGTGCACTAGCATGATCATGGCTCACTGCAGCCTCGACTGCCCAGTTAGTTTTTAAATGTTTTATAGAGACAGAGTCTCACTATGTTGCACTGGCTGGTCTTGAACTCCTGGGCTCAAGTGATCCTCCCGCCTTGGCCTTCCAAAGTGCTGGGATTACAGGTGTGAGCTACTCTGCCTGGCCTCTTCAAACGTCTTGTCTTAGCCTATGAGTTCATCTTCCTCTGAGAATATTGGCTAGTCTGTCAGGCAATGGCATGTGGAAAGCAACTGGGGTTGTGAGCCTTAGAGTGGAGAGGCTCTGGCACCGGAAAACCACAGTCATCACACCCCATCCCATGAAATAACCCCTTTGGTTAGGAGAATACCTTTTCCCTCTTCTCACTCCCAGAGAGGAGCAGGACTAATTCTTCAGCACTGGGTTTTAGAGGGGCTGCAGCAAGGACATGATAATCTTTCACCTAGTTCCATGAAGCTCCTCAAAAACAGCACTGTGAACTACTGAGTTTATTTCAGAAAACACTTAGACCAGAGGTCTGAGTCTTTGTGTGGGGCAGGCAGCAGTTCTCCCAAGGCAATGGCCAATGATAAAACAGTACAGAATTGTATTTCATATTTTATTCTCCCTGTATTTCATATTTTATTTTCCCTCAGCCAGGCTGGATTGCCTCCTGTCTCAAGTCAAAGCCACCCTGCTTTACATACACAAGTTTAAGATAGCACCTATAATACCAAGGGCTTCTTGAAGTTTCCTATGTATTTTCTCTTTCTAAATTTCTGCTGGGTTGATCTTCAGGGAGGTGGCAGTAATCCTGTAGTTCAGAAACTTGATTGTAACAGGAGCTGGGACCGAATTTCTAATATAAATAAACATTTAAGGCAGTAGAATTTCCTCCAATTACCATCTAATTGCAATCCACATGTCTTGATATTAATATAGTTGCTTCTGACACATGAGTTGCTTGGAAGAGTACTTCTTTTTTTTTTTTTTTTTGAGTCGGAGTTTCACTCTTGTTGCCCAGGCTGGAGTGCAATGGCCCAATCTTGGCTCACTGCAACCTCCGCCTTCCGGGTTCAGGCGATTCTCCTGGCTCAGCTTCCCAAGTAGCTGGGACTACAGGCAGGGGCCACCAAGCCCGGCTAATTTTTGTATTTTTGGTAGAAACAGGGTTTCACCATTTTGGCCAGGCTGATCTCCAACTCCTGACCTCAGGTGTCCGCCCACCTCGGCCTCCCAAAGTGCTGGGATTGCAGGCATGAGCCACTGCACCCGGCCAGAAGTGCACTTTTTCACTGTAACCTATGTTTTTTGGAGACTGAGTCTCACTCTGTCGCCCAGGCTGTAGTGCAGTGGCGTGATCTAGGCTCACTGCAATCTCCGACTCCTGGGTTCAAGTGATTCTCCTGCCTCAGCCTCCTGAGTAGCTGGGATTACAGGAGCACACCACCACGCCTAGCTAATTTTGTATTTTTAGTAGAGACGCGGTTTCACCATGTTGGTCAGGCTGGTATCGAACTCCTGACCTCGTGATCCACCCGCCTTGGCTTCCCAAAGTGTTGGGATTACAGGCGTGAGCCACCGCACCCAGCCTTTAACTGTAACCTTTAAAAAAAAAAAATTTGGTACTGATTTCTAACTGAATCACATTCCAGTAAAGGAATATATTTTTTATGATCCATATTCACTGAAATTTGTTGATACTAGCTTTATGGCCTGGTAAGTGATTAATTTTGTAAGTGTTGTATGTGTCTTTGAGAAGAATGTGTTTTTACTACCAGTTTGGATGCAAGGTTTTATATAATATTACTAATTTCAGCTTGCTAATTTTGTGTTACAGAAATTTTCCATTTATAAATTTTCTGGGTGGCTTAAGCTATCAATAATAGCAGTGTTATGATGGTGGGTTAGTAAGTTTCTCCATGTTCTCCTATTGCTCTTTGCTTTATACATTTTGAGGTTATTTGAGTGCCTATACACTGAATCTTTTATCCTAAAATAATGACTTTTTAAAACTTGGTAAAGTTTTTTTTCCTAAATCACTTTGGTATGAGAGCTTTCTTTATAATGCATCTAGCATATATCCTGTTCCTTCTTTAGTTTTCCACCCTTCCCTGTCATTATATTTCAGGTGTGTCTTTTATAAAGAACATATACTGGATATTTCCAGTAAGTCCAACCTAATTAGTTCTGCTTTTAACTGACATGTTTAATCATAAATTATTTTATTTTATTTTAATTTTTAAAAAACTATTTTTTTTTTGAGACAGGGTCTTACTGTGTTGCCCAGGCTGAAGTGCAGTGGCATGATCATGGCTCACTGTAAGGTCCAACTCCTGGGCTCAAGTAGTCCTCCTGCCTCAGCTTGCTGTGTAGCTGGGACTACAGACATGCACCGCCATAGACTATTTAAAATTTTTTTTTTTTTTGTAGAGACAGAGTCTTGCATGTTGCCCATGGTGGTCTCAAACTCCTTGTCTCAAGTAATCTCAAAGTGCTGTGGCTTAACAGGTGTGGGCCTCTTCGAGCAGCCAACCATAAATATTTCCTGTGATTACTGATCTGTGTGTGTGTGTTTATGTGTATGATTCAATTGTCTAATTTTATGCTTTCTATGTATCTTATTTTCTCAATGCTTTTTCTTTTCTCTTCACTTTTTTTTTTTTTTGGTAGAGATGGAGGGTATCACTATTTTGCCCAGGCTGGTCTCAAGCTCCTGGCCTCAAGCAATCCTCCTGTTTCAGCCTTCCAAAGTGCTGGAATTAACTATTTTTAAATAGTTAATTAATCCATTTTTAAAAAATGGATTATTTGACGGGGGCAATATTTTAATTACATTTCCCCCTTCCACTGGTTTGGCAATTATATACTCTCTTTCTATTGACTTAGTAGTTATTTAGATATTTTACCAATGAATACTTAATGTAGTCTTATCAAGTATCAAATGCTTAACTGACTAATGAAGTAGACATCTTAAACAATTCAAGGACCTTACATTGGACTTTAACTATAATCGCCAACCCTGCAAACTTAACACGCTATTGCTGTCCATTATTTTATTTTCTTTTATTTATTTTCTTTTTTGTTTGTTTGTTTTGTCCATTGTTTTAGATTGCCTTTAAGTCTTACAAATTGTCGGGGCACAGTGGCTCATGCCTGTAATCCCAGCACTTTGGGAGGCCAAGGCAAGCAGATCACCTGAGGTCAGGAGTTTGAGACCAGCCTGGCCAACATAGTGAAACCCCGTCTCTACTACAAATACAAAATTAGCCGGGTGTGGCGGCACATGCCTGTAATCCCAGCTACTTGGGAGGCTGGGGCAGGAGAATTGCTTGAACCCGAGAGGCGGAGGTTGCAGTGAGTGGAGATCGCACCATTGCACTCCAGCCTGGGCAACAAGAGAGAAACTCCGTCTCAAATAAAAAAGAATTGAGAAACTCCGTCTCAAATTAAAGAAATTTTTTTTAAAAAGTCCTACAAATTACATTATTACAATTATCACTTTATAGAAGCAATGATTATTTATATAAACATTTTAATCAGTATATTGGCTCGTTATTCATTCTTGCATCTCAGAACTTCCTTGGGACTTTTATGAAATACACCCTTTAAAACTTCTTCGCAAAGGTCTGTAAATATTCCTCGTTTTTGAAAATCTTTATTTTACTTCATCTTTGTACATGAAAGATGGGTTTCCAGGTACATAGTTCCAGGTTGACAATTTATTTTCATGCAGCGCAATGAGGATGATTGCACTGTCTTCTGGCCTTACCGATGCTACTGAGAAATCTGATATATCATTGTCATTCCTTTGTAGATAATTTGCCTTTTCTCTTGATTCTTTTAACATTTGTCTTTGCTTTTGGTCTACTATGGTATATTATTAGGTGTGGATTTCGTTTTATTTATCGTGCATGTTATTCACTGTGCTTTTTGTATCTGTATCTATGGATTTATAACTTTTACCAGGTTGGGGAATTCTTAGCGACCATCTCATCAAATTTCATGTTTTTTTCAGCTGTTCCATTCTTTTCCTCAAGGACTATGATTGATTGTATCACAGATCTTCTTTGTCTCTTAAGTACTCCTTCAGTTTTCCATCTCCTTGAATTTTTATACTATATTCTGGCTCATTCTTCAGATGTATCTTTCCTTTCACTAATTATCTCTTGAACAATCACATTTCTCATTTCTAAAAATTATATACATTTTTCACTTCTTATTGATTCATTTTTATGGTGTTTTGTTGCTTGCTCATTTTATTTCTATAAACATCTCATCCATAGTTATTTTATAATCTATATCTTACAATTTTAGGATCTGGCAATCTTAGGAGAAAATCTCTTAGTCATTTATGTTGACTATCACTGATGGTGAATTATCCCATTTTGTGTTTGGTGATTTTTGATTGTCTAAATTAGGTATGCTGGGTAGGATTTGCATTTGCTTCTGCAGATACCCAGTGGGATCTCAGTTGGCATTAGTCTGCATGACATGGCACTTTGAAGCTGTATTTTGGTTACTTGGGAATGTTAAAGTCAGTGGATAGCACACTAGCACTGGGAAGCCATGGGATGCAATGGTGGCTGCTGAGGTCAGTTATCTGTTCTTAAGAATAAAATAAATGTAAATATCAGGGCAGTTTTTCTAATCAACATTCTGACAAGAAGGGTAGCCATTTTCATCTAAACAAAAATTAAGTCTTCAGAAACACCATTTGCACAATTTGAAAATATATTGTCTAAAAAACAAACTGGGAGAAATTCTTTGTATTATGGAAAAAACTAACATTGGAAAAAATGAACAAGATTATAAAAGCACTCTTTAAAAGAGACTACTTTCTTCCCAGTCTTTACTCATTTATATGTTATTAGAATACACATATTTCTCTCTCATAAGGTCTAAATGCCACTTAAGTTTAGGGAAAGAGATTAAGCCAATTTTTTAGATTAAAAATGAATTATTAGTGTAAATGCTGATCTAAAATTCAGTAATTAAGGGAGATAAATATTTTATTTTAAAAATTAATTATTTTTTACAAGTTTAAAAAATATAAATAAAATATCTTTTTATTCATTGCTCGTAATCCTAAAATAGATTCCAATAAACAATACATAAAATATTTTAAGGTGACTTTTTAGAACCAAAGGCAACCTAACAACAATTCATTACATTCTTATAGGCATAGAAAAAAAGAAAATGAATGAATAAAAAGCGATTTTGAATTGCTTACCTGCTGGCTGTTCTCACAGAACAATTTTTCTTGTGTCCTCTTTCAGCTCGATTATCTCTCAGAAGCTGATGCTACACAAAGTGTTAAGACAAAGTCATAGAAACAAAAATATTTTCATTATATTATTTTGCAAGTAGGAAAATATTCTCATTCAAAGGGACACTACTCATTTATTTGCACGGCTTTTTTTTTTTTTTTTTAACTGGTTTCTCTTAAAGCAAAGACTGTAAGTACTACTTTTTCTGGAGTTCAATAGTTCAGGGAGACAAGTTTTTCTTTTTAAAATTCATTCTTTATTGTCACTGTTGCAAAATTATCAGTGAGAGTTAGCAATCGAGTTCTTCCTGGACAGCTAAACTGCCCTCTTAGTCAGTTAAGATGTAGCCTGGAGATGGAAGCCTAGAACTCAGTTCTTTTTTTGGTTCACTGCAGTAGCCCTGGTTGAAGTAATGCAACCTCTCTTGTCAACGGCCTTCACTGTTGCATTCAGCTGTGAATTTTTTAAGGCTTTGTTACCTATGCTGACATAAAGAGCTAATATTATTTTCTCTGTACCTACTGGCCTAACATGGTAAAGAAACACGCTTAAAACATTCTTCTTCAAAGAAATTATTGGCTTGGAAATATATAATTAGAAAAAAACATATTTGATTGCCTCCTCAAAATGCCTTACCATCCACTTCCCTTTACACTTGCTTTACCCTAACTAATTGGAAAGAAAAAAACAAATAGTCAATATTCTTCACTATGTGCTCACTCAAACTCTAGCTTATCTTATTTATGCAGAAAATATGATTATATGCAAGACTGGGCTAAAACGAAGTTGTACAGAATATTAGCAATTAACCCCAACAAAAATAAAAGTCTTGGAAATAATAATACAGGATAGAGCTGGGTTCTAATCCCAGCTGGGCCAGTAACTAAAAAGTCACTAGGTTCCAATAATAGCTTTACCATTTACAACCTGTGTAACTTTAGGCAAAGTACTTAACTTCTCTAAGCCTTGGTCTCCACCTGTAAAATGGAAATAACAATAATATCTACCTGTAAAGCTACTGTGAGTATTAAGTAATATAAACCATTTAAAATATTCAGTGCTATAAAACTGGAACATAGGAAATGCTGAGAAATAATATGGCTTAAATGCTATGATTATAATTATGATGAAAATTAATGGGACTAGCTCTCAGTAGGTATTATCTGACCAGTATCAATAATTTCTAATGACGAATAACTGCTTTGAACTGTTCAATTACATCACTTAGAATCAATTATTAGTTTACTTAGCTGTCCTTGAGAAGGAATAGACCTTCCTTAGATGATCAAGAATATGGTTAGGCTCATTCTTTCAGGAACGTCTGAACTAAATAAGTATTCTTAAATTTTCTCTTAAATATCTACTTCTTTTCATCCCCCTTGCAACCATCCCAGTTTAGACCACCATTTTCTCTGTCCTGGAAAAGTCTCCCAAATGATCTCCCTGCTTCCAGGCCTGCTTCCTTCTAATCTACTCTCCACACTGCAGACACTATGAGCTTTCTAAAATTAATCTAATTATATGACTCTATGGAGATCAAACTCAAAATCTTGTACAAGGCTTTCATGACCCTTCATAATTTGATTACATCTCTAAATTCATAATTTATTATGCTTCCTCCTACCCCAACCTAACCTTCTTTCTTCTAAATTATATATCCTAGCCATAGTGAAGTTCTTAGTTTGGGGTATGTACCATGCTGTTGCTCATCTCTGGCCCTTTGCTTGGGTTATGCAATTTGCCTATATCTTCAGGGTTCATGCACTGTGTCTGGAGCATTTTAGTGCTCAGCAAATATTTGCTGAATGAATGGATGAATGAAATAAAGGAACAGGAAGTGAGATCTGGTATCTGATATGTAGCTGAAGCCATATCTCATTATTACTACTTATAGAAAAGAGCAACCAGTTATCTTAAATCCATTAATCTGAAAGTGTTTCAATTTAGAAACACTTCGTACCATGAACACTAAATTGTTTCTGAAAATAAAGAAAATTAATTACTTTGGCATTTCTAAGTCTAGTGCCTTTTAAAAAATATATATACAAACCAACATTTGTGACACAGATAGCTAGAAGTAAGATGATGAAATCTCTACCTCTACATTAAATTAATAATAATAGTTAATAGTTAATTATGTTTTCTAATTCTAAGATAAAAGACAGATACTTGAACACTATTCCTGAGGCTTGTGTTACAACAGTTCAAACAAAGAACTCAAAATCCCAAACCAAATGTTATGGAAAAAAAAATAAAAAATTTATAGTTTAGTTTTGAAAAATGCAATTATAAGGACCAAAATAAACATTAGGTTGTATCTACTAGGTTTCGATAGTTCTCAGAGAGGCCACCAATCTGGATGAATTTAAATGAGATAGCACCCTCTCTGAACGTTGATGTTATAGCTCCTTTTATTAGATTTATATTATAATGTGTTTTCTTCCTCAAATGTATAGTTTTGATGGGCTTTGTACATAAAAACAAGTCAAACAATGGCATTACTTAATGCAATGCATCTATATGTATAAAACCCATCACAAACTTATCTCACCTTATCAGTACAATTATACATCTGGGGATACCACTGCAACTTCAAAAGGAAGCTCAGATAAAACTACAGAGATCTCTGGGTCATGAATCACAAGTTAATATGTGAGCTTAGATCTTTTATGGGGCAAAGATGAAAAAATTAATCTAAGGTGTTACTTGAACAACATGTATTTGCATTTAGAAGGCTCCTGGCCAGGTGCAGTGGCTCACGCCTGTAATCCCAGCACTTTGGGAGGCCATGGCGGGCGGATCACCTGAAGTCGGGAGTTCGAAACCAGCCTGGCCAACATAGCGAAACCTTGTCTCTACTAAAAATAGAAAAATTAGCCGGGCATGGTGGCAGGCGCCTGTAATTAATCCCAGCTACTCAGGGAGGCTGAGGCATGAGAATCGTTTGAACTCGGGAGACGGAGGTTGCAGTGAGCCGAGATTGCGCCACTGCACTCCAGCCTGGATGAAAAAGTGAGACTCTGTCTCAAAAAAAAAAGAAGACTCCCAACATATTTTTTTTTAAAGTCAGATTATGAATTCAAAACAAACAAGAATCCTTGATCCCTGCTCTAATAAGCAAGAGCAGCTCAAAAGACTCTGAAAATTTTTTCATTCTTCTTCTTGATACATTTTTTTTTTTCTGTTCCCTTGGACTCCTATCAGTGTCACAAGTGAGGTTGCTTTCTGGATTCTGACTCAATAATGTCAACTCTGATCAAAAACAGAACTTGTGAATATGGTGCGAAGTGCTTCTTACCTTCCAACTTTCAGATTGCTGGACTTAGGCCAAACGAAGATACAATCCCCTTATTAGTGACCTGCAGATGTATATTAAAAAATAACTCATATAAGAATTACATTAAAATCTGTAAGTAAAAAACCTAGGTACAATTGGAAAAACTGCTGAATTAAACCAGGAAGAAAAGTATACCTTGTGGATAATGGTTTTTACATTTAAAGAAAAGGAACTAAGAGTTTCTGTGGCTATTCATGACATTTTTCAAGATTATTAAAAGTCTCACATCCCAAGAGGAAAGGCAAAGAGCAGAATTCTCATTCCCCACCAATCCTCTCTTTACTACCTGATTATACATAAGGCACTCAAGCTCAGGAGTGCTTCTATTGGCAGCCACTGTTCAGGTAATTCCTCAAATGTCTGCAAAATAATTTCAAGTCTCTTCACACTCAACAGTGTCCTCAAAATTAAAAGGGGAACTAAGTAAAAACTAAACTATGATCTGACTCACTAAGATACTTCTTGTAAACTCAGTCAAAATGTCTCAAGGAAGAAAAGCTTCAGAATTAAAGAAGACAAAACAAAAAATGATGCTTCCTATAGTTGCCTCTCCCTCTTTCCTTCCACCCCTGAACTAACTTTCACATTTCTCTTTCGTGGCCTTCATAGTGCCTTCTCTATGGTTTTCTGAAACATTTACCAACATAGTATAATTACTGCTTACCTGCTCCAGACTATAACCACCTCAGGGGAAAAACTATGTTGTTTTTTACAAATAACTCTTTTAATAAAAATAGAGAGTCCTCAATAGATAGTGGCTGGTGAGTAAGTTATTTAACAAATGTATAGTAAAGGCACGATCACTATGTATAGTAAATTGAAATGGGACTTAGCACTGAAGAATAGCAAGAAAGAAGAATCAATAAGATGGAGAAAGGAGTGAGAGATGGGATTTTAAAAGTAGGGTTAATATTATTGTTTCTTTGTGTTAAGTTGGTATGAGAAAAGCATAAGGTAATCATGCATGCTAATTAGTCATTCCTTCAACAATAAACTAAAAGATTTTATACTTCATGGTCTTGCATTTCACCACTTGCACCTGACTTTAGACAACAGTTTAGTCTGCTATACAGTTAGGTCTGAGTTGAACTAAGAAATTATTATCCCTTATGTAAGTAGAATGTATTGTACATATACATACATGTACAATTCATTGTCATTATTCAGATTCCATACACCTACTTGCTAACATTTATTTGTAACACAAAAACCAATACTTCCCCTGCTTTTGCAGTCATTTGCAGACATGTGTAGCCAGAGTGGTAAAAATCTGAGTAGCCTCTAACACGTTTCCAGCTGAGCTCCAGCCAGGTGACACGGCCTTGTTTCAAGCTCTCATAGTATAAACAAGTGTATTTCTTGCAGTCTGTTTAATGCTATGAGTTTTTTGGGTTTTTTGTTTGTTTGTTTGTTTGTTTTGCATAATTGTGCTTCTGTTGGTGACTTCGCTATTTAAAATGGCCCCAAGCATAGTGCTAAAGTGCTGTCTAGTGTTCCTAACTGCAAGAAGACAGTGATGGGTCTTAAAGAGAAAATATGTGCTTTAGATAAGCTTCATTCAGGCATGAGTTATAATGCTGTTGGCCCTGAGTTCGATGTTAATGAATCAACAACAGACATTAAATAAGGTATCTTTAAACAGAATCACACACAAAACAAGGTTATGTATTGATCAGTTGATGAAGATGAGACCTGGGGCTCAAAGAAACCTAACCCTGTATTTCCCCTACAAGCAATGGTTCAGTATTCATTGATTCAGTGTTTGAGTTGACTACATAGAACATAACTACCATATGTAACAAGAATTAACTGGATTTATTAATTAATAATCTACCTAGTAAGGATACAGATCTGAAATGGCACATCAAAGTTTAAGTAAAAGCTGACTCAAAAATTGGTCAAAAAGATTTAAAAAGATAAAAAAAAATTGGTCAATTTCTTCCCTATAAGGTATTAGCTATTAAAGGTAATTTTTAATTTCAGAATAAAGCTTGGCTGGAAGCAACCAGGTATACCATAGTCTAAAACCTAGATTTATAACATTGCTTTAGTACTTCTCAAGTTCTAAAGGGTAGAAAATGAGCTTTATAAAATTGTATTTTCAGATAAAATATATCCTGATGCAACTTAATACTAAAAGCGGAATATTATTGTAAGCATTGTACATAGAGGGATAAGAACCATTTAGGAAAGCAGAAAGTCTAATTTTTGTATTGTAAATAATAAGAGGAACACATCATAGATGTAGCTTAGCTTAGTTCATTCTGAATTCATAGAAATAGTGGCACATAGTCCATTATTAATGTGAGAAGTATCTTTAAAATGTAACTCACTCTCATGGAAAAAAGCAAGTTAAAAAATCATGAAAATGGAAGGTATTTCTATTAAGCTTATGTGTGTTAAAAAATAAAGAAGGGTTCAAAATGAAGTGTGTAGCACCTTCCTTTTATTAGTAAAAGGAACTCTGGTATATGCAACAGCTGTGAACCTGCTGCTCAGCCCAAGAAATCAAACATTATAATGTTACCAATTACCATTAAAGCACAAAGTCCTCTTTACTACCTAAGTCTCTGCCTACCCCTCAGAAGAAATGATTCCTGAAGATTTGAGGTTGACCACTCCCCTTTATTTTAAAAATAACTTTTATCATTCACAATAAAAGATAAAAACTTTGCAAGGATGCAAACTCTAAAATGTATATGTTTTAAAACATCACAAGTTTAAGCATGCTTCCGAGAAAGAACTAATATAATCAAGGGGTAACTGCTGATTTTACATGTAAAAATAACTGTAATGAATGTCAACTTCTCACTGAGTCAACTAATCATTGTGCTGCCATGTATACCAGTAAGAAATTTAAAAAAATTCATCTAGAAATATAATGTAAAAGTATAAGAAACTCTTCCTACCTTCCAAACTTCAGATACAAATATTCTCTTCCTGGCTGAACTTAGATTTAATACAAATTAATTTTTAAGCACATGTACTGTTTTGATACCTTAACTTTGTGAAAAATAAAGATCAATAGTGAGGTCCTACAAATGAGTGAGTTTCAGAGTCTTTCCATGGAGGTCACAAGTATGACTGAAGACAGTGGCAGTAAAGGAAAGAAAACTCTCATGCTGATTAAGGATCACGCATTTATTTGGTCAGTGTATTTAATCGTTGACATAATTAACACCTTTTAAAATGAGCGGGGATTTGTATTTTTTCTCATAAAGCTGATCTACTCTCCTGAAGGGAGACAGTTAAATACTTGAAAGAGGCTGAGTAACTTCCTTTTGGATTACAATGGTCCTTACCTGGTCATGCTCTGTCCTAGCCCCAGGGCTAAACCAATGGCTGCAGAGGAAAGAAAAAGGCAGTTAGAGGGAACCTAACTAAAAGCACGTGCTCTCACATGATCGAGCCGCATGTGCTTTAAGAAATTTGTCACCAGCAACACAGCCTTAAATATGCTTTATTTTAATGGATGTTTCATGTAATTCTAGACTTAGACCAATTTTGACAGAACTGTAAAAGTGCTCATAACCTGGTAATTTTCAATTTAATAAGCAAACTGAGTTAGAATTACATTTCCATTTAATTATGTTAACATAAACTGCTGGGACTGTATTCATTTTATGAATCAATTCTGGTTATAAAACCTACAAATGCTATCATTTACCACAACTTAATTATAGCATCATTACAACACATTATGACCCTTTGATTGTTGGAGTTATAAAAAAAATGTTAAAAATACAACAATATTACATTATCTAGCTATGCCCCCAGGAGCAATACACAAAGCCCTTGATATGAATTCTGCAGCATCAGCTGAGGTACCTTGGACCTATTCCCTCCACAGTTATAACAACCTAGATTCTGGCTGAGAATGAAGTTCAACAACATTAAAAATATAGAAGTCACTGCATCATCAAAGCCTTGCCTTCTCACATAGCCTAGCCCAGCCCATTTTGCTTCAGCTGCCCCTGGGACTCTTAATACCGATGTATCTGGCAATACCTTTTCCACGGGAGTTGTTAGCATTAGCTATGCGCCCAGTCCTCTGGCATTATTCTGCATAAAAAAACTAACTGTAAACATCAAGGACTAGGAGATTGAGAGAGGTATTATGGCAAATCAATCACTAAAGGCCCACGATCACAGGGAATGATACTAACATTACTATTAATGCTATTTATGATTTCAACAACCATAATACCAAGTACCTCTATGTACTAAGCACGTGACATGTTTTATTTCCCATCTTCATAAAATCCTTACAAGGTTAGGCTCATGTTCCAAATACAGAAATGAGGGCTCAAAATGTTAGCTTACTTGCATAAGGTGTGTTTTCACCACACCACGCTGCAGAAGGGCAAGGGGCTAGAAAGGGTTTACATCTCCTGGGACGCTCCAAGACTTCTTTGCATTCTCTAGCCTCTGTGGTATTAAAACCAGGAACAAACAGCCTCTACATTAATAGGCCTTGTTTAGGCCTTAATATAGAATTTCTCAAGCTCATAGATAGTGATAGTGATGCTTCTAGGCAGGTCAAATTCCACCAGTGATGGGGGAATGTACATTTATTGGTATTAGTAAATAACACCTGGATTAATTACCAAATTAATTAATCTTTCATTGTAGTTCCTCTGACAGCTTGACTAAGATATTTCCCCTGTTTTGGATTGTGCCTTTTTTTTTTTTTTATTTAAAGACAAACATTTTTCTTAAACGCATTCGCACAGTTTAAAAGAAAAAAACTAAAAGGATTAAAAACAGCAATTTCTTGTTCCATCTATCCTGACTCCTAAGCTCTGTTGAGAGACACCACTGTCAACTCTTTTAGTCTTTTCATTTTGTGTTTAATGCTATATTTCTAAAGAATATGGTTATACCAATAGCTTGTAATTCATTGATTTTAGATGTGAAGTACTGACTTTCTATTGTCAGACTTAGCTCTTTTTTAACTCCCAACCCTCTATTTCCAATTATAGCATCTTTTTGATTAATCAATTGTAAATACAGACATTATTATGACTACATGAATACTTTCTGCTACTAAGCTTTTCTTTTTGTTTCTCCTAAAGTTGATATTTGTCTTGTTTTTGCTATTTTTTCTATGTACCTGCCAGCCTTCTTAATTTTTCTAAATACCTGCCAGCCTGTCTTTATTACATTCTTATTCTTATCACTGTTAGTTTTCAAATATTAAAAAATATCTGAAAATATGCCCATCCCTTACTCCTCCCTCCTCTTCAGCCTCCAGTGATCTCCTCCCAAAGCCCTCTGTCTACTTGGTCTCACAGCTGTTGTTTTCTAGATCTGTCCTGGAACTTCCTTGGCTCTCACTGGGTGTTCACATCATTTCTCTCCTTTGCTGCACCTCTTGTTTCCTGTATCCCACAGCTTCTCAGTTCATTTCCACCTTTTGCTGAAGAACTCACTCAAATAGTGAGAATGGTTGAGAAGCGTATTGTTTGAGTTGATTTTTTCCCGCTTGTTTGTTTTCTTCTTCATATTCTTAAGTTTTCAATAGGCCAACAAAAAATGCTTATTTTTGTTGTTTGGAATGTGATCTGGATTTCTTTCCTCTGGATGCTGTTAGAAGTTTTTAATTTCTCTAGTAGTGAGCATTTTTCATTTACTGTGTTGGGTGAGACCTTGCAATCTAGAGATCTGGGTCCTCCAGTATGAGAAAATTAGTTTTTGTTTTTTTTCTCTCTCTGGAATGCCTAATAATTAAATGTCAGATCTCCTGAGCTGATCTGTTAGTTCTTCTTATTTTTTTCCTCCTAAAATTTGTCTTTTTGTTTGCCTGCTAAGTGATTTATCAATCTTTACAAGAAATATTTATTTTGAGATAATTGTAGGTTTACGTGCAGTTGGTAGAGATCCTGTGCACCTTTATCCCGTTTCCCAAAATGATAATATTTTGCAAACTATAGTGTAACATCACAACTAAGACACTGAGACTGATACAGACTAGATACAGAACAATTTATTACTACAACGATCCTTCATGTTGTCCTTTTATAGCCATATCCATTTCACTCCAACCCTCAATCTCCTACATTGAATCCCTGTTAACCCACTAACCCATTCTCTATTTTTATAATTTTGTCATTTAAATAATGTTACACAAATGGTATGATACAGGATGTAACCTTTTTAGATTGGCTTTTAAACTCAGCAAAATTCTCTGAAAAGTCAGAGAAGTTGTTGCATGTATCAATAGTTTATTCCTTTTAATTCTGAGCAGTATTCCATTGCATGGGTGAACATAGTTTGTTTAACCATTCACCTATCGGAAGACTTCTGAGTTATATCCAATTTTGGGCTATTATGAATAAAGCTGCTGTTAACCTTAGTGTAGAGGTTTTTCTATGAACAGTGTTTTTACTTCGGTGGGATCAATGACCAAGAGTGCAATTGCTGGTTAGTATTGTAGTTACATGTTTAGTTTCATAAAACTGCCAACATTTTCCAGAATGGCTACACCATTTTATAATCTCATCAGCAATGTATGAGTAATCCAGTTTTTCCACATCCTCATTGGCATTCGATGCTGTCACTATGTTTTACTTCAGCCAATCTGATAGATATGTAGTGATATCTCATTGTGGTCCTAATTTGCATTTCTCTAATAGATAATGACACTAAACATCTTTTTGTGTGCTTATTTGCTATTTGTGTATCCTCCTTGGTAAAATGGATGTTCATGTTTTTTGTCCATTTTCTAACTAGATTGTTTTGCTTTTTAACTGTTTTATAACTATTACATTTTGAAAGGTCTTTATATATTCTAGATACTAGTCTTTTGCTAGATATGTGGTTTGCAAATATTTTCTCTCAGTGTGTAGCTTCTTTTCATTCTTTCAAAGGAAATTTTCCAGAACACTAGTTTCAAATATTGTTGAAAAGACTATTCTTCCTCCATTGAACAGCTTTTGCACGTTTCTCAAAAATCCATTGACTATACTTGTGTGTGTGCGGGGGGAGCTATTTTTGGGGGTCTCTATTCTGTTACATTGATTTATGTGTCTATCCCTCTACCAATACCACACAGTCCTGAATACTGTAGCTATACAGTAAGTACTGAAATCTGGTAGGATAATTCCTACAACTTTGTTCTTTTTAAAAAAATTGTTTTTGTGATTCAAATTCCTTTGCTTTTCCATATACATTTTAAAATAATCTTTGCTATATCTACAAAAAATCTTGCTGGGATTTTGATAAGAATTGCATTAAACCTAATTATCAATTTGGGGAGAACTGACATCCTTACTATGTTGAATCTTCCAACCTATGAACCATGAAGTCTCTTCATTTTTGTAGATCTCTTTTGATTTCTTTCGCCATTTTAATCTCCCATTTTATTTTTCATTTCTTTCACTTTTTCTTCAAAATGTATGAAGAAAATGTTCAAATATTCAATAAAGTTAACAGCATCTTAGAATGAATACCCATATACCACTATCTAGATTCTACTATTAACATTTTACTCTACTTGGTTTATAAATTATCTGTCTATGGCATCTTTTGATGAGCAGGTCCTTTTTTCCTGTTTGTTCCTCTCTTTATACTGAAGTCTTTCCTCAAATATCTGGTGATCTTTACTTATCTATTCAATATTTAAAAAGCACTACAAAACTGATCAGAAGAGCTTTTTCAACAAATAAGTTTACCCACAGGATGATCATACAAGTGTCTCCTCATGGTGGAAACTTACAGGTTTACTATCTTGTCTATTTTTCTCATATTAGTAAATTTCTGAAGAAAAGAAAGATTTACTTTCTTGACTGAGACATACTATTTCAGTTCCATGCCCCACCCTATTTAGAAGTTTTCAGATTTTCTAGGGCCTGTGAGGGACAAATCAGCATTTATTTCATCAGACTCTTAAGTTTATATTTATTCTACCTGCCTGTTTAGGTACAAATCTCCAAGTGCTTTCTAGCTCTAGAAATTGGCTGAAATCTCTAATCTGCTGAAGTGTTCCTTCTTTGTCATTGTGTGTTTATATCTTTTTTCTTCTTTCTAGTGGAATTTGGGTAGGAAGAATAAAAATAAATGTTCAGAGCAGCAAACAACCAAGAGACAGTGGTACCACTGAGGCCATGAAGAAACGTTTTAAGAAGGGAGTGGTCACTGGTGTTAAATATAGAGAAATCAAGTCTGACAGGAACTGAGAAAACACAACTGGAGGGGCCACTGGTGAACTTTTCCAGAGAAGTTTCTAAAAAGTGACGTAGGAAGAAATCAGGAGTATAATATCATGGTAGGATGGAGCAGAAGGGACTATACTGTAATCTATTCTTTCTAGAAGTTTGGCTTTCAAAGTATGAGAGACAGAAAACACATTAAAGAAAATTAAAGGGGAGGTTACAAAATGTAGTGGATGATGAAAGAAACTTTTGGAAAGGAAAAAAAACCTTTCAATCAAAAGCATAGGTGTTATGAATTAGCCTTGGACAGGAGAAGAGAGATCTTTTCCTCTAAGTCTAAGAAAAAGGGGAGTGAAAGTATATTTGGATAAGTTTATCCAAATTTAAATAGCAGTCTTAATGAGCCTAAAGAACACAGGTAGTGAACATAAGATAAAAAAGCTGAAAGAGTATTAGGTTGTGGTAAGAAAATGGTATCATACCATTCAAAATTTCAGAGCTCTATTAGTTCTGGGTGATGGTTATATATAAGAGTAGCCAGGGGAGTTTCTCAAGTAGCAGTCAGATGAAGAACGTTGAATTCCAGGAGGAAAAAAAAAGTGTGCTAAGTGCCAGCATGTACTATTCCATCCAACTGTTGGTCAAAGGAGTACCCAACATGCATTGAGCCCTTACTAAGGCAATTTAATCCTTAAACTACTCTAGGGACAGTTATTATTACCATTCTGCAAATAAAGAAACAGGCTCAGAGAGATTAAGAGGTTTGCCAAAGACTTCATAACTAAGCAGCAGAGCGGGAATTCAGTTAGGTCTCCTGATTCCAAAGCCCACGTCCCTTCCAACCATTACACATGTTGCCACCAATTAGGATAGCTGAGGTTGATGCAGGAAAGAAAGACTAATTCAAGCGCCAAAGTCCTGTACGAATGAGGGCAAATAAGGAAAGGTAGATGGTAGTATGAACCTCAAACAACAAAAAAAGTTTTACCCAGGAGTAAAAAAGGAATAATCTGAAAGGGACAATGATGTTGTAGGAAAATGGTGGCCTCTGTGTCCTAGGGTTTATAGGAATGAGAGGAGGCGAATGGCGTCCTCCTTTGGGCAGCCTGTTGAACTCACCCTGGCAGATTTAGATGCTTCCTTTTCCAATCCCAATGTCTCTGCCGATATATCCACTAAAGCTATTATATTCGTATATTGCAGTTGATTCTTTATCTTAATAATAAATCAGAGGTCCTTGAGAAAAGGATAATGATAATAACACTAACAGAAATAGTGGTAGCAGCTAGAAAATGTGGTAGAAGTAGTAATCAAAGTTGCAGTAAAAGCACTATCACCACTCTATAAGTGTTAGTTGTGTGCTGGTTATCATTCTCATGGCCATACATGAATTATCTCATTCAATTCTTACAACGATTTTATGAAATAGTCCTGTCACCATTCAAGCTCACACAGCTAGCAAGTACTGGAATCAGAATTTGAATTCAGTCTGTCTGATTCCATATCTTGTATTTTTAACCATATACTTCCCCTTCATTTCCTTCAAGTACTATCATGTTTTGGGGGCATAATGGAAGGGTTGGTTTTCTTTTTCTTTTCTTTCTTTCTTTTTGGTGTTGCCAGAATCCAGCATAATACATGGAAAATAAAAGTTGCTTAATAACTTTTTAGTGAAAAATGAGCAAACAAGGAAACACAGGAAGTAGCATCCTTGAAAGTCAGAGTCAAGTTTATGCAAAGGCAGAGGAAGAAAAAAATGCTCTGAAAGAGAATGGGTATTTATTTATGTGTATTTACACTGGAGCCAAGGTTCCACACGGGCTTCATGGAGAGACTAACAGTGGTAGAAAAATCTGGGAGTAGGGAGCACAGAAGAGTTTAAAACTGATCAACTGTAAAGAATGGCTAGGCTCAGAGACACAGGCAGATTGCCTGTCCTCACAATTCATAAGGGTTGAATGTGGTTTCCAAATTCAGTTCTCCCCCTAGGACATAGACGCAGTTTAGAGAGGTCTAGGAACTAAGCGTGGCATATTATTTCATTTAATCCTCACCGCAGCACTGCTGATAACAAGAATAGTTATCACCTATTGAGCCCTCAGTACAGTGCTCTTTCAAGTACAGTAGAGCAGTTGTGGTTGGTAACCCTGTGGAGTAGAAATAATTTTTTTTTTAAGAATGACTGGAAAATAAACCTTTAGGAAAGAGGTTTTAAAACCAAAATCTCTGCAGATGCAGAGTTCCACACTAATTCCTTCTCACTGTTCCTTAATTCCCCCTTTTCTCACCCACAGTGTTGAACTACAGGTAGCAGAAATGTATAGGATTTCATGGGAAGTCAATTAATATTATATGTAGACAAAAGGACAAAATCAACCTCAAGATTCTTAACTGAGGTCTCCTAAAAATGTACTTTTCAGAAGGAAAGAGCTATTGCAACTTATAATATGGATTTTTATTGTTAGAGATAAGTTTCTGTTTTTGGAGTCAGAGGCATAATTTCATTTTAACTTAATAGTGGGGCTAATATATATAAAATGATCTAAATCTGTGCTAATATGGTAGCCACTAGCCATCTATGGTTATTTAAATTTACTTTATTCAATTAATTAATTTATTTTTATTTATTTTTTTGAGACAGAGTCTTGGTCCATCACCCAGGCTGGAGTGCAGTGGCACAATCTTGGCTCACTGCAACTTCCACCTCCTGGGTTCAAGTGATTCTCCTGCCTCAGCCTCCCAACTGGTTGGGATTACAGGCATGTGCCACCACGCCAGCTAATTTTTGTATTTTTGTAGAGACAAGGTTTCACCATGTTGGCCAGGCTGGTCTCGAACTCCTGACCTCAAGTGATCCTCCCATTTCGGCTTAAATTTAAATTCATATGAAAAATTAAGTTTCTTAATTGCAATGGCTACATTTCAAGTGCTAAAGGCATATACGGTTTCATAACTACCATACTGGACAGTGAAGATACAGAACATTTCCATTATTGTAAAGAGTTCTTCTGCTGGGTAACACTGGTCTAAGTGGATTATCACTAAATATATGAATTAACTTTGGAAATGGTATACAGTCTTCTATACCGACAGTTTCCCTGTGAACTATAACTACTTTATTGAAGAGACTTGCAAGTATGAAAAACTATACACGAGAGAGGAGGGAGGGGGACAAAGAAGTAGAAATATATGCCAAACTCCTAACCCAATATACTATAACAGGGTTTCATAGATTGAGATATGGAAATAAAAATTAGGGCAAGATGACAGAGTATTAAGAAGCCATGTGGCTAGGTAAGAACAGATCTTGGTAGCAGTCATAAGGAGGATGCCTTTTGGCCTTTGGGCATCCTCCTTATGATTGTCAATGTAGAAATTGACAGGGAGTTCATTCATACCAAGGGAACAATAAATAAGCAAAAGCAAACCAAAACCTTAAGTGGTTTTCCAAACACTCTTAGGAGAAAGAATCTGTAACATGACCTACCAGACTTGGCATCATGTGCTCCTTGCCGAACCTTCTCTGGTCTCATCACATACCACATGCTTTTCCTTCCTATATTGTGCTCAATATGCTTTAGCATAAGAATCCTTTAGTTTCTTGAACACAATACGTATTACTTTCTCTGCCTGAAAAGCTCTTCTTGCCACCAGTTCACTTAGATCCTAGAGAGCTCATTAGCCGTCCCCATCTCAATGTCTAGTTCAAATTCAATTTTTACAAGTTCTTCTTTAGAGTACTTAGCTCAGTATATAATAATGCATTTATGTGTCAGCATATAATTATACATTTGTGTGTGTGCTTACTGAGTAATCTCTATTACCTCTATCACACTGTGAGTAATGTGAGAACCACAACAACTGTGATCATGTCATCCTATTCACTACTGTACACCCGGCACCTAGTACACCCTCATAAATATCTTCTGAATGAATGGACAAATGAATGACTTGAGATACAGGATGGAGTTTCATCAACTATGGTTGCTATGCTGTTCTATATGAAGGTAAAAGAATGAGAACACTGGGCTGTGTGATCTTTTAAGATTCCTTTGGGTTCTTATGTTCTATGGACTAGAAGACCAGGATGCTAACGGTATTCCTCACTCAATAACATGTTGTATGTAACAAAAAGTCAACTCTAAAATTATGCTCAAGAGGCCCTGCTAAACTTTATTTCTTGTATTAAACTGCTAATGTAAATTCAGGAAGTTCAGCCTGATGTGGTTACTAAATCAGAAAGACCTAAGCTTGGATACAGGCTCTGGAACTTACTGGTTAGGTGAATTCTGACAAATTATTTTATTTTCTGAGTCTCAGTTTCTTCCTCATGCATAAAATAAAATTAACCACTCTCAGTATTTGTAAGACTTAAAACAACACTAATAAATTGGCAGATGGTGTTTAAAATAAATATTAATTTTCTTCCCCTAACAGTACAGTGGAATATAGTAATATGTAAACTTTTATTCCATAAGTTTTAACATGCAATAATTACCTTTTAATTTCTAAATGTCTATAAAGAAACAAGTGCTAAAGGGCATTACTTATACCCTAACAGGTTTAGCATGTTAACCAACAATTAATAGAGGCTTAATACATTTGTCTTTTTAATTGACTTTTGGTTGAGCGATGTGTAGTGTGTAACTTTAGAAAAGTCAAATTATTTATAAAATGGGGTCTAATACCTGCTATGACTACTTGAGAGAGGTAGTAAAAATACTAAAAACAGTGGTGCATATGAAAATTATCTGAAAAAATAAAATACAGTGTACAATATAAAGTATGTCATCATTATCATCATTTTGAAATGTTTCATACCTAGTTTAATAATATTTCTGTATTTTACACCTAAGCACCTTGTAAAAATATATAAGAAAGGACTGTTACTGTATTATATTTATTCTATAAATAAACTTAAGACACGTAAGCTAAATGACTCACCCATGGGAATCACAATAAATCAGAGGAGGAATCGATCTGTATTTCTTATTTATCTCAGTCTAGAGTTAAAGACACTTTCACTATAAAGCAATAGATGCTAAATTTCAAAGTGTAAAAGTATTCCCAATGAAAATAACCTTTAATCCAGGCAAATCTTGCTTTAAGCAAACTCGATATTTACACAAAAGATAAAATAAGGGGTGAGTATTTGCTTTATAAAGGAATTCATCATAGGATTATAATGAGTTACCCATGTGCATTTAAAATAAGTTTGATTTACATACAATTCCTCAGGTAAATATCCTCTACTTCAAACTGAAATAAAAGTAAAATATATCAATTGCACAATCGATTAATAAATCATATTTATCTCTATTTAAAAGCAAGTATCTCATAAGTGATTGGAAAAAGAAAGGAAAACTTTCTGGAACCATGTACAGAGTACATAAATGGAGGCCAAATTAATAAGAAGTAACTCCATTTTTATGCTTACATGTATTTTTAATGTAGTCATATATTAATTTTATTTTTAACATTTTAATATTTGTAGTTTTAAAAAGTCAACAGAATAATTAAAAGAGAATTTCAAAACGTAGGTTACTTTTACTGAGAAATTAGATACTAATTTCTCTAGCTGGATTGAGGCTCTTGTCTTTTTTGCATGTAGCTCTCTAGTTATCTTAGTCAGTATTTCATTTCTCTGTGCTACATATTTCTGATTAAAAAAACCTATCATACATTAATGATTAGACTTTAAATATAGTAATATGTTTTTCAAGGAAATAATTACTAGATGTTATTTAAGACAATTCATACATTGTTGTGTTATTTTATTAAAATGATCGCGTTTTTATAATTATGACACTCTGGAAGGTTTTTCAGTATCTGTCTTCAAAAATAAGACTGCAGCCTGGAGTGGTGGCGCACGCCCATAATCCCAGCACTTTGGGATGAGAAGGCGGGTGGATCACTTGAGGTCAGGAGTTCAAGACCAGCCTAGGTAACATGGTGAAACCTCATATCTACTAAAAGTACAAAAAAGTGGCTGGGGGTGGTGGTGCACGCCTCTAGTCCCAGCTACTTAGGAGGCTGAGGCACAAGAATCACTTGAACCTGGGAGGCGGAAGTTGCAGTGCACCAAGATCGCGCCACTGCACTCCAGTCTGGAGTGAGTCATCTGGCTTTTTCATCCTCTAAATATAAAAGCAACATGTCTACTGAAATAAAGTTTGGTAGATACTAACATGTACCCCTACCTCACCCGCTCCCAGTAAAATACAAAACTAACCTGCAATCCCATCATCCAGTGATGACCAATTTTAGTGTTTATTTCTGGTGGTGATTTGTCTTATATCTTCTGCGAGCTAGTCTCTGAACTGAGCCTTTCTGAACCTCAAGTTCTCATCTATAAAAATCAAGTGACTAGACTGGACAGCACCTAAGGCTCATTCTAGCTCTAGTACTTGCTTC
Source organism: Homo sapiens (assembly GCF_000001405.40). NCBI lineage: Eukaryota > Metazoa > Chordata > Mammalia > Primates > Hominidae > Homo > Homo sapiens. The sequence goes on from NC_000001.11 coordinate 217,509,621, forward strand.
TTCTGCCAATTATCAATTGTATTTGACAAGTATTCAGTTGGTGCCTTCTGAATGCTTTCCATCACTAGCCAGCAGTAGAACTTGATAATCTTGAACCGAGAGCCTATGATTTGAGTGTAACGCATTGTGATGTACATTGTAAGAGATTCAAAGTACAAGACAAAGTTTCCAACCTCGGCAAGTTCTTGGTCCATTAATGGGAATAAAACATGTATTTTATAATTATACAACAAATAATAATATGATAAATACTGTAATCAAGTAAAAATAAAACTTAAAGGAAAAAATAAGAGAGATAGAGAATGCTGATACGAATTTGAGGGGAAACACCAATGATTCCTTAAAGTAGGTTATAGCAGATACTATTACTGCTTCCTCAATAGCTCTGAAACTGCCTCCTTCCAGATTTCTGGTTCTATCAGTAAACTAAACTGCTATTTGTTTAAACCACTATTTGTAGAATATTCTGTTACTTTTTCCTGAAAGCATGCTATACAACAGTGGTCTTTACCATTTTTGAATATGTATTGCCTGAAATAGTTATGAAAATTCCTCATGTAAGTTTAGGAAGACATCTAATATTCTTCAACAAAAATTTAAACATTTGCAAGGATTTAATTTTATATCAATTATAATTGATTATAAATTATCAACATGTTGATAATTTAAAATAAAACCATTATGCTACTCTTTGAAATATATACATTGGGACATAAATATTATTGTGATTTGATATCCTCCACCATTTATTTAAAACAAAAACCAAACCAGGATGCACATTTCTTTAAAAGTTGAAAATTTTACATAGTTTATTTTTCTTCTTAAACTCCTGTTTAATATATATTTAATATATAATAATATATCGGGTAACAGCAAACATAAAAAATAAAACAACAGTAAACACAAAAATAAAATTTTATTAGAAAGGCATCATTAATGAGCTTTCCCCCAAAATTAGTTCATTGATGAGTACGTCTTTTAGTGCCAATTCTATCACCATCTTTTAATTTTATAGAGTGCTCAGAAATCTTATTCATACAAATTGGTAAATGGAAATAAAAGGAACTTGGTTAGAGCAGTCATTTGATTATTTAAACACTTTCGGAGTTTTGTGCCCAAAGTCACAAAATGACTTCTAGGTTAAGAAATATTTTTAATAATCTACCAGTTGCTGAAAAAAAAGAATTAGAGGCCAGGTGCAGTGGCTCACATCTGTAATCCCAGCACTCTGGGAAGCTGAGGCGGGCAAATCACCTGCAGTCAGGAGTTTGAGACCAGCCTGGCCAACATGGTGAAACCCTGTATCCACTAAAAAAATACAAAAAAAATTATCTGGGCGTGGTGGCGCACGCCTGTAGTCCCAGTTACTCTGGAGGCTGAGGCAGGAGAATCGTTTGAACTGGGAGGCAGAGGTTGCAGTGAGCTGAGATCACGCCACTGCACTCCAGCCTGGGTGACAGAGTGAGAATCCGTGTCAAAAGAAAAAATAAAATAAATAAAATAAAATAAACATAAAATAAAATTAGAAACTATATACCTAAATTTGCAAAATGCTTTATGATGTATTCATTAAATTCAATCCCTCCACATCAATACCAGCACAATATCTGAAATATCTCTGTTTACAGCCCGGAAAGATTTTATACTGTGCACCAAAGATTAGGATTGGTAGGGGTGTCTTTTTTCCCTAAGGAAGAAGAAAGGCACTGGGAAAAGTAAGAACCAGCAAAATAACCAGGGCTGATAATTTTCAGGAAAGACATCTATAAATGGAAGCAAGGGATTTGAAAATTGACTCCCTTAAAACTACTGCTGATTCTGCTAGAAATTATTTGTATATCCTGAGGGTATGAACACCTTAGTTTTTCTACTATGAGATGCTGAATTTGATAATAAGAGTCAGTTTCATGTATCTAACTCAGGGAGCAGGAGGAATGAAAGAAGGGTAACAGGCAGTATAGAACCACTTATTCCAGCTAGGAAGTTGGGGAAGCATATAACTAAAACTCTCTGCCCAGAGTGGATACTGGCCATATACCTTCTTCTGTTAAAGGACCTGATGGGAAAATTTCAGATATTGGGTTTTTCTCCTAGAGCAACAAAAGAGACAAGCTGAAGTAAAATGGAGTCAGTTTTAAAGCAGATAGGCAGGTCAGTCCCTAGAAGGGCATCAACCTATGTAACTTAACTGGAAGTCTGTGTGTGTGTGTGTGTGTGTGTTTGTGTCTATACAGCGTTGCCTGTATACTTATTTATTTGTGTAAAAGAAAATTCCCATGATGTGGTGTCCTGTGGCTTCTCCTTGTCAAGAGTGGGGTCTGTAAGGGACCTCCCCCACATTGGCTCTACATAGGTAAGGGGTGCGCCTGAAGAAAGGGATGAAAATACAGACTTACCAAATGAACCTATAAAACATTATCAAGGCCAAGCATGGTGGCTCATGGCTGTAATCCCAGAGGTGGAAGTGGAGGTGGCAGGATTGCTTGAACCCAGGAGTTCAAGACTAGCCTGGGTAACACAGTGAGACCACATGTCTACCAAAAAAAGAAAAATTAGCCAGGCATGGTGGCCCATGCTTGTAGTCCCAGCTACCTGTGGAGCTGAGGCCAGGGGATCACGTAAGCCTGGGAGGTTGAGGCTGCAGTGAGCCATGATAGTGATTGCACCATTGCACTCCAGCCTGGGCAGCAGAGCAAGACCCTGTCTAAAAAAATAAATAAATAAAACAAAATATAATCTGAATTGAATTAAAGTCTTATAATTAGGGAATGGCATTGGGGAAACCATGTTTGGAACCCCTAAATGGAAACAGGCAGTGGCATGGAAGCTAGATTTAACAAGCAAAATGACTAGATCTTCCTGAATACCTCTGTGTAGGATTTCTCTGACAAAGAGCATGAGCCTGCTGACAAAGATTTCCTAAAGACCTATACCTACCTGCTGGAGGCCATGGCTTTGAACTGCCTCAGGGCGAAGCCATTAAACTAAGGAGACTAAGAGTAGAGGAAGAACATGGAGGCCAGCAGCATTTGCTGGCATGAAACTGCAACAACAAACACAACAGAAACCACTATATTTTTGATGAAATGCTAGTGCTGAAATAAACAACTTGGTCAACAAGAGTCTGTGACTGTTTAGTTCCTTAGGCAGATGATAAACCCCTTACTTTCACCAACAAGAAATGGGCTGATAAAACTGTGCAGTACCCTGTAAGGCATCTGCTGCAATGAACATATCAGCTGAGATCTTCAGAGGAAGAATAACAAGTTAGGTTCTCCAAGAGAGGAGAGAGAATTGCTTGCCAAACTGGATATATGCGTTGTGGCATGCTGAGTATTAAGTATCTCATTTCCTGAATGCGAACTTTTGTTGAAATAGCCTACCTTAGGCCAGGCGCGGTGGCTCACACCTGTAATCCCAGAACTTTGGGAGGCCAAGGTGGGCAGAAGGCCTGAGGTCAGGAGTTCGAGACCAGCCTAGCCAACACGGGGATACCCCATCTCTACTAAAAATACAAAAATTAGCCAGGCGTGGTGGCACACGCCTGTAGTCCCAAGCTACTCGAGAGGCTGATGCAGAAGAATCGCTTGAACCCGGGAGGCAGAGGTTGCAGTGAGCCGAGATCATGACATTGCACTCCAGCCTGGGTGACAAGAGGGAGACTTTGTCTCAGGGAAAAAAAAAAAATTAGCCTACCTTCTCAACAATTCTATAGTCTATGCATCAAGCACTTTGAATGCATAGGCCACTATAAGATTATGATATCATTTTGCTATATCTGAACAATAATCTCTATTTTATATTTGTTAAGTAGTGATTTTAAAAAATAGAAACTAATGGATCCTAATATGATTGCTTGCCACAAAAAATTTATTCAATAATTAATTCATGTCTTCCCATACTTTATGGCCTTTTTAAAAGTTCAATCAAATTTGCAGGAGATATATGGTATTGCTCTAAAATACACAACAAGTTAAGCTTTTCCAACAAAGATGTATTTACAGAACGAATTAACCCCTGGAAATTCAAGCAATAATTTACCAAAGTCAAAGCTACAACTACTTAGTTTTAAAAAATTATCTAGTAAGTAGTCTCTTCCTTTTGTTGCAAAATGGAAATATATTCTGGTTGTTTCATGGGTCTTTATATTATTACCAAATGCTTGGCAGTAGCAGAAAGTAGAGAAGTAATGAAGAAAACCAGTCTTTTTTTTTTTTTTGAGAGATGGGAGTCTCACCCTGTTGCCCAGGCTGGAATGCAGTGGAGCGATCTCGGCTCACTGTAACCTCCGCCTCCCAAGTTCTAGTGAGTCTCCCGTCTCAGCTTTCCAAGTAGCTGGGACTACAGGCATGCGCCACCACGACCAGCTAATTTTTGTATTTTTAGTAGAGACCGGGTTTCACGATATGTTGGCCAGGCTGGTCTCGAACTCATGACCTCAGATGATCTGCCCGCCTTGGCCTCCCAAAGTGCTGGGATTACAACTGTGAGCCACCATGCCTGGCCCCCCCGCAAAAAAAGCAAAACAGTCTTTTACTCCTTTTTTTTTTTCCTTCTGCGATGGAGTCTCACTCTACTGCCCAGGCTGGAGTGCAGTGGCATGATCTCAGCTCACTGCAACCTCCACCTCCTGGGTTCAAGCAATTCTCCTGCCTCAGCCTCCTGAGTAGCTGGGATTACAGGCATGTGCCACCATACCTGGATACTTTTTGTATTTTTAGTAGAGATGGGTTTCGCCATGTTGGCCAGGCTGGTCTCAAACTCCTGAACTCAGGTGATCTGCCCACCCTGGCCTCCCAAAGTGCTGGGATTATGGGCATGAGCCACCATGACTGGCTTATTACTCTTCATTTTAGTATTTTAGAAGGGTTGGGATAGAGAATAAGGATGGAGGAGTACGAAAGCTTGATGCTACTCAATGTAATGAAAATTTTAAATTTTTAAGACAATACATAAATTTCAATAATGCATGAATTTCAAATACTATCACAAATAACAGAATAACTATATTTAAAAATCCCCATTTAAATTTTGTCATGGTTTTCGTTTAAGTTGTTCTTACATTATTATCAATGGTAAATTATACTTACTCTTTTTAAAAAGTACAAATTAAATAAGCTTTACTAGTAGTAGCTAATAATTTCCCAAAAGAGCTAAGTAGAATACTCCAATAAGGTTATATAAACACACTGAGTACTCACTCATGGTGATGAGAATCCGGGGAAAAATGAACCATTCTCTTGTTACCCACTGGGCCAGGAATGGGTACCTACAGGGAGATTTAAAAAGAAAAAATAAATTTCAGATTTGTTTATAAAACGACCATGGATAATAGTGATATATCAATTTGAAGACATCACTCTAAAATGGAGAATACAAGATTTTCAAATCTCAGACAACACTGTGTGGATCAAAAGTATAATTTAATTCCTGGTAAGAATACTTCACTTGTTTTGGTCTAGTGTATTTCCTCTGCTAGATTTTTTTTTTTTTTTGACAGAGTCTCTTTCTGTCCCACAGACTGGAGTGCAGCAGCGCGATCTCGGCTCACTGCAAGCTCCGCCTCCCAGGTTCACGCCATTCTCCTGTCTCAGCCTCCCCAGTAGCTGGGACTACAGGCACCCGCCACCACGCCCGGCTAATTTTTTTGTATTTTTAGTAGAGACGGGGTTTCACTGTGTTAGCCAGGATGGTCTCGATCTCCTGCCCTCGTGATCTGCCTGCCTCGGCCTCCCAAAGTGTTGGGATTACAGGTGTGAGCCACCGCGCCCGACTCCTCTGCTAGATTTTTAAGACTATTTTAAAAGAATCTTGGCCGGGCACAGTGGCTTACGCCTGTAATCCCAGTACTTTGGGAGGCTAAGGTCACCTGAGGTCAGGAGTTCGAGACCAGCCTGGACAACACGGTGAAACCCCATCTCTATTACAAATGCAAAAATTAGCCGGGCATGGTGGCACACGTCTGTAATCCCAGCTACTCGGGAGGCTGAGGCCGCAGAATCGCTTGCACCCAGGAGGCAGAGGCTGCAGTGGACTGCGAGGTTGTCACTGCACTCCAGCCTGGGTGACAGAGCAAGACTCTGTCTCAAAATAATACTAAAAAAAAATTTTAAAAAAAGGACTCTTTATAATAGTGTAAATATCCTTTAAAAAAAAAAAAGACCAGTGACTTATTACATAAAAAAAAAAGTTTAATTAGATCAGTGTTAAGCAGATATTTCCGAGGACCAATGTATTTGTAGCTAGATCCTAAATATAAATAACATGTATTATAACACATACATTTAAATATATACAAAAACTTAGATCAAGGAAGTGGTGAGCAGCCCTTTTCATAGTTTCCCCGAAAAGACAGGAGTCATCTGTGTATTTACACAGTACAAAATGCAATTTCATCTAAGAGAAAAATATTTTCACTCCTTTATTTCTAAATAAAATTTAAAATCTAAAGTAAGCTACTCCTTTTTTTTTTTTAGAATTTCACAACTTTCTTATCATATAGATGGTTCTCAAAGGGAACATAGCACTGTACAAGAATGAATCTATCAGTCACAAATGACAAGGCATACATTTACAGCAAAAGGCTTTAAGTTATGTTCCATTTTAATTTTAAAAAAAAACCCTCTGTAATTATAGAAGTGCCATTTATATAGAATGGGGGGAAAAGCATGAGACAGCAATAAAATTCCTCTTAAAAAAACCCTAACATTTTCAAAACCTTACTTCTTCCCGTATCACTTGGGTTACAAGAATGCCAGTATATACTCAGAAATTCCAAGAAATGCAAATACTGCAAATGTGCACAGATGATGACATTAATAACCCTATGGTTTGAGCGCCACAGGTAAACATGTGGCTCAACTCCAGGACTGCATCCTGCATTCATCTCAAAATGAGGTTTTCATGCTATTCCAGTGGGTATCCCTGGAATACAGTAATCCATTTTCTACACTGTGGCTATGAGAAAAGCCGACTGTGCCTATGTCATGCTTTGTTAGAGGTTCATGATCACATTATCTCATGGTGGACCTGACACTTTTATTCAGTTTACAGTATGTTCTATGTACAGGCAACTTATTTCCTTTGCCAAGGCTGCTGACAACCTTTTCCACACTATATTAATCTTGTTTACTGACTTTATCTTGGTACAAATATCAGAAAACTAAACTTTTTATCTCAGAGAAAAAATAAACAACGTGTTGACAGAAGCAGAAGCTATTTTCAGGACTAAAATTGTTTGTTTACCTGAAGCTATACTTATGGAAAAATGTTTAAGTCTTGCTCTGGCTTGAAATACATAATCTGAAATTTAATAAATGAAGAAATTTCACATACACCCATGTGATAAATTGCCTGATGAAAACAAAGCAACTGAATGCAATAAAACAGAATTTATAGCTAATTTATACCATAATACAAATGTAAGCTTTCAATCTAGTCAGAAATAATCATACTATGTATTTCTCAGCAATCATATATATGTATAAAAAACCTGTAAGCTCAGTTCAACTGCAGCAAGTAACCCACAAAAGATTTACAGTTTCAAGTATAGATACTTAAATAATTTTACCTATTTACCTAGTACATGATCCCTTTAAGAAAACAGAGGTGACTATCCTTTATTGTTATTTTAGTTCAATTTCTGTTTTACTTTTAAAGATATGCAAAATAGGCATAATTTAGAAATTTACTTTTTTTAATGAAATAAAGCAACATATAATGATCTCTTCAGGGTCAATGTCAGTGGTCTGCCTCAGGAGTAAAATGTTCTTACAATGAGAACCTTTTGCTACTGTGGCAACTAGACACACTTACCTAAAATTTGAGAACAATATATTTAATATAGAATTTGGCTTATGGAAAGCAGTGTTATACTGAAGTTTCAGTGAATTTTAAACTTTAAAACATGTTTAATCTGATTATTAGGAGACTACTTCAAAATATTATAAAACTTCAAGGAACATACTTAAGGAATTCTTTCTAAAAGTTTCTGTCTTATCATTAATTCAAGATAGAAAATAATCTTTACAAAAATTAAAGAAGCAGTTTTAAACATCAGATCAAAGTATTAATTTCTAGCATATAATTAAGTATGGTGACTGTTTTCTTCTCCAAAACACATGCTAATTTTAGTGATTTCAGAACTGTCTTAGAAATCACAAATTTTAAGAAGTTGTTTCACTTTAAATATCTAATAAAATATTCACATAGTAAAGTTTATTAGTAAGAAAAATACATTTTATTCCATAAGATTAGACAGGAAACAGGTATTCTGTTCTTCATGAGAAACAGTATCTCCACAATCCAATTCTTATAATTGACAAAACTCTGGAGACAATCATTTATGTAATTAGCCAATATTTAGTGTTGATAAACTTAGACATCACATTACACGCCCTGAATTCTTATGATTCATTTGTTAAATATTACTATATAAATAACGACTACAATCTGAAATAAAGCAGATATATTTCTTTTTATTAGACGCTTATCACACAAAGTCTTAAGAAGTAAACTGAAAGTTAGAAAGGAATTGATGCTTTCTAGATAACATAACTTTTGTGTCCTAATTCTAAAAGATCACATGGATCTTAGATTTTGCTGTTGTTTAAATATTATCAGTCTCAGGAAATAAGAATGTAGTAGCAAGAGATGAAAATTTAACAATAGTTGTACAAGTACCACTATCGATTCAGGAGGTCAATATGTACCAATATATTGGAAATTCTGCTAAATGATCAATTATCAATGACAAAATGTCTGTTCTCTCAAAGTTATAAGACATATTAAAAGCATTTTCTTATTCTTTTTGTCCCTGATGTATTGATACCAATTTTATAATTTTGCTTAAAAGATAAAAAGTTGGTTTTATGTCTCATTTTCATTTAATTGTGTCATTATCAAACCCAATGCATGCCATACTATTCTTCCACAATTACATAACTGAATAACTCTCCAAATCAGGTAAACCTATCTGAGACACAAGAGTCACGTAAGATTAATACAGAGGCCATTCAATATGGATGATATCTTACTTATATTCTCAATGATTGAGATTCCTTCTGTAAATTAATGAAGTTTCTTTTCATGTCCACACGTAAGAACAAGAAACCATCATCCTTTCTTCTCTCCCTCTAGTATAGCTGGTCCCCTTCAACTTCGCTCTGCTTTTCAACTATATTTTATTTGCCTTCCAAATGCTACTCTGCTTCAGTGCCCACACTGACAAACACTTATGTTGGCAAGCTGCCATTCAAAAGAAGGCCTTTCCATTTTGTGAGGACTGGTCAATCAAACCTGCCTGGCCTCCAGGCTGTCGGGAGGCACTGCCTCAGCCTCCCGGCCAGTTTGTCAAGACCCAGAGGTTTCTGGTTTCTCTTACGGCAATTATTAATTTGACTCAACTTCTTTGAAGAAAGAAACAAGACTTTTAAGTAAGATAATATTCTAAATGTTTTACAATAATTCATTTTAATTAATAGACATTAAAATAAATGTGTTGAATATTTATCTCTTATCCCCATACAGAAGAATAAAGGAAGATTCTTCGAAAGCATTTCAAATGAGCACACCTTTGTTTTATATTGGCGTTTTATAAGTTCTGTTACAAGACAGTTTGAGGAATGAATAAAATATTTCATTGTGTATCTATTCTTATAATATTACAGAATGGTCACAAATCACAAAAAGCACAATCTGTTTGGGGATGAGAAACATATTCAAGAAAATAACACTAAAATTACTTTTAAAGCAACATACAAACATGTAAAAATTACTTTAGAATTGCTTTTAAAAGAAATACAAAAAGTGATAATTCAAGGAACATAAATTGGATATCATTTATAAGATTAAAAGGAAACAAAGTAGTTATCTGATTTAAGAGGAATAAAGAGGAATAAAAAATCACCTCTAAGAAGGGAGTTGCATGCATTATCTCCCCCCTGCTCCAATCCATCTTACCAACGTGCCAAATTCAACTTTCTAAATTGCTGCTTTTCACATGTCAACTTTCTCATTCCACAGCCAACTATGGCTTACACTGAAAGTAAAATGAAAATTAATGAGATATGCATGCAAGGCTTTCCCTAAGCTGATCCTTACCTACTTGCCAATGTGATCTAGCACCTTATGCAGCCACTGAGAGCTTCTTATTTTAAATCCAGTACTGCTTACTTGGTACAATTCCACTAGTAACCTAATGTACATATAAAATTATGCTTAACCTTATTATATAATAAGTGATATGTGTTCCCTTTCAGTTGGGTGATTTTAGTTATATTGTTCACCTGAACTAATCTTTTTGATGTCTTGATAAAGTCAAGTTATAGAACTCCTCTAATTCCAAGGGTTTTTTTGATTGTTGTTTTTTAAACATGAAAAATATTAGTAAATATAATTCACGTAATAATTCATGTTTCACCTTTATCTGTCTAGATTTCTATTAAAGTAAAAATGTGTTTATATGGCAGGCCTGGAAAAATCCTCATCACTGGCTACAAGAAATGAAAAAATTGGTGCATATGAAATATACGCCATAAAAACTAGAACATCTAATGTATTCCTGGTAATATGTCTAATGCTAGGGAGAAGTCACTACAAATCCTTACCTACCAGATCTTTTAGTTTCAGACAATGTCCTCCTAGAAAGAATATTCAGGAAGGAAGATGATCCATTCCTGAGGACAACTGAATTGCTAGAGAGTTCAAAACTGTTGTAGAAAATTACTAAGGTTATGGAATATAACTCAGTTTTCCAATGGAGAAAATGCCTCAAAGTTTGGAATTTTATAAAATCTAATAACGGTACAAAAAGGCCCATCAGGTTCCTATCATTCATATCTTTAAAAATGTCAATATTGACAAACAATCTTGCTCTTATTAGCAGAGCTCACACTGTATGACTTTTAGGAAAAGACTTTGAACTAGGACCTATATAGTATCGACTAGTCATAGCCCTCATGTTATCTAAATTATAGTATAGTGGGTGAAACTGATTATTTTTACCTGTTAGTCAAGGTTAAAGTAAAAATTCTATATTGTTTGTTATGCTTTTACAATGCAATTTTAAATCTTTCTTGGAAGGGCTTAAGCATGAACAAACTGACAAAGAATGTGTAATAATGATCACAAAAGATATATCAAAAATTAATATAATTAGAAATATTTCTATTGTCATTAATAATAATATCCTTATTTTTATTTGTTTAAATTTATTTAAGTGTATTTACTTATTTGAGACAAGGTCTTGTTCTGTTGCCCAAGCGTGAGTACTCACAACTCATAGCTTAATGACAGCTCACTGCACCCTCAAACTCCTGGGCTCAAGCAATTCCCCTGCCTCTGCTGCTGGAGCAGCTAGGACTACAGGTGTGTACCACCATGCCCAGTTACTTCTTAAAAGTTTGTATAGAGCTGGGGTCCTGCTATGTTGCATGCACTGGTCTTGAGCTTCCAGCCTCAAGTAATCTTCCCACCTCAGCCTCCCCAAGTACTGGGATTACAGGCATGAGCTACAGTGTCCAGCCACTCTTGTTCTTTATAGCCTACCTTATGGCTTGCTTTTCATAAACAATGTGCCTAGAGTGAAGAAACATCATTATTCTCAAATAATAGTGAAGAAACTAACACTCACTGAGGTGAGGGCACATGCCCTAGACTATAGGAATGGAATTAAGCTAACTTTGAACCAAAATTGTCCAATTTACCACCTAGTACTTTTTCCCCTACAGGGAGACTGCAAAAAAAAAAAAAAAAGATGATATATCAAAACAAATGTTTTCTGTATTTGGGGATTTGTCCCAGGAGATGATGGCCTGAATCTAGAATACACTCTAGGAAAATCTTCAGCCAAGGATACTCTAGACCTTGCCTGTAACTTCTGGGTAGCATGCGGGCTATTTTAAGTATATGCAATGCAGGGCATGGCAGCACTAAACAGGGTTACCAGCACATATTATAGAAGGACTAACAAGAATAACAAACGGCTCCCCTACTAATCATTACAGCAAAAGAAGGCTAACATTTACAAAGTGTACTGGAGAGGAGTAAACACTCCGCGATGAGAATATGTGAAAGAACTTGGGGGAAAATTAGAGAACTTAGGCTATCTTTCCTTTGAAAGCAGACATAAATCTAAATACGTGATTACATCTTTAAACCACAAAGGTTTTGTTTAAAAAAAAAATAGCCAAAGATAAACCATAGAGAAGTACAAGGCTTGTCTTTCTGTTGAGGATTTGCCTTCCTAGAGGAATCCGTACACGTGTGTTGCAGGGAAGATGCTAACCTTACAGCTGCCAGCATTGCATTAAGTAGTGAATAAAGACATAGACTTCAGTTAGTTTCGAAGCGATCTCACTATATTTTTAAGTAAGAGCAGCAAATATATTTCTCTATGAAATGACAGAATGAAAATTATACTGTTTAGAAATATATACATACACATATAGTTGTATGTATGACATTAGCAATTATGTTTTTAACGTAAAACTAAACAATATAATTGTTTTAAATCTTCATTGTAAACAATTTTTTCCTAGTTAAAGCCATTCTGCATTGATAATTAAGAATTTAGAATTATTGGTCTATTAGAATAATAATACTTCTAATTATTAAATACATAAATTCTCATTTCTGGTATACACTACTAATAAAAGATCTAAATGCTTTCACAAAAAAGATTAATCACTAAATAATTCAAAAACAAATACAGCAACAACTTTTTTCATACCACTCCATGGTAATACTATTTTTTTTAAGTAAAGAACTAAAAATTAACCAGCTCAGAATGATGCCCAATAGTGATAGTAAAGAATTTCACTTTGCCGTCCAGTTTTAGTAACAAGCTGTGAGTGGCCTCTACTGGCTGACCAAAGGCTTCTTAAATCCCTCATTTATGAACCTTGCAATATTATGAGCATCAAGAAAGTAAGGATATGGCCACATATGTTTACGTAAAATCCACTGTGCCTAAAGATCTTCTTTTATGAATAAATGACAAAGTAATAAACAAAATGTATATAAGATGGTGTAAAAAACTTCCATCATTTCGTCCCACTGCTATACACTTGGATTAGATTGGCAATCTATATATCTTCTAAAATTCTAATTTATATACCATGATAATCTAAATGTGGATTTTCTTACTCAATTCATATCAAAGCAATTCACATCTGCATTTAAAAACAAATAGTTTTGGGGACTTGTTCAATACACACACACACACACACACAACTTCTCAAAATTAAGTTTATATTTAGGCTTGGCAAACTGACTTTGGAGGCAAACACAAAGAAGACTGAATTTAAAAACTTGAAAGAATTTGTAACTTTAAAAAACAGATTAACATTTTATGTAATGGTTTATGAAAATACTATCTTGGAAACATAGTAATCCAAAGCAATTAAAAAAATTTCTATATTATTGCTCCTATGTTTGGGTGGAAGTAATTTTATATTCAAAATGAAATAGCAATTAAGAAGGCAAAACCTTGCTTGTATTAGGAAATGTCAATTCAGTATTCATAATAGAGAAGAAAAAAAATTTCAGTTTTTTATTTTATTTTATTTTTTTATTGATCATTCTTGGGTGTTTCTCCCAGAGGGGGATTTGGCAGGGTCACAGGACAATAGTGGAGGGAAGGTCAGCAGATAAACAAGTGAACAAAGGTCTCTGGTTTTCCTAGGCAGAGGACCCTGCAGCCTTCCGCAGTGTTTGTGTCCCTGGGTACTTGAGATTAGGGAGTGGTGATGACTCTTAACGAGCATGCTGCCTTCAAGCGTCTGTTTAACAAGGCACAACTTGCACCGCCCTTAATCCATTTAACCCTGAGTGGACACAGCACATGTTTCAGAGAGCACAGGGTTGGGGGTAAGGTCACAGATCAACAGGATCCCAAGGCAGAAGAATTTTTCTTAGTACAGAACAAAATGAAAAGTCTCCCATGTCTACCTCTTTCTACACAGACACGACAACCATCCGATTTCTCAATCTTTTCCCCACCTTTCCCCCCTTTCTATTCCACAAAACCGCCATTGTCATCATGGCCCATTCTCAATGAGCTGTTGGGTACACCTCCCAGACGGGGTGGTGGCCGGGCAGAGGGGCTCCTCACTTCCCAGTAGGGGCGGCCGGGCAGAGGCGCCCCTCACCTCCCGGACGGGGCGGCTGGCCAGGTGGGGGGCTGACCCCCCCACCTCCCTCCTGGACGGGGTGGCTGGCCGGGCGGGGGGCTGACCCCCACACCTCCCTCCCGGATGGGGCGGCTGGCCGGGCGGGGGGCTGACCCCCACACCTCCCTCCCGGACGGGGCAGTTGGCCGGGCGGGGGGCTGACCCCCACACCTCCCTCCCGGACGGGGCGGCTGGCCGGGCAGAGGGGCTCCTCACTTCCCAGTAGGGGCGGCCAGGCAGAGGTGCCCCTCACCTCCCGGATGGGGCGGCTGGCCAGGCGGGGGGCTGACCCCCCCACCTCCCTCCCAGACGGGGTGGCTGCCGGGCAGAGACGCTCCTCACTTCCCAGACGGGGTGGCTGCCGGGCGGAGGCTCCTCACTTCTCAGACGGGGCGGCTGCTGGGCGGAGGGGCTCCTCACTTCTCAGACAGGGCGGTTGCCAGGCAGAGGGTCTCCTCACTTCTCAGACGGGGCGGCCGGGCAGAGACGCTCCTCACTTCCTAGATGGGATGGCGGCTGGGAAGAGGCGCTCCTCACTTCCTAGATGGGATGGCGGCTGGGCAGAGACACTCCTCACTTTCCAGACTGAGCAGCCAGGCAGAGGGGCTCCTCACATCCCAGACGATGGGCGGCCAGGCAGAGACGCTCCTCACTTCCCAGACGGGGTGGCGGCCGGGCAGAGGCTGCAATCTCGGCTCTTTAGGAGGCCAAGGCAGGCTGCTGGGAGGTGGATGTTGTAGCGAGCTGAGATCACGCCACTGCACTCCAGCCTCGGCACCATTGAGCACTGAGTGAAGGAGACTCCGTCTGCAATCCCGGCACCTCGGGAGGCCGAGGCTGGCGGATCACTCGCGGTTAGGAGCTGGAGACCAGCCCTGCCAACACAGCGAAACCCCGTCTCCACCCAAAAAATACGAAAACCAGTCAGGCGTGGCAGCGCGCACCTGCAATTGCAGGCACTCGGCAGGCTTAGGCAGGAGAATCAGGCAGGGAGGTTGCAGTGAGCCGAGATGGCAGCAGTACAGTCCAGCTTCGGCTTGGCATCAGAGGGAGACCGGGGAGAGGGGAGAGGGGAGAGGGGAGAGGGGGGAGGGGGGAGGGGGGAGGGGGGAGGGGGGAGGGGGAGGGGGGAGAGGGGAGAGGGGAGAGGGAGATTTCAGTTTTTGCTCAGCAGCTTCCTAATAATAAAAGCTTCTCGTGTGTGGGAAAATTTGGAATTTTTATTTATCTATTTAAATATATAATCATATATTTAATTCACTTCATCCTTTACCCAATCTATTTACCTAAATATACTCTATTAAAAATTATTAGCAAATATATCTAATGATGTCAAAAGGTGACTACATTTATTTTAAGAAGTGATTGTTCTCACATGTAACAATATTCCAGTATATTTCAACCTTCATTTCAGAATTCAGTCCCATTATCTTGCCTGCTCAAAATGGTTCACAGGGTTATCTAGCTGACATATAAGATAACCCTCCATCTCACTAGACACCACTGGGATATGACACACTGACCCACAGTAAGCCCTTATTATTATCCTGAAATACATAGCACATAATGTAGTTCCTGCCAAGGAATTTGTTTATAAAAATCTTTTTTATCTCTCTGGACATTTGAGTCATTCTTTAAAAGTAATGTTCAACTATTTTAAAGAATTTCATACAATGAATAAACATTCTATTTTATGTTTAAAGTCTTCATTCCCATTTCCCACAATTTTACCAAAGGTTAAAAAACAAAACCCACATACATAGAAAATAAAAGCCAGAAAGTATTTTCTCCTTGTTGCTTAGGTTATATAGAGCCTATTATATAAAAGATAAGACTTAAAAGAGATCTCAGTAGTTCATTCCTAGGGAGAATTATGCATATTGAAGCTTAATACATGTAAAATTAATTGTCTTCTTTTTAATTTTTTGGGGGGTAGCAGAAGAGGTCAGAGGGCAATACGGTAGTGAAGATAATGGTGAGACTCAGCAAACATGTTTGAGGACATAACAAATTATTAATATAGCTTTTTGAAAAAAATTCTACATGCACATTTTAAAAATTTATTTAAGAATATAAGCAGACTAGGAAAACTTTTAAGTGCTTGCTTACAAACTACTTAAATTATTTTGGTACTCAAAATCACATGATCAACATTTTGGCAGCTAAAATTTATTTTCTTTCCACATTATTCAACAATGTGTCATATCATCCATTGTGCATACTTTTTGAACTGGGTATTATTTCTACTATTTTTCAAAGTGTTTTCATAAACTAGTCAATTTCTTCTTAACCTGATAGTGGTGTTGCATAAAACCTTAATTTACATCAGGGGAAAAAATTACAGCTGGTTTTTATAATTAAAAGAGCGTTTCTAAGAATCTCAAGGACCAATAGTAATTTATAAGAAAAATGCTGATAGTCTCAACACTTTTAAACTGACAACTTAATATGGTTTATATTTAGCAAACAAAACACTTAAAATATTGTTCTGTACAGGCTGTTCTCCTAAAACAAACATGCAGGCAACCATTCAATCATTCAATCTTACGTGATGCAGTTCAAGACCTTACTATACCATTAATTGCACTAAAAATTTCCATAGCTAAAAAAAAAGTATGTAATCATGATTTGATGGGGGAGGGAAAAAGTACAAAAGTACAACATATTGCAAACTATTCTTTGCGGTATGAATAAATGAGTGAATGAGTTAATTAAAAAGAGGTAAAATATTAGTTAACAAATAGCAGTGTAAGCATAATCTTAGCATATTACATACTCAATAAATGACAACAAAAATCCCAAATAACCTAAAACTTTTAACATTTTTTGGCCAATATCTATTCTAAGTAAATAATCACAGTCAGACTGTCATATTTTTGAAATACTTATTAGCTTTACCTTGATAGAAGTAAATGTCTATCCCAAATCTGGTTGTTTATAGCAGGGAACCCCAACCACACACAGCAGGAGGTGAGCAACAGACGAGCAAGCAAAGCTTCATCTGTATTCACAGCTGCTCCTCACTGCTCATATTACCACCTGAGCTCTGCTTCCTGAGAGATCAGTGGTGGCATTTAATTCTCACAGGAGTGTGATCCCAATTGTGAATTGTGCCTGCAAGGCATCAAGGTTGTGTGTTCCTTATGAGAATCTAATGCCTGATGATCTGTCACTGTGTCCCCATCAGCCCCAGATGGGACTGTTTAGTTTCAGGAAAACAAGCTGAGTGCTCCCACTACCTCTACATTATGGTGAGTTGTAGAATTATTTCATTATGTATTACAATGTAATAATGATATAATTATTTCATTATGTATTACAATGTAATAATGATATAATTATTTCATTATGTATTACAATGCATTAATAATAGAAATACAGTGCATGATAAATGTAATGTGCTTGAATCATCCCCAAACCATCCCCCTACCCCCAGTCTGTGGAAAAATTGTCTTCCAGGAAACCAGTCTCTGGTGTCAAAAAGGTTGGAAAGCACTGGTTTATAAAGTCGGTCAGGTAGCCAGAGATAACTCACTTCCTGTGAGGTGAGTTCTGGACAATAAGAGGTATGTATAGTCACCAGGTGAAGCTTCTAAGGAAAGTTCTTTAAGTGACTGACTCAGTTGGCATGTGCCTTGTGCCCTTCTTTGTACTTCATGGTGCCTGGGATACGGCCAATAACATCCATTTTTTTTTTTTTTTTGACTAGGAGTTAAAGACCAAAAGAATCAAAGGTTTCCACCATGGCATCTTTTATCTGGATAACCAAGCCACTACGTGCCTTTCTATGTCAGGAGGGAAACAAACAAAACAAAACAAAACAAAACAAAACCCTCTCTTGTTCGAGCCACCATTATTTGGATACTTTATTATGTACACCAAGCTCAATCCCTAATTTTAATAATAATGAAGCCAATTATATCTATTAAATTCTACATTTAGTCCTAGAAAACAACAAGTCATTTGGTGGACCAGGAATTCACTAATAAGAGAGGAGATAGTGAACAACTACTTCATATGTCCAGCACTCAGGTGCTACATGGAAGATTCTAATGAATTGCACAATATCAACCCTACTAGCTAATATGTTGCAGACTTAAAACATAAAACTATATAAAGATTAAACAACTACTAAACTGTGTTCATTTAGTTATAACTGCAACGGAAGTTAAAAAAAATCATTAAAGCCCAAATTAGCAAATGTGGGTTTTGGAGGAGATGAGACTTATGCTGAGTGTTAGAGCTGGCTAGGATCTAAGCCAATGGAAGGAGGGGTGACTGTATGCATAAACAAGTTATGAATCAAAAGGGTATATATATTGGAAATGAGGAAATAAACCTGACTAGAAGTTCATGGAAAATAATGGTTGGATAGGCAACAAAGGTTCAGAAATCTAAGAATATTGTTCATCCTGTAAAATAATCTCTATGTTCAAGTCTTTAAAAATTAAGCCAGATTTTCATGACTAATTGACATCATCAGACTCTGTTAAGGGTAGCCAAGTAAAAATAACTAAAAAGACACAAACAAGATAACGTTTTCATGTATTAAATTTCCATATTTTTGCCTTTACTTCCTCGTTGCTTTCTAGATCCTGTATCAAGAGCTTGAAGATACATAGTTTCTTCTACACACAGCAGGATGAGGCAAATCCTTCTGCCTACGATGACTAGGACCTGAGGCATCCTGCCCTTTCTTGCTCCTTGGTGAATGAAAAGGAGAACTAAGGCTGAAGTAGGAGGAGTAAGTCAGAAACCAACATTCTAATGATCTCCATGCCTCTTGCATAAAGTAAGGTGGAAGGTCAGAGAAGCATGGGGGGACTGAGGGATGTCTGTTCCCTGAGGTACAGTCAGGGAGGTAACATGTCTAGAAGAGGTGCCACATTTGAACTGGCACCTTGTCCAACAGGGCACAGAGGTAAAAATGCTGCATTTGTGGAAGGAGGAGGCCAGACAGATAGCCTGAGAGAATGCTGTTGGTTCCCCAAGGTCTGAGTGTGAGACAGGTGATCCAGGAGTTCCTGTACCCTCTTGAGGGGACCAGGGTGAGGACTGTCTTGGGATTCAAGAAAGCAAAGGGACTTGAAGATCCGAGGCAAATGGCTGGAATCTGTGGGCTTCAGTAATGAATACCAGAATAATACCCCCAAAGGCCAAATGGAACCAGACTCACAGAAGTGAATGTGGTGCCAGTGTTCAGTCCAGACCAGCTAGAGGTCAGCAAGGCAAAGAACAGTGATTGGACAGACAGATGATGCATGGATCTGAGGTAAAAGATTCCCCTATAATTACCCCCAGGACACATAAGCTCTGTAGTGCCACCATGGAGAGAATCAGATGGAGACAGAGGAGAACTGCAAGAACAAGCATTTGTTAAAAAGGGGCTGAGTTACCCAAATAAATAGTTTATACAGAGATAACTGTAACTGGAAAATCTTTTTCACTTCCTGCCATGGTTTGGATATGGTTTGTTTTGTCCCCACCAAAACTTATGTTGAAATTTGGTCCCTGGCATAATGGTATTGGGAGGTGGGGCCTAGTTGGAGGCATTTGGGTCATGGGATCCCTCAAGAATGGTTTGGTTCCCTCTGCATGGTAGTGAGTTCTCCTGCTGGAAGACTGGATTAATTCTTGTAGAAATGGATTAGTTCCCTCCAGAGTGGGTTGTTATAAAGCCAGGACATCGCTCAGGTTTTTCTCTTCACACATGTCTGTTTCCCCTTTGACCTTCTCCTCCATGTTATGAGGCAGAATAAGAGCCCTCACCAGAAGACAGTGCGGTACCCTTGAAATTCTCAGCATGCACAACTGTGAGCTAAATAAACCTCTTTTCTTTATAAATTATTCAGTCTTGGGTATTTTGTTATAGCAACACAAAACAGACTAAGATGATTCCCAGATTCCTGTTCCTCCACCAATGTACTTCTTTCCCAATTTCCCCACACCCGGCACTAACAGTCAGAAGCTCATGAGAAATAACAAATGTAGTAAATAAAGAAGGTATATTTTATCTCGCCCAAGAGTTAACTTTTTGCTCTCCACACTTACAAACTGACATCAACTCTTTAGAACATACTCATGAATAGAGGAATTATCTTTACAAATTAGAATAGATAAAAATCTTCCAATGTATCCACAAGTAGTAAAGTACTAAATACTAGTTTAAGCTTTTTCACTGTTTCATAGTAAAAAAATACAATGTAATGTATGTCATGCTTTTCAATCTACAGGTTACAAAATCAACAGTGACAAAGACATAACCTTTGTGGTAAGTCTAGAAAACAAAGTAATATGGAGTCCTAGCAGTAATTCTTGTTATCCAATGCAGTGATCACAATGAAATATGCTATCCACCAAGTTTAACAAAATAAACTGAAATTTGTGGATTTCATCATTTTTTCCCCTCCAGTATAAAGTAGTTCTTAATAATGGAAGAGCACAGAGATGAAAACTGGGCTATGGAGCCAGACTGCCTGGGTCCAAATACTAACTTCTCCATGTTTCAGTGTTATGACTGTCTCAATTGCTTCATCTACAAAATGGGGGTGGATAATAGTACCTATTTCATTGCTTTATTACAAAAATTAAAGAGATCATTTGTAAAGCACATAGATCAGTGTGTATTAGCTATTATTATTTGTATTAATTGTTTCACAGTCTAATGCAAAGTACAATCTCAATAATAAGATGACAATAAATGTTACAGTAGATGCTAGCAAGAATAAGGAGTTTTGTAGGGTTGGTGGGACTGGGAGCAAGGAGGGTGTGTACACAGAAAAATCATGCCATCAAAGATGTTTATTTATTGGGGCCATCACCACTTCTTTCAGTGAATTAACTGAAAATAAAAATCAAATGAATAATTTTTTTCTCGTGATTGTATCAGAAGTGCAGATACATATTTAGTTTACAAAACACTCAATGTTTAAAAATAGTTACTTAAAGCCTGTGGTACTTAGTCTAAATTATAAAACTTAATTCAATAATTTCCACAAAGACATTATTAGTGACTGTATAGGCTGATAATTCTGATGCTTTTCAATTAGTGTAAAGGTCATGAGTTAAAATAAAACACAGAAGTATTTTAGCTATAATAATCGTCTCTAAATTGAATGTTTTACAGCTGATTTGCTTTTCTTGGCCAATTCTAAGGGCCTGAAAACCTGAAGAGGCAGACCAGTTGAATACATGGTATTCAGTTGTTGGAAGAAATAAAGGGAACGCACCTCCTCCCAAGCCCAGTTACACAAACACACACACACACACACACACACACACTTTATTTAATTTTATACAAAATAACGATGCAGAACCTTGAAGGCTTCTCTGATCACACAAAACAGAAGTAATTTCTTTATCCAACTTTAATTCCTATATGTCTCTGTATCTTTCTTATATCACTTAACAGATTATCTGCCTCATGTTAGAATTACACATATGTTTGTCTTCTCTATAATAATATGTTTCTCAAAAGCAGAGGCTATGTCTTATTTACTATTGTATTGCCACCAGGATCTGGCACATTTGCCTACAGTGAAACATGTGCTGAATTAGTCAAAAGCACAAATATTTTTCATGAGAGCTGATTAGCATTTTACAATAGTCATAAAAATTCAGACTATACCTCAAGTAATTCACAAACAGGTTAAATACTGTAGTCTTTCAAAAATCTGGATATGGTGTTTTTGAAGGCACACTGCCATCTGCATAATTAAAACCATTCTAATACCTATCTCATGAAATAGTACACAAAAAAAATAGTAGACAATACAAAGAGAATCAACTGACTACAGGCATATAATTTACTCAGTGCTTTGCATAAAGAGTGGTTCATAATTTTTAAAATATAGAAAATGAAAGAGATGCTCATTACTATCATTAATGAACACCTAAAACATTTTTGACAAGTTGGTGAAAACAGAGGAAAAAAGAATACAAGAAAAAAGAAAAATTGCTGAATTATCTTCCTGGGTAGCACACTGTTAAGAAATTTGATGACAGAAAGGATGCTGTCAAGCACTAGCATATACTCTGAGAACATGGCAGGATATATCATATGTGCTTACAAACCATTCTAGAAGCTACCTACAAAGCAAGAGGAGCATGTATGCATCAATATAATTAAGAAACTGGAAATCACCAATTATTTCTTGAATTGTTTCACAGTATTAACTATGAGTTCTGTGGACATTAAACCACACCATGGAATCTGAAAAAATAGGATACTGTCTATCATAGTCAGTCTGTGAAACATGGACATAATGTCACTACAACCCAACTCCGCTGGACCGGTACACAAACAGAATCCCAAGTAGCACACTCCACTGGGCTGTGAGCAACTCCAAGTGCAGGGGTACTGTTTTATTCTTTTGTCCTCTGTGATTAACCCAGTATGTACTCAGTAAATAGCATCCATTATTATTGATTTCAACAAACGATGATTGAGCACTTCCTAGGTGGCAGAAACTCTCAGAAGCTGCATATTAAATATTTCTAATGCTCACAACTCTGCAAGATTCTAATTATTATCTCAATCTTACAAATGAGGCTCGGAGAGATTAAAACAACTTACCTAAGGCCACCTACCTGACAAGTAGCACAGCCACTATTTTGGTCCAGAAATGTCTGGTTCATTGACTCAACAAAAAACATATTGAGCCCTGACTATGTATACTGAGCAAGGAAGAGGAGATGTATTGGTGAACAAGACTGAAAAGGCCCCTGAATTTATGGGACTGACATTTTACTCTAGAGAGCCACAATGAATAAAACAAACAGACAAGAACACTACAGATTTTAGAAAATGAAATGAAATAAATAAGGAGAAGGTGGTAGGGAAGAGGAACCCCTGCTGACCTGACCCCTGAAGGATAAGATGGAGCAGCCAAGCAAAGGGCAGGAGGAATGAAACATTCTTAGACAAAGGAAATAGCATATATGAAGGCCTGGAAACAAGGAAGAGTTTACATGTTCAAGGAGTAGGATGGAAGTCTGTGTGGGGAAGGGAAGATGGGTACAATGTGAGGTCAGAGAACAGAAGAGGGTCCCACTGGTCTTAATTGTAAAAAGTTGTGCTCTTTATCTTTTTTTTGTTTTTTTTTTTTTGTTTTTTTTTTTTTTTTGAGACAGGATCTCCCTCTGGCACCCAGGCTGGAGTGCAGTGGTGCCATCATAGCTCACTGCAGCCTTGACCTCCCAGGTTCAAGTGATCCTCCCACCTCAGCCTCCGGAGTAGCTGGGACTACAGATGCATAGCACCATGCCCACCTGGCTAATTTTTTTTTTTTTTAGAGATGGGGAGATGGGGTTTTGCCATGTTGCCCAGGCTGGTCTTGAACTCCTGAGCTCAAGTGATCTGCCTGCCTCAGCCTCCCACAGTGCTGGAATTACAGGCATAAACCACCACACCCAGCCTGCTCTTTTCTTTATAACAGCAATTCTCAAACTTTATACTCTTAAAAATGATGGAGGACTACAAAGAGCTTTTGTTTATGCGGATTATATCTATTGATATTGAGTGTATGAGATATTAAAACTGTGTTTTTAAATTCAAGAATCTACAAGCACACACCTCCTGGAGACTAGAAAATACCACTGCACAGTTGTGAAAAAATAAAGGTGAAAAAGACAAATAATATCTTAGCGTTATGAAAACAGTTTTGCCCTTGGGGACCCACTGAAAGAGTCTCAGGGACCCCCAGTGGTTTCCAGATCACACTTCGAGAAGCATTGCCACATGCCGTGGTCATCCAAGTGTGGTTCTCAGACTAGCAGCATCTAGAGACTAGGAATTGTCTCTTAATCAACTTTGTTTCTCCCATACATTGCTCAGTGTCTGGCACATGGCAAATATGAAATAAAGCAATAATCACTTGTTGACTTAAGTATTTATGTTTTCTCTTGATATTTACGTTGGTATCTCCATGAAAGTCATGCCAGATACTTTGTTCTGAATCATGTATAACAGAATCCTGGGTGCACAGGTTTTCATTAAGCTCTTTTTATTGAATATAGATATAGATTTGGTAAATAGCAACGGGGATAACAAATATAATTAGCAAGAAAACTCTGTGCTCTTTTAATTATGTATAGAAATACTTAAATGAATATAAAATAAGATCTATTAAAAAGATTCTTACAGCCAGGCATGGTGGCTGACACCTGTAATACCAGCACTTTAGGAGGCCAAGGTGGGCAGATCACCTGAGGTCAAGAGTTTGAGACTAGCCTGGCCAACATGATGAAACCCCACCTCTACTAAAAATACAAAAATTAGCCGTGCATGGTGGGGGGTGCCTGTAATCCCAGCTACTCAGGAGGCTGAGGCAGGAGAATCGCTTGAACCCAGGAAGTGGAGGTTGCAGTGAGCCAAGATCACGCCACTGCACTCCAATCTGGTCAACAGAACGAGACCCTGTCTCAAAAATAAATAAATAAATGAAAATAAAAAGATTCTTACAGTTCTTATAATTAATTGCTCTCTCCTATAAAATACAGACCACACTTTATGCCACCCACATTTTGAAGATTTAGGAACAGCCATGAAAACATACTAGCAAACATTCATTCTCAAATCAGAAACACTAGACTGTAATTTAATCTTATTATCAACTGGGTAAAGTATTAGCTTTTAAGTAAAAGTTGCCCATCTTCTTATTAGTGAGCATGGCCTTGATGGTCCAGTTAACTTTCACCTATAAAATAAGGCCATTTTTCATATTCAAAATGAAATTCTGTGTTAAACTTCTTCTTCCATTTATAAAATTACTTACAGTCTGTGAAAAAAAAAAAAAAAGAACATTTAGGATATCTAAAGATAACAAAAGCTCACAACTGGTACCCTCTGCACTCACCACCACCCGGATTAAGCAAAAATTAATTGTCCTCTTTAAAGCTGGATCCTTTTGGCCCTTTCCCAATTCTCACTGGGTTACCAGATGTCACATGACCATACAGTTGGATAGGGTACAAAATTTATTGCACCATGAGCTGTAAAGGTACTAACTACATTCAGGTCAGGATACTGCAGATGTCTGTCTCAGTTACTTAGCTCAACTTGGCACTAAATAACTGGAGATTAGTTTGTGTTTTTAAGTCATACTGTCTTGTTCAAATTCATGTTTTGTCACTTTCTAGCTATTCAGTTATTTAGTACTTCTCTTGCCTTATAGGTAAAAGGTCAATAATAGTAAAACCTGCTTTATAGGGCTGTTATGAAAATTACATGAGTTAATACACATAAAGTGCTTGGAAAAATGCCTGGCACATAGTAAGGACCCAATAATGCTAGTTCTTATGCCTAGCAGATTTCATAGATGTTATAGCCCCAATCTGCTTTACCAACAGGCTTGACATTTCAACTCAGACCTGGTTATTAGGACTACTCAATCCTGGTACTGTTGCTGGTTTTTAGTTTCAATCACTTGACTTAAGCGAAATAGAAAAAGTAAATTCCTCTGTATTAGACTGTTACCTCAATGTCAAGTATCTACTTACTCAACTCCAGTTGAGTGGGTGAGTTGATACTGAGGTAACAGTCTAAAAAGGAAGTTTTTATTCTCTTTTTAAGTTAATGTACAAGATTATTATTATGATTTTTTTTTGGAGGGCAGTGGCGTGAGCCCAGCTCACTGCAAGTTCCGCTTCTCGGGTTCACGCCATTCTCCTGCCTCAGCCTCCACAGTAGGTGGGACTACAGGTGCCCGCCACCACGCCTGGCTAATTTGTTTTATATTTTTAGTAGAGACGGGGTTTCACTGTGTTAGCCAGGATGGTCTCGATCTCCTGACCTCGTGATCCATCCGCCTCGGCCTCCCAAAATGCTGGGATTACAGGCGTGAGCCACTGCGCCCGGCCAAGTTAATGTACAAGATTGTTTTAAGTAAAAGCTAGAAAGAAGACTGTTCAAAATGCATCCTGTGTACCGAAAATACTACCTAGAATATTTGTTGAATGAATAGACAACTGACTCCGGTTTTACGAGAACAACCCCCAGTGTACTTGGAATTGGAACTAAAAACCCTCATGAGCAGCATACCACAAACTCTGGCAATAGTTCCACCTCATCGCCGCTACTGATTTCAGATTAGAAAAATGTTTTAAAATTTTTAAATTTCTTTTAACTTTGCCCATCCCTTTTTCTCCCTCAAATCACTTACACTGTTTTTGTATATGCTAAGAATCACATTGAACTCCTTACATCCAAATAAATTCATTAGAATCTCTCTCAAATTAGCATCTTTTCCTAAAGCCCAATTTTAAAATTTTATTAGTATTTATTTACTTGTTTTTGGCTACTGGTGAATACCAGTACTTTTTTAGTCTCACAAGTGAGAAAATCTGGGAGTCATCTATTAATGACTAACAGGATAGTATGGAAGAAAGAATGAGTGCTTTGTAGTCAGATGAAGCAATCTCTTTTACTATGCAACCTAGCTATGTTAATTAACTCACTCTGTGCCTCAATAATCTCAGCCATAAATTGATTCTAATTCTGATTTCATAGATTTTCTGTAAGGATTAAAAAGAGAAAATACATAGAAAAAATTATAAGTACAACACTCTGGCAAACAAGAGGCATACATGCACTGAATATTTTATCAAGACTTTTGTGCCAGAAACTGCCATTCTTTTGCTTCTTATTTTATTTTTCTTTCATTCAAACTGATACTCTCCATTTATCCAAATAATTTGCTGATTTCTTCTATAGTGTATTCTCCATTTCTATTAGCCTATTTCTAATTTTTTGGAAATCCCATCGCAATTAAGGTGAATACTATATAATTCTGAACTTAATTGCTTGCTTTCTAGTAATTAGAAAGGTTTTACCTAGATGGTAACCTCTACAAGTACACTAAATCTGTAATCAATAACTATATTCTTAAAAAAACAGATGTATGGCCAGGCGCGGTGGCTCATGCCCGTAATCCCAACACTTTTTGGGAGGCCGAGGCAGACGGATCATGAGGTCAGGAGTTTGAGACCAGCCTGACCAACATGGTGAAAACCCGTCTCTACTGAAAAAATACAAAAATTAGCCGGGCGTGGTGGTGCATACCTGTAATCCCAGCTACTCGGGAGGCTGAGGCAGGAGAATCGCTTGAACCGGCGGAGGGTGCAGTGAGCCGAGATCGTGCCACTGCACTCCAGCCTGGGTGACAGAGCGAGACTCCATCTCAAACAAAACAAAACAAACAAACCAGCCAAACAAACAGACATATGAGCTTTGATAAGTCACTTTAAGTCATTGGACCTAGATTTTTGAATCTGTTAAAAAAATTCAGTATTTTCTCTAAAATCCTTTGCATCAAAAACATTTGGTGATTCTATGTTGAGTTCTTAGATCATTTTCATACAGATTAGAAATCAAAGAAAAGGAGTCCTTTTCGGTTTATTCCGTCTCTCTGAATTTCGTCAGCTTTTTGTTCATTCCATTAATAACGCACTTTACCGTATTATATTAAGCACATGTCTACCCTGCTAGGTAGCAAATCCCTTGACAATACAGTCTGTTTCAATTAATAAACTTCGTATCTGGGCTACTTAAGACAGTGTGTGGCACATGGTAGGTGTTCAATATATGTTTGCTACATTGAAATTAATTATCTTAAGTATGAGATAGGAAAGATTATAAGGCTTTATAATATATAAAGGTTATAATTATATATTATAAAGATTATAAGTGCTTTGCACTGACAACAGGTATTCTCTTTCTAAAACCCTGTCTCTCCTAACTATCCTCTCACTACTATCACTGTCCTGATGCTACTCAAAATATTAAAATATGAGGTGAAAGAATCATTACCACAACAAATGAAACCACTTCGGTCTTATATGCTAAAAATGGTGAAACAAAAGAGTCAAATTCATCAAAGTACAATCAAACCATTGAGGGCTTAAATGTCCATTTAGACTACATAAGGAAAAAAGGAAATGCTTAAATTAATTTGACAAATACAACTTTTCCCACTAATTCAATCATCTGGATAATTCTAACAATTTCAAATTGACAATAACATCATTCAAGATTTTCTCACAGCAATTCAGTTTTTTAATATTAAAAATTACAAAACTTATTTAAAGACAATAAGCAGATTATAATATCTAACTACTATACATATTTATTTCTTTCAGTAACAAACACTAGGTTTTTAATTACACAGACTTTACCTCCTCCTTACCAGGATCCTTTATTTTTAGATTGTATAAAGATGAAATAAGTACAAAACTATTCTCTCAGCCCTACCTTTCCATCAAAAAACAAATTGATTCTAACTTAGATAGATTCCTGTAGGTATCAACTAAAAAATCTACATCCATTTAAAAAAATAAAGTTTGAACCCAAGAAATTTTACAAGAGAAATATTCAAGAGATCCAAAAGGCATGATATATTCGTTCATGCTTTTGTGGCAGTTCTAATGATGTGACTCACATACATGAAGCAGGTTCATGACAAGTTAGCTGAGCATTCACATTTCAATACACCTTTGTACACCTAAATGTCATTACATCAATCTTGTTTAAGATTTGCAGATTCTGTAAATTTCAGTTAATGTCACTAAAATGATGTTATGTGCTATGGAGTTTATTTTATTGGCAGAATTTTCTTTAACAACTTTATAAATAATTTACTCTTGTGTTTATAGAAACCTTAATAGTCTGAAGGGTCAAAATGGTTTTTAGCTATACTTCACCAGATTTTATGGGGAAAATAATATGTAATTACATTTTCCCATTTGCAGATACATGAAGGTCTCAGGACAAATCTCTTGCAAATATCAAGGGTCTACTGTAATCGTTTCCAGTCTGCCCATTGAAACTTAGCAAATGGGTAACACCCTGGCCTCTCCATTCTGACTGTGGCTTGGGTTGGAAGGTTAATCACCATGAAGAGCAGAAGAGCTGAACCTTAATGTTAAGATGGGCATAAATCCTAATCCACAATGTACGCTTTTTTAAATATATACACCAATAGACTCTTTGGGTTACTATGGGCCAAGTTATGTCCATCATCGTCACACTTAACAGTGTTGGGTCCTAATTTTTCACACTGTTATGAATGCTATACTGTCAAACAGCATGGGCATTTAGGGATAGATTCATGCTGATGCCTTGTGCTGACTCCCATCACTGCCCCCTTTATCAAATCACTTTCTTATACCCTCTGCTTATCTAAAAGCAGATGAAAAGGTGTATCAATGTGGACAAGATTTGCCATTTGGGGTGTGGGTGTTGGTATGGCATATGAGTTTAATAGAATTCTGTGTGTCGATAATTAAATAGTTCCATAGGTGAAAGTTAATTAAATCCATAATTCCATATAGGAAAACAGTACTACAATTTTTTCCTTAGTACATCAGATTAAAAAAATAAAACATTGACAAGTATGAGCTCGATTCTAATATATTAAGGCTAATTTCAGAATGGGAAGCATCTCATACTGTTCCAAAATGTAAATACCACGTTGAAAAAAAATGGTTATTCTCTCAGTAAAAGAAGGATCATTAATTTCAAATCAAGGAAGAGTTTATATGATTAAACCAGTATATATTTGCTCAATTTACTATCTGGAGATTTTAAAAACAAGATTGAAACAGACTGACTATTTGAAATTTGAAAAGGGCAATGTCCACATTGTTCCCCTGGTACTGTACAATGGCAGGTCAAACTTTTGTTCCTCTTGTCCTACAAACAATTTTCAAGCCCACGCTCAATAAATAAATTTGGTCTCAGCACTCCCAATCAGTGCTGCACAATCCCCTCAGTAGCAGACCTATGATAAATGGACTTATTTTCCCAAATCAAACACTTGAATTTAAATTCAGATGAGTTAATGCAAAGGTCAACATTGTAATCAGTTCTTTTGATCTTTATAGAATTTCTGGAGTAATACATAATAAATCTGAAACAAGGCAATTTGCAGCTCTGTATGTGTGGCTGGCAATAAAAATCTTAACGATCACAGCCTTTATGTACTTAGGGAATGTTTTATCGTAATGGCTATGGTGAGGGCTTCAATGCATAGGAAACAATGGCAATAGATAACCCTGAAAGACTTGATTTCTTGATTGTTTTACAATTTATTTATATATGTATTTATAAAAAAACTTAATGATATACATCTATGCTTACTGTATGTTTGAAATAGTCACTACTTTTATCATAACCACTTAGTTTTGAGTTAATAGGTTGGACATAAAAATTGCCTATGATAAACATTTGCATATCAGGTTCAACCTGAAATTTTCCAATCTCAGAACTGCATTTCTTTAGAGAGTTTTTACACTAAAATGTTTTGGAAGGTTAGGCAATATAAAAATTAAATACTATTGTTCAATTTTATAACTGATAAAGCACAATTAATTCATTACGGCACAATCACAAAGGGGTTCTAATGGTCTTTAAACTGATATTTAAGGAAGGAAGGAAAGGAAGGAGGGAGGGAGGGAGAAAAACCAGACAGATGAACAGGAAGTAAGACCCACAGACTTGCAGCTAAGTGCCCCTTTTGCATCTGGCTGCTAGGTACTATTGGGTCCTATGGCTTCAGGCTGTTCCTGTATTTTCCCTGTCTTGGAGCCCTATGATAACAATTTATCTTAAAGTAGCAGTCCCAGTTATTCAACAAAACACTGCATGATTACGTGTGAAAGTAACATGAAGTTTTACATTGATAGCAGTAATAAACAATAGTCTTCTTGTGTTTTCAAAAATATAAAATCTTTTTTCTTTTAGTAACATAGCAGTGATTGATCCTTTCGAAACAATAAAACCATTTTTGTCAACTTTATTACACTAAAGTACACAGTGTTTGCACAATAGTGCTACTCTTTAAAGGATCAATTCTGAACCACTTTAGTGGTAAACAGGATTCAACAAGTACCTACTATTCAAGATAAGTCTTTTAATGAAATTATAAACATGAAAAAAACATCCAAATGTCTAGCAGTGAGGAACCTAGTACACATACATTTGAAGTAATAGCCCTAGGACTACGTAGCTAAAGGTGAAAAGAATAACAGCTTCCAAGGTGGCATTTAATATCTGTTCCCACAGTCTCTCTCTTCAGAACAATCGACCCTTATTTTTGGCTAAAACACTGAGGCTGAAATACGGCATTGTGCACAAATTTATTGTAATACTGTTTTCTGGAGACTCAATGAGAGTACATAAGAGCCAGATGTATCCTGTGTACTTGTGTGACAACCGTAACTCCAGTTGTATCCAAACATTTCACTGAATTTGGCCAAACAGCCAGGAATTTTAGAAACTTCTGGGACAAATATATTCATCTATAGCTTCTGTATTAAGTTCTTTCATCGGTAGGCAAGTTTGGTTAAGGTCCGTGAGCTCCTTTTGACAGAGTACTACACTGATACAGCTTCTATCATCCTAAGTTTGCTCTCTAAAGCTAAAGAAAAGCAAAATCATTACTCATACTGAAAATTCTGTCAATTTCTTCAAATTGTGACTTTATTTCTCTAATAAAGCCTTCATAAATCTGATATCATTGAATGCAACACAATTCGGCAGTAGAAATGACTGGGCACAAGGTAATAACTGCTCTATTCAGATGTCTGACATGAGTCTAAATTTCTATACTTCCTAAGAAAAATCAGCAATGTTTTTGTTTTCTCCCCCTGCAGTTTCATATTTAGGGTATACAGATGTCCTGTCACAGCAGTTAAAAAGTACAGTCTTGTGAGTCACTAGGGGTCTGACAAGTAGAGTCTCAAAGCCCGATAATTACAAAAAGTCCTTGATTTGAAAAGAGCTCATTTCATTTTTTTTTCCAGCAATTTCTACATTGTTGCCTGCATTAACAAAAGAATAAAAATCATAAAAATTAAGCTTCTATATTCTGTTCAGCCACATAAGTATCCTAAAAATTAGCAATAGTTAAATGCATACATATAGTAAAATTCAATTATTTTCTTAATCCATGTGAATACTTATTTATCATCTACTATGTGTAAGACAATGGGTTGGGTAATTCACTACCTCACATAATAATCTGATAGGCAAGTTAACAACACAAGCCTTTTAGATAAATGACAAAGTGGAAGCTGAGAACACCCAAATTTAGTTGGAATAAAATGTTCAAGCCTCTTTCACAAGCTACATTTTAGGTATTCCATCTGGGAAGATTGAAGTAGAGTTTTTTTTATAGAAAGACCAAACATCCCAGTTGTCTTATTAGCATGTCCTTTGGTCCAACTAAGTCACTCATGCTCATAAATGATGTAAGAACTTGCTTTTTGGTAAAAAAATTTTAAGGAGGGCTATATACCCTGAAGTCAAAAGGGTCGAGATTATACAATTTAAGCTTTGTTTCTTGAGGAATCCTGCTGGGTTTAGGCTGTGATGAACATCTGCTGGTTGGCTGACAGTGTCTATTCCTTCTACTAATAATAACATACTGATTGTAAGTGACAGTGTCTATTCCTTCTAATAACAACATCCTGATTTTTTCCACAGGAAAATATCCTTCTCCCATCCTTACGGTAGGAGACGCAGTGACACAGTCTCCGATTCCCTGGCCCAGGCCTGGCCATTCACAGCACCCCATGCTATGCCCATTATAGTTGGCTCAGGGATGTGGATATTCCCTAGTGAAAGTCATCAAGAATCAATTCTAGAACAGTTCTGAAACTACTGGAAAGAAAAAAATTCCTCTTTTTGGGGTGGGGGAAGGATTCCAGAGATAAGATATAAGTTTCAAGCGCTGGGAGCCCTCCGTCTCTGGAAGCGGGAGAGCCTGGCCAAGAATGGCTCAATCCCGAGGAAAACAGCCAACAGATGGAAGGCGCCAGATTTAGGACCAAAGCCATCCTTTAAGCCTGTGGATTCAACATTTTAGTTCTCTAAGCCAATAAACATCTATTTCCTTTTAAAAATGTCTCAGCATAATAAGACTGGCTGAGTTGGGTTTCTCTTACTTAAAACCCAAAACGTCTTAAGAATTAATACTAAAGTCCTAAACTGAAACCTTTGCCTAGGGTTTAATATCCTCCAGAGTTGACAAGATATTTTCTTCCACAGGCTTTTCCACTTTTCCTTAATCTGGAAGTTTTTCACCTACTTTGTCACTGACATCATAAGGCAGAATAGTGTAGGGACATTAAAGAAAGGCAGTCAGCTGCAGCTCACTAAAGAGAGTAATCTATCCCTGAGCTTAAGATGCTGGTGCAGGTGGCATCTGGGGACAAGAAAGGGAACTAAAACTGCTAAACACCTGCCATGAGCCAGGCACAGTTCTGCCTGTTTTACCTACATCAGTCCACTTAGCCTTATTTCATATCTGCATAACACTGTGAAGAAGAGACAGATGCCTTAGGGACTAAGAAATTGCTAGTCAGAGAATATAGTGGATCAACATTTAGTACAGAGTAGTGGCTATATGTGTTGGCTCCAGAGTCAGTTTTAGATTTATGTCTCAGAGGCTACATCATTGAAAAGCATGATGATGCGAACGTTTTTTTTTTTTTTTTTTGAGACAGAGTCTCGCTCTGTCGCCCAGGCTGGAGTGCAGTGGCGCAATCTCGGCTCACTGCAAGCTCCGCCTCCCAGGTTCACGCCATTCTCCTGCCTCAGCCTCCCGAGTAGCTGGGACTACAGGCGCCCACCACCTCGCCCAGCTAATTTTTTGTATTTTTAGTAGAGACGGGGTTTCAACGTGTTAGCCAGGATGGTCTCGATCTCCTGACCTCGTGATCTGCCCGTCTCGGCCTCCCAAAGTGTTGGGATTACAGGCGTGAGCCACCACACCTGGCCAGGAATGTTTTAAATCTGCTCCATGCCTCAGTTTCCCAACATGATTAAAAGTCATCTTTGTCTGACTTATAGGGATAGTGTGAGAATAATTAAGATGTTACTCATCAAATATTTTAAAACAATACTTGGCATATTGTAAGCTGCTAATAGCAAAGCCTGAAATTAAGTCATGATAAACACCTAAATGTTCTGAGAAAGAGTGTATTAAATGAACTGATAAGAGGAAATGACCAGTCCAGCCCACAGTTTCATGGGACAAGAACAGAACAAACAAAGAAGGGCAGGAAAAGCCATAGTTATAACCAAAGATGAGAAACCAAGAAGAGAATCCTTCAAGAGGATTCTTTCTCAGGCTCGCTTGGCTAACAGTTGTATTGCTTCTGTAATGTGAATGGACTAGAAGTTAATATCAAGATGTTAATTTATCTTATTTGTAGTGTGTGTATATAGTTATACTTGAGTTACTACCTTTATAAAGTCTTAAAAAAGTTTACTCCAGATATTCTTATATTGAACATCTGAACTGAGATATGAAACTGCAATAACCTGGGCACAGTGGCTCATGTCTGTAATCCCAGCACTTTGGGAGGCTGAAGCAGGCGGATCACTCGAGGTCAAGAGTTCGAAACAAGCCTGGCCAACATGGCAAAACCTGTCTTTACTAAAAATGCAAAAATTAGCCGGATGTGGTGGTACAAGCCTCTAATCCCAGCTGTTGGGGAGGCTGAGGCAGCAGTCACCTGAACCCAGGAAGGCGGAGGTTGCAGTGAGCCAAGATCGCACCACTGCACTCCAGCCTGAGCAACAGAACTAGACTCTGTTCCAAAAACAAACAAACAAACCAAATTATGTGATTCTCCTGCGTCCACTATCCTTTCCAACCCAGAGGCCAACATTCTTTTAAAAAAAAAGTTTAATTCCCTTTGTCAGCTCTTCTCTCCACACACCAGCCTAAGTAAACCCTAATCAGAAGCAAACCAAGATTTCTCCACACACTAAATTATCTGCCTTCCATACCCAGGCTGCTAACTGCTATTGGAAATAAAAAGCCACACAACTGAGATGAACTCTATCAATGTATGTGCAAGTGGGCAATCCCAACAGTCTCTAGTGATCTCGCTCTTCGGTTCTTCACATAAGGCATTTAGAACGTTCTCAAGTCCATTCAAACCTTTTCATCACCTCCCTGCCATCCCCCACCTTAGCAAACAAATTTGCCTTCTATCTTACAAATAAAATATAAATGAATACTTTTTCATTTCCTGCCCTGAAACTGTAAACTTAACTCCAATATACCTGCCCTTTATGTTCCTTCTAGTAAAATGAAAGAAATGTCTTTCCTCCCATCTAAGGCTAAGCTCTCCATCTGTATATTCTGGCTCCTGCTGTCTTTCACTTAATTAGGAACCTCATTCAATCCATCAGCCCCTCTCCTTCTTGTTTTTCTCAACATCTCCCTGTCTACTGGAGCCTTCTCAATTGGCAGACAGGTTTTAGGTCCTCCTTTATTAAAACCAACCAAAACTCTGAACAGTGCCATTTCCTTTCTCTCTCTTTCCCTTGAAAGCCCAACTTCCTGGAAGAACGGTCAATATATGCTTGTCCCCACTTTCTCACAGGCGGCTACAATATAAAACCTGGCTGAGGTAGCCCAGAAATCAGAGATTCCAGGTGACCCTTCAATTCGGAAATGTGAGTGGAGAGCGACAGTGAAGCACTGTTTATTCACAGCAGGAGTTCCGTCAATGGACAAGCACTACCAAGACCATATCTCAGACTCTGGGAAGATGACTGGCTGGTAAGATCTTAGAGTGAGGTCTTGGCCTCTTTTGTGCTAATCCTCATCATAGAGGGTATTTGGGCAGCACCTAGAGTCTGCGGGCATAAAGGTGCATACTTATTACTTTTCTCCCACAGAAAGGGAAAATAAAAGGAAAGGATTTTCTTAAGAAATTCTCATCTTTCCAATCAAAATTGATCTGTCCTTCATTGAATGTCTAAACACTTTAACAGTAATTTGATTTAATAGCTACTTGTCTACAGACCTTTCTCTTGATTATAGGCTTCTTGGCAGTAGACTATGTAATTGTTTTTCTGTGTTGTCCATGGCTCCAAGCACAAGTGGTCAAAAGAACAAGCCAGGGAATCGTGAGGTCAAACTGGGATGATGAGAGGCCCTGATGTATAGAAAACTAAAATGAGGTAAAATACATAAAGGGTTTTATAAACTACAAAGCGTCAAATAAAGATGAAATGATTTTACATACAGCTAGATCATAACATGTATTTGCTGAGAAAATGGATAACTGTTAAACAGACATTTGTAATGTTATAAAGCCAACAAGGCCATTTCAATAATTTTCTCTGGGTAAAGTGTTAGACAATGGGTAGGATGAACTGTGGGTTTGAATATCTGCCAACTACTATGTTCTTACCTGTGAAATGAAGATTCTCTTACTAGTTTTTATATCACAAAGTTTTAATTTTTTTTAATAAAATACCTAGGAATATAGCTAACTAGGGAGGTGAAAGATCTCTACAAGGAGAACTACAAACCACTGCTCAAAGAAATAAGAGATGGCACAAGCAAATAGAAAAACATCCCATGCTCATGGGTAGGAAGAATCAATATCATTAAAATGGACATAATGCCCAAGCAATTTATAGATTAAATGCTATTCCTATTAAACTACCATTGAGATTCTTCACAGAACTAGAAAAAAACTATTGTTTAGGCAATCCTGAGCAAAAAGAACAAAGCTGGAGACATCACACTACCCAACTTCAAAGTATACTACAGGGCTACCATAACCAAAACAGCATGGTACTGGTACAAAAACAGACACATAGGCCAATGGAATATAACACAGAGCCCAGAAATAAGGCTGCACACCTGCAACAATCTGATCTATGACAAACCAGACAGAAACAAGCAATGGTAAAAGGATTCCCTTCAATAAATGGTGCTGGGATAACTGGCTAGCCATATGTGGAAGATAAAACTGGACCCCTTCCTTACAGCATATACAAAAATTGTGATGGATTAAAGATTTAAATGTAAAACCCAAAACATAAAAACTCTGGAAGACAACCTAAGCAATACTATTCAGGACATAGCCATGGGCAGACTTCATGATGAAGATGCCAAAAGCAATGGCAACCAAAGAAAAAGTTGACAAATGGGATCTAACTAAAGAGCTTCTGTACAGACAAAGAAACTATCAACAGAGTAGACAACCTACAGAATGTGACAAAATTTTTGTAAACTTTGCATCTCACAAAGGTGTAACACCCAGCATCTGTAAGGAACTTAAACAAATTTACAAGAAAAAAACCCAAACAACCCCATTAAGAAGTGGGTAAAGGACATGAACAGACACTTTTCAAAAGACATACATGCAGCCAACAATGATATGAAAAAAAAAGCTCAACATCACTGATCATTGGAGAAATGCAAATGAAAACCACAATGAGATACTATCTCACACCAGTCAGAACAGCTATAAGAAGTCAAGCCAGGCGTGGTGGCTCACACCTGTAATTCCAGCACTTAGGGAGGCCGAGGCAGGCAGATCACGAGGTCAGGAGTTCAAGACCACCCTGGCCAACATAGTGAAACCCTGTCTCTACCAAAAATACAAAAAATTAGCCAGGTGTGGTGGTGGGCACCTGTAATCCCAGCTACTTGGGAAGCTGAGGCAGGAGAATTGTTTGAACCTGGGAGGCAGAGGTTGCAGTGAGCAGAGATCGCGCCACTGCACTCCAGCCTGGGTGACAGCGCAAAAAAAAAAAGTCAAAAAATAACAGACGCCGGCAAGGTTGTAAAGAAAAAGGAACACTTGTACACTGCTGGCGGGAGTGTAAATTAGTTCAACCATTGTGCGAGATAGTGTGGCAATTCCTCAAAGACTTAAAGACAGAAATACCATTCGATCCAGCAATCTCATTACTGCATATATACCCAAAGGAATATAAGTCATTCTATTATAAAGACACATGCATGCGTATGTTCACTGCAGCACTATTCACAATAGCAAAGACATGGAATAAACTTAAATGCCAATCAATAAACCGGATTTAAGAATGTGGCACACAGACACCATGGAATACTATGCACCCATAAAAAAGAATTAGATCATGTCCTTTACAGGGACATTGGTGGAGCTGGAGGTCATTGTCCTTAGCAAACTAACTGATACGGTTTGGCTCTGTGTCCCCACCCAAATCTCATCTCGAATTGTAATTACCATGTGTCAGAGGAGGTCTGGCGGCGGGTGATTGAATCATGGGGGTGAACTTCCCTTTGCTGTTGGGGAAGTGATAGTGAGTTCTCAAGAGATCTGGTTGTCTGAAAGTGTGTGGTACTTCCCCCTTAGTTCTCCTGTCTCTCTCCTGCTCCTCCATGGTAAAACGTGCTTGCCTTCCTTTTGCCTTCTGCCATGATAGTTAAGTTTCCTGAGGCTTCCCAGTCATGTTTCCTGTTAAGCCTGTGGAGCTGTGAGTCAATTAAACCTCTTTTCTTCATAATTTACCTAGTCTCATGTAGTTCTTTATACCAGTGTGAAAACGGACTAATACGCTAATATAGGAACAGAAAACCAAATACTTCATGTTCTCACTTATAAGTGGGAGCTAAATGATGAGAACACATGGACACACAGAGAGGAAAAACAGACACTGGGGCCTATTGGAGGTTGTGGTGGGGGAAGGGAGAGATATCAGTAAAAAAACCAATGGGTACTAGATGTAATACCTGGATGATGAAATAATCTATACGACAATATTCATGACACAAGTTTACCTATGTAACAAACCTGCACAGGTATGCAGTTACCCCTGAAAATGAAAGTAATCTTTTTGATTACATGTGCTACAAATACTAAGACACCTGCTTCTCTCAATCTTCGCAAAATCAGAAATCTCAGTCGTGAAAAGAATACTTTGAATATTTTACAGGCTTTTTATAATGAATTCAATAGTTTATTCAGTTCACACAATTTTTATAAAACTTTCTTTTGTCCAAAACTGGGTGATATGGTTTGGCTGTGTCCCCACCCAAATCTCATCTTGTAGTTCCCATAATCCCCATGTGTCATGGGAGGAACCCAGTGGGAGGTAACTGAATCATGGGGGCAGTTTCCTCCATACTGTTCTCATGAAAGTGAGTGAGTTCTCATGAGATCTGATGGTTTTATAAGCATCTGGCATTTCCCCTGCTGGCACTCATTCTCTCCCCTGCTGCCCTGTAAAGAGGTGCCTTCCGCCATGATTGTAAGTTTCCTGAGGCCTCCCCAGCAATGTGGAACTGTGAGTCAATAAAACCTCTTTTCTTATAGTATACCCAGTCTCGGGTATTTCTTCACAGCTGCATGAAAACAGACTAATACATGGGGAGATATCACAGTTTGATGGTGGTGCTCTATTCTCTTTAAAAATAAAAATCACCTGAGAAGTGGTAGTTGCCAGGTGCAAACAAATGTCTGTATACTGTTGCTTGTTCTTTTCCTCCTTCTATACAGCTTTGTCTAGCAGTATCTAAACACATTCTTTTCAAAATAGTTAAGTTTTGGCAGCTCTCATTTAAGGCCACAGCCTCTCAGTTCAATTACAAAACCATTTACTGAGAACATATTATGGGTTAGACATCATGGGAGATATATTTTAATTAATCTCAATTAATGACCATAGAATTCATAACTTAGATCAATATGAGATTTTTTAAGTTAATTATAAACTTATATTTCTCAGGATATAGACTTCTCCCTCATGTTCCATATATCTGTTATGTCAGGATTGTCTGTTGTAGCTAATATTTGGGAAATGAAGATGGCAAATACTGCTTTGCAATGAAAATGCTCCAGAAACATTTAAGATATTCCTGCTACTGTGTATAGAAAGATTAGTATCCCATGAGAAAAGTTTATTTGATGTAGTATCTTCTTACCTCTCCATCTTTGCCCTTATGACACAAACAAATGGCCCATTTTATCTGAATTACATCTCACAGAAGACCATTCAAAAGTAATGAAATACTTAGAGACTCTTGTCATTCATTCATTCACTCATTCAACAAGCATTTGCTGATAACTCATATTCCTTGGTAAGATATATCTACTAAGAACCATGTATGAGAAAAAACGAAGAATTGACCAATTTAGTTAAATGAATGAAAGACTATCAAAACATAGAAAGACTTCCTAATCAGCAAATCAATCCATAAACTAACAGGTCTTATGCAAAGTCATAGGAATTAGAAAAAAAGAAAAGCCTAAGACTAAAAATTTTCAGTGAATTTAGGTTCACATTTAGATTTGCTCTTAGTTGGGTGCAAACACCATACTTGGATGACAATTGCTTTAAATTATATACAAACAAAATCATACTTCATTTCCTTCTCATTAGTTCTTTAACGGGAGAACTCTGTAAGGAATAACTGTCTATTCACCATTTTTAGTTTCCTATTTTCCTAAATACCAATATCTACACTTCCTAAATACTATATATTTTTCTATTTTATCCCACAGAATATAAGACTTTGAGGCAGCATGATTTAGTGATGAGACTCTGGGTTCTATAGCAGAAAGACAAGGGTTCACCACTTGTTAGCTGTGACACATGGTAGGTTTCTGTAAGCTCAGGTTCCTCTATGATTAATAATATCTAATTTTTATAGGGCATGATGAGGATAAAGTATGTACATTCTTAACCAAAGACCTACCACATAGTAAGTGCCCAATAAAAGATCATTATTATTCATTTATTCGCCAAATGCTTACAGAAACCTACCTGCTCAGTGCTGAGTACTGATTTGAACTTAAGGACCTTAAGGTAAACAAAATAGACATTCATTACCCTCAAAGTTGATTCTCATGAAGGGATACCAACAATAAACATATGAAAAAAAATCTAGGAATAGTGTTAAATACAAACGGAAATTATGCTATCATCATTAATTAAAATTATTTTTAGTGAATGACACTCGTCTATAAGTGAAAGTCAAATTTTCTTGTTACCTAGTTGGTTTAAAAAAAAGACATAGCTAATATCTATTGACAAAATAAAAAATGTTTAATAACTTGCTTCAATAACAGAAACCCATAAAGTAAAATTTGTTTCCAAAAATGAAATAGCTTACTCTGTACTTATCACAATTTTAAACACATGATTTTAAAATCATTTTTAACTTCCATTAGTCTGCTTTACATAATTTTAATGAACAAATATTTTCTCTATAAGCAATAAAATATCTGTGATATTATACTACATTTTTGTAATTATATACTATTATAATATAATTATTTAAATACATGTAGGGAAGCAAGTAAGGCATGCAATAATTAAGATAAGTAATTACATGATTAGTAAGTCTAATTACATAGCATATAATCAGAGACTTTATGAAGAATTTTTGCTTACATGGACAGATGATTTTTCATATGCTTATGCACTATAAATCTGTTAAAAATTCATAATTTGAAATAATATTTTAATCAAAATCATTCAAGAAGCTTTAAATTCTTAAGAAAATATAACAAGAATTCTTCAGAAATCATGAAAAAAAAAAACAGAGAGAAACCTAGACCAGTCAGGAGTGCAAATCTGGTTATGTCAGAAACAGAAAAAGATGTATGGTCAGTAAACAAAGTCTTTGCTCTTTGTAGGCCTGCACCGGCATTCTATTTGATGCAAATGTTACTAAACACACAGGCAAGGTATCATCAATTCGTTCAATTCATTCTCATTGTCATTTAAGAAAGGGTCTCTGGAGATCAGTGTTCCTAAAAGGCATCAGTATCAATTGGGAACTTGCTAGAAATGCAAATTCTCAAACCCTAACAAAGACCTACAGAATCAGAAACTGGAAGTGGACTCAGCAACTCCTAATTTAACAAGCCTTCCAGCTGATTCTTACACATAGTACAGTTGAATACCACCCACCGCTCTAGGTTAATATTCAAAGAACCAAGACTGCTAGTCTTCTCTAATAATATTTTAACCTTGAAAACAGTGCCAAAAAAGTCTCCTTTGCCAGCCACATTAGCAATTTCAACCATGAACTGAGAAATACGAACACAGATCTCACTCACTGTTGTGTTTGTTGTATCTGAATATTTTTTTAAAACTTTGTGCCATGTTAGGCAGAAATCATGTTAAGCAATTTATATCCATTAACACAATAAAATGCTGCAACAGAAGTACTTATCGTTAACCCAGTTTTCAAGGGAGGAAACCAGAGTTTAGAGGGGTTATGGAACTTGTATAAGGAAGGTCAAATGGCATGATTGCCGATGACAAAATAACTACATATCATGTAACATCACCCATTTTCATTTAAATTATTTAGTTTTCAGTTATCATAGCCTTGGATGCCACAGAAAATATTCTTTAACATTACAGGCTAAGAACTTTATTAAGAAAATAAGATAATTTTTTAAATTCTTAATCAACCTATTTTTAGATGGGTAAATTTGCAATTACCTATCAGTTACTAACATAACTTCAAGTAGTATATCTAGTTGTGAAATACGGGGAAAAAATACTGACTGCCTTACCAACAAACCAACCTGATGTATATGAATAAAACCTTGTAAACTTCTCCTATGTATATGAATAAAACCTCTCTGATGTATATGAATAAAAACCTTGTAAAACCTCTCTTAACAGTTACTGAAGCAACCTCAACTAAAGTTCAGCCTTTACATATAAGAAGGCACTTCAAATATATTCATATTCATCAGAACTTAAACATACTCATATGGCATATCCACATACACACATATACTATTCAGAATGTACTCATATAATTTAATTTAATAAGTTACCTAGTTAAAGGGGTATGTGGCCTAATACAAATTCAATACTGGTTTACCTGTTCCAGAAGCAGTAAAGGTAGTAGTAAAAGTAGCCACAGGAGGGCAAAGGGAGAAGAGTCTATGTTCAACAGAGAATTTCAGCTGGACAGTGATGAAAAGTCCATATGTTACTGTGCCACCATAAATTATGTTGGAACGAATGGTCAGGCCCCAAAGGGGTTCCAAAAATAGGTTGAAACTGCTCACACTCTGAAAACAAATTGCCTAAATTCCAATATGAAAAAACAGTGTTCTTGTCATATATTTTCATGTGGCCACTACTGGGTGAAGCTAGGTCTACAGAGATGAAATACAATATGCTTTGGTTTTGAAATTGGAAGTTGTTATTCCATCAAGACACTGAAATGCAAAAAAATCTGCATGAGTCTAGTGCCTCAAGGCTTAAAGATTCATTATGAAGGAAAGACAAAATGAATGATGGCATGTCAGTTGGCCTGAACCCTGGAAGTGAACCTGCATTTTGGAGAGATGAAAACCTCAGAAGTCTTACCTTTTAATCATCTCAGGAGTGTGAATTTGAATTATATAATTATTGGTTTATCTAAATTACATATTTAAGTGATAATAATGGGAAAATCATTAATCAAAAGCAAAAGTACTCAGAGTTTCATTATTATTAACAAGTTCATTTTTCTTAAGGGGAAACACCAAATCTAGAATGTTAAAAAATAGTTATACGATCATTTCCCTTAAAAGACAGAAAATCAACAGAAAAAAAGTAATAAAAAAACTAAGGGGTTGCTTAGTTTATAATCTCTATTCAAGATGTCTGTGGTTAATCACCAGGAAAATCAGCTACCTATCAGTAGCTAAATTTGCAATATTTCATTTTAAGAACCTCATAATCACAAAATACGTAATTATAGGGGCTTCATAAATGAATACTCAACAGACTCTATTCTGCACTTTAAAAAATTTGGTATACATCTAAGGGAGAACAATAAATCCAATCATCACATTTTATTGATTAATTTCATCACAGGACTAAAATGTTGAAGGATCATGTGAATATGGCTTTAAGTCAAACAATGTTCAATTTTGACAGAACTGTCACAGGTATATCATTATTGTAATTGTAAGAATATGTATACTAGATATATTAACAATAGCAAAGTATTTAGGGAACATTAAGTAATATTTTAAGAAAAAATTAAAGTTCCAACACAATTTTTTGTATAGTCTACATTATTGTTTTGAAAATTAAAAGTGGTAAGTTGTATAAAGGAACAATAAATGCATTCTTATTCAACACAAAAGCCTCACATGATTCAAGGTTTCGATTGTGAGTCAAGTTGCATTAAAATTATTTTCTCATTTGAGAAATCATTTGTCAACAATGGAAAATATCATTAGCTCAGTTTTGTGAAATACAATGGCATTTTTACATAACTGAAAAGTAACCAAAAGCTTCCAAACAGGGTAGAAATGTTACATTGAACAACCAAGAGAGAACCAAACAGTGTAAAGCCATATGGTCCCACAGCATGAAGTGATCAGATACCTGCCTAAAATGATGGACAGCTCTGGCCTAGTGAACAAGCAAAAAAAATCCCATTTACTTTCGTCCAGATGGGACCAACTGGACGCTTCAGCGCAAACAACTCATCCTTCTTCGGACCTTCTTGTCCAGCTCTTGAGCTAGCTCCAGCTGATAATGATGAATACCAAGGCTACAGTAAAGTGGGTGACAACAGAAGCCTTGTTATAGCTGCCAGTCTTTCGCTCTTGTCATTATTACACATTGAAGATTTATTTGAGTTTATTGTTGTGCACAGGGTCTAGCCATTTGCAATTCATCACCTACTACAGAAAGTTCAAGATAGTGGCCAAAGCTATAATTGCCACCTCCACCTGCTTCTGGAAATTATGAGGTCACTAGCTAGGGCAACCTCATCCTCACTGAGCTCTGAAAGTCACAGCAGCATGTAGTATGAAATAGGCCCTATCTGTACTTGAGCATCTCTTGAGATCACATTAATAACACTACATTGCCTGGCAATTGATTAACTTGTATCTATAGTACGACAAACACTAAGAGGTGACAGTCACAGGAAAGAAATAATGAAACTATTAAAACTGCCACAATTTGAACATTATTGTTATT
Organism: Homo sapiens; assembly: GCF_000001405.40. Lineage (NCBI taxonomy): Eukaryota > Metazoa > Chordata > Mammalia > Primates > Hominidae > Homo > Homo sapiens. The sequence goes on from NC_000001.11 coordinate 217,554,546, forward strand.
ATCACAAATGCTGTAGTTACTATGTGTTGATTCAGGAATATATATACCCATTGATAAGGCACATTCTTTTATTTAATCTGACATAATCTAATCTTCCAGAAGTCAAACTAGTCTAACTGTAAATCTGTTTTGGAAGTAGGTGGAATGTAAATCCTATACAAATTATAGTAATATTTTAAAAAACAAGTACTTTGATACTTCTTATATGTTACTACACTGGAGTGTTAGATGAGTTTGACTTAGGGAAAAAAGTGAATAATAAAAAACCCCATTCTTTATTTTCAAATTGTCTTTTCTCCCATATTTATCCATTTTATTTTTATAAAGGTACAAACTTTTCCCTGCAAAATAGTTGGAAAATTTTTTGAGAGCTTTTGCCTGTACTATTGAGCACTCAAGCTTTTACAGACAGTGCTACAAAGAGTAGGAACTTTAAAGATTTCCATTCTTCTAAAATACATGAATCACTCATCAGTTTGCTCAGTGTACAGATGGCTTGAAAATTTATGACACCTGAATCTTTCCCTTCTTGGAATTATGCCATTACTTTGTTGCCACATTCTCACTGTTAATGGATTTCTAAAACCAAGATTTACTGAGATAGGTATTTTTTGTTCCAGGTCCTCTTTTTAAAAACCAACGTGAAAAGTAATGCAGCAAAAGGTAAGCTAGCATCATAATTTAATACAAAACCCCAACTATTTAGAAAGACTGTCTATATCTTATTTTATTCCTCAGAGTCTAATGATGTTCAATAATTTCATTTTATAAGGTTATAGAGGAATCAAAATTCTAAGTGGGAAGTTTCTGTCTGCAAATTCTTTTACAAGTGGTTTCATATACACACTATTGTAGCTTTCTGCCACATTGGCTAAAATGTCAGCTTGAGCAGGACAATTTGCTCCTGCTTGTACGTTAGGGTATGAAGGTTTAGAAGTTCTGATGTAATTTTACTATTATAGGTTTGGCCTCATTTTGAATCTCACTTTTACTTACTCTCGGGAGCACTGTAAGGTAAAGAAAGAAAAATGTCCATGATACTTATTAATCAAATTGTTTCTCAAAAAACATGACAATGACATAACTAACATAAAGCAACATCTCAACCAAGTATTCCAGGTTATCACTTGGTGGAAAGCTGCAGAGAATTAGACACTGGAAGCCTTTCCAACTTTTCCTCCTCTGCTGATCAGCTCCATAAGAAAGTAGCATACATTTCTAACACCTACACTACACTTCTCCTTAAAGTTTATGAACATCTGCACTTCACCTTAAAGTTTATGAACTTCTTTCATGTACCTATATCATACAATCTTATGAGGTACGGATTAATACTACACAAATTTTACGGAGGGAGAGACTAAGGCTGAGACATACAGGTCATACTCCAAATTCTTTACTTTGTACTATACAACAGGCAGAACAAAATAGTCAACTTATAAATCATTTGAACTGCTCTCTCTTTCTTAATACTGAAAAGAGGTTTGAGATATGTAATGAATGGAATTACATCTTTATAATTTATCCAAGAAAGAAATTTTCTTTTTCTTTAAAACATGAATCTAAACCATTAATGGGATAGAATAAAAAATACATAAGAAAATCCTAACATCTATTGCTTTGATCCTTTTTAAACTCTGAAATATAGCTTGTACAGTTAAGTCTGTACAAAAACCACACGAATAGTTTAAGGAGCAGTAACCCAACCCAGGAACTAGAATGTTAACATACTCCAAGTGTCCCCATTCACCATGCCACATTTATATCTTCCCCCTTCTCTTCGGGGGGCAACCACTACTGTGAATTCTGATTTAATCATTCTCTTTCTATTCATTAGTTGTTACCACTGGTGTATGTATCCCTAAATAACATTGTTCCATTTTGCCAATCTTTAAACTTTTTATAAATAGAAACAAACTGTATGCATTATTCTGCACTTGCTCATTTCTTCCAATATTGTACTTTGAGATTTATTAACATTGGTGCATCTAGCTGTAGATCATTTTTACTATTAATATAGTATTCCACTGAATGAATATACCACAATTTATCCATTTTCCTGCCAAGAGACATTTATGATTTTTTCATCCAGTTTTATACTATTACAAAGATTGCTACTATGGATATTTTTTACATGCCTCCTAGCACAAAAGTGCAGAAGTTTCCCTGGGAAATATACATTGTGGGCCATCACAAATTCGTGAGATATGCATTCTTTACTGGCTGGTGCCTTTTTCCAAAATAGATAAATCAGTGTGTATTCCCAGATACAATGTTTCGGGGAAGCCAATGATCCTTACCTTGATAATCATTTGTACTGTCTGTTTTTAATTTTTGCCAATCTGGTGAAATGCTATCTCACTGTGACTTTAATTACAGTTTCCTACTTTCTAATTAAGTTGAACACATATCATGTTTATAGATCAGTTGTGTTTCTTCTTTTGTGAAATATTCGTTCTTTACTTTCGCTCATCTTTCTGCTAAGTGTTTATTTTTCATTTGAAAAAGCCACTCCCAGTCTGTGGCTCGGTATGTGTGTGCTGTTTCTCTCTCTTTACATCTTTTAAAAATGTCAAGTTGGCCGGGTGCGGTGGTTCACGCCTGTAATCCCAGCACTTTGGGAGGCCAAGGCGGGTGGATCACCTGAGGTCAGGAGTTTCAGACCAGCCTGGCTAACGTGGTGAAACCCCGTCTCTACTAAAAATACAAAAATTGGCTGGGCGTGGTGGCGGGTGCCTGCAATCCCAGCTATTCAGGTAGCTTGGGCAGGAATACTGCTTAAACCCAGGAGGTGGAGGTTGCAGTAAGGTGAGATCACACACCACTGTACTCCAGCCTGGGCAACAAGAGTGAAACCCCATCTCAAAAAAAAAAAAAAAAAAAAAAATTCCGTTCATTTTAATGTGGTTTAATTTAACAGTCTTTTCCTCTATAAACTTTTTTGTTCTACTTAAAAATTCTTTGCCTTGAGGTCATAGAGTTGTTCTCCGATATTTGTTCAAAAATGTTGTAGCACATTTCTGTATTAAACCCACTTGGAATCAATTTTTGTATGTGCTATCAGATAGAGATTCCAACTTCATTTCACCCTACATGGATAACTGATTATCTCTTCATCCTTGATTAAAAAGTCTATCCTTTTCCCACTGATCTATAATATTACCTTTGTCATATGTCAGATGACACTATTTGAGTGCTTTTGCTTTGGACTCCTTGTTCTGTTCCACTTGTTTATTTTTCTATCCCTGCACCGATACTATACTGCCCATTAATGTATCTTTCATAAGATGAAATTTTGAATTCCTAAAACTTTTCAGTACATGACCATCATACCGTAAAATAAGCAGAAGTAAACTTTATTGCCATTTAACAAGTTAATAAGCTGAAGACACAAGTTAATCTGTAAAACGCTTCTGAATCATGATCCACATCTTACGATTTTCAAACCATTAATTTTTTTAACCCCCTGACTTTTTCAAAGCATTTTCATGTAATTTCATCAATCTTGAATTTAAAATGATACTAAATTTATATAATGGCTTCATATTATTGTAGAAAAACCACATGTTTTGAAATCACATGCACAAAAAAATAATTAGAAACAGGGCTCTAAAAAGACTGGCTGCATAATCTTGAACAAATCATTCACCTCTCTGAGGCTAATGTCACCTCATCTGTACAGTGTTGATAACCACTGTCCTGAAGGGTTTCTGTGTGTAACAGAGGTAATATATTTAAACACTTAACACCATGCTTGAAATGTAGTGTATACTAAATAAATATTTTGACACTGAATACATGTGAACTCATGTATCTTTTACTAACAGGGCTCTTAATCTAACATTAAACAACAATGGAATCAAACACGGAAGGTACAAATTTCATGATCTTTTGTTGTAATAAAGTGTCTCACAAAGCCTTTATGTAGACTACATGCATCCAACTGATTACGAAAAAGTCAAGAACCAATCTAAGAAGTCCACAAGCCATCCTGCCAGCCAATCCCTATTCTTTAGCATCGAGGTGTTTAAATTAAATTCTGGTACGTTCCCTGTTTAGACTTCCTATATTCCACCCCATCAAAACTCAAACAAGTTGTGGTCATCATTAAAACAAAACAAGGCCTGGAGTGGTGGCTCGCACCTGTAATCCCAGCACTTTGGGAGGCCAAGGTGGGAGGAGCACTTGAGGCCAGGAGTTGAGAGCAGCCTGGGCAACAGAGTGAGACCTGTTCTACAAAAGGTTTTAAAAAATAAAATAATAATAATAAAACATAACAAAAGACCACAATGAATCAAAGTTAAGGCAAAAGCCTAGAAGTCATCCCTGACTACTACTCCTTTTTGCTTCTTCCAACTATACTTGGTAGGCAACAAATCAAGTGGGTCTACCATACTCACTAATTCTCCCTGCAGCAAATATCCCCCTTCAGGCCCCCATTATCACTTTTCAAGTTCCTCACACTCAACTGACCACACGGCTCTAAATATTCCCCACTGCCTCAGGAATATGTATAATAATATTAATTTAAACAAATAATTAAACAATTAATTAAAAATGGCACCAAATCTTCTCGGATGTTACAATAAAATCCTATAAAAACATATTTGTTTTATAGCTCAGAAAAGTGAGGCATGAAGAGGTTAGATGGCATGTGTAGAGCTTTACGTACTAGATCTAGAATTCAAACCAGATCAGCTAAGGCCAAAAGATACCTCTCAAACACTATACTATGCCATGGATCACGACTCATTCTAAAGCATAAACATATCACCCCCTGCAAAAAAAAAAAATCCTTCAAAAGATACCGAGGAAAGATCAGATTCTAGATATCTTTTCAATATAGAGCCTTCAACGGCCCCTCCATACCTGTGACATAAAAAATCAAACTCCTTTTTCTACTACTCCATTGAGAGCTGGCTACAGTCCTATTTCTCACTATCACCCACCTTGCCCTCTTCTCTCCATGCTTAACAAAGGACTATCATTACCCTCATCTTATGGCATTACAAACATATAAGCTAGCTTAAGGAAATGGAAAA